>NC_000001.11:195684587-196934587 GCF_000001405.40 Homo sapiens | reverse complement strand
AACAGGTTGTGATGTCCTACTCATGCTATTTTCTTCCAGGGATCATGTAAGATGATCATGCAAGAGTTTACCTAATCCATAGCTTCCTCTGTTGCTAAGAGCTCCAGCATTCTCCAGCTGTACTCCATAAAGTCCTTCCTATACATCCCATCCTTTACTTGCGTTTACAAACCTGGAGCTAGACACAGAGTGCTGATTGGTGTATTTACAATCCCTTAGCTAGACATAAAGGTTCGCCAAGTCCCCACCAGATTAGCCACATACAGGGTGCTGATTTGTGCGTACACAAACCTGGAGCCAGACACAGAGGGCTGCTTGGTGCATTTACAAACCTTGAGCTAGACACACAGTGCTGATTGGTGTATCTACAATCCCTTAGCCAGACATAAAGATTCGCCAAGTCCCCACTAGACTCAGGAGCCCAGCTGCCTTGACCTAGTGGATCCCACACCTGGCTGCAGGGGGAGCTGCCTGCCAGTCCTGTGCCCTGCACCTGCACTCCTCAGCCCTTGGGCGGTTAATGGGAACGGGCACTGCGGAGCAGGGGGCCGCTCTCGCCAGGGAGGCTCTGGCTGCACAGGAGCCCACGGCAGTGGGGTGGCTCAGGCATGGCTGGCTGCAGGTCCCAAGCCCTGCCCCACAGGGAGGCAGCTGAGGCCCCACGAGAATTCAAGCTCCACGCTGGCCTGCCGGCACTGCTGGGGGACCCAGAAAACCCTCTGCAGCTGCTGGACCGGGTGCTAAGCCCCTCACTGCCTGGGCCGGCTGCGCGGGCCGGCCATTCCAAGTGCGGGCCCGCAGATACCACACCCACCCGGAAGTCCTCCTGGCCCACAAGCTCCGCGGCGCAGCCCGGGTTCCCGCCCACGTCTCTCCTTCCGGGGCTCTCACTCCATACCTCCCCACAAGCTGAGGGAGCCGGCTCCGGCCTCAGCCAGCCCAGAAAGGGGCTCCCACAGTGCAGCGGGCTGAAGGGCTCCTCAATAGCGACCAGAGTGGGCACCAAGGCCGAGGAGGCACCAAAAGCGAGTGAGGGCTGCGAGGGCTGCGAGGGCTGCCAGCACATTGTCGCCTCTCAGTAGGGTCTTTGAGAGACAAGGTATTTCACTGTAACAGACATCAGACTAAAAGGTAAGAGAGAAAATTATTTTTTTGCTGTAAGACTCTCTAGAAGCAAAGTTATGTTTGATTTTTCCCTTTAAATAGTATATTTGTTAGATCTCTTATTTAGGCAATTATGTCACCTTCTTTTTATCTATCACTTATTTTAACCCAAACTTTCCTCTCCAAAAAGAAATATCAGGTTTGACCATGGAGTTAACCTATTCACTGGAAATAAGAATCTTGCTAAGGCTTCTTTCTTGGTTTATTTTCATTCACATGGGATAGGATTAGAAATGTACAAACTTACTGGCCTGTTACCTCTACTTGGTAACAAAACATTTCCACCTGAAGGCCCGGTTAGGCCAGGTGAGAGGACGGGACATTCTAGCTTCTGTGGTCTCTGTTGCAACTACTCTGTTGGCCCTGATAGTGTAAAAACAGCCATGGGGAATATGTAAACTAGTGAACATGGTTGTGTTCCAATAAAACTTTATGGACACAAATATGTAAATTTCATATAAATTTTATGAATATTTTAATTATCAAATGATTTTTCTTACTTTAATTTTAAAAAGATATCAAAATGTAAAAACCATTGTAGTCAGAGCCCTACAAAAATAGGCAGCAGGCCACAGTTCCCCATGACTGTCATTTGCCAGTCCTTCATCTGGCCCACCAATCCCTTCTGAATTCATTTAAATTAAAAACTATAGACAGTAACTCCTGTTTAAATATGAGTGATGCTTCAAGAACTGTTCATTTTAAACTGGACTCAGAAATTATGGGTAAAGGCAGAAAAGAAGAAAATTGTGATGTGTTTGAAAAGATTTGTAGATAAGTGCTGGTTTCATCCCCAAATCGTTCTTACCTCTACCACTCTATCTAGGAAATTTATCTAATAGTAAATCATCTTTGCTTTCTCCCATGTTTAACTTTTTATTTTAATTTTATGTTTTACTTTTATTTTAGATTCGGGAGCACATGTGCAGGTTTTCTACATAGGTAAATGGCATGTCAGAGGGGTTTGGTGTGCAAATTATTTTGTCACTTAGGTAATAAGCATAGTAGTCAAAGGTGGCTTGTTAAATCTTCACTCTCCTCCCATCCTCCACCCTCAAGTATCTGTTGTTCTCTTCTTTGTATCCATATGTATTCAGTGTTTAGCTTTCACTTATAAGTGACAACATACGGTATTTGGTTTTCTGTTCCTGTGTTAGTTTGCTTAGTTAATGGCCTCCAGCTCCATCTCTGTTCCTGCAAAGGACATTATCTCACTATATTTTATGGCTGCACAGTATTCCATGGTAAATGTGTACCACATTTTAAAAATCCAATCTACCATTGATGGACATTTAGATTCAATCTTCAAGCCAAGCAAAAATGAGTTCCAAAATTGAATCAGTAATTAAAAGCCTACAAACCAGCAAAAGCCCGGGACCAGACGGATTCACAGGCAAATTCTACCAGATATGAAAGGAAGAGCTGGTATCATTCCTACTGAAACTATTCCAAAAAATTGAGGAGGAGGTACTCCTTCCTAAATCATTCTATGAGGCCAACATCACCCTAATGCCAAAACCTGGCAGAGACACAGCTGAAAAGGAAAACTTCTGGTCAATATCCTTGATGAACATAGATGCAAAAATAGTCAACAAAATCTGATCAAACTGAATCTGGCAGCATATCAAAACGCTAATACACCACAATCAAGTAGGCTTTATTCCTGTGGTGCAAGGTTGGCTCAACAAACATGAATCAATAAATGTTATTCATCACAGAAACCAGAACTAAAAACAAAACCACATGATTATCTCATGTTTAATTTTAATGCACAACTTGAAAACAAGTAAACCAGCTCTTTCATCCTTTATTACTGACCTATCTGCCCCAGTCTTTTTTTTTTTGGCAGGTATTTCAATTAATGACTTCAAATATTTCCACTACTCTGCAGAAGATAAAGGATATGATATATATATTCGATGTGGTGTTTATTTGCCCATTGTTGTATATCACGTGCTGTAAAATAGCTTCCTTGATCAGAAGAATATAACTTGGTGGGCAAAAACAATTCAGATTATTTAATTTTCATACGTTAGATTTAACTTCCATGAAAAAAACCAAGTCTCAAATACGTTTTAGTGGCCTTCAAAGCTTGCTTAAATCTTCCTGGTGTTAAGAATGAACATCAAATATAATCTATTTACTAGCTGTATGCTGGGCCATCACCCCAGTGGATATGTCCTAATGAATTTTTAAATCTTACCTATCTTGCTAAGAAACTGGACCATTATGGTAAACAATTTATACCTTTTCTGGTGCTTCTGTTGGTTTAGGTCCTTCTGTGACCATTCCTTTCATGTATATAAGTAGTTACTTCTAGGTAATGAACCAAAATACCTATTTGTTGACTCCAGTCGCTTTCCAATCCTGGTAGAGTTTTTATTTTGGTGGGCATCAGCTTGTCCCAGTTTGATTTGTCTTTTTAATTCCCATAAAGGTAGTATCTCAGGCAACAAGTACTCGCATCAACTATTTTTGCATTAATTAATCACTGGTCATGAATTGGTATCAACCCATGTGATCTGGCCTTTTATGTCCTCAATGTCTTCCATAATAGCTGAGAAAACACATTAAAGTTTACCCTATTGAATTCCTTTAGTCTTATATTTTCCCATGAGGATCTGCCACAACTTTCCAGGTAGAGTAGTAACCATTCATTTATGAACTGCCATCAGAAAGACAGGATAATCATCTAGCCTCTGGCAGCAGGTGTTCTAATGGAGAATCCCTTTAAACTCTTCCTTCAGTAGCCTAAGACAGAGCTTCAGCAGTCTCTAGAGTGAGTCCCAGAAAAAGAGGAGGTATTTACTCATGAATATGACCAAGGCCATTGCTGTACCTTCTTGTAGAATTTTCCTTCATATAAAATTTCCATTTAATAATGGAACTCTTTTGGGTATTCTCTTTTTTTTTGGTGTGTTTTTCAGATAAAACCCTGACACTTTGGACATTTCAAAAGTTAAAATAATTGTATACCCTTCAATTATTGGAACCATTTCAATCAATGCCCTATACTATGCCAAATGACAGGTAATTTGTTTCTTCTTTTTTTCTTCATTGTTCTTGCTAGAAATATATCATTTATTCTTCTCAAAGAACTAACTTTGATTGGTTTTATTCATTCTTTGAGAAGATTAAGAAAACAGTTTTTTCTATATTGCACTTGCTTCATTGATTTATACACTAATATTCATGATTTCCTACCTTCTTAAGTTGGAACTTAGGTTAGTGTTTTGAGATATTTCTTCTTTTCTAATATACCATTTAATGACATCTCACAATTCTATGGGGCATAGAATTTTGGTGGGGTTCAAATGGATAAATCTTTTATTTTCTGTGTATTAATGGAGACATTCATTGTTATTCATCTGGTTAATATTCTGCGGTGGAGGGTTCAATATGTCTTCAGTCACATATTTGGTGCTTTGCCAGCAACAAGTGAAATTTGGGGTTCAGGTGACTCCTGTCACTCTCAGGGCCTCTCTACAGGGTACCCAGAATTCTCTCATGCTGATTAGAAGCTACAAGACACCAAGGCAGAAGCTGCTATTTTTTTAAAGCTTACATCCGTAACTGGCATAGAGATACTTATACCGTATCCTATTGGTCAGAAAAGTCATGGGTTAGCACAAGTTCAAGATGATGGGGAAATAGGTCACTTAATCAGAGGATTTTCAAATTATTTGTGGACATCTTTAATCTGCAAAACATAGTAACTATGATACATTACATGCTAATATTTTAATTTATCTCCACTCTGAGGTACGTATGTGTCATAAAAATGATTGCATTTAAGAATGTACTCCATTATGATTACTTACCTAGTTCATCTTTATTGATGTCATCAAATGTAACCAAGTCTTAACTATTTTAGAAATCATATTTAAATTTGTTTTCAAAGTTTATTTGTATCTAATGAAAGAGTAATATTTTATTTCTCTACCTAGGTAGCGCTCACCCATGTTTTTGACAGTTTTCTGCCTGTTTCTTTAAGAAAAGTTTTAAAAACAAGTCTGTGATATTTTCTGTAGTTTCATAGAAGACTGATAATTTGACCCTTGTTAAAATTCTTGCAAGAGAATCTTTAGGTGTACACCAGATTGAAGATAAATAAGAATCTGAGTTAAGTGCTCAAATCACATTTTTTAGGTTGTTCATCTAAAATAAGTATAATAAATAACTGGATTTCATAAGATGCAGCTGAGGGAGCTCATCAACTAATAAAGGAAAGGAGATGGAAGAACTTCAGAGGTCACAGACACTCATTGAGTCATCTCCCTTAAACATATGAATTCAAGGTGAAGATTAGGATAATCAGACACTACACATAAGAGTCACAATTCTCACTATGCTGTTGACATTAATGCTGTGTTAAATAATTTTCAACAGTTAACATAATGATAGGTAAAAATGTGAATTGCTAGTTCTGAAAGCAAGATCACTGCTGTTAGCTTAGCAGTGTAGGAGTGGCAGAGTGGTATCAGAAGTGGACACTGAGCTTCTTTCCTTCTTCATGATATGGCAAAGGCACCATGAAATTTAAGGAGGATAGGATGAAGGGTCTGACAAACGTTTATTGCCAGGGTGTTACCAATCCACTCTTTGTCTGAAGGGAAAATCCTCAGAGGAAGATTATCTGGAATGAATCGTAGGAGTGTAGTTTGGAGTATATGACTTTGACTCAAGAGTTTGTAATATATATATATATATATATATATATATATATATGTATGTATTTAGAATATGATACAAAATGATGGAGAAATTACTAGAAATACATTTTCTTGGTTGCTGCTAGCAAGTTTGGTGATATTAAAACATCTCATGGTGGAAAGTAAAGCAAATGAACAATCAACCGCAGCAATATTGAGATAAATATCTGAACCAAATATAATTGGCTTCATGTGTGACAAAGGTTTTGATGGAGACTTGGGGAGATACAGGTTAAATCATGGCACTCCTTCACTCTGACCCTTCATCAACAGATCCTACCTTCCAAGCGCCAGGATTTAAAGACCAGATGACCATCAATACTAGAGAAATAACATTAAATATGTGGTCTGTTTTGCAAAACAGAAAAGTATTGGTGCCTGCCAGATTAATCTTTCCACAGATTCCTTGAAATAAATGGTTTGTAATTTGGTAGTGAATTCAATTACCGGCTTATAGTCAGACTTTGGAAAAGGGCTCTCTTCACCTGGTCTTAGTGGTTCTTGTTAAATGGGAATTTTATAATTGGTCAAACCAGCCTCTCTAGTGAATATTAAGTAATACCAAATCTTGGGAAGATAGTGAGAGATTTTAATTGCTTAAAAATGTTAAGTGGTATGACGATGTATTAGTGTTTTCCAGAGAAACAGAATGTATAGTGTGAGGTGTATATAGATAGATGAGATAGAGAGAGATTTGTTTTATGCAATTGGTTTACTTGATTTGTGAGTATAAGCAAGTCCAAAATTCACAGGGCAGGTTAATAGAGTAGAAACTCAGACAAGGGTTGATGTTACAGTCTTGAGGTAGAATTTCTTCTTTGGGAAGCCGAAGTTTTGACTCTTATTGCTTCAATTGATTGAATGTGACCCACCCATATTATCAAGGGTAATCTTTACTTAAAGGCAACTTATTGTAGATGTTATTAACTCCATCTATAAAATACCTTGTTCACAGCAACACTTAGATTAATATTTGATTAAATAACTTGGATTGACAGCCTAGCTAAGCTGACACATAAAACTCACCATTGCAGATGCTAATTCTCACCAAAACACAAATGATTTTGATTAATTATGTGGATATGCATAGTTGCAAGAAGGCTAACATGAACTCCCAGGCTGTGACTGTTAGGAGTTGGCATTTCAAGATACCTGGGGTTAACACTTAGATATAATTTTTCTTCAGTTACCAAGAATATACTAGATAGTACCAAATAGCTGGAAGCAGAATATTCAGTGTTCCCAACAGAAAGAGAAATGATAAATGTTTGAGATAATGGAGATGCTAATTACTCTGACTACTATACATTATATATATATGTGTGTATATATATGTATATATATGTGTGTGTATATAGATGTGTGTATATATATGTGTGTATATATATATACACTCACACACACACACACACACATTACTATGCACCCCATAAATATGTATGGTTATTATTTGTGAATTTTTAAAGGGGGATTAAAAGACACTTCCTTGTTCATTACTGAGCTTTGATGAAGATAGCCCTCACCATTGTGGATAATAACTCTAAAACTCAAAATGCCTGTTATTTCATAGGTAATATCAGACAAACATTCCAATTAGCATGGAACAGTTTAGAAAAACTAATAATATGGAAATGACACATGCAGCAGCCCTCCACTGGTGGTTGCTCTTGGTGTATGTTACATTCATAAGCAGTTTGCAGCCAGCATTTTTGACCAATGATATAATCCACAAAAGAACTTCTGGCTCCTTTTTTGAAATGATCTAAACTCTGTGATTCTTTTCCTCCTTGTGCAAAGCAATCTGCCCATTTTTCTGATAGCACGTCCCAATTTGAGTGAAGCAATCACCTTGTAGATAATAAAATCTAGATTACAAGGCAAGATTCGTGGTAAATAACATTGAAGGCAATATGTCTGGAAGTTCTGAAAGAATTGAGAGGTTATATCAAAGGCAATGCTTAGATATGTACAGACACATGGATTATGGCAAATGCTATCAATGGTCAGATCGTACATATTTCCAACCCCGTAAACTGTTTCTGTTTTGCCAGATCCATTTTTACCAATTTAGAATTACAGCTGTAGATTTTACCACAAGAAGTCATTGCAGCTGAAAACATTACTTCAAGTCCTCTGAATTTAAGTGTACATTACTAAAGGGACAATGGGCTGAGGAATGATTATTTCTCTCACTAAACTAAGACTGCCTAGATGCTGCCCCCTGACTAGTGGTAGAGATACGCCTGCCATGTTTTATATTTGTGACTGTACTTTTTCTTATTGGGAATGTTCATAGAGGGAAGTTCTGGAAAGGCTATTGATGCAAGGGGCTATTGCTGCACTCTATGGGTGGGTATTATAGCTCACCTATGGACTTCCATCCACAGATGCTAAGCTTGGTTAAGGTAGATAGTAAACAGAAAATGGCAAAAAGTGTGACCAATGATGAGGGAATGCATGTATGTGAGAGAACATCCCAGAGAAACAGAATAATACTCTAGGCTCCTTCTTTCTGATATGGTACTGAGGTATGGCAGATGCTGGGGGAATATATGGAGCCAGTATTACCCTGATGCCAAAATTAGACAAAGACACACCCCAGAAAGAGAGAAAGTTACAGGTTAAAATCTCTAATAAATATCGATACAAAAATCCTCAACAAAATACTAGCAAACTGAATACAGCAATACATTAGAAAGATCATTCATCATGACCAAATGGGGTTTACCTGTGGGATGCAAGGATGGTGCAATATACACAAGTCAATCAATGTGATACATCATATTAACAGAATGAAGGATAAAAACCATACGATCATTTCAGTTGATGCTGAAAAAGTATTCGATAAAATTCAATATCCTTCATGATGAAAACCCTCAAATACTGGGGATGGAAGGAACACACCTCAAAGTAACAAAAGCTGTATTCAACAGATACACAGTTAGTATCATACTGAATGGAGAAAAACTGAAATCCTTTCCTCAAAGGACTGGAACATGACAAGGATGCCCACTGTTACATAGTTATTCAACATAATACAGGAAGTCCTAGCTACAGCAATCAGACAAGAGAAGGATACAAAGGCCATCCAAGTTGGGAAGGAAGAAACCAAGTTATCCTTGTTTGCAGATGATATGATCTTATATTCGGAAAAACCTAAAGACTCAACCAGAAAACTATTAGAACTGATAAATTTGATAAATTTGCTGGGTATGAAATAAACATACAGAAATCAGTAGCATTTCTATACATCAACAGTGAACAATGTGAAAAAGAAATCAAGAAAGTAGTCCCATTTACAGTAGCCTCACATAAAGTTAAATACCTAGGAATTAAATAAAGAAGTTAAAGAGCTCTTTAATGAAAACTATAAAAGCCTGATGAAAGAAATTGAAAAGGATACAAAAAGATGGAAAGATATTTTATGTTTATGGATTGGAAGAATCAACATTGTTAAAATGTCCATACTACCTAAAGCAATCTACAGATTCAGTGCAATCACTGTCAAAATACCAATAACATTCTTTACAGACATAGGAAAAAACAATTCTAAAATTTATATGGAACCACAAAAGACCCAGAATAGCCAAAGCTATCCTAAGCAATAAGAACAAAACTAG
The DNA here is from genome assembly GCF_000001405.40 of Homo sapiens. NCBI lineage: Eukaryota > Metazoa > Chordata > Mammalia > Primates > Hominidae > Homo > Homo sapiens. Next base: position 196,925,091 of record NC_000001.11, on the reverse strand, counting down.
GGAATCATATTACCTGACTTCAAATTATACTACACAACTATAGTAATCAAAACAGCATAATAGTGGCATAAAAACAGACACATAGACCAATGGAACAGAATAGAGAACACAGAAGTAAATCCACACACCTACAGTGAACTCATTTCTGACAAGAGTGCCAAGAATGTACACTGGGGAAAAGACTGTCTTTCAATAAATGGTGCTGGGAAAACAGGATGTTCATATGCAGAAGAATGTAACTAGACCCTTATGTCTCACCATATAAAAAAAAATCAAAGTGGATTACAGACTTAAATCTAAGACCTCAAACTATGAAACTACTATAAGAAAACATTGCAGAGAATCTCCAGGATATAGGTCTGTTCAAAAATTTTGGGGGCAATATCCCATAAGCACAGGAAACCTAAACACAAATGAACCAATGGGATTACATAAAGTTAAAAATCTTCTTCTGCACAGTAAAAGAAACAACAAAGAGAAGCGACAACCCACAGAACGGGAGAAAATATTTGTGAAGTACCCATCTGACAGGACATGAATAAACCGCAATATATAAGGAGCTCAAACAACTCTATAGGAAAGATTCTAATAATCCAATTAAAAACGTGCAAAAGATTTGAATAGACATTTCTTAAAGAAAGACATGTAAATGGCAAACAAGCATATGAGAAGGTACTCAACATCATTGATTATCAGAGAAATGCAAATCAAAACTACAATGTGATGTCATCTAACTCCAATTAATATGGCTTATATCCAAAAATCAGTAATAAATGCTTGGGAGGATGTGGAGAAAAAGGAACACTTGCACACTGTTGGTGGACACGCAAGTTAGCATAACCACTATGGAGAACAGTTTGGAGGTTCCTCAGAAAACTAAACATTGAGCTACCATATGATCCAGCAATCCCACTGCAGGGCATATACCCAAAAGAAAGGAAATCAGTATATGGAAGAGACATCTGCATCCCTATGTTTGTTGCTGCACTGTTTACAATAGCTAAGGTTTGTAAGCAGCCTAAGTGTCCATCAACAGATGAATGGATCAAGAAAATGTGGTACGTATATACAATGGAGTAGTATTCTGCCATAAAAAAGAATGAGATCTAGTTATTTATAACAACATGGATGGAACTGGAGATCATTATGTTAAGTGAAATAAGCCAGGCACAGAAAGACAAACATCACATTTTCTCACTTATTTGTGGGATCTACAAATAAGAACAATTGAACTCATGGACATAGACAGTAGATGAATGGTTACCAGACGCAAGGGGCTAGTGGTGGGAGGCAGTGGTTGGGGGTGTCAGGGAGGAGGTGGGTACCTATTTTCAATAGGTACAAATAAATAATTAGAAGAATGAATAAGACCTACTAATTGATAGCACAATAAGGCGACTATAGTCAACAATAATTTAATAGTATACCTTCAATATAACTTAAATAGTGTAATTGGGTTGTTTGTAACTCAAAGGATAAATGCTTGAGGGGATGGATACCCTATTCTCCACGATGTGCTTATCTCACGTTGCATGCCTGTATCAAAATATCTCATACACCCCATAAATATATATACCTACTGTGTACCCACAAAATGAAAAATAAATAAATAAATAAAATAACTGTAAAGTAGAAGAAACCTCAAAGTGATAAAATCAAAATGTCTTGTTTTTCCTGCCAATCTCCCCGCTATATTTTCTTCCCTTATTGTTAACAACATACTGTCTACATACTTTTGTATTCTGAATTTTGTGTTTGCATTGTATCTTCAAAGAAGTTATAATTAACTTCATATCAAGCAATAGTATTTTCAAATTCAAAATGTGCTTTCTATCTAGATAAAAGGCTTGGCATATAATGATTCTTAATGGGTGTGTTAAAACAGTTTATTTCTAGGCACAAATTAATGAACTAATAAATAGGGGGGTTGTTTTATTTTCGTTTTGAGACAGGGACTGGCTCTGTGGCTGGGTTGGAGTGCAGTGTCACAATTGTCCCACCTCATCCTCCTCTAGTAGCTGGGACTACAGGCGTGCACCACCATGCCCAGCTAATTCGTTTTCTTTGTTTTTATAAACAGGATCTTGCTATGATTCCCAGGCTGATCACAAACTCCTGACCTCAAGCAACCCTTTCACCTCAGCATCCCAAAGTGCTGGGATTACAGGATGATCCACTATGTCTGGCCCATAAATAGGTATTTTGCTTGATAAATATCACACCAGTATATTTACATTTTAATATAACAACCATTCTGTTTTCCCTAAGATTTCATTTTCAGTCATTTTTATTTTCCTGCCTAAAGATTTGTAATATTTGTTCATTAGTCTTATAATTAAGAAACAATTGGCTAGATTATGTTTCTAGTGATTTTATCTAGTGATTTATTCTAGAGATTTTATCTCTCACTTTGCCTGGAACCACATTAAGCTATACACTAGGAATAATTGTTTAGAAAGGAATGTAAGAATATTTTGATGATTGTACTTATTGCAATTGTTCTGGTTTCTTCCCTAGACTTAGATTTTTATTGTTTATTCTCCAGATTAATAATCTCTATAATCATTCATTTCTTTATGGTTTCCCTTTGAAAATCCACTACACCAAATTTCTTATCTATCACACCAATTCACTTTGTTAGGTGCATACTCTACTCTTTAATAACCCCACTGATGCTTTTATATCACATTTTATTTTCATCTTCCTGATGATATTGCTTGTTGCTCCTACAGTTGTGGTTTCCTGCCATTTATTTTTGTACCATTTTAGGAAACTAAGGCAATCATATTAGTCTGTTCTCATGCTGCTAATAAAGACATACCTGAGACTAGGTAATTTATTAAAACAAGAGGTTTAATTGACTCACAGTTCCACACTGCTGGGGAGGCCTCACAATCATGGTGGAAGGTAAATGAGGAGCAAAGTCACATCTTACATGGTGACATGCAAGAGGGCTTGTTCAGGGGAACTCCCATTTATAAAACCATCAGATCTTGTGAGACTTACTCACTACCATGAGAACAATATGGGGAAATAGTCCCCATGATTCAATTATCTCCACATGGCCCTGCCCTTAACATGTAGTAAGATTTGAGCAGAGACACAGAGTCAAACTATATCATTCCACCCTGGTCCCTCCCAAATCTCATGTCCTCACATTTCAGAACCAATAATACCTTCCCAAAAGCCTCTCAAAGTCTTAACTCATTACAGCATTAACTCAAAAGTCCACAGTCCCAAGTCTCATCTGAGACAAGGCAAGTCCCTTTGTAAAATCAAAAGCAAATTAGTTATTTCCTAGATACAATGGTACAGACAATGGTGCAGACAATGGGTAAGTAAACCTGTTCCAAATGGGAGAAATTGGCCAAAACAAAGGGGCTACAGGTCTCATGCAAGTACAAAATCCAGCAGGGCAGTCAAATCTTAAAGCTCAAAAATGATCTCATTTGACTCCATGTCTCACATCCAGGTCACGCTGATGCAACAGGTGGGTTCCCATGGTCTTAGGCAACTCCACCCCTGTGGCTTTGCAGGGTACAGCTTCCCTCCTGACTGCTTCCATGGGATGGCATTGAGTGTCTGCATCTTTTCCAGGTGCACGATGCTAACTGTCGGTGGAACTACCATTCTGGGGTCTGGAGTACAGTGGGCCTCTTCTCACAGCTCCACTAAGCAGTGCCCCAGTGGGGACTCTGTGTGGGGGCTCCCACCCCACATTTTCCTTCTGCACTGCCATAGCAGAGGTTCTCCATGAGGGCCCCACCCCTGCAGCAAACATTTGCTGGACATCCAGGCATTTCCATACATCCTTTGAAATCTAAGCAGAGGTTCCCAAACCTTAATTCTTGACTTCTGTGAACCAAAATCTCAACATCACATGGAAGCTACCAAGGCTTGGGGCTTGCACCATCCAAAGCAATGGTCTGAGCTCTATGTTGGCCCCTTTTAGCCCCTGCTGGGATGCAGGGCACCAACTCCTGAAACTGCAAAAAGCAGCATGGTCCTGGGCCCTGCTCACAAAACCATTTTTTTCTCCTAGGCCTCTGGGCCTGTGATGGGAGGGGTTGTCCTGAAGACCTCTGACATGCCCTGGAGACCTCTGACATGCCCTGGAGACATTTTCCCCATTGTCTTGGTGATTAACATTTGGTTTCTCATTACTTGTGCAAATTTCTGCAGCCAGCTTAAATTGCTCCCCAGAAAATGGGTTTTTCTTTTCTATCAAATCATCAGGCTGCAAATTTTCTGAACTTTTATGCTCTGCTTCCCTTTTAACATAATTTCCAATTCCAAACCATATATTTGTGAATATATAAAATTGAATGCTTTTAACAGCACCCAAGTCATCTCTTGAACGCTTTGCTGCTTAGAAATTTTTTCCACCAGATGCCTTGAATCATCTCTTTCAAGTTCAAAGTTCCACATCTCTAGGGCAGTGGCAAAATGCCACCAGTCTTTGAGCTATAACATAGCAACAATCACCTTTGCTCCTGTTCCCAACAAGTTTCTCATCTCTAGCTGAGACCACCTCAGCCTAGATTGTATTTTCCAAATCACTATCAGCATTTTGGTCAAAGCCATTTAACAAGTCTCTAAGAAGTTCCAAACTTCCTCACATCTTCCTGCCTTCTTCTGAGTCCTCCAAACTGTTCCAACCTCTGTCTGTTTCCCAGTTCCAAAGTCACTGCTACATTTTTGGTTATCTTTACAGCAGCACCCCACTCTACTGTGTAATACCAATTTACTGTATTAGTTGATTCTCACACTGCTAATAAAAACATACTTGAGACTAGGTAATTTATAAAGGAAAGAGGTTTAATGGACTCACAGTTCCACGTTGCTGGGAAGGCCTCACCATCATGACAGAAGGTGAATGAGTAGCAAAGGTACATCTTACATGGTGGCAGGCAAGAGAACTTGTCCAGGGGAACTCTCATTTATAAAACCATTAGATCTCATGAGACGTATTTACTACCATGAGTAGGGTATGGGGGAAACTGCTTGCATGATTCCATTATCTCCACCTGGCCCCACCTTTGATGCATGGGGATTATATAATTCAAGGTGAGAATTGGGTGGGGACACAGCCAAACCATATCAGCAATTATTTTTGAAATTTTATTTATGATATATGTTGATGAAGTAGAATTAGTCACTGGAATTAATAAAACAATTTTTTACTTTTTATTCTCCAGTCTCTGCAAACCTGTTATTTGAAAACTGAGTTAGATTTGATAGCTTATATCATTCTTCAGTCTTAAAAAGTTATTCCTAGCTTTAGTCACAAAAACATTCTCAGTCTAGCAATTAATATTTCTTATTCTGTACAGGACTAGATTATTATACAAGTTCATGCTTTTTTCTCTATAATCAGGAAAAGTGTTGGGAAAGGGAGCATTGTTTTCTTCTTACCCTGCAATTTCTCACTAACCATATGCTAACTGGGGCTAAAAATCTATTAAAGTGAATAGAGATTTCAATTTGTTAACAGGGATATACAATCTTTTCAAAAAATTCTTATATACAAAAAAAAGTACAGAACAGAAAGAGAGTGAAGGCAATTAACAGGAGAAAAGACAAAAAAAAATCGGAAGCAAAACTTAATAAGAAATGCAAAAACCATATGTGAAGAAACTTTCAAAATATTTGTATTAAGAAAATACAAATGTAGCCTTAAATAAATCAGAAAAAGAATTATTTCCTTAAATAGGAATTTTCAGAATCCTATTTATTTATTTTTAAGACAGAGTCTCACTCTATTGCCCAGGCTGGAGTGCAGTGGCACTATCTCGGCTCAGTTCAACCTCTGCCCCACTGGTTAAAGTGATTCTCCCACCTCAGCCTCCTGAGTAGCTTGGGACTATGGGTGCACGCCATGATGCCCAGCTAGTTTTTCTATTTTTAGTAGAGACAGGGTTTCACCATGTTGGCCAGGCTGGTCTCGAACTTTTGACCTCAGATGATTCCCAGCTTGGCCTCTCAAAGTGCTGGGATTACAGGCGTGTGCCACTGCACCTGGCTTCAGCATCCTAAAGTGTCAGCATTGCCCAAGTTAATATATACATTTAATGCACTTCTGGCTGTGTTCCCAGTGCTCTGAAAGGGTTAGCAAAACCTCTTTTCTTTTTTCACAGGAAAATGATGATAATTCACCTTCTTTAGTACTTTTTCCTTTAAATCATGATAATGATGTAATGTCAGTGTTTGGCAGGAAACACTACTTTTAATAAAAATGACCCTATTTGGTTAACTGCATCTAGAGGACCATGGCTGCAATAAGGGAATACTATAGTGTGTTTATTTTCACTTACAATTTTAACATCTAATTTTATGTTATTATTACTTCCCCAAATAAAGTCTAAAGTCATTTTGTTTCTATGTCTAGGTATACTGTACAATATGCAGAAAGCCATTCAGTTATCTGTTTCTATACTTACTAATTCATTGATAGGAAGTCCAATATAAGGGTAGTTTTTATTATTTTAGTACAAGCATAAGCAATAATTTAGTTTGTTTTAACATATTTTTGAGAACATATTAAGTTGCAAATTGAAACTATTATATTAATTTTCTTTGAAATAAAGTAGAAATTACAACAATATCAGAAGCTATCTTTGCAAGCTTTGAGACCATAAGAGTGAGAAGTGGAAGTTGGACATACATTTAGGGTAACAATGCTGCCTTATTCGCATCTGGGGTATTCCACTATGCCTTCCCTACACACTGCTTGAAATGATAGAACTGATGTATTCGCATTATATCCCAATTTACACATAAATTCAATGGTATCCCCTGTTTTTGCATAATATTTTATGTCACTTTTTCCTTTTAACTGTATGTTATTTTTATTCATGTTTTCTTCAGTTATTATACATGGATCTGAAAGCAGAAAAAGAAACAATTAACAATCATAATCTTGCCTTTCATGAGCAAATAAAATGCATCCTAATGAGTAGTTTAGGATAAAATAAAATTATAAAATAATCCAAATAGTTAATAGTTATTAATTTGTGCTACATACTGACTTTAGCATTTCAAAAATATAATAAGTTCAGTTGCACTTCCCCAACGTCACAGCAGAGATCATCAGGTGAGGTGATAAACGTGAACCCTGGCAGTCTTTCTCTAGAGCCTGAACTCTTCTTCCCTAAAACATGTTGTGTCCACCCTAGTGACTTCATATCAAAAAGGATTATGCTAACATGTTCCACTGGAGTCATGGTTACTTATCCTCCTTTCCCCCATTTGACAAGCCGTGACTACAAGCACTCCAAATGTACTCACATTTTGCTAATTTAATTCTATGTTTATATTTTTCTCTTATGCCCACAGTGTAGAAAAAGAACTGTAGAAAGGTATAATCTTTCTAATAGTCATCTATTAAAATAAAACTCTCTATATATACATACATACATACATACATACATACACCTCAATATCTGTCAATTATCTCTCTCTCTATCACCATCATCTATCCCTGTCATCTTCATTTTCTATTTTAAAGAGGCAAGGATAAGCACACAGGAGTTAATGTGAATCCCTACATGATTATGGACAAATTACTCTATCTCACTATGCCTTCATCTGTAAAATCAGTAAGATAATGTTACTTCCACATATGGGTTTTCTTTTATAAAATTCTTTTGTAAAAAAATTTATAATTTTTTTTTAAGTTCCAGGGTACATGTGCAGGATGTGCAGGTTTGTTCCATAGGTAAATGTGTGCCATGGTGGTTTGCTGTACCTATCAACCCATACCCTAGGTATTAAGCCTAATTCTTACATGATAAAAATGTCAGTTCTTACATAGCAAGCTTTTCATTTTTGATGATATCATTCACTCACCTATCTCTTCTTTTGACTCAAGTATTCTGCATTCTAGTTTAGCCCTTATTAGCATTAGCATTTCTTTAGAAATTTCCCCAATCATATTTTAATACATCTTTCAAGTACTTACTTAAATAAATTTCTTAACATAGTACATATCACTTTTGAGATCCAAAAAATTTTAAGAGCTCTTCAATACATTCAGAGGCTGTTTACAATTCAAAAATAAATATTATTTGAACTCTAAATACTTCTCCAAACATATTTTCCAAAACTTTCTAAAGTTTCCTGCTGCCTGGGAAAGTTTTCCTCATTGCTTTAATATGCCATATGTATATGTAATCTTTTCCATAAGGTTGCCTTTTTCCCTAGAATTCTGTGCTTGAATGCTCTTTGCTTCTTTAGTTTTGAAGACTGAAAGTCTTGCTTGTATCATGGAACTGATCTTGTATCTTCAGATAATTATAATCCTTTCCTGTTCTTGATTGTGAGAAGAGGTAATGCTTTTGCTGTGAAACCCATCTTAGGAGTGTCCATCTCCCCATTCAATCAAATTTGAGACTCAGAATTTATCTCTGAAACCTAACACTTTTCTATGAAATCAAGTTTGAAGATACTTGTAAACTATTTTGATTTGAGGATACTAATTTCTTCTTCAGTCTTGCCACTTGCATAGTTTGGAGCTCAAACTTGGACATGATCATCTACAGAAGTGGATACCTAAGTAGGGGACAATAATTAAGGTTTAGCCCATTGTAAGATCAGCCAAAATATCAGCGTCATCAGTCAATATGAAAGGTAAAAGGTAGCATAGCATCAAAATAAAGGAAATGAGTCACATCACAGAAAAGAACGGCTTGTATCATCCTTTACTTAGGAACTTGAGCACTTGAAAAACTCATGAACTTATAGTTTAAGAGCTGTGATAGGAATAGGTTATCTGACATGCAAGGACTGATGGGTATCCCAGGGCTCTACCTCATAGGCTAGTAGAAACTTGTGGCAAGTTTTCTTTTAGGTTTTCTTGTTGTTGCCATAATTATTGTGGCTTATATTTTTTTGAATTGTGTTGCTTCAAGTTCATAGTACTTGGGGGACAAAATTCTAGAAGTATACCTATATTACTGGCTTGAGGGGTTTTTAGTGTATTCATTTTGATTATGGTATAAGGGAAGAGGAGAATAAGGTAAAAATGGAAAAGCAATGGGTTGTGGAAATGGCTGAAGTTTCGTTAATTTCTTTGTTGCTTGCTAGGAATACTGATAAAATATAAGTAAGAATAATAATCAGAGAAAGAACTTCTCAGTGTTAACCAGCTATGTATTCTATCCGGAAAAATTTCATGTTTTCAAGGAGGATTTAATAGTTCGTGGTTTTTTGAAACAGTGTTTTCATAACTGTTTGAAAACTCTACCTCAGTGTTAATAATGTGAAAATGATTACTGGTGTTAAGCTGAGATGCCATATTTCATATGTGCGCAATAAATGGATGTCATTCTTGAAGACTCATTGTATCCATTAACAAATTGAAGACTCTGAACATTCTTGGTTTTTTCTTTTTCTCTTTTTCTTTTCTTCTTCTTCTGTTTTATTTATTTATTTTTTATTTTTTATTTTTTTATTTTTGGAGACGGAGTCTCCCTCTGTCGCCCAGGCTGGAGGGCAATGGTGCAATCTCCGCTCACTGCAACCTCTGCCTCCCGGGTTCAGATGATTCTCCTGCCTCACCCTCCTGAGTAGCTAGGATTACAGGCATATGCCAGCATGCCTGGCTAATTTTTGTATTTTTTGTAGAGACAGGGTTCACCATGTTGGTCAGGCTGATCTCGAACTCCTGACCTCGTGATCTGCCTGCCTCGGCCTTCCAAAGTGCTGGGACTACAGGCGTGAGCCACCACCCCAGGCCGACATTCCTGTTTTAAAAAAGAAACTTGGTCATTGTTTACATGGAATTTTCCAAGCTTATACACTTATATATTAAGATCTGAAAGGCAAACATTCAGCAGAATAGCTGTTTGTGAACACAGTTCTAGGGTAATAACCCATAAAAATTCTAGTATAAAAAAGCAAATATCAAACTTATTACTCTGATTTTCTCAGGATCTAGAATTTTAAGAACTTACGTATGCATCTTGGTGGTTCCGACCACTCTCCATTACTACATGTTACATAATTAGAACCCTGAAGTTCATAGTAGGACTGGCATTGGTACTCGACTCTTGACTGTGGCACATACACTTTTAGTAGAAAGGAGGTGGTATCACCATTGCTAATAGGTGGAGGAGGCCCACACTTTTCTGAAGAATCTGAAAAAAAATACTTTATATGTGGGGAAAAATCAATAGTCTTATTGGAAACTTTCTAAATAAAGCTTTTTATATACTCTTAACTGTATCTTATTTGATTTCTTAGGAAGACATCTGCATTTTCAACGTTGTTTTTTTTTTTTTTAAGTCTCAAGATAATTCACACTCATAGGAGGACTACATATATATGTACATATATGTACACACATATGTGTACATATACATATGTAGGTGTCTATTATTTTATTTAATTCTAATAAAAAATACTTGAATAAAATACTTACTATAACATGTTGGGAAATGGGACCACCCATCTTCACCACACACTATGGAACCTGTGGTGTTTCCATAACTGATTTCATATCCATCGTAGCATTCGTAGTCCAATGTGTCATGGAGCTTAAACCGCATGCCATTACTCTTGGCTCTGGAATTCTCAAAAACAGGCATATCACAAAATTCTGAAACAAAATAAAATTGAGGATTGCTTTTCTATGCCATACGATGCACAACTCAACTAAGAAAGTCCCATTGTAGGGATAAAATTTACCAATCAGTGTGTGCTAATAAATTGAGTACTATTAAAAATAGTCTGACAATCAGTGCTTTTTGTGCTATAATAGTTAATTACAATAGTTAAATATATTTCTCTCTGTATATTCTTTCTTATCATTCAAATCCTGTGAAAATATATTAGAAACATTTGGTCAGACCTATTTTTATTTGTGAAAAATCTCATTGGCTGTTATTAAAGTCTACTACTATGATACTACAATCTATTATTTTAAAGATGATAAAATTTTGTGAATTTAAAAGTTAACGAAACCATTTATGTAGTTATGTAACGATTTACTAACAGTAAGGGTGTATATATTAGATAAAAATTATATTAATTGGATATAAGTTCTATAAAAATTTATGAAGCATCCTGTCTTTTATTTTACAAGTTTTAAAGTAGATCATTTATCAAAGCTGAGTAAAATTGAAGTATACACCTTTTTCTTTACACAGAGCCCATGATAAGCATAGAAATTGAAAACAGTATTCTAGAAATGTAGGAATTGATATAGCCCCCAAAACTCATGGTAACATTGAGATAATCACTTTGTAAATGTGTCTTTCTTTTTTCTCACTTAGCCTAGTATTTTTGAGAGTCATCCATGTTGTATTATGTATCAAGGTTCCATATTATCTCATGGCTAAAAATAGTTGAATTGTACCCTTGATAATGAAGTGGATTTGGGAGTATGTAAATTATACAACAGTATCTGGGTTAAAAATACATTAGGCAATTTATCTTTAAAAATCTTTGTGAATATATAAAGAGGAAAGAAAAAAAATCAACTTTTGCCACTGAAAGATTTCCTTTGTTCATTATGCAATCTCTTTATCATAATAAGTAAAGGTCGAGCATGTTCAGAGAACTTTACATGTAAAGAATCCATTGGCAGGTAGGAGGTTTGTAAACATTCAGCCCACCCACCTACCCTTTTCCTTTACTTGTTTTCTCTGTAGTAAACAATAGGGTAGAGATAATTTTTTGATTGGATATCCTCAGTAGCATCATTGATACAAATTATTACGGTCTGATTCTCCTGATGCTAGCAGAAATTCAGAATTAAGCACTCATTTCTCCCCCGACATGTACAACTTTTCTGAGTGTGAGCAAGGAATGCAATACAAGCAGTTGATAATTTTGAAATACAAAGAAAGGGAAAACAACGAAGTTTTTAATGGCAACTAACACATTTTGCTGTTATTCTCATGCAGCTCCCTAACTAGTCTGTACATGATAAGATTGCTTTTATGTAAAGGCAGATTGAGTTGTAAGAGATGAAATGATCATCTTCCCAAGTAGCCATTACTCTAAACATGCAAAAGACTTAATTTGGCACAGAATGTTGAATGGTTTTAGAAGTATTTGTATCTCTTTACTCCTAAAAGTGTTTTCTATATTTTTAAGTAAAACACTATCATCTCAAAGAGAGGAACGAAGTTGACAGAAACTGAATGGGAATATGTAAATCACTTACTAATGCAAATTGGTTGTGCTGACCATCCATTTTGCAAACATGTAATTGAACCTGAAGAATTTCCATCTGCTGTTGCATATCCTGGTTTACATTTATATTGTATTTCTTTATTTAAAATATAAATAGAGGAAGATTCAGAAATGAATCCATTTTCAATTTCTATATCTGATTTTGAGCATGTTCCTAAAATAGAAAAAGTAGAGAAAAAAGTAAATATTTGTTGAATACTTCTTTTATAGGAGGGAACAAGTAAAAACATGGCAATATGGCAAAACAATGAAACATTTGTTAATGAATTGAAAACAGCAAAACTGGAAGTTTCCTAGACATCCGTGTTCTTAAAGGAAACCACGAATTTCTGAAGGAAATGTTGAAGACACAGGGAAGGGCAGAATAAAAGCAAAGAATCCTTGAGACTGTCAACAGAGCTCTGGCGGGCCTTAAGGAATGCACATCTAGCAGACTCTCAAGTCCCTAATGATATTTTGGAAGACTTTCTGGCTACTTTGCAACAACCTGAGTATTTTTGGTACTATTAAGGGGTCTTAAACCTCCTTAAGTCAAATGCCATTTCCCAGGCAAAGATACGGTACACACTGCTACCATAGGCAAGAAAGTAATTTTGTAAATCCGTTGTCTCCAAGAATTTAAAGTGGTCGTCATCTTAAGTGGGTGCTTAAACCCATATAGACGTGGTGTTTGAGAGGCATGTGGAAATGTAAGCAGAAAAAAGAAAGCAAATAAGATAGCAAAAATAAGTTCTAATATATTAGCAATGTATTTGTTCTTTATATATTAGTAATGTATGTGTTCTATACATTACTAATGGGTATATGTATAAGGTAGTAATTATTTTAGTAATGTATATGTTTTAAGATATTAGTAATGTATATGTTCTTTTCTAATTAGTAATTAGAAAACAAATGTAAATGGACTAATTTTACTATCTGAAAGAAAAATCATGTTAAAGATGATGCATATTTATAATATAGCATTTGTCATAATCATGAGTTTTCTGATCTATTCTTGCCTACTTTCCTATTAATCTCCTCCAGCCTCTAAACTACAGTGTTCAGTTTCTATTGTAAACAGTTTTATTTTCAATACCTATAAAGTGCTTGACACACAACAATATTTATTAGGTGGATTAATGATAGAGTTGGTGCCTATGGCAGGAGAAAAAGGGACTTTTCTTTCAGTGGCTTAGGCCTATTGTTGAGGACAGTTGCTCTTACAAAGGGGTAAGAAGATTCCCATTGTCTTTCATCTCAATTATATCATAATATTCATATGGTTTCTATAATGGAATGTTTGGTAAATTGCAAGCAATACACACAAACAACTTTCAGAGACCCCTTTACCTAAAAAGTGAAAGTCAGCTATAACTGAAGATCAGCCTTAATTTAAAGCAACAGAGCATTAACTATAAAAATAGATATGACATAGTTGTGAGAGATGTAGCAGTGACCTTTGGGCAAGCATTATATTTATTTTTAAATTAATGCTATAATTTTATAATCTACTTAAATCAATGCATTTAGCATGATTTCAATATAAATACTGAAGCAATGTTACTTTAATCCGTAGTCTATTTATTTTGTGCTATTCATGATTTATATTTCTATTGTTACTTGACTACTAAGTGACAGAATCCACTCATTATCCAGAAATTATAAATGTATTCAGACACATTTGGAACTGAAAGCTAGCTAGGCTTCTATTTAAAAATAAAAAAGACATATATTCAGCTTGAGAGTTGATATACAAAATTTTCCAGTTAAAGGTGTAGATCTTAGACAGTTAAGGACATACTGGGGTCTCAAACAAGTGGACTAACTGACACGAATGCATCTGGGAGGAGGAGACCATTCATCCTCTGTACATGGAACTGTGGTCTGCACATTTGAAAGACTGTAGCCAGGATATCCTCAACTTTTACAGATTGACTCTGTAAAGATATTCCTTCATATTTTGTGTTATATCCATTCTCCAAATAACTGAGAATACATTGTCCTAAAGACCATAAAATGATTAAAAGGTAGATTAGGAACATGAATTTGATCAAAATAGTATATTAAAATAATTTTTTGAATATTTAAATAAGACTGCATCAGTACACAAAAATGACGTATCACTGAAGGAAAACTAAAGCTACTACTAAATGTTTGTACAAAAAGGTCAGTATTCAATGTTACTTATCTTTAGTTTTTATGATAAAATATGTTTAAATTATATAGGTATTCTCATAAGGTTCCTATATTTATTTCTCATGTGATTTTCATGAAGGTCTCATAACAGAAAAGATCTAGTTTGGTGTTTTTGCATGAACAACTCTTCCTTTGGTACCATCTCTGTCATATAAGACAATGTAATCATTTGTTTGCTCTTCTCTCTCCATTCTTTGCAAGTTTTATGCACATATTGTTGTAAAGAGGTTTGCTTACTGAGGCATGGGACTGTTGGCAACCACCCATCTTGTGTGCAGTGAATGTAATCCCAGTAACTTCCTGAAGGAGTCACAAAATTTTGGTCACAGTAATAGGAGTAAGATTGTCCTGTAGCTACTGGAAAGTATGGTCTACGCGTATTCTCATAATATAGATGTCCATGTTGAATTTCTGGAAACTCACAAGGTTTCATTGCTTGTAACAAAAAACAAAAATAGTATAAATAATGTTTCACTGTAACAGACAATGATATAAGAGATGACTGTTTTGATTATGTTACCTTCCAAATAATGTTTTTTTTTTTCTTTACTTTTTTTTTTTTTTTAGATGAAATTTCGCTCTGTCTCCCAGGCTGGAGTGCAGTGGTGCGATCACTGCTCACTGTGACCTCCGTCTCCCAGGTTCAAGTGATTCTCCTGCCTCAGTCTCCTGAGTGGCCGGCACTATGGGCACACACCACCACGCCCATCTAATTTTTGTAATTTTAGTAGACACAGAGTTTTACCATATTGGTCAGGCTGGTCTCGAACTCCTGACCTCAGGTGATCGACCTGCTTTGGCTTCCCAAAGTCCTGGGATTACAGGTGTGAGCCACCGCGCCTGGCTGGTTTTCTTTTAGATTTTTTTTTAAATTTTATAATTATTTTTTAAGTTCCCTGGATACATGTGTAGGATGTGAAGGTTTGTTACATAGGTAAATGTGTGCCATGGTGGTTAGCTCCACCTATCAACCCATACGCTAGGTATTAAGCCCAGTTCTTCCATGGTAAACTTTTCATTTTTGATGATATCATTCACTCCTCTTCTCTCCTTTTGATGCAAGTATTCTGCACTCAAGTCTAGCCCTTATTAACATTAGTATTTCTTTAGAAATTTCCCCAAATCATATTTTAATCCATCTTTCAAGCACTTAAATAAATTTCTTAACATAGTACATATCACTTTTGAAATCCAAAAATTTTTAAGATCTCTTCAATACATTCAGGGGCTGTTTACAATTCAAAAATAAATATTATTTGAGCACTACATACTTCTCCAAACATATTTTTCAAAAGTTTCTAAAGTTTTCTGCTGTTCTGGAATGTTTTCCTTATTACTTTAATATGCCATATGTATATGTAATATTTTTCATAAGGTTGCCTTTTTCCCTAGAATTCCCTGCTTGAATGCTCTTTGCTTCTTTAGATTTTAAGACTGAAAGTCTTGCTTGTATCATGGAACTGATCTTATGTCCTCAGATAATTATAATCCTTTCCTGTTCTTGATTATGAGAAGAGGTAATGATTTTGCTGTGAAATCCATCTTAGGAGTGTCCATCTCCTCAGTCAATCAAATTTAAGACTCAGAATTTATCTCTGAAACCTAATACTAAATTTTTCCTATGAAATCATGTTCAAAGATACTTGTAAACTATTTTGATTTGAGGATACGAATTTTCCTCTGCAGTCTTGCCACTTGCATGGTTTGGAGCCCGGACTTACACATGATCATCTACAGAAGTGGATACATAAATAGGGACAATAATTAAGGTTTAGCCCATCATAGGATCAGCCAAAATATCAGCATCATCAGTCAATATAAAAGGTAAAAGGTAGCATAGCATCAAAATAAAAGAAATGAGTCATATCACAGAAAAGAACTGCTTGTATCATCCTGTACTTAGGAACTTGAGCATTTGGAAAACTCGTGAGTTTACAGTTTAAGAGCTGTGACAGGAATAAGTTATCTGATATGCAAGGCCTGATGGGTATCTCAGTTCTCTACCTCATAGGCTAGTAGAAATTTGTGGCAAATTTTCTTTTAGGTTTTCTTTTTGCTGCCATAATTATTTTGGCTCATATTTTTTGAATTGTGTTTCTTCAAGTTCATAGGATTTGTGGGACAAAATTCTAAGAGTATACCTGTATTACAGACTTGAGGGCTTTTTAGTGTATTCATTTTCATTCTGGGACGAGGGGAGAGGAGATGAAGGTGAAAACAGAAAGCATTGGCATTTGGAAATGGCTGAGCTTTCTGTTAATTTCTTTCTTTCTTGCTAGAAATACTGGTAAAGTGTAAGAAAAAAACAATAATCAGAGAAAGAACTTCTCAGTGTTAACTAGCTATGTGCTCTATCAGGAAGCATTTCAGGTTTTCAAGTAGGATTTTAGTTAATAGTGCATGGTTTTTATTATACTTTAAGTTCGGGGTACATGTGCAGGACATGCAGTTTTTTTACATAGGAATACATGTGCCATGGTGGTTTGCTGCACCCATCAACCCATCACCTACATTAGGTGTTTCTCTTAATGCTATCCCTCCCCTAGCTCCCCATCCTGTGACAGACCCTGGTGTGTGATGTTCCCCTCCCTGAGTCCACCTGTTCTCCTTGTTCAGTTCCCACATCTGAGTGAGAACATGTGGTGCTAGGTTTTCTGTTCTTGTGATAGTTTGCTGAGAAGGATGGTTTCCAGCTTCCTCCATGTCACTTTTGACATGGACATGAACGTATCCATTTTTATGGCTGCATAGTATTCCATGGTGTACATGTGCCACATTTTCTTTATCTAGTCTGTCATTTGGGTCTGGACATTTGGGTTGGTTCCACATCCATGGTTTTTAAAACAGTGTTTTCAAAACTCTTTGAAAACTGTTTACCTAAGTATTAATAATGTGAAAATGGTTATTGATGTTAAGGTGAGATGCTGTATTTCATATGTGTGCAATAAATGGATATCATTCTTGAAGACTCATTGTGTCCATTAACAAATTGAGGTCTCTGAACATTCCTGTTTTTAAAAGGAAACTTTGTCATTGTTTACATAAAATTTTCCAAGCTTATACACTTATATATTAAGATCTGAAAGGCAAATATTCAGCAGAATAGCTGTTTGTGAACACAGTTCTAGGGTAATAACCCATAAAAATTTTAGTATAAATAAACAAGGATCAAAGTTATTACTCTAATTTTCTCAGATCCAGAATATTAAGAACTTACATATGCATCTTGGTGGTTCTGACCAGTCTCCATTACTACATGTTACATATTTAGAACCCTGAAGTTCATAGTAGGACTGGCACTGGTACTCGACTCTTGACCATGGCAGATACACTTTTTGCGGGAAGGACGTGGTATCTCCATTGCTAATAGGTGGAGGAGGCCCACAGTTTTCTGAAGAATCTGAAAAAAAATACTTTACATTGGGGAAAAATCAACAGTTTTATTGGAAACTTTCTGAATAAAGCTTTTTATATACTCTTAAATGTATCTTATTTGATTTCTTAGGAAGACATTTGTATTTTCAACCTTTTTTTTTAAGTTTCAAGGTAATTCACACTCAAATGAGGACTACATGTATATGTACACATATGTATTCATACACATATGTGTACATATACATATGTATGTTTCTATTTGTTTAATTCTAGTAAAAAGAAATACTTGAATAAAATACTTACTATAGCATGTTGGCAAATGGGACCAGCCATCTTCACCACACACTATGGAATCTGTGGTGTTTCCATAACTGCTTTCATATCCATCATAGCATTCATAGTCCAATGTGTCATGGAGCTTAAACCACATGCCATTACTCTTGGCTCTGGAATTCTCAAAAACAGGCATATCACAAAATTCTGAAACAAAATAAAATTGAGGATTGCTTTTCTATGCCATATGATGTACAACTCGACTAAGAAAGTCCCATTGTAGGAATAAAATTTACCAATCAGTGTGTGCTAATAAATTGAGTACTATTAAAAATAGTCCGACAATCAGTGTTTTTTTTGTGCTATAACAGTTAATTACAAGAGAAAAATACATTTCCCTATAATGATCCTTCTCATTATTCAAACCCTATGAAAAACATATTAAGACTATTTAGTCAGATCTATTTTTATTTGTGAACACCTCATTGACTGTTATTACAGTCTACCTTTATCACTATAATGTATTATTTTAAAGAAGATAAAATTTTGTGAATTTAAAAGTTAATGTACATATTTATGTACTCAGTTTACTGACAGGGTTTATAAGTTGGATTAAAATTATATTCATTGGATATACGTTCTATAAAAATTTTAAAGCATCTTTTATTTTACAAATCTTAGATCATTTATCAAAGCTGGTCAAATCAGATTGAAGTGTACAGCTTTGTCTTTTGCAGAGCCCGTGATAAGCATAGAAATTGAAAACAGTATTCTAGAAATGTACGAATTGATATTTTATAGCTCCCAAACCTCAGAGTAACTTTGAGATAATCACTTTCTAAGTGTAGCATTTTCTTTTTTCTCACTTAGATTAATATTTTTGAGATTCATCCATGTTCAATTACATATCAGTAGTCCTTTCCATTTCGTCTCATGGCTAAAAATAGTTGAATTGTACCCTTGAAAATGAAGTGGATTTTGCAGTATGTAAATTATATATCAATATGTGTGTTAAAAATACATTAAATGATTTATCTTTACAAATCTTGGTGAATGCCTAAAGAGGAAAGACAAAAAAGATAAACTTTTGCCACTGCAAGGTTTCCATTGTTCATTATGCAATCTCTTTATTAATAAATAATTACAAGTTGGGAATGTTTTAGAGAACTTTAGTTGTAAGGAATCCATTGCCAAGTATGAGGTTTGTAAACATTCAGCCCACCCACTTACTCTTTTTCTTTACTTGTTTTCTCTGTACTAGACAATAAGCTGGAAATAATTTTTTGAGTTGGTTCTCCTCAGTTGCATCATTGATACAAATTATTGAAGTCTCATTTTCCTGATGCTAGCAGAAACTCAGAATTAAGCACTCATCCCTTCCCTAACATGTACATCTTAAGAGTGTGAGCAAGGAATACAATACAAGCAGTTGATAATTTTGAAATACAAAGAAAGGGAAAAGAACAAAGTTTTTATTGACAAGTAATACATTGTGCTGATATTCCCATGCAGCTCCCTAACTAGTCTGTACCTGATGGGATTGCTTTTACGTAAAGGCAAATTGAATTGAGAGAGATGGAATGATCATCTTCCCAAGTAGCCATTACTCTAAAAAGGCAAAAAAGACTTAGTTTGGCACAGAATGTTAGATGATGTTAGAAGTATTTATATCTCTTTACTCCTAAAAGTGTTTTCTATCTTTTTCTGTAAAACACTATCACCTCAAAGAGAGGAAAGAAGTTGACAGAAACTGAGTGGGAATATGTAAATAACTTACTAATGCAAATTGGTTGTGTTGACCATCCATTTTGCAAACATGTAATTGATCCTGAAGAATTTCCCTCTGCTGTTGCATATCCTGGTTTACAATTATATTGTGTTTCTTCATTTAAAATATAAATAGAGGAAGATTCAGAAATGAATCCATTTTCAATTTCTACATCTGATTTTGAGCATGTTCCTAAAATAGAAAAAGTAGAGAAAAAAGTAAATATTTGTTGAATACTTCTTTTATAGAAGGGAACAAGTAAAAACATGGCAGTATGGTGAAACAATGAAACATCTGTTAATGAATTGAAAACAGCAAAACTGGAAGTTTCCTAGACATCTGTGAATTTTGAAAGAAAATAGTGAAAACACAGGGAAGGGCAGAATAAAAGCAAAGAATCTTTGAGACTGTCAACAGAGCTCTGGCAGGCCTTGAGGAATGCAGATCTAGCAGACTCTCAATTCCCTATAATTATTTGGAAGAGTTTCTGGCTACTTTGCAATAACCTGAACCTTTCTGGTGCTATTAAGAGGTCTTAGACTTCATTTAGTCAAATGCCATTTCCCAGGCAAAGATACAGTACACACTGCTACCACAGGCAAGGAAATAAATTTGTAAATCTTTTGTCTCCAGGAATTTAAAATAGTTGTCATCTTAAGTGGATGCTTAAACCCATATAGCCATGGTGTTTGAGAGAAATGTGGAAATGTAAGCAGGAAAAAACAAACAAGATAGCAAAAATAAGTTCTAATATATTAGTAATGTATATGTTCTTTATATATTATCAATGTATGTGTTCTATACATTACTAATGGGTATATGTATAAGGTAGTAATTATTTTAGTAATGCGTATGTTCTAACTTATTAATAATGTGTATGTTCTTTTTTGGTTAGTAATTAGAAAAAAATGTAAATGGACCAATTTTACTATCTGAAAGGAAAATAAATCATGTTAAAGATGATACATGTTTATAATAAAGCATTTGTCATAATCATGAGTTTTCTGATCTATTCTTGTCAACTTTTCGATTAATCTCCTCCAGTCTCTAAACTACAGTATTCAGTTTCTCTCGTAAACAATTTTATTTTCGATACCTATAAAGGCACTTGACACACAACAATATTTGTTAAGTGGATTAATGACAGAGTTGGTGCCTATGGCAGGAGCAAAAGGGACTTCCCTTCCAGAGGCTTAGGCTGTTGTTGAGGGCAGTGCTTCTATGAATGTGTAAGAAGATTACCATTGTCCTTTATCTCTATTGTATCCTAATTATCATATAGTTTCTATAATGGAATGTTTTGTAAATTGCAAACAATACACACAAACAACTTTCAGAGACCCCTTTACCTAAAAAGTGAAAGTCAGCTATAACTGAATGTGTCTTCATTTAAAGCGACAGAGCATGAGCATTAGCTATAAGAATAGATGTCATATAATTGTGAGAGATGTACAAGTGACCTTTGGGCAAGCATTGTTAATTAATGCTATAATTTTATAATCTACTTAAATCAATGCATTCACTTTGATATAAATACTGAAGCAGTGTTACTTTAATGTGTATTTAGTGTATTTTGTGATCTTCATGACATATGTGTGTGTGTGTATATATATACATATATATATATATGTGTTTTTTTCTTTTCTTGAGACAGAGTCTTGCTCTATCACCGAGTCTGGAGTGCAGTGGTCTAATCTCAGCTCACTGCAACCTCCGCCTCCCTGGTTCAAGCCATTCTCCAGCCTCAGCCTCCTGGGTAGCTGGGATTACAGGCATGTGCCACTGCACACGGCTAATTTTTGTATTTTTAGTAGAGACAGGGTTTCACCATGTTGACCAGGCTGGTCTTGAACTCCTCACCTAAAGTGATCTGCCCGTCTCGGTCTCCCACAGTCCTGGGATTACAGGACTGAGCCACTGCGCCTGGCCCCTGACTTATATTTCTATTGCTGCTTGGCCCTATTAAGTGACAGAATCCACTAATTATCCAGAAATTTTAAATGTATTCAGACACATTTGGAACTGGAAACTAGATAGGCTTCTGTTTTAAAATAAAAAGACATAAATTCGGCTTCAGAGTTGATGTACAAAATTTTCCAGTTAAATATCTAGATCTTAGACAGTTACGGACATACTGGGATCTCAAATGAGTGCACTAACTGACACGAATGCATCTGGGAGGAGGAGACCAGCTGTAAATACGTTCTTCCATATTTTTTATTATATCCATTCTCCAAATAATTGAAAATACATTGTCCTAAGGACCATAAAATGATTTAAAGGTAAATTAGAGACATGAATTTGATCAAAATAGTATATTAAAATAATTTTTGGAACATTTAAATAAGACTGCATCAATACTGAAAATGATGTATGACTCAAGAAAAACTAAAGCTACTACTAAATGTTTTTACAAAAAAGTCAGTATTCAATGTTACTTAACCTTAGTTTTTATGATAAAATATGTTTAAATTATATCGGTATTCTCATAAAGTTGCCACATTTATTTCTCATGTAATTTTCACGAAGATCTCATAACAAAAAAGATCCATTTTGGTCTTTTTGCTTGAACAACTCTTCCTTTGGTCCTATTTCTGTTATATAAGACAATATAATCATTTATTTGCTGTTCTCTCACTCTTTTCAAGTTTTATGCACATATTCTTGTAAAGAGGTTTACTTACTGAGGCATGGGACCGTTGGTGACCAACCATCTTGTGTGCAATGAATGTAATCCCAGTAACTTCCTGAAGGAGTCACAAAATTTTGATCACAGTAATAGGAATAAGATTGTCCTGCAGCTGCTGGAAAGTATAGTCTACGCAAACTCTTATAATATAGACCTCCATGTTGAATTTCTGGAAAATCACAAGGTTTCACTTCTTGTAATAAAAAACAAAAAACAGTATAAATAATGTTTTTCTATAACAGATAATCATATATGACATTTTTGATCAATAAATTATATTCTCTTCTTAGTGTAATGAATTAGGGGTTTTAGGGCAAGAAAAGTTACAGAAATCCAATGACCTAGATATGTGAAGAGCTGTTTGCTAATGAAGATTGAAGAAAACTGTGCAGACCTATTTAATGTACCCTCCATGAGTACATATATCGTAGCCCTGGTTGATTAGTGAGCTTCCTGGTTGAGAGATGAAGGCGCTTATTTTACCATTCAGCTCATCTGTCTTCTTTTTCTTTCTGTTCCATCCCATCAGAAATCAGAGCCCTGCCTGTTCTTCTCAGACCAACTCTAGAGTGGGAGATAGTAGTTTTTTGAGGATTTTAAAAAATTGACTGGAAGGAATGTAAAAACTACAGAGAAACAGGAATTTCTCATTGATCACATCACACAACAAAATAATATTGCTAATTCATGTCTCAAACCAGTTATTAAGACAAGATTTCTATCCTTTATTTAACCAGGAAAATGAACTAGGAATATTTCTTAATATCTAAATATCTAAGAGTGTAATAAGCATTTTTATTAATTTTTAATTTTGATTAGAAAATAAGATGTTTTTAATGTTTTATATACAATATTTTTTACAGTATATTTACAGTTTATTGAGGAATTTGTGTATATTGAATATTTGACATATATGTTTAAGCACTATGTTATTATAAGGCTTATACTTGATATTTCCAAAAAAAGTTTCCATTTCCATGGGATGATTCGGAGATAATTTACTACTTGTAATACCAGAAGAATATTCATTTTTTCTATGAAATATGATCATTGTTCAAGAAACCTTATACTACACATTATAAAAAATTCCAACATATGCACCACACACACACGCACAATATTGTTTATTATCTCCATTATTCTTTAGTCCACTGGTTTATTGTCTTTCTTTCTTATTTTTTCATTAGCGAGATTTTCAGGCAGTTTCTACAGTCTTGTTTTGTGGATTATAAATGTTGAATTCTTGCATCTCTTAAGTATCTTCATTTAAAAGATACGTGAGTAACTTCTCTAGGTATAGATTCTTGGCCTACAGTCCATATTTCTCTTCACCATTTTTTTTTTGCCACATTTTTGAAACTTCCAATGTGGAAGTTCAAATATTCATTCAGTTTCATTGCTTATAAATAGCATCTTAATTACTCTGATTTTAGGGTATAAATCCTCAGCTGTGCTGTTTTTGAAGCTTAGCTCAAGACTTCTTTCCCCTATTGCAATAGTCAAATAAAATCTGTCTTGTCATATTAACAAGTGTCAGATGAATAATTTGTCTTTAACACATCTGGCGTTCATCAATCTATTTCTTTTTGTTTGATTAGAAAAATTTTTCAACCGGTTTCTACAGATTAGTTATGCCGATTATAACTTTGAATCCTTGCATGTTGTAAATGTCTTTAACAAAGACCTGGGAACAATAACTTGTCTTTGTATAGTTTCTTGGCCTATATCCATATCTCTCATTGTTGATAGATTTTGCCCCCCATTTTTTGAACTTCCAAAGTTGAGCTTAAAATGCCTCATTTAGTTTCATTCCTTCTATGTTACATTCTGTTGTTTCCCCCCGACCACTGTTTGGATATTTGTATTATTTTCTCTTTACCTTTGAACTTTGCAAATTTCATCATGATACATTATGATACTTCAACATAGATCATTTAACACTAATTCCACCTTGGACAAGCTTGAGTCTTTGGATTTGCAGGAAGTGAGCCTTAAAAAACTCAATTAAAATTTCCATTAAGTGGTAGAGCAGAGATTTAAACTTTAGTTTTCTGATTTCAGAACAAGTATAGTTATCTATCTCATGATGGTGTTTCATAGAATGTAAATAACATAGTCTGCTGAGATTTCTTTTCAAAAAATCAAAAAGGAAGTATAATTAAAAGTAGCTATCATTATCATTAATACCACAAGCTTGAGCCACTTCATGACTTTTCTTTTTTACTGAGAAAATTTAAACCATTTTTATCTTTCTCATATGGTAGTTCTCTAAAGCAAAAAAAAAAAAAAAAAATTCCACCTATGATCTGATTGGCACTGAAGTCAGCAGAACTTAGAGCAGCCTCATTCTATTTCTTAGTCTTCTACCATGTGAATTGTAGACTCACAAGCAGTTATGATGGTTCTATCACAATGTTAACTCAAACTGACCTTAACGTTGATTAAAATACTCACTAATTTTTATAGTGGTTGCTAATCTGTTTGTACTAGTACTGCTGATTCCTTTGACCCAAGACCAGGATCTTACAGTTACCACTACTAAATTTAATTTTTTTAGATTTAGCTTTGCACGTAGGATTCTTCTGGAATTATGAATCTATACTAATGCAGATTCACTGTCACCATCTGCTGTAGCATTTCATTTGTGAATTTATACTGCATTTCTCCTAAACCGTTAAACTATGGGCAGACACAAAAGAGTAATGAAGCCTGAGAATAAAATGCTGTATCTGATAATCAGGTAAAACATTTAATAAAACTGCAAACTACTTGATAAATCATCAAACCAGTCAATTTCTCCATCTTTTCCACACAAATTTCAGAAGGTCACTTGCGAAATACTTTTGCAGAAAACCAGATATAGCTGGCATTCAGTTGGTCCAGAAGCATTTGGGCTGATCTAGCATTTTCATAAGCCAACTATAGAATAATTATTTATTTACCTTATAGTTTTTATGCACAGTGAAATTGGTTTCACAGTTACAATAGCTACCTTTCTTAAGAACTCATGCTTTTGACAATTCATCTGGGTTTGGGCACGATAATCCGAACACCTTGGGAGGCCAAGGTGGGAGGACTGCTTGAGGCCCAGTTTGAGATCAGCCTAAGCATCACAGCAAGACCTTGTGTCTACAGAATAAAAATAAAAAAGTAACTGGGCATGGTGGCACATGCCTATATTCCCAACTGCTTAGGAGGTTGCAGTGGGAAGATCATTTGAGCCAAGGAGGTCAAGATTGCAGCGACGTATACTGCGCTGCTGCACTCCAGCCTGGGCAACAGAGGAAGACCTTGTTTTAAAAAGAAGAGGAAAGAACATTTTTCTGTCATGGACTATCCACTTTAAGTATGGTTCACCTTTACAATGCACTGCAAGATAGAAAAAAAAAAGAATATGTTTGTAGAGACAGAAAAAATCTTGAAAAAGGCAAAGGAACCATCATAGAAATAAAACACCCTATTGACGTGAGAGACATTTTGCTACATTTGATGATTGTGGAAATTCCACAAATTCTTCAATACTCCTTCCTCAAAATAGTGGAGCCTAATTCTCCTCCACTTGTTGTGTGCTGGACTTAGTGACTCATTTCTGAAGAATAAATATGGCTCAGGTGAGAGTGTGTGACTAGGTGATAAATGACATGAAGGCTTCCTCCTACTCCTCACTCTCTCTGTCTTGAATCTTTAGCTCTGGAGAAATGTAGTTGCCATTCAAGCAACCTGTGGAGGGGACAATGTGGTAAGGTACTGGGACCTCCTACCAAAATCTGTGTGAGTGAGCCATGTTGGAAGCAGATCCTGCAGCCCAGCCAAGTTGTCAGGTCACTGCAGCCCAGGCCAACATCCTTGGCAACGACACAGGAGAGCATCTGACACAGAACTAAACAGTAAAGTCACTCCCAAATGCCTGACCCACAAAATCTGTGAGAAAATAAAGGTTTATTGTTTTAAGCAAATATGTTTTTAGCAAAATATGTTTCACAACCATACATAACTAATATACTAGGCTTTAGAGGGTGCTAGTCTCACCCAGTGTATTATTTTGGACATTGGAAGAATAGAGAAATATCTATTCATATACACACATCCATCTGTATAATTCTGAGTAGCAAACATTAAAGAGAATTTTAGTTTACAATAATTGTTTTAAATTCTACTTAGAATTATCTACTTTGGAAAGCAAAGACTTCTCAAAACTCCATATACTAAAATATTGAAATTTATTGTCTCCCCTTTTTTTGTGTTTAAGAGAAAGTAATTTCAGATTTTAAATGTAAGTCAGTATATGGACTGGAACTTACTGCTACATCCTGGAGCACGTAGGTACCCACCCACTACTAGTGCATTTGCCCTGTTTCCCTGGGTTGTAGGATAAAAGCCATCTATAAACTCACATATGATTAAATCTTCAATTCTGTGTTTTGTCTTTTCAGGTGTGTAGACATCATTTTGAATATAAGGAGGATTACATTTTTTTTTTTCTGAAAAGAAAACGGCTGTGTGGACTATGTAGAAATCACTACCCATTAAAATAAAGTACATTCTTGCTAGAAACACAGTAAAAATGCAAATAAGGAAGGCCTGAGTAAGGACTTACAGTGTTAACCATCCATGTATTCCACACAGAAGTCTTTCAGCTTTTCTCCTTGAGTACACATATCTTAGCTCTGGTTGATTTAGTGAGAGTCTTTGATACGGAAAGGAGACAGGCAAATACTGGTTAGAAGAGGGCGATTCCCTGTCAAAGGCCCCACCCCGACCCTAAATGAGGACAGGCATGTCTGTTTTCCTGTCCAAAATGTTGCCTTTTGGCCCTCCATGCTCCTCATCCAGCCCCCATATAAACCCAACACCTTAGCGGGCACACATACGCGGCTGAACAATCACAGCGGAACAAGGCAGCAGAGAAAGAGAGAAGAGCAGGAATGTCTGGATGCCGAGGGAAATGAGTTCCGCTAGGGGAGGTCGGAGAAAAATCTGGCCGCTGGGTGGCCTAACTCCAGGGGAAGACCACCTTCCCACTCCATCCCCCACTTCGGGCTCCCTATCCAACTTGCTGAGAACCACCGCCATCACTCAATAAAACCTTGCAGTCATCCTTTGAGCCCGCATGTGATCCAATTCTTTAGGACCACTGGGCAAGAGCTCAGGATACAGAAGTCTGTCACACTGGCCCCAGGCTCTTGAGATAAGGCAGAGGGTCCATTGAGCGGATTAACACACAAGCCGTCTGCAGACAGCAAATCTGAGTTTTGTAACACGCGTCCACTTGGGCGTCTGTACTCACAGACGCCTACCCTAGACGCTGCCGTGGGGCCAGAGCTCAAAAGCACTCATGCCGGCCTCTGCACCTGCCCGTCTGCAAGCTGCCCCTAGGGGTTTGAGCTGCGGGGCGACAAAGCAGATAACACCCCTCTCGCACGTCCTGCGAGGGGAATCAGGGAACTCCCCCATTTCATCTTGATTGAAAGACAAAGGTGCTTTCACCAGTTCAGTCCTTTTCTTTTTTTCTTTCTGTTCCCTTCCATCGGAATTCAGAGCCCTGCCTTTTCTTCTCAGAACGACTCAATGGAGGGAGCTAGTAGTGTTTATGTTTGATACCTAATGTAAATGATGAGTGCAGCAAACCAACACAGCGTATTTATACATATGTAACAAACCTGCACGTTGTGCACATGTACCCTAGAACTTAAAGTATAATAATAATAATAAAAAAGATTAAATTCATTAGCTTGTTATTCTATTTACTGAAAGCAATCTAAGAAATATAGAAAAAGAAATCTGGGAAGATGGCGGAGGAGGAAACACCTGGAATCTGACTCCTCACCTTTACAGTTGCATGGCCAGAATTTGTCTGATTGTACTATTTTTGGAGTCTATTGAAGCCCTACAACTTCTAGGGATGACTTGGATCGTAAGTTGCACTCACATTCAGTCAATTTTAGCTCCTAGCACAGTGTCATATGTTCATACCACGCTCCTTAGCCACATGGCAGGCAGCTGTATGTGTATTTATGGAGCAACCTGCACATAGCAGCGGGGAGCCAGAGTGTCGAAAACAACTCGATTCTTCAAATATTTGAGATTTGTGCTCTGATTGCTGGGTTCTTTGATCACAGAGATGCAGACAGAAAGATAGGCGGCCATTGTTTTTCGGCTTTCTCCATTGTTGCAAGCCCCTCCCCTTGGCTGATGTGAATTTGTCCAAGGGGAGATACACTAGGATATTCCAAAGCAACCGCATGAATGGGGAAAATTAGAAAATGACTATGAACACTTAGCAAAAAGTGCAGGCTTGGAAAACACTGGAGACAACCTAAAGTCTATGCTACAGGCTAATTCTTGACACAGACATAGCCTACTATATTCAGACAAAAACAATAAATGAAAACAATGCAGGAAGCCCCTCAACAAACATGTAGAAGGAGGAGAATCTGATTCCCATTGTTACCCATTATTAGATTAAAAAGTTCAGTTTTCCACAAAAAGAATATTTTGGCAGCCAGACACTAAACACTAGGATGTTCCAAAGCAACTGCATGAATGGGGAAAATTAGAAAATGACTATGAACACTTAGCAAAAAGTGCAGGCTTGGAAAACACTGGAGACAACCTAAAGTCTATACTACCGGCTAATTTGTGACACAGACATAGCCTACAACATTCAGACAAAAACAATAAATGAAAACAATGCAGGAAGCCCCTCAACAAACATGTAGAAGGAGGAGAATCTGATTCCAGTTGTTACCCATTATTAGACTAAAATGTTCAGTTTTCAACAAAAAAATTATGTCATACAAAGAAATAGGAAAGTATGGCCTATTAAAAGAAAAAAAATAAACTGAAAGTTTCCCTGAAAAAGCTCTGATGGTAGGTCTATTAGAAACTTTAAAATAACTGTATTAAAGATACTGAAAGAAGTAAAGAAAGATGTGAAGAAAGAAAATGATGTATGATCAAAATGGAAATATGAATAAAGGGATAGAAAGCCTGAAAAGGAAACAAAAAGAAATTCTGAAAGTACAATAATTAAAAGGAAAAAAATCAAAAAAGAGATTCAGAGGCATAGTAGAGCAGGCAGATGAAAGAATTAACAATTTTAGAAAAACCAAAATTATTGAATCTGAATAACAGAAAAAGAAATTAAAGTATAAAGTGAAAAGAATCTAAGGAACATGGGACACCAGGAAGCAGACCAACACACACAAAGTGGATTTCGGAAGGAGAAGAGAAAGATGAATAGAGAATGTTTGAAGAAATAATGGCATTAATAGAGACCCTCAATAAACTTAATGAACTTAATGAGATTAACTCAAAGAGATAGATATCAAGATACATTATAATCAAACTTTAATTTAATTAAGTTTTTTAATTTGTAGTGATAGGGTCTTGCTCTGTCACCCAGGGAGGAGTGCAGTGGTGTGATCATAGCTCACTGCAATCTCAAATTCCTAGTCTAAAGCAATCCTCCTGCCTCAGTCTCTTGAATTGTAAGGACTACAGGCATGCTCTACTATATCAGGCTAACTTTTTTCTTTAATATAATTTTTTTTGACAGGGTCATGCTCTGGCACCCAGGCCAGAATGCAATGATGTGATCACACCTTACTGTAGCCTCGACCTCCTGGGCTCAAGTGATCCTTCCACTTCAGCCTCTTGAGTAGCTGGGACTACAGGTGCATTTCACCATACCTGAATAATTTGTTGTTGTTGTTGTTGTTTTTAGAGACAGGGTTTTGCCATGCTTGCCAGGCTGACCTCAAACTTCTGGCCTCAAGCAACTCTCCCCATTCAGTCTTCCAAAGTGCTGGCGTTACAGGAATGAGCCACTATACTTGGTCATAATCAAATTTTTAAATAGCAAAGACACAGAGAGAGTCTTGTATGCAGCAAGAGAGAAGCAATTTCTCACAGGTAAGTATTTCTTAGTCAGATTATTAGCAGATTTCTCATCAGAAGTTTATAGGCCAGAGGCATTGGGCCAATATGTTCAAAACGCTAAAAGAAAAAAAACGTCTTTCAACTAAGAATCCCATATCTGTCAAAAGTGTCCTTCAAAAGTGAAGGAGAAATTAATTCATTCCCAGATAAACAAAAGCTGAGGGAGTTTGAGACCACTAGACTTGCCTTTCAAGAAATGTCTAATAGAGTCCTGAAGGGTAAAGTGAAATAATACTAGACAGTAACTGGACATTGCAGGAAGAAATAATGACCTCAATAAAGGTAAATACATGGGCAATTTAAAAAGGCTAGCATTATGGTAACAATGGTTTTTGTCTCCATTTTTTGTTTTTCTATATGATTTAAGAGACCAGTGAAGTTTAGAAAAACAATTATTAACCTAAAAGCTTTTATTGTTGTAACTTTGGTTTAAAACTCCATATTTCATTTTCTACATAATTTAGGAAACCAATGCATTTAAGTGAATTATTAAGTTTTGGGCACATGATGTGTAAAGATGAAATTCTGTGACATTAACAACGGAAAAGGGGGGATAGAGCAGTTTTTCTATATTAGCGAAGTTAAGCAGGTGCAATTTAACTGAGAGTGTTGTAATATATAATAGGTGTAAATGAGAGTTAATATTCAGCTTCGGAGGAATTTTAAGAAACCATTGGAGAAATTTTTGTGTTATCTTCCCAGCTGTTAAGAGTTATCATGGAAGCACATAGAGAGATTAGGTCTGTGTCACCTGAGTCTTAGAATTCATGTAATAAACAAAATTCCCTTCTAAGCTACATTGAAAACAAAGTGTGAACAAGACATAAACTTTGGTTTATTAAGCTACTGAGATTTGGGAATACAGTTATTCCCAAATAACAAGCAAATCTGCTTCTTGTGTTGGTAAATCTTTTACATCTGAAGACAAACAATGGTATTACACATACCATCAGCCAAACATAAATCTAATGTGGGTTATCATTTTCTTGTGTTCATTAACCTCTTTCTAACATATTTTCTTAACAGTGCTTATAAGTGAAGATCGCTCAATTGTGTAGTGAAATATATTTTCCAAGGAACTGCTTGTGAGCTTAAGTCAAAAATTAAAAGAAAAATAAATTATAAAATCAACTCAAAAGATAATTGCAGTTTTTAAAATAGAGTATAATTAAAACAAAGTTTGTATGTGTAATTTTGAATCATACCACTTAAAATGTGGAAGGCTCAGAATAGATCAACTCTTCTACCACCAACCCCCATCCCAGCAACATATGGCAATATCTGTAAAGGTCACCCTTTTAGAAAGTCACTCGACCTCTGATTCGATGTTGGATAATACTGTTACCTGCTTCACTGACTGTGACAGTCCTCATCAAAAGCTAACTTGCTCCCCTTCGTAAGTGTTTTGAAATATCTCAAGACAGTCATTATAACGCTATAACTCTATCTTTTTGCATGCTTCTTACGCTACAATTTCTTTAACTCTTCAACTATCTATATATTGTCTTCTATGCTGTGATAGTTTGAAACCAATCATTTTAAAACGTGGTAGACTAAGTACAATATATTATTACAGATATGCTATTTGGTGGGTGAACCACGCAGTGGAGATTAATTTGTTGACACTGAAAAACACCATTTCCTTATGAAGCCTAAAAGAGATAGATGTTCCTCTCAGTACCACCATTGTCCATTAATATTAGGGTTATTAATGAAACTCTTCATTTTCTTCCACTTAACTGCATTGTTAGTTGAATGTTTCCTCATCTGATATTAATGGAATTTTCTTTTTAAAGCTAAATACACATGTTGTTTCCACTAGGTAAATCTGCCAACAAAAAAATAAAAATTCTTTTTGACTTGAATGCTTCATGAATGATTTATCTGTTCTTAACAGATAAATAATAAAGGCATTTTTGAAAGAAGTTAAAATTTTAATTAAAAATATGTTGCTGATTTTATTTCCTTTGAAGATTAGTTCTCTTGAGATAAATGGTATAGAATAATATTCTTTAAATGTATATATGAATTTCAATATAGACATAGGTTTGCTGTGATAGCTATTTTCTCTGAGTCAGCTGCAAAAATAACCCATGCCCTATTTATTCATAATATGGTAATTATTGACAGAACTTTTTTTGGGGGAAATTCATGTTAATCATTCTCATTACCTCTCTCAAAATTAACTGAACTTCTGCATTTGTGGTGTTCCCTTTCACTCAATTTTTCTATCAAAACAAAGAAACAAACAAACACAACAGGCACAAAAAAACCCTGCCAATAATCTTTGATATCATCTTCTCTCAACCATTTTCTTCTGGGATTACAGCAACCATAACTAATTTCCTGATCCTGACCTCTCATCTTTATAATCTATTTTCCTGTGTATAAATTAGTGATCCTTCATCTGGTCATTTTATTGCTCCACTTAAAATCCTTAGTGGCTCCCAAATCAGCTAACAAGACAAGAAGAACCTCATTCCACTTTATCCACTTCTCCTACGTAGTATGGTCTCTTCGGCAATTCTGGAAATTTTATCAGCGTTAATTTAAACTCAGCTTATCTAAAACTATACCAAGTTATGCTAAAGCTGTCAGTTCAGGTGCACACATTAGCAATAATTGTTTTTTGGAAAATAGAGAAAAGAAATATTACTATAACATAAGAAAAAATCTGAAATGTAGCAAATTATCTCCAGAAATAAAACATTTTGTTGAGTTTTGTGGCATTTTGTTTGTATTAGATGGCATACATTCTTACCATAGTTAGAATTCATGTATCAGGTGAGACATATTATTGATATAAAAATATAGGTCCACACACGAATATACATATATATTCATACATTCTATATGTATATTTATATATGTATATGTATATACAAAGAGAACATTGAACACTACCACAATTTAAATAGCAAATAATTTATGTTTCTTTATAATTTTGAAACAAGTTTCTTTATATCAAGTTCTTTATAATTCTGAAACATGAGAGAAATTAATATTTACGTTCTATTTGTTATGAAATCTTAAGAATATAACTAAAGAAAAATTAAGTTTGAATCATCATAAATCAGAGAGAACTGGAAGGAGGCTAGTGACACAACAGCTTTAGTGTGTAGATGAGAAGACTAAGTTCAGAGAAGTGACATCTTTACTTTCTGGGAGGCGTTTGCTAGTTACAGAACTGGCTCCAGAGGCTTGTTGGGTGACGCATGACAGCTTCTCTGACCCAGTCCGTCAAGCACGGATGCACAGTTTTTTGCTGAGTGTCTCCTCCGTATTGGAAAATCTAACCATCCCTGCTCTGTGTAACATCCTGAGATACTCTTACATTTTCTTATGATTGCAGGATATTTAGTCCAAGGAAGAAAGAGACGTAAACTAAAGGAAATCATTTTATTTACTTATTTATTTATTGAGACAGTCTTGCTCTGTCGCCAAGGCTGGAGTTCAGTAGAGTGATCTTGGCTCACTGCAACCTCCACCTCCCGGGTTCAAGTGATTCTCCTGCCTCAGGCTCCTGAGTAGCTGAAATTACACGTGTTTGCCACCACACCTGGCTAATTTTTTGAATTTTTAGTAGAGACAGTGTTTCACCATGTTGGCCAGGCTGGTCCCAAACTCCTGGCCTCAAGTGATCTCCCCGACTTGGCCTCCAAATTGCTGGGATTACAGCCACCATGACTGGCCAAAAATTCTTTTTCTTAATAAACGACATTTTCGAACCTGAAGTGAGGTTTTCATAGTTTAGGTTCATTTCTAAAAATCGTTTCTCCCACTAGAAGGCACTGGAGTTTCATAGAGAAGTTATTAGAACTGGGTGTGTAGTAGGAAAAGTCAAGGAAAGCCTGGAACCTTTTGTTATGCGAAAGCTTAATGGGGGCACGTGAAATACACACAGAAACCAGCTTCTTAGTGAGATTTGAAACTAATTTGAGCATCCCAAAGAAGTACAATGGCAACAGAGTGTAATGCACTGGGTATTGAAAATGATCTAGTTTGAAAGAGATTTAGAAGCAATCCTGCTCTAAAATACTAATTGTCACCTTTGATACTTTGTTATGGCAACTCTAATAGATGAATGAAATATTTATACAATTTTAAAAGGATATTCATAATTAAAATAATTTTCCTGACAACCTATTTTAAATTAAATGTAAATAACTTACAAGTTGATGGAAGAAATAATGCTCAATACAAATTCAATGAACATTATAATAGGTTACAATTACTAATTTTCTGTCAAGTTTATCTTTCAAATAGCGTGGCTTCCAAAAGAATTATTATTCAGAACTGAAACATCAACTACCATTAAAAACAAAGTTTCTTAGCATAGGCAACTCACAAAGTATGTCCTTCATTAATCATATGAAAAATATTTCTCAGGTTTGCTTTGCCAGATTCTGAATAGATATGAATACAGGTATATATAAACATAAAGTATTCAACTAGACAAAACTCAGCGAAGACAATACAGCCAAGATATAATTATCAAATTCTGATAAATACCCTCTAAAATATGTATGGTGGGTATATACGTATCCATGAGTAAAGAGTAAAAAATTATTTTAAGTTAATATTCTTTTAATAAATTGTGTAAAATCATTGTATTTATCTTCTAGTGCTACCATAAGAAAGTACCACAGATTTCATAGAAATTTATTTTCTTACAGTTCTGGAGGCTAATACTTTGAGATGTGGCTGTCAACAGGGCTGCATTCTTCTGAGGCCTCTTCCTTTGCCTTGTAAATGGTTGTATTCTCTCTATGCCTTACGTGGTCTTTCTCTATATGGTGTGTCCTTATTTTCTCTTCTTATTGACACCAGTTATATTGGAGTAGGTCCCACCTGAATCATTGACCTTTAACTTAATTACATCTTTAAGCTCTCCTTCTTCAAATGCAGTCACATTCTCAGGTATTGGGAATTTGGACTTTTACAAATAAATTTTGGAGGGATGCAGTTGAGCCAATGCTACTGAATTCACAAAGATGTTTCTCACTACCCAAGATGTTATTCCACTAAATGAGTTACTTTCTCCTTTGAGAAATATAGGTGTGACCCAAATTTACAAGACATTTTTCTCAAGTTTACTCTTACAAAGAGTTCATTGGAGGAGAAAAGTTTTCAACTGGAATATCAAATAAGAAAGAATTTGTCAGCATTCTTTTCTTATACTGCTTTTGAGAAAGTAACTAAGAAAGTAGAGCTTATTCTAATCTAATTTCAGTCATTTCAAAATAGTACTGTTTTTCTCTATTTTTCTGCTTTGCATTCTACTTTAATCTATGTAATCCTTATTTTAAAAAATGTGCCTGTAGCAGTTTAGTTAACAAAGGGAATAACAAGAGAAATTCCTTTTTTTTCATTTTGGCACAAATCAAGGTTGATTTTGCACAGCAATTAAAACTAGCGAATCATGTGATAGATAATACTGTAAAACCTAAAGCTGTTTACTTAGAATCAAATAAAGTGGCATAGCTTTGAGAGGAGAGGCTGAGGGAAAAGATACTCTCAATAATTGATAGTGGGATTTCCAATATTATCCTCCATTACATTTGTTGGAATATTATAAAGTTTTGGATAATTATAAAATTTGTTTTCTTCATTAATGGTGACACACCTTTGATTGTCCATGATTTTTGACCCATGTGGTTCCACTGCTAATGTTACATACAATATAGTTCTTTAATATGCAAGGCCTGCATTCAAAGAGATAGTTAATATAGAAAATACATGACTATCGAGGAGAAAACATATCAGAGAACAATGACATAAAGCTATGAAAATTATTTATGTATTTATTTATTGAACATTTGCTAGTGAACTCAGAAATGCAAATTAAAATTTACTGTCATTCCAATGTAAGTTAAGTATATATTCTGCTTTTTGATTACATATATGTTGTGATTTACATATTGCTAATCTTGTTGAAATATTAAATTCATATTAATGTTAATTAGATGTAGCAGCTTTCTTAAGGTATAATAGAAATATAAGAAATGGCATAATTTAAAATATTTTATTTGCTGTTTTGATATATGAATCAATAAAAAATCACTGTATGTAAGATTATGAAAGTATCAATCACTCCCAAAGTTTCCCTTGTATTATGAATAAGAAAATTCTGAACATTTTAAGGTTAGAATCTATCTAATGACATGTTTCCTACTTAAAGTTTTATGAGTATATTCATATATCTCCATAATGAATATTAGATGCTTTTTACACTGTAGAATTTGTAAAACAAAGAAAATATTATTCATTTTTTCTTTAAATTATGAGATATTTTTTCATAAAATTAATTTCTGTTATACTCTCACAAAATATGCTACTTCTGCTAGCATAGTGAATATATCCTATCAGATTTATAAAAAAATTATAGACATATGAAGTTAGATATTACACGAAGTTACATTTAAGAGGGAAGCTGAGTGTTTAGATCTCTTTCAACTTACCTTGTCCATTAGCACAGGAAACCCACAAGGTCAGAATGACATTGATTAGTAACAACATGTTAGATATTCTCAGTAGTATAGTAATGCAAAAGTTTCAGTTGCACTGTTTGGGGTTTGAAATCTTTCATTATTAGTTACCAAGTGTGATTCTGAATTTAAGTGCACTACCACAAAGCTAGGGCTTTAAGGTCACTTAGTAAATATCAAAGTTCAGAGAGTTTTGCAAAATGCTTCAATGATTCTTGTTAGTGGTTTCACAATCATCTCTGGAATTGATTCCCTGGTATGTACATGTACAGCTTTATTTAGTGACAGTAATGGACCAACTCCAAAAGTAACATAAAACATTAATTCATTTTTATTTCTTATTTTTTAAGTAAAGAGAGTTTTAATACAGGGAATGAAAGGCTTCTGCAACTATTGGAAGCATTGAGGGACAAAGGTCAGAAATGCTATTTCCAGAAAATTCTGAAGTTCAGGAATCTTAGTGATGCCCTCACTAATTATCCATGGTGCTGCAGTGGATGTTTCTCAGGAAAACTTCCAGAAGCAAGGAAAGCTACTGTTGGTGATCTCAGCTGCTACCAGCAGCTGCTGACAGATAATGCCTTGTCTTTCTCTTCTTCCAAGTCTTCTTTAAGTACATCTCATGGGGGAATCTAAGGAAGAAGCAAGTTATGGAGAAACAGGCTTCAGAAACTGTAGTTTCAGACTTATCTTCTGCAATGGAGAAGAAAATGAAGATAGGAGCCGTGTTGACATCACGTTGAAAATAAACATCTGGCACACTATTCTACTTCTGAAAATCCTGCTGTTTGAGCATGGTAGGTTGTTTTTTTTCCACAAATGGTCATAATACTATCTCCTATCACACACATACTCTTCTTACAACGAGAACACTAATTTTAAAATTAAAGACTGGAAAATTGTTTGAAGTTCTTCCACAAGCAGATGAATCATAAATGAATATCTCTCAGGGTCCATGTTACTTTAATATTCTATCGTCCTTTGCTTCCCAATACCCAACTTAATTATTTAAGGATCGTATGAAAACAAACCAGTATGTCTGGACCCCATTCCACTGTCTGTATTTTCATGTGTTTAGAGTAGCATACTGATTTTGATAACTCACAATGGATCATACTGAGTACAAAAGTTTCAGCATATTCTTGATATCTCAATCTTTTTAAACTTGTGTTTTGGGGTATGTATTATTTTAAGGTACAATAAGGAACAATGGAGATAACCATTAGGTCTGGCTGCCTGAGAGCTGGGAAGAACAGAGCCACATTTCTCTTCTTACAAAAGCAAATAGGAGAAATATCACTGAATTCTTTCTCTCAGCAAGGAACAGCCCTGAGAAAGAGAATGCATTACTAGGGGGAGATCTCTGAAATGGCTGCTCTGGGAATGTCTGTCTTATACGGTTGCAGATAAGGGATGAAATAAGCCCTGGTTTTGGGTAGTGCTCCCAGGCTTATTAGGACGAGGAAATCCCGCCCAGTAAATTTTAGTCAGACGGGTTGTTTGCTCTCAAACCCTGCCTCCTGATAAGATGTTATCAATGACAATGCATGCCTGAAAATTCATTAGCAATTTTAATTTTGTCCTGGTGCTCTGCCCCCATTTGCCTTGTGATATTTTATTGGCTTGTGAAGCATGTGATCTCTGTGACCCACACCCTATTCGTACATTCCCTCCCCTTTGAAAATCACTAATAAAAACTTGCTGGTTTTGCAGCTTGGGGGGCATCACGGAATCTGCCAACATGTGATGTCTCCCCTGGACACCCAGCTTTAAAATTTCTCTCTTTTGTACTCTTTCCCTTTATTTCTCAGACCAGCTGACACTTAGGGAAATAGAAAAGAACCTACATTGAATTGCCAGGGGCTGGTTTCCCCCGATAAGCCCCAAAATCTATTTTAAGAGCATTTTTCTTAATTCATTTATACTAAAGCATTTATGACAATGCTAGTAATAAAACAGGTCACTACAGGTGTATATTACA
Source organism: Homo sapiens (assembly GCF_000001405.40). Classification (NCBI taxonomy): domain Eukaryota; kingdom Metazoa; phylum Chordata; class Mammalia; order Primates; family Hominidae; genus Homo; species Homo sapiens. The sequence goes on along the minus strand of NC_000001.11, from coordinate 196,886,200 downwards.
TTTTAAAGAAAATCATAACAGAATTTTATACATTAAAAGTCCAGGCTAAATTGTAGTTGAGACATATGTAAAAAGGGAAAAAAAGGATTAAAAAGATGAATTCCTTTGTTATACAAGACATTTTCTCTTTCATAATAAGAAAATCTTAAAAGAATAATTAATAAAAATTTACTAAGATTTTTTTATGATGAGTAACATTTTTGTAAACTAGACCTCATATTAAGCATAGACATTTAAAAAAGAAATGAAAACAGTATGCATGAATATCCTAAATATTAACTTCACTTAATGTGAGTATATTAAACATTACTTCACTAATATTACTGAGAGGCAGGCAGATCACTGGAGGTCAGGAGTTCAAGACCAGCCTGGCTAACATGGCAAAACCCTGTCTCTACTAAAAATACAAAAATTAGGTGGGTGTAAGATGGCAGGTGCCTGTAATCCCAGCTATTCAGGAGGTTGAGGCAGGAGAATTGCTTGAACATGGAAGGCAGAAGTTGCAGTGAGCCAAGATCATGCCACTGTGCTCCATCCTGGACGATGACAGAGCAAGACTCTCTCTCTCTCTCTCTCTCTCCCTCTCTCTCTCTCTCTCTCTATATATATATATATATATGATATATATCATATATATATATCATATATATGATATATATCATATATATATCATATATATATGATATATATCATATATATCATATATATATAAATATAAATATATAATATATATATCTTTATATATATGATATATATATATATAAATATACATATATTACCGAGTGGCTTTGCAAAAAATAGCACAAACTGAGCCAACTGTTCCTAGAAAATCTTCATAAATATTTAGATAGTATGGTAGGGAAATCTTTCAATAGAGCAGAAATGGGTACCATCTAGAAATATTTTGTCTCTCTACTACCTATATATTTGCAAAAAATTTCTAAGGGGGAAGATATTCAGAATTGGACATATCCTACAGTGCCAAATCTACAAATTATAGAGTTTAAATTATTTTGATATTATGCACTATGCCTCCATATCTTCATTAAAAACATTACTTTTATATCTAGGAGAAAGACTTTGATATAGAAGGCTAATCACATAAAACAGGTATATACAACAGTTATAAAGGTCTCAGCTAAAAAGAAATAAGTTTAAACCAGAATACACATAAAGCTCCCTAACTCGTCTCTGTAACACAGAATGCTTTAGAGTGGGAAAAGCCTGAATGGAAAAGCACACTAATATTTGAGTAATTAATGTGAAAAGGAAAAAAAAATTGATGTCTGCTTTGTTCCTCAAAGTTTTTTTCTTATGTTTTCAAATGAAATTATATCAGCCCCCATAAAAAGACTAAAGTTAGTAAACTTTTGTGTATCATCTGGATAATCAATACAAACATAATAAATTACTAACGCATGTGGGTTGAGCTGACCATCCATTTTTCTGACATGTAATTGATCCTGATGTTTCACCATCTGCTGTTATATATCCTAGTTTGCATTGATATTTTGCTTGTTTATGTAAGTCATATATATACTGAGATTCAGAAATAAACCCATTCTCAATATCGATACTTGATTTGGAACATGTTTCTAAAAAGGAAGAGAATAAGAAAAAGACAAGCATATGTTCAATAACATTTTATAAGAATGTAAATAATATGCAAATATAAAAAATAATGAGTGATTTGTAACTGAAAACTTGGATAATCATAAGCATTCAGATACTTAAGTCAAAGAAAATAAGTTCTGAGTTGCCAAAGACATTACATCAAGACTCTCCATCATTTTCTAAAACAAGGCATTATTTAAGACTCTTACAATTATTTCTAAGAAATTATTGGAAATCTGTTGGTCTAATGGATTTGGAATTCTACAGCATGTCAGAACTCAATAGACAATGAGTATTATTTCTTAAGACTTTTTAATCTTGCCTATTTTAGATCTTTTAGGCAATTCCAAAACTCATTTAACCAATTGGAGTGTCTGAGATCCCGTGATGATCTTAGAAAATCTGCCAAAATAATTGTCATAGCCTTTGGCTCCAAGAATTTGAAATGCCATTCTTACTGTGTGCTTCAAAGTAAATGGACATGTGGAGTTCAAAGAAGATGAGAGACAGTAACAGATTTATTTATCTTGAAAGGCCAAAATGATGATTCCTCAAATTATGTAGTACTTAACTTGAAAGAGTGGACATTACTGTCTCTGTAAACTGATGATAGAAATTACTGTTGGTTCCTAGGTTGCCTCCCAGAAATCAGCTTCATTTATAAATAACTCATGGATAAGGAGAAAATTGGAAGAGGAAACATCAAATATTTTGAATTGAATGATAATAAAAACATATTAAATAAAACTTGGTGAGATGACACTCAAATAGTGCTTAGAGGGAAATTTATCATTACATAGCTATAAAAGAAAAGAGTAAAACTGAAAATAAATTATTATTTATAATAAATTATAACAAAGAAAGCAAACAAAATACAGCATGAGTATAAATTTTGAAACAAATTCAAATATAAGTAGAAATCAAATAGAAAACAAACAGTAGAGACAATTTAAAAAGGTAAAAGCTCAGGCAAGAATAATCAAGTAAAACAGAGTTCCAGCCACAAATAAGGAAATGGAACCAAATAGATGAAAATAACATTTTCAGACATTGGAAAGCAGGAAGCACCTAATTCCAGATAAAAAGTGACAATGAGATGAATTCCATCATCAAAGTGACTTTATGCTGGGAGAAAATTTCCAAACAGCCGCACGGAGAAGGAGAATTCAAGCAGAAAATGGCAGACTTGCTGAGTAGAAGAAACAAAACTCAATGTTCCCAAAGAAGATGAGGTCACTAGAATCTGCAGGAAAGAGAGTCAGAAAAGAAGAAACTATGGAGTGAAAGGGCTCTACAAATTTCCACAACAACTCCCTAGATTATTTGGATGAATATTGACACTCTGGAGAGTAGAGTAAAACTCCCCAAGAATGGACCAAGGATACCTATCAGATGAAGAACACTACCAGAGAACAAAAAGGTAAAGGATTCGCAGAGCACACACAACACAGGGAGACATTTAAATGGAATCAATCGGAGTAGAAAGACTCGTTTGAACATCTAGGTCATTTAGTAGAGACATCAGAAGCAGCTTAATATTCTGAACAAACTATCTCTGCGGTTTACCCAGAGGCTAGAACTGGGACACAGTTCTAGCCTCCCTAAACCAGCTTTTTAAAAGCTTAAAAATAAGCCTTGAAAGAACTAAGTTGACCCATAACAAACTTAGACTTAAAAAAAAAATTAAAACAAGTAATCCTTGGGGTCTCACAGATGTACAGACTTGAGAAGTTCCAAAGCTGCTTCTCTTAGCCAAAATACAGAGTGTAGTTAAAAAAAAAAAATCCACATTTTGGCAATAATACCCTCTTCACACCTTTGGGTATATACCCAATAATGGGATGGCTGGGTCAAATGGTATTTCTAGTTCTAGATCCCTGAGGAATCACCACACTGTCCTCCACAATTGTTGAACTAGTTTACAGTCCCACCAACAGTGTAAAAGTGTTTCTATTTCTCCACATCCTCTCCAGCACCTGTTATTTCCTGACTTTTTAAAGATCCCCATTCTAACTGGTGTGAGATGATATCTCATTGTGGTTTTGATTTGCATTTCTCTTACGGCTAGTGAAGATGAGCATTTTTTCATGTGTCTGTTGGCTGCATAAATGTCTTCTTTTGAGAAGTGTCTGTTCATATCCTTTGCCCACTTTTCGATGGGGTAGTTTTTCTCTTGTAAATTTGTTTGAGTTCTTTGTAGATTCTGGATATTAGCCCTTTGTCAGATGAGTAGATTGCAAAAATTTTCTCCCATTCTGTAGGTTGCCTGTTCAATCTGATTGTAGTTTCTTTTGCAGTGCAGAAGCTCTTTAGTTTAATTAGATCCCATTTGCCAATTTTGGCTTTTGTTGCCATTGCTTTTGGTGTTTTAGACATGAAGTCCTTGCCCATGCCTATGTCCTGAATGGTATCGCCTAGGTTTTCTTCTAGGGTTTTTATGGTTTTTAGGTCTAACATTTAAGTCTTTAATCCATCTTGAATTAATTTTTGTATAAGGTGTAAGGAAGGGATCCAGTTTCAGCTTTCTACATATGGCTAGCCAGTTTTCCAAGCACCATTTATTAAATAGGGAATCCTTCCCCCATTTCTTGTTTTTGTCAGGTTTGCCAAAGATCAGATAGTTGTAGATGTGTGGTATTATTTCTGAGGACTCTGTTCTGTTCCATTGGTCTGTATCTCTGTTTTGGTACCAGTACCATGCTGTTTTGGTTACTGTAGCATTGCAGTATAGTTTAAAGTCAGGTAGCGTGATGCCTCCAGCTTTGTTCTTTTGTCTTAGGATTGACTAGGAAATGCGGGATTTTTTTTGGTTCCATGTGAACTTTAAAGTAATTTTTTCCAATTCTGTGAAGAAAGTCATTGGTAGCTTGATGGGGATGGCATTGAATCTATAATTTACCTTGGGCATTATGGCCAAAATCAACAGAATATACATTCTCCTCAGCACCACACTGCACCTATTCCAAAATTGACCACATAGTTGGAAGTAAAGCACTCCTCAGCAAATGTAAAAGAACTGAAATTACAACAAACTGTCTCTCAGACCACAGTGCAATCAAACTAGAACTCAGGATTAAGAAACTCACTCAAAACCGCTCAACTACATGGAAACTGAACAACCTGCTCCTGAATGACTACTGGGTACATAATGAAATGAAGGCAGAAATAAAGACGTTCTTCGACACCAACGAGAACAAAGACACAATGTAGCAGAATCTCTGGGAGACATTTAAAGCAGTGGAGAGGGAAATTTATAGCACTAAATGCCCACAAGAGAAAGCAGGAAAGATCTAAAATTGACACCCTAACATCACAATTAAAAGAATTAGAGAAGCAATAGCAAACACATTCAAAAGCTAGGAGAAGGCAAGAAATAACTAAGATCAGAGCAGAACTGAAGGAGATAGAGACACAAAAAAACCCTTCAAAAAATCAATGAATCCAGGAGCTGGTTTTTTGAAAAGATCAAGAAAATTGATAGACCGCTAGCAAGACTAATAAAGAAGAAAAGAGAGAAGAATCAAATAGATGCAATAAAAAATGATAAAGGGGATATCACCACCAATCCCACAGAAATAGAAACTACCATCAGAGAATACTATAAACACCTCTACGCAAATAAACTAGAAAATCTAGAAGAAATGGATAAATTCCTCCACACATACACCCTCCCAAGACTAAACCAGGAAGAAATTGAGTGTCTTAATAGGCCAATAACAGGCTCTGAAATTGAGGCAATAATTAATAGCTTACCAACCAAAAAAAGTCCAGGACCAGACAGATTCACAGCCGAATTCTACCAGAGGTACAAGGAGGAGCTGGTACCATTCCTTCTGAAACTATTCCAATCAATAGAAAAAGAGGGAATCCTCCCTCACTCATTTTTTGAGGCTCGCATCATCCTGGTACCAAAGCCTGGCAGAGACACAACAAAAAAAGAGAATTTTAGACCAATATCCCTGATGAACATCCATGCAAAAATCCTCAATAAAATACTGGCAAACCGAATCCAGCAGCACATCAAAAAGCTTATCCACCATGATCAAGTGGGCTTCATCCCTGGGATGCAAGGCTGGTTCAACATACGCAAATCAATAAACGTAATCCATCATATAAACAGAACCAAAGACAAAAACCACATGATTATCTCATAGATGCAGAAAAGGCCTTTGACAAAATTCAACAACCCTTCATGCTAAAAACTCTCAATAAATTAGGTATTGATAGGACGTATCTAAAAATAGTAAGAGCTATTCATGACAAACCCACAGCCAATATCATACTGAATGGGCAAAAACTGGAAGCATTCCCTTTGAAAATCAGCACAAGACAGGAATGCCCTCTTTCACCACTCCTATTCAGCATAGTGTTGGAAGTTCTGGCCAGGGCAATCAGGCAGGAGAAAGAAATCAAGGGTATTCAATTAGGAAAAGAGGAAGTCAAATTGTCCCTGTTTGCAGATGATATGATTGTATATCTAGAAAACCCCATCGTCTCAGCCCAAAATCTCCTTAGGTTGATAAACAACTTCAGCAAAGTCTCAGGATACAAAATCAATGTGCAAAAATCACAAGCATTCTTATACACCAATAACAGACAGAGAGCCAAATCATGAGTGAACTCCCATTCACAATTGCTTCAAAGAGAATAAAATACCTAGGAATCCAACTTACAAGGGACGTGAAAGACCTCTTCAAGGAGAACTACAAACCACTGCTCAACAAAATAAAAGAGGACACAAACAAATGAAAGAACATTCCATGCTCTTGGATAGGAAGAATCAATATATTTTTATTTTTTTAACATCCTGGAAAATGTTTATTGCATATAGTTAATTTAAAACACATTATGTATATTTAATTTCAACAACGTAAAAATAAACATATTCATAGGAGAAAGAATGTAACAGCATAAGCCTAAATTCACAGTGTTGTATTTGGATGGTGTGATTTCTTTTTAAAATATCTCTCTACTGAAGCCTTCATTTCTGGTGATAGAGGCTGTTGTGGCAAGAGACAAGGGACACGTAAGAGTCCTCAATGAGTGCAAAGGACTGGATTAACTGCAATACCCAACACACACGGGCACTCAGGAGCTCCTACTCATGCCCACTGAGCACAAGCATTCTGAAAACCATGGTATCTTTTAAACATAATTATCAATATAAATCACAATTTATGATACTTGGATCAGGTGATCCAAGTTCTAGCTCAGTTTACTTTATACACTCTAAAACCACCCATTTTCAAGGTATAGTTTGATGTGTTTTAGGAAATGTATACAGCTGTGCCTCCAACACCCCAATCCAACTTCAGAACCCTTCCTTCACTTCACAGAGTTCCCTCATGTTGTTCTGCAGTCAATTCCAACTCCTATCCCAGCCCGCAAGCAATACTGATCTGCTTTGTATCTTTATCCATAGTCTTGCCTTTGCTATATGGTTCAATTAAAGAAAATCATACAACTTATAGTCTCTTATGTCTGGATTGTATGTTGCTGCATATACCAGAAATTCATTCCTTTCTAGTGTTGAGCAATATTCTATGAAGACACCACATTTTGTTTATCCATTCTCCAGCTCATGGGCATCTGGGTTGATACTGCATTTTGGCTATTATGTATAAGGCTGCTACATCCATTTGCATACAGATCTTCGCATGGACAAATGTCTTAATTTCTTGGGTACATACCAAGAAAAGCAGAATGGGTACATGCCACTCCAAGACCACTCCAAGACCTGGAGTGGAACTGCCAGGTCACACGGTAACTCCTTACCTAACTTGTTGAGAGACTGTCAAACTGTTTTCCAAGGCAGCTGCATTACTTTACATTCCCATCAACAATGTAAGAGGGCTCCGGTCTCTCTACATCGTCACTAACACTTATTATCTGTTTTTTGATATTAGCCATCTGATGCTGTACTGGTAGCTCATCGTGATTTTAATTGGCATTTCCCTAAATGTCCAATGATGTAGAGACTCTTTTAATTCCAGCTCATTCAGAAGGCAAAAACAGTAGTTGCCATACATGGAATGCCTGTAATCCACTAGGTGCTTTTCATATGAAATCTCACTTAACATCATAAGAACCCTGGGAGTTAGGTGGTTTATAAATGAGCAAACTAAAGTCTCAGAGAGGTGAATTAACTTACAAAGGTGACACAGGAGCAAGCTGAAAGTCGACATTTGACTTCAGGTCTGCTGGTTTCCAAAGTCTGTGTGCTTTCTGTGGCAATGTCTGGAAGATGAAGTTTCCTATGTCATCAGAATCCACAATCCTCCCATTGGAAAGTCTGCCACGTCGTGTACATGCAACTCCAAGAGCAGCCGGAGCAGCAGCACCGCCACCTTCGCAGGCTAGCGCCTCATGGGTCCTCCCATCCTCTACGGCGTGCCCCGGACAATCGGATCGCAGGTGCGGTTCGCTCCTTGGCCCCTAGCGCTGGGCGGGCGGGCTGGCTCAAGCGGGGAGCCAGCGAGCACTGGGGGACCCGGAGCGGAGCCGGCTGGAACCTGGGCGCGCCGCGCAGCTCTCGCAGCGCTCCGCTCCAGGCAGCCGCTAAACCAGCCTTTTAAAAGCTTAAAAATAAGCCTTGAAAGAATCAAGTTGACCCATGATAAACTTAGACTATTAAAACAAAATTTAAAACAAGTAATCCTTGGGGGCCACAGAGATGTACAGACTTCAGAAGTTCCAAAGCTGCTTCTCTTAGCTAAAATACAGAGTGGAGTTAAAAAAATAAATACATAAAATAACCCACCTTTTGGCAATAATTCCCTCTCCCCACCTGCCTCCAAAAAACACAGTAAATCTTTTATGGTATACTCACCCTACTCCAGCCAAACTCCCTACTCCAGCCAAACTACATATCAAAAGTTGTGGAATGACACTAGAGCAGTATGAAATAAATTGGTGTCACTAAATACCTGGGACAGAAAATGGCAGTGTTCCACTTCAGTAACCTTAGCCTCTACCATTAGATATTAGAAAAAGTAGAAAAAATTAATCTCAAAGTAAGCAGAAGAAATAATACAATAAAGATCAGAGATGAAATAATAAGTAAATATGTATATAAACAAGGAAACCAAAAGCTTGTTATTTTAGATCTCTATAATTGAGAAACCTTAGACAGACTGAATCAGAAAAAAAGATGACACAAATTGCTTATAACAGCAATGACAGAAATGACATCATTATGGTTTTTACATATATTAAAAGAAAAATAAAGAAATATTCTGAATAATGCCATGTCAATAAATTCAATAACTTGAATGAACTAGAAACTTACTAAAGCCACAAACTGTCACAGCTCACTGAAGAAGGATTAGGTAGCATTAATAAATAATATCTATTAAACAAATTGAATTTGTAGCTGAAGCATGAAAAACAAAATATTTAGTGATAAATCTAATAAAATACAGGATCTGTATGCTGAAAATCACACAAAAAAAACTAGTGTAAGAATGTATGATCTTACTAAATCAAAGGATATATAATGCTCATGGACTGAATTTTTTTTTTTTTTTTTTTGAGGCAGAGTCTCGCTCTGTCGCCCAGGGTGGAGTGCAGTGGCGCAATCTCGGCTCACTGCAAGCTCCGCCTCTCGGGTTCACGCCATTCTCCTGCCTCAGCCTCCCGAGTAGCTGGGACTACAGGCGCCCGCCACTACCCCTGGCTAATTTTTTGTATTTTTAGTAGAGATGGGGTTTCACCGAGTTAGCCAGAATGGTCTCGATCGATCTCCTGACCTCGTGATCCACCCGACTCAGCCTCCCAAAGTGCTAGGATTACAGGCGTGAGCCACCGCGGTCGGCCTGGACTGAACAATTTAATACTGTTACATGTCAGTTCTCCCCAGATTCATCTATGAGTGTGTCCCATTTCTAGTGAATAACCAAGCACAATGTTTTACACATATGGACATGCTGATTCTAAAGTCATACAGAAAGGCAAAGGGACTAAAATAGCTACACAATTCTTCAAAAGATAAGAGAAGTTGAAAAGCTCACATTACCAAATTTTAAGACTTAGAAAAAGCTACAGTGAGTAAAAGGATCTCCTGACACTGGTGAAAGGATAAACACACAGAAGAATAGAAGAGAAAATGGTGTCCAGAAATAGACTCACATGCATGGATCGATTTTGTAAATAGCTTCTATTCTATTTTGTTATAACACTATCAGGTTCACATGCCCACTGTCTAGCAATAGACCAATACACTGAGACAGTAGAGTTTGCAGCAAAGAAAAACTTTAATCAATGCAAGGGCACCAAACAAGGAAATGGGAGGATTCTCAAGCCCCAAATCTGTTCTGTGAAGGGGTTCTGGGCAAGGGACTTTAAGGGGATCATGGAGGGTGAGGGGCTAGAAAATTTGGGTTGTCAATTGGTCAGGGTAAGGGGGATGAAATCACCGGGATGTGGGATGTGGAACCTGCATTATTTCCTGAGTCAGCTTTTTGCTGGGCTCTTTAGACCAGCTGATGTGTGTATGTGTGTGTGTGTGTGTGTGTATGTATATTTGTTTTTTGTTTTTGAGACATGGTCTTGCTCTGTTGCCCAACTGGATTTCAGTAGCGTGACCTCACTGCAGTAGCGTGACCTCAGCTCACTGCAACTTCTGCCTCCCAGGCTCAAGTGGTCCTCCCACCTCAGATCTCCTGAGCAGCTGGTACTACAGACCTGTGCCATGATGCCTGACCTAATTTCTTTAATTTTTTGTGAAAATGTGGTTTTGCCTTGTTGACGAGTATGTTGATAGGTTTTTTGGTATGCCGAACCTAAAGGAGAAACTCATGCAGAAAGATTATAGTCTCACAATGTCTTAGATTTTATCTGTAGAAAAGAAAAGGACCAAAAGGTCTTGTGACAAGGGCTACATTATCCTAGGGTGGTAGTAATCCATGACCAGCTACAAAGACGTAGGACAAAGGGAAAGCTGGCCTAATGATTACTGCTGCTTGTCCTGAAAGCGTAGATGAATTTTCCCCCCTTAATCAATTTTATGTAATTTTCTTAGGGACAGTTTCAGTTCCTCCCAGGCTTGATCCCTTCTTAATCTTGAGGTGTAACAGCTAATATGGTGGGAAACAGGCAATGACGACTCTAGCTTCTTTTTGCTGATAAGGGGCACAGTCAGAGAATGAGTCGGGATTAGAGGAATGAAACCGTATTGTAACAACCTGCAAGTCGTTACACCCAGCTGAAGGTGCTGCATGAACATGTTAGTACTTCAGTCTATGGTTTTATTGTAATATTTAATTGAATAGCAGCCTATGATGTAAACTGTAAGCCCTATAAACAGAATTGTGAGCTTGAACTTTAAGAGCCCTTGGAAAATGGACTGGAAAACGTGGAGTATCGAGGGGAAAAGCTCAAAAAACTAGTCAGACTTAGGGTCTGTGGTATAGACATATGGTCTCCAGCGAGACTGCTGAAATATTTTCTTTAGCTTGGTTTTTATTTTACCAGAAGCATTGATATAAGTATAACAGGTGGTATTGATCACTGTACAGACTCCCCTCAGTAAAGCCAAGAGAAAATCAAGTGTAGCTCCATTGTTAAGAACTATCTGGGTAAGTAAATGTAAAGAGTTTTCTCAGCCTTAATGTTCTTAGCAGCCTCTTTTGCAATTATTTCTAAAGTTGCCGGTAAGTTTCTGATCATGGCCCAGTTAGTGTATACTTCATAGCTAGGAATTGTGATGCCCAAGAAGGCCCTGTCACCGGATATATTGATATATGCCTGGCAGTGGCTTTTGGAGTCCGTGGGAAAATGGGCAGAATCTTTAGTCATTAGGATGGACTGACCAGTGTCCCAATAAGTAAGAGCCCTCAATATACAGGTTATTGAGACACCAGTGAGCTTGTCCTAACAGAGGATGTTCTGATCCTGTGTCACAAATAAACATTTGCCAAGGGGACACACAAGTGAAGCCCTCAAAGATGCATGTATTGATGGTTTTTTTCATGGGGAATATAGGCAAATGGAATTGAACTGTGGATCCTTTTCTACAGGCTCCCCAAAATTTGTGTGATATTCCCCACTGTAAATATTTTTGGTGCAGCAAAGAGAAACTTTTAATTTTATTTCCCTTCTCCTGGCTGCATTTGTCTACCCATTATGCCATGGGCCGTGGAGGGCCTATGTTATGGAATGACTTTCCATTTATGATATATAGAGAGAGATTGAGATGTGGGGTGGTGATTTCTTGGTGTACTACCAGTTGGACCTGGAAATTAGCCATGGAAAGAAGCTGTTGCAGATAGGTAGTCGTATTTGGGACAGAAAGTCAGTGACAAGTATGACTAACAGAACATGCTTATTTTGAATCGTTTGAGGGAGTTACTGACAGATCCATCATTCTGGTAGGTTTCTTCCAGTGGCAATACCTTGAAGCAGTTTAACTACAGTGTTGTTATCCCTGTCTAGGCATTGCAGTAAAAGGAAATTTATTAGAAGTTTTAAAACAAGAGTGACCATTTCTAAATTTTAGAATGTCCAAATAATGGGAGGCAGGAGACTAAGTCAGCATGGTATAGGATGCCTGGAAAATCTGTAAGTCTAGCAATTGTAATGACCAAGGCAATTGTGAAGTAAAATCTATAAGTGTAGCAATTGTAATGACCAAGGCAATTATAATGACCAGGTAAATCTATGGGTTAAGCATTCAGTAAGGCACGGAATAGACAGGAAGGTATCTCACCTTTTTATGTAAAATAATTATAACAAAAATTCCTATTATGCTCAAAGTAACTATTGTAGTTGTCAAGAGGACATGTGTTTTGTCTAATTTTCTTTAAGTTTGTTATTTATATGATATTTTTCTTCAAAAGATATTTGAGGCCCATCAAAGATGTACTTATCCATTCAGATAGGGTTGGCCTTTCTACATTTCTTGATAGCACTAGAGTCTGGCGGGGTGGGTTTTATATGGCTGTGGTGAATCCAGGGTCTAAGTCCTTCACCCGAACAGAGGAATGAGTCACCAGTCATGCATTGTATGGCCTCTTTCACTGTGTTTTCAAGTGGTCCTCAGGATGTTGACTTTTCCTGGTCTTGAGCAGAATCCAGTCTCTTGGTTGGATGCGACGCAAGAGAATGTCAGTTGGATACCACAATCTGCTGGAACCACAAACTCATAAATAGTAATTAAAGTGTGACCTAAAGATTGTATATATTTGATAATATCTAATTTCTTTATGTGTATATTATTGGCATTCCTTAGTCTGAGAAGAGAACAGAATAATCTCCCATATAAAATTTATAAAGGGCTTATTTAAGCCCACTTTTAGGGACCACCCTTACTCTGAGCAGGGAGAAGGACAGAATTTTATTCCAGGTTGTTAGTTTCTTGGCAAATCTTAGCAAAAGTTTGTTTTGTTTTTTATAGTATGATTTAACTTTTCAGTTTTCTCAGTAGACTTCAGTCTCCAGGCTGTATGAGGATTCCAGATTATGCTGAGGGCCTGGAATATATGGTGTCCTAGGCTACAAAAGTTGCACTATAGTCACACTGGATGAAGACAGGCCATCTAAACCTGAGGGTAATCTTCTCTAACAAGTCTTTTATAACCTCATACATTCTCTTGGTCTTGCAGGGGAATGCTTTCATTTATCTTGAAAATGTATCTACAAATATCAGCAAGTATTTAAAATTTCCTGCTACCCTTGGCATCACGTTAAAATCAATTTGCCAGTCCTCTATTTGCCCTGCACCTCTTGCTTGAATCCCTGGAACTGGGGGTGGAGGACCAGTCTTAAGATTGTTCTGGGCACAAAGTAGGTATTTTAGAATTATTTGTTGGATAGCCTTCTTTAAGTGTGTCCCAAAGACGTAGTCCTGGATCAATTGAAGGGTGGCATGCCTGTCATACTGCGTGGTATCATGTATGTGTTTGATGATATCTGTGGTAAGATACTTGGGTACAAGAACCTTTTCTTCTGTGTTACATATCTACTCATTTTGGGTTCTTTGATTGGAGTCAAAGCCTCAATCAAGTGCTTTTAGATCTTCTTCCAAATAGGTATAGATTTTAGGCTGAAGTTTATTTCAGGGATTAATGGCATTAGCAAGGCTTTGGGTACTTTTTCTCTGGTCATCCCTTTAGTGGCCTGGTCTGCCTAGTGATTTTTTTCTTGCTACCAAATTGTCCATCCACTGATGTCCAGGGTGGTGTAGTATAGCTACTTTCTTGGGTACCAAGACTGTCTTTAGTCAGGCTAAGATTCTTTAGCATGCTTAATCATTTTTTTTTAATCACCAAAGGTTAAGAATCCCCTTTCTTTCCAGTAGCCCCATAAGCATGGACAACAATAAAAGCATACCTGGAATAAGAGTAAATGGTGACTCAGGAGTCTTTACATAGTTGGGATGCCCTGTTTAGGACTCTAAGTTCTGCCTTTTGTGCTGATGAACCCAGAGTGAGTGTCTCTGCATCTAGGATCTGTCACAGGGTTACCATAGCATACTCAGCCTTCTGTTGTCTGTGGTTCATAAAGCTGCTTTCCTCAGTGAATATTTCTAAGTCCAGGTTTTTAAAGGGAATTTTGGTCAAGTCTGGTTGAATAGAATAAACTTGCTCAATACTTTATAAGCAATCATGTATAGATTTAGTTAGCAGGATTTAGAGTAGAAACAGCTCTCAGAGTAACACTGGGATTATGCAGGGAGATGGCCTGATATCTATTCAGTCTTCTAGAATTAAGTCAGTAGATCCACTTCTGCTCTGACAAAGAGCATACATAGTGTGGGGTGTGTACTGTGCTAGGTTAACCCAAAGTGAACTCTTCTGCCTCCTGGAGAAGATCACAAGTGGTACCAATGGCTCAGAGGCAAGAAGTCCAACCCAGTTTTGGACAATGTCCAGCTGTTTTGAAAAGTAGGCTACAGGCCTCATGATATTCCCCAAGTCTTGGGTTAGTACTCCTAAACTCACCCCTTCTCTCTCATATATGAACAAATTAAATGGCTTTCTTAGTTCAGGGGGTACCAGTAGCCAGAGCCATTAACAATTTTTATTTAATGGTTAGAAAGGCCTTTTGACATTCCTTGGTCCATTCCAGAAGTCAACTGTCTGGTCTTAGGGCTTTATAGGGAGATTTTGCTATAAGCCCAAAATAAGAAAATCAAATAAGGCAACATCCAGCCATACCTAAAAACCCCTCACAGCTGCTGCCATGTCCTGAGTCTGGCCACCCTGACAAGAGCTTCTCTGCAGTCCGAAAGCAGATTGCTCTGCTCCTGAGAAAGTTCAAATCCAAGATATGTAACTGAGGGTTTCAAGATTTGTGCCTTTTTCTTGGATACCTTGGATCCCAATTCAGACAAGAAATGTAAAGTCAGTATAGTATTCTGGTCAGTTTGCCTTAGTTTTGGGGGCTATGGATATGTCATCAACATAAATAAACAAAGTCCCATTTTTCAATCGAAGGTCCCAAACTCTTTAGCACGTATTTCCTCCCAACCAATTAGTGAGTTTTTGAAGCCTTGAGGAAGCATTGTCCAGCAATACTGTTGGTTTGCTTTAGTGTCAGTGTCTTCATATTCAAAGGCAAACACTTCATGGGACTCTGGACTCAGAGGAATACAAATGAAGGCATCTTTCAAATCCAAGACTGAACACCAGTACAACTCACTGGTTAAAGTCATGAATAATGTATAAGCATCGGGTACCACCAGATAAATGACTTTGAAAATTTGGCTAGTAGCCCTCAAATCCTGTATGAATCAATATTCCTGAGTAGATATGTAACACAGAAGAAAAGGTTCTGGTACCCAAGTATCTCACGACAGATATCATCAAACACGTACATGATACCACACAGTATGGCAGGCATGCCACCCTTCAATTGACCCAGGACTGTGTCTTTAGGACATTACATGGGGAATGATGAAGTCTTCCTGTATTGCAGGAAGGCCATTAGCAGAGGCTAAATGCATTGCTGTGCCTTTTCTCTCAAAGGATACTGTTTTAGATTTGGCAGCGCTACTCCTGCACAAAACTTGACTTGTACTGGAGATGCAGTTTTTGTTTTCCCTGGCCTTCCATTTCCCATGCTCCCGGACTAACATTTTGGAGTATCTCTTCAGGGATGAGGGCACTTTCAAGGACTTCCAGTTGTAATAATGTGGCCTGCAGAGCACATGCTTGGTCTGAAGGCACCTGGATGTCCAATCATCTCAGAGAAAAAGTAATCTTAACATTTAGTTTGGTTAAGAGGACTTGCCCCAACAAAGGGATGGGACATTCACACATGTATAGAAAAACTGCTTTAAATTACCTTACTCTAGCTGAGAATCCAAAATTGGGAGGAATGATCTCATCAGTATTTTTCCTGAGATTTCAGTCACCTTCATAGTTTCTGAGGAAAGTTTAGACAACCAGATATTTAACACCAAATAGGTGGCACCATGTCTACTAGGAAGTCCAGAAGCTGATTTCTCACCATCATCAGGATCTCAAGCCCCATGTGGGAAATATGGAGGGTGTTGTTTGAGTCAGGATAAGCCCCTGGGTGCCATCATTTCTGGTCTTTTTCTTCAGTATCTCTCTCAAGCTCCCCAGCTATCCCAGGCATTTGGTGGGCAGAAGACTGACTGTGTTTAACATCAGGCTTTGTAAGGCATGGGCAATTTTCCTTTCAGTGTCCCCCCTGTTGCAGTAAGCACACTGCTTGGGACCTGCAATGGGATGTCCCTTTTTTTTGGCTTTTGGGGGCCCAGGTGGTCCTACCTTAGATGGAGCATCTGATGAGGGCCCTTGTTGTGGTCCAGGGACTACTAGGGTCAGAGCCACAGCTAACAAGTCAGCTTTTCTCTTCATTATTCCTTGTGTTTTTATTTTTCACTTTTTAAAATTGTGATCAGTAAATACATTAAAAACAATCTTCACTAATTGAGACATAAACATGTCCAAAGCCTCATCTACATTTTGTAACTTTCCCTGCATAGCTGGGGCACTTTGTTGGATAAACATCGTATTAGCTAACTTTAAATTTTCTGAGGCTTCTGAGTCAATATCCATTTATTGTCTGAAAGCTTCAAAGACTTGTTCTAAAAATTCCAAAGGCACACTCATTAGGCTTCTGCTTGATCTCCTGGACCTTACTGAGGCCGCTTTCCTTGGGCACTCCCTTGCAGAGGCTGGCCAAAATGCAGTTTTGATAGTGTTCGAGGTTAGATCTATCTCCAGTGTTTATATTCCATCCCAGGACAGAGGTGGGAACTGCAATCTGAGCAGCTGCCCTTACTGGATTACTGGGAGAGTCAGTGTGAATAAGATCAGCCTTTTCCTTAGCTTTTTCTAAAACCATTCTTTGCTTCTCTGAACTCAACAAAATATTGAGCAAATTTTAGGTATCTGCTCAGGTAGGATTGTGGGTGGCAAATACAGAGGAGAATAGATTCTCCATATGCTTTGGATTTTTTTTTTATCCTTTTTCTTCCATAAACTTTAGATCTTCTCAATAAATAGGCATATTATTTTTCTAATTAAATAGGTGGGTAGTGGAGAACAGAGAATAAACCCACATAAATCCTATAGGCTGGGCTGTGGCAGCATCACCTCCTATAGGTAGTTGTTATAGGGGAAACTGCCTTTCAGAGCCAGAGTGAAATCCTGGCTAAATTGAGTCCCCTGTTAGGTATAAGTGATACCCTAGCTAAAAGGAGTCACCTGTTGGGTAGAAGAAGCAGAGATAAAGGCCGGGCACGGTGGCTCACGCTTGTAATCCCAGCACTTTGGGAGGCCAAGGGGGGGGGTGGTTCACCTGAGGTCAGGAGTTCGAGACCAGGCTCGCCAGTATGGTGAAACCCCATCTCTACTAAAAATACAAAAATGAGCTGGGCTTGGTGGCACGTGTCTGTAGTCCCAGCTGCTCAGGAAGCTGAGGTAGGAGAATCTCTTGAACACAGGCAGTTGAGGTTGTAGTGAGCAAGATCGTGCCACTGCACTCCAGCCTGGGCGACAGAGCAAGACTCCATAAAAAAAAAAAAAAATTCCTGTTGCTCTGGGTTTGTGACTTTTTGGTGGTGGGGACTCTGGCTTAGGTGCCAGTAGTGCTACTGCAGCTCCTCCATAAGTTCTTTCTCTTGTAAATCAATCCAAACAGGTTTTAATTTCTTGCTAATTCATAATTTTTCCGTTTTTTCTACATTGATCTACTTTACCAAAGCAACATAAAACATTATACATAAGGGATTTTATCCCATTTCTCTTCCTTCATACATAACAAATCTAGCTACAGGATGGTACTGTAAGTATGAGAACCATGCAGTGGCCACTGTTCTCCCAAACCCCATGGGTATTGAGGTCAAGCCATGTTAAAAAATAAGATAATCTTGTTTTGCTTTATGGAATGATAGACAAAGGCTTTTCAATTTTGGAAGATGCAGCCCATCAAAATTACAGTGTGGGTTACATGGGGAGAACTAAAGGACAGCCATTAGTTCATCAGAACTACTAAGCAGCTGCTAGTGCTTGTCTCTGGGTCTGCTCCAGTGGCAAGGGGGCACTAGGCTGTGAGTAAATGCCCTCAAGGAGAGTAACCTCGACCTGGCTTGCCACAAATAGTTACAAGACTGTCAGATTTGTATGCCTGCAGCACAGCAACAGAACAATACACTGAGACAGTGGGATTTGCAGCAGAGAAAGAGTAATAATCTCAAAGCCACCAGCCCTCACTGGGCTGCAGGGAGGAACTGAATTAACATTTCACATTCTGGCTGGAATTATATACATGTAACCAAACACAGATACTAGTCACCGTACTCAGAACCCAAGTATTGACCTGGCAAGGCTCAAACTTGGTTCCATTAGCCCTCATCATATTTGATCTACTCAAGTTGGAGAGGGATGACCTTCAGTCAGGAGTTCAGTGGGTGGACTCTGGGAAGGATTGAAGAGCAGACGGTTACCCTGAGTTAGACTTGCTGAGATTCCACTAGCAACTCCTTCAGGACTAAGTGAATATAAATGACCAGACAAACAAGAAGAGTTTCCTGAGTTAGTAATTTCTTCCACTAGTAATTTCTTCAGAGAACACCTCCACAAACATAAATACCTATAACAAGACAAACACAAACAAAAGACCTTTAAATATAAAGTTTCAGATTCCAAAATCCAAGAGCATTTCTCCCAAGCAATGCCCTCTAGTCTCCTTCCATCTGAGGGGAGGTCTCCTCAAATAAGGCCCTACCTATGACTTAGGGAGGATCAACAAGACCTCAAAATAGGTCACAAGGCCTCTAAGATGAAAAAACAAAAACAAACAACAACAACAACAAAAAAAAAACAGAAGGAAATGGGGTGCCAGCTGCTCTGAGAAAACTCACCTGAGACTTCTTCTGAGACCACAAATGGTTTCTCTGCTGCAGACAAGTTTATGTGCTGAAAGTCAGCACTGCCCTGCCAACACAGAAGGCCCCAGCAAAGGCCCTTAGTTCATCATAGCTAAGCAGCTGCCTGGGCTTGTCTGTGGGTCAGCCCCAGTGGCATGGGGGGCACTGGACTGTAGATAAATAACCACAAGGAGAGTGACTTGCCATGATTTTTATTTATTTATTTATTTTTTGAGCCGGAGTCTCACTCTGTCTCCCTGGCTGGAGTGCAGTGGCACGATCTCAACTCACTGCAACCTCCGCCTCCCAGGTTCAAGTAATTCTCCAGCCTCAGCCTCCTGAGAAGCTGGGATTACAGGCATATGCCATCATGCCTAGATACATTTTTGTATTTCTAGTAGAGACAGGGTTTCACCATGTTAGCCAGGCTGGTCTTGAATTCCTGACCTCAAGTGATCTGCCCGCCTTGGCCTTCCACAGTGCTGGGATTATAGGTGTGAGCCACCATACCTGGCCACTTGCCATGAATTTTTACAAGACTGTCAGGTTTCTATGCCGGCTGCACAGCTACAGAACAATACACCGAGACTGTGGGGTTTGCAACAGAGAAAGAACTTACTAATTGCAAGGTCACCAAGCAAGGACTTGGGAAGAATTCTCAAAACTCAAACCCATTTCATTAAGGGTTTCTGGGCAAGAGTCTTTGAAGGGTGAGGGGCTGGAAATTGAGGTCATCAATTGATTCAGGTCAGGGACTGAAATCATCAGGATATGGAAACTACAGTCCTCCCTAAGTGAGTTTCTTGCCAAGACTTTCAGAATGGCTGGCATCAGTAGTTTTGTTAGTATGCAGAACCTAAAGGAGAAACTCAAATGGCAAGATTGTCATCGCGTAGTGTCTTACATTTTATCTAAAGAACAGAAAAGGAACAAAGATTCTAGTGACAAAGATTATGTTATCCTGTACTAGTAATCAGTGACAAGCTATAAGGAAATGGGCCAGTGGGAAAGCTAGCCTAATGACTACCATGGATTGTCCAACAAGCCTAATTGAATTTCACTTTTTCCTCTTTAACTGTTTTTACAAGATTTTCTTGAAGATGTTTCCAATTTAATAGTGGAGCAAAGGCAATTCAATAAAGAAAACACAATCCTTTAAACAAGGGATACTGGAATAGTAAGGCATCCAAATGCAAAATAAAAACCCTCAACATATTTCTCATACCTCATACAAAAATTAACTCAAAACGATCATATAACTATGTGTAAAATGTTAACTTCTAGAACTGTACATGGCCTTGGTTTAGGCCAAGGAAATTTTAGATGGTACAAAGAGCATAATCCATAAATGAAATATTTGATATACTGGATAACATCAAAATTAAATGCATTTGCTCATTGAAAGAGACTGCTAAGAGAAATAAAAGTAAAGCTAGAGATGCAAGAAAAATATTTCTAAAATATTTACTCAGTGAAGGACTTGTAGCCACAATATATTAAGTTGTCTCAAAATTCAGTAAAGAATCAAACAACCCAATGAAAAATGGGCAAAAAATTTGGACTAAAGGAGGTACCTCACTAAAGGAGGTACATAGATGGTAAATAAGTACAAAGAAAATGCTCAGCAGCATTAGTCACTAGGGAATGTGATACCATTACACGCATATTAGAATGGATAACTTAATGGAAAAACAACCACTATCTCAAAGGCTGGTGAGGTTGTAGAACAATTGGAACTCGCATACACTGAGTATGTGAAGGTAGAATATATGATCACTCAGGAAAACAGTTTGTCTATTTCTTATAAAAATAAACACACACATTCAGTATGATATTGGCTATGGGTTTGTCATAAATAGCTCTTACTATTTTGAGATATGTTTCATCCATACCTAGTTTATTGAGTGTTTTTAGCATGAAGTGGTGTTGAATTTTATCGAAAGCCTTTTCTGTATCTATTGAGATAATCATGTGGTTTTGTCATGGGTTTGATTTATGCGGTGGATTACATTTATTGATTTGCATGTTGAACCAGTTTGCATCCCAGGGATAAAGCCAGTTTGCATCCCAAGGATGATCGTGGTGGACAAGCTTTTTGATGTGCTGCTGGATTCAGTTTGCCAGTATTTTATTGAGGATTTTCGCATCGATGTTCATCAGGGATATTGGCCTAAAAGTTTCTTTTTCTGTTGTGTCTCTGTCAGGTTTTGGTATCAGGATGATGGTGGCCTCATAAAATAAGGAGGAATCCTTCTTTTTCTATTGTTTGGATTAGTTTCAGAAGGAATGGTACCAGCTCCTCTTTGTACCTCCGATAGAATTTGTCTGTGAATCCATCTGGACCTGGGCTATTTTCGGTTGGTAGGCTATTAATTACTGCTTCAGATTTAGAACTTGTTGTTGGGCTATTCAAGGATTCGACTTCCTCCTGGTTTAGTCTTGGGAGGGTGTATGTGTCCAGGAACTTATCCATTTCTTCCAGATTTTCTAGTTTATTTGTGTAGAGGTGTTTATAATATTCTCTGATGGTAGTTTGTATTTCTGTGGAATCAGTGGTGATATCCTCTTTATCATTTTTTATTGTGTCTATTTGATTCTTCTCTCTTTTTTTCTTTTTTGGTATGGCTAGTGGTCTATCTATTGTGTTAATCTTCAAAAAACCAGCTCCTGGATGCATTGATTTTTGAAGGGTTTTTTGTGTCTCTATCTCCTTCAGGTCTGCACTGTTCTTAGTTACTTCTTATCTTCTGCTAGCTTTTGAATTTGTTTGCTCTTGCTTCTCTAGTTCTTTTAATTGTGATGTTAGGGGTCGATTTTCGAACGTTCCAACTTTCTGATGTGGCATTTAGTGCTGTAAATTGCTCTCTAAACACTGCTTTTGCTGTGTCCCAGAGATTCAGGTATGTTGTGTCTTCCTTCTCACTGGTTTCAAGGAACTTATTTACTTCTGCCTTAATTTTGTTATTTACCCAGTAGTTATTCAGGAGCAGGTTGTTCAGTTTCCATGTAGTTGTGTGGTTTTGAGTAAGTTTCTTAATCCTGTGTTCTAATTTTATTGCACTGTGGTCTGAGAGAAGGTTTGTTATGATTTCCTTTCTTTTGCATTTGCTGAGGAGTTTTTTACTTCCAATTAGGAGGTTGATTTTAGAATAAGTGCTATGTAGTGCTGAGAAGAATGTATATTCTGTTGATTTGGGGTGGAGAGTTCTCTAGATGTCTATTAGGTCCACCTGGTCCAAAGCTGAGTTCAAGTCCTGAATATCCTTGATAATTTTCTGTCTTGCCGATCTGTCTAGTATTGATATAGTATTGGAAATTCTGGCCTGGGCAATCAGGCAAAAGAAAGAAATAAAACGTATTCAAATAGGAAGAAAGGAAGTCAAATTGTCTCTGTTTGCAGATGACATGATTCTACATTTAGAAAACCCGATCGTCTCAGCCCAAAAATTCCTTAAGTTCTTAAGCAACTTCAGCAAAGTCTCAGGATACAAAATCAACGTGCAAAAATCACGAGCATTCCTATACACCAATAATAGACAAACAGAGAGTCAAATCATGAGTGAATTTCCATTCACAATTGTTACAAAGAAAATAAAATACCAAGGAATACAACTTACACAGGATGTGAAGGACCTCTTCAAGGGGGACTACAAACCACTGATCAAGGAAATTAGAGAGGACACAAACAAATGAGAAAACATTCCATCCTCATGGATAGCAAAAATCAATATCGTGAAAATGGCTATACTGCCCAAAGTAATTTATAGATTCAAAGCTATTCCCATCAAGGTATCATTAACTTTCTTCACAGAACTAGAAGGAACTACTTTAAATTTCATATGGAACCAAAAAAGATCCCATATAGCCAAGACAATCCTAAGCAAAAAGCACAAAGCTGAAAACATCATGCTACCTGGCTTCAAACTATACTACAAGGCTACAGTAACTAAAACAACATGGTACTGGTACCAAAACAAATATATAGACCAATGGAACAGAACAGAGGCCTCAGAAATAACACCACACATCTACAACGATCTGAACTTTGACAAACCTGACAAAAACAAGCCATGTTGAAAGGATTCCCTGTTGGATAAATGGTGTTAGGAAAATTGGCTAGCCATATGCAGAAAATTGAAACTGGGCCCCTTCCTTACACCTAATACAAAAATTAACACAAGGTGGTTTTAAGACCTAAAACCATAAAACCCCTAGAAGAAAACCTAGGCAGTACCATTCAGGACATAGGCACAGGCAAAGACTTCATGACTAAAACACCAAAAGCAATTGCTGCACAAGCCAAAATTGACAAATAGGATCTAATTAAACTAAAGAACTTCTGCACAGCACAAAAAGAAAAAAACAAAAAACCATCATCAGAGTGAACAGGCAATCTACAGGATGGGAGAAAATTTTTGCAATCTATCCATCTGACAAAGGGCTAATATCCAGAATCTACAAGGACCTTAAACAGATTTATAAGAAAAAAACAACCCCATCAAAAAGTAGTCAAGGATATGAACAGATAGTTCTCAAAAGAAGACATTTATGCAGCCAACAAATACATGAAAAAGAGCTCATCATCACTGGTCATTAGAGAAATGCAAATCAAAACCACAATGAGATACCATCTCACACTAGTTAGAATGGTGATTGTAAAAACGTCTGTAAACAACACATGCTGTCGAGGGTGTGGAGAGATAGGAATACTTTTACACTGTCTGTGGGAGTGCAAATTAGTTCAACCATTGTGGAAGACAGAGTGGCAATTCCTCAAGCATCCAGAACCAGAAATACCATTTGACCCACCAATCCCATTACTGAATATATACACAAAGTGTTATAAATCATTCTACTATAAAGATACATGCACGCATGTTTATTGCAGCACTATTTACAACAGCAAAGACTTGGAACCAACCTAAATGCCCATCAATGATAGACTGGATAAAGAAAATGTGGCAAATATACACCATAGAATACCATGCAGCCATAAAAAAGAATGAGTTCACGTCCCTTGCAGGGCATGGATGAAGCTGGAAACCATCATCTTCAGCACACTAACACAGGAACAGAAAGCCAAATGCTGCATGTTCTCACTCATAAGGGGGAGTTGAACAATGAGAACACATGGACACAGGGAGAGGAACATCACACACTGGGGCCTGTTGGGACATGGGAGGCAAGGGGAGAGATAACATTAGGACAAATAGCTAATGCATGTGGAGCTTACAACCTAGATTATGGGTTGATGGGTGCAGCAAACCACTATGGCACATGTATATATACCTATGTAACAAATCTGCAGATTCTGCACATATAAACCAGAACTTAAAGTATAGTAATAAAAAAAGCACACACAGAGACATGCCATTTATCCAACAAAGCCACTCCTAGATATGAAGCCATGAGGAATAAATTTGTGTTTATATAAAAACTGTAGGTGAATATTTTTCTTACCAGCATGATTCACAAATGCCAAAAACTATGCAAATGCCTTTCAACAAGTGAATGGATTAACAGTCTGTGACCTATGATACAATGGAATAATACTTAGCAATAAAAAAAAATATTCTAGGTAGTGTGATGAAATCCTTTGCCATTCAACTCTATCCTGCCCAGGGCATGAATCCTCCCTTTGTCTAGTGTAGACACATTTTATACTTCCCGCCTGTTAGTCACTTAGTAGTCTTCACAGTTATCAGATGGAAAAATGTAGCTTACTTGGGTTTTATAGTATTAACTATTTCAGGCATCTGCTGGGGGGCTTGGAACATACCCCACGTGGATAAGAGGGACTAATGCAGCTTTTGTCTCCCACAGATAAGGACAGACTACTCTAACTTCAGAAGAATCATTCAGAAGGCACCAGTATTTCAAGTTTTACAAGTCCAGAAAAATTGATATTCTGTGATGTATTTGGCAAATGTTTTCTTTAAGTGACTATTTTAAAGGAAACCACAGCCAGTTTGCACTCATGCAGGACACACTCCAATATCTGTCTACTGTACTCGCACAAGTATATTTAAATTTTTCTGCTTATTTTCACAACATGGTTATGAGGAATTTAGATTTTGTTAAATTGAAAAGTACTGTGATTCACTGACAATTGACTGTACATTGAAAATACAATGTTGATATCGCAATCTGAAGATGAAGCTAAGACTTGTTAATTATATGACCACCATAAAGTAGCTAAATAACTTGACTAAAGTACAGGGTCTAGCATGAAGAGTAAAACAGTAACATTCTCAAGAATAACTTGAGCCAGGCACACTTGGGATAGTGAAAGAAATAAAGAAAGGAAAGGAAGGAAGAAAGGAAGAAAATGGAAAGAAAAGAAAAAAAAGAAAGAAAGGAATGAAGGAAGGAAGGAAAGACAGAAAGAAAGACAGAAAGAAAGAAAAGAAAGGAAAGAAAGGAAAAGAAAGAAAGAAAGAAAGAAAAAGAAAGAAAGAAAATAAGTAGTTGATTCTTCAAACAACTCCAAATCCAAAACAAGAGGCATAAACCTTGATTGAGTTGTTTGATACCAGGAGAAATTGCATATTCAATCAAAGCATATTATTAGCCAGAAGAAAGAAAAAAGAAAGGAAGGAAGGAGAAAGAAAGAAAGAAAGAAGGAAAGAAAGGAAAAAAAGAAAGAAAGAAAGAAGAAAGAGAAAGAAAGAAAAGAACGGAAAGGAAAGGAAAGGGGAAAAAAGTAGTTCACTCTTAACAGCAGAAAGAAAGAAAGAGAAAAAACAAAAGAAAGAGAAAGAAAGGAAAGAAAGGAAGAGAAAAAAGAGAACAAAAAGGAAGAAAGAAAAAAAAAGAGAGAGGAAGAGAAAGAAAGAAAGAAAAAGAAGGAAAGAAAGAGAGAAGGAAGGAAAGAAGGAAGGAAAGAAAGGAAGGAAGGAAGGAAAGAAAGAAAGAAAGAAAGAAAGAGAAAGAAAGAAAGAAAGAAAGAAAGAAAGAAAGAAAGAAAGAAAGAAAGAAAGAAAAAGAAGAGGGAAGGGGAGGGGAGGGGACACACTGTGAAAGAGAAAAAGAAGATGGGAGGGGAGGGGAGGGGACAAAATATACAATATAGCATATACTGTATGAGAAAGGTACTATAAAAATTGTTAGGGAAATGTTGAGTTTGCCATATTTTATTTAAAAATAAAATATAGCTATTATCATGAATAAAATCAACACACAATTTTAAAATATGAAAAAAGGTAGCATGTAAATTTTTACAATAAAAATAGTATAATGGCTCTGTGTTTTTGAAGTATTCCTTTAAATAGAAACAAAAAATATTCATCATAAGAAAAGATTGATGATTATTTAGTAAAACGAGCAACTTATATTCATAATACACAAAAAAGGGAAGAAAAATACTAGCCACAAAAAAGAATGCATTTGGATTACATATAATTAAAAGAGATTTTATATTCAGAATTAGTAAGATGACTCCAACTAATAAATACCAAAACTCCCAAAAAGGTAAGTCAAAAAACCTGCATTTTCAAAGATTAGAACAATCAAATACCAATTAAACTGTGAATATATATTCCAAACCCAATTAGTAATAAAGGAAATGCAAATTTACACTACAATGGTAAAACATTTTATAGCCACTCAATTTGTAAATATTAAAATGTGACATCACCAATCATTAACATGTAAAACACCTAAGAAGGAACTGTTGATATAAATGTATATTGGGATAAATAATATAGGAAACCTTCTAGAGTCGAATATGCACAATATCCCAGAAAATCCATTTGTACTTACATATAATAGAGAAAGTTAGATAACTTTATTGTAAAAGTGACCTATGACTGTTTGAATGTATGAATGACATTATTGGCTATCATTGTACTCACTTTCTATTTTAAACTATAAATGTATAATCATTTTGAGTCAAATGATTGATTCCAAAGTACATATTAATATTGATACACGAGTTAAGAAGAAATTATTTAGGCAGATAATGAGGGTACAGGAGTCCTTGGTAAAGTTTTCCTTTTAATAATAGGAGCCCCCAAATCATTTCTTTTTCTAACAAAGTGGAACCTGTAAAACAGAGATGTAAACATAGACAAGCAAGTTGGAAGCTTGCAAGGTGAATGGCAGCAGTTGTGCCAATAGGAAAAGGCTACCTGGGACTAGGCATGTTCATATGGCAACTCCATCTTCCCTTCTCTTTGCCAGCCACGTGTACAGTAAGGAAAAGGCAACATGGCGCTGGCCAGGCAAAGATCCCATTTGCATAATAAGATTAGGGTGGGGCAGCCAGCTTCCTAGCACATTATGTAAATATCACACCTGGTCCAATCAATCTTTGGGCCCTATGTAAATCAGACACTGCTTCCTCAAGCCTGTTTATAAAATCCAGTGCACCCCAGCCGGGGCCAGAATTCACTTTTGGGTGCCCCTCTCTCTCACAAGAGACAGAGCTGTTCTCCTTTCTCTTTCTTTTGCCTATTAAACCTGCGATCCTACGCCCACTCCTTGTGTGTGTCCATGTCCTTAATCTTCTCAGTGCCAGATGAGAAACCTCGGGTATTTACTCCAGACAATGATGCCATTTCAATATGTCTTAATTTAACCAACAAGTATTGTTTTCAAACTCTTTTACTGTATTCTTGACTAATGCCCAATAATAGGAGCATTTATTTTACTATGAACTTATCAAGAAATGTGTATATTTGTTTATACAGAATTGAAAAAATAAAACTAAATAGGTCCGATGGCGAAGCAAGTTGACATAAATATTTTGCCGCAGTTAATATAGATGAGTCTTAGCATGTCATCTGTGTTACTTAGAAAGACATGAACTTGCTGGGATCTCAGAGTAGTGTACTTAGTGACACGGATGCATCTGCAAGGAGGAGACCAGCCATTCTCCATACATGTAACTGTGGTCTGCTCATTTGGAAGACCACAGCCAGGAAGGAAGGCAACTTCTACAGAGTTACCCTGTACAAACTTTCTTCCGTAATTTTCATTATGTCCATTTTCCAAATAAGGAAAATAACGTTTTCCTAAGGACGATAACAATGATAAATGAATAAAGTAAATGAGACACAAAAATGTGCTCAAAATAGTATATTACAATTATTTTTAAAATATTTAAATAAGATTGCATAAACATCCAAAAACAATGTATAACTGAATATGAACTAAAATTACTAACAAAGGTTTGTACAAAAAGAAATATCAATATTTAATACTACTTAAGTTTTTATAATTAAAATATGTATCAATTATATAGATATTCTCATAAAGTCTCTATATTTATTTCTCGTGATTTTTAAGAACTCATAATAGAAAAGATCTATTTTGGTCATTTTGCTTGAACAACTCTTTTCTTGGCCCTATTTCTGTTATATAAGTCAAGTGTAATCACTTATGTGCTCTCCTCTCTTCAATCTTTGAAAGTTTTATACATATATGGCTGTCCAGAGGTTTACTTACTGAGACATGGTACTGCTGGCGACCACCCATCTTGTGTGCAATAAATGTAATCCTAGTAACTTCCTGAAGGAGTCTCAAAAGATTCATCACAGTAATAGGAGTAAGATTTTCCTACAGCTACTGGAAAGTATGGTCTACACATACTTTCATAATATAGACCTCCATGTTTAATGTCTGGAAAATCACAAGATTTCACTTGCAATAAAAAACAAAAAAAAGTATGAATACTTTTTACTGTAATAAATAATCATATTAGAGATAAATTTTTTTATCACTGAATTATATTCTCTTCTTAGAATAATTACACATTCCATTAGGGTTTCTAGGTCAAAACAAATGATAGAACTCAGATGACTAAGATATGTGACGAGAAGGTCTTTGCTAATGAAGATGAGATTATGTCTTGTGGATCACGTGATGCATAAATTTGTAGGAAGGCTCTCTAGAAGGAAAAATGTACAAACCTATTTAATGTATTCCCCTTGAGTACATATACCCTACCTCTGGCTAATTAAATGAGCTTTTTGGTTGAGAAATATGTCAATTTTATCACTTAGCTCAGGTATTCCTTTTTTTTTTCTTTTCTACTGTCATCAGTAAACAGAGCCCTGTATTTTCTTCTCAGAAAAATTCAATGTAAGGAGGTAGTATTTTGAGGGATTTAAGGTTTTTATTGTTTTGGATTAAATTCATGGGCTGCGCACGGTGGCTCATGCCTATAATCCCAGCTCTTTGGGAGGTTGAGGCAGGCAGATCACTTGAGGTCAGGACTTCGAGACCAGCCTGGCCAACATGATGAAACCCGTTTCTACTAAAAATACAAAAAAAATTAGCTGGGCCTGGTGGTGCGCCCTTGTAATTCCAGCTACTTAGGAGGCAGAGGCAGGAGAATCGCTTGAACCCAGGAGGCAGAGTTTGCAGTGAATTGAGATTGCGCCATTCCACTCCAGTCTGGGTGACAGAGTGAGGCTCCATCTCAAAAAATAAAAATAAAAATAGAAAACAAATAAATTCACTAGGCTCTTTTCTAATTACTGGACAATATAAACATATTGAGGAACACAAAAATTTTTCTTTGATAATACCGCACAGAAAAATAACACAGCTAATTCACGCCTCAAACAAGTCACTGAGCCAAGATTTCCAGTGTTTATTAAACCGCAGAAATAGACTAGGAATATTTCTTAATATCCAAATAGTTAAGATTATGATAAACTTTTTTTGTTGATTCCTAATTTTGTTCATTCCACTTTCCTGTGTGCAAGAGAAACCTGCTTGTGGGCTGAAAGTGACTAGACCACTTTCAGCAGGCACACAGGCACCGTGCTTGCCTTGCAAGGGAGTATAGATCCATCCTAGGAGACAGGTGGCCCCAGTGCTTGGGCACAGATGTAGAGAGGGGGACATCTCCCCTGCACCCAATTCTGTGGACATAGCTGTGGTCACTCGCAAAGGAGACTGGTGCAGACACACCAGAGGACAGACATTCTAGGGGGATTAGCGGTGGCTGCAACCCCAGTGGTGAGGTGCCCAATTGAGCCAGGCTTGCGTGAAAGACAAGGCCCTACCTCCTCTTTACACAGAACAGCAGTGTTCCTGTAGGAGAGAGCAGGAGAGCTGAAATGTGTGTTTTGAGCTGAGGGAGGCGGCTCCACATAGAAGAAATTTGACAGGGAACTGCAAGGCAAACGCATTTCATAGATGTCATCTACGCAGCCTGGAGAAAGAAAGTGGTGACTCTTTAACCTCATTAACTTCTGTCTAACATATTTTTCTTAACAGTGCTTACAAGTGAAGATATCTGAATTGTGTAGTGAAATATATTTTCCAAGGAACTGCTTCTGAGCTCATTAGCAATTAAAACAAAAATAAATTATAAAATCAACTCAAAAGATAACTGCAGTTTTTAAAATAGAGTGTAATAAAAACAAGGTTTGTATGTATAATTTTGAATCATACAACTTAAAACGTGGAGGGCTCAGAAGAGATCAACTCTTCTACCCCCACCCCCGACATATGGCAATATCCGTATAGGTCACACTTTTAGAAAATCACTTGACCTCTGATTCGATGTTGGATAATACTGTTACCTGCTTCACTGACTGTGACAGTCCTCATCAAAAGTTAACTTGCTCCCCTTCATAAATGTTTTCAAATATCTCAAGACAGTCATTATAATGCTATAACTGTATCTTTTTGCATGCTTCTTATGCTATAATTTCTTTAACTCTTCAACTATCTATATATTCTCTTCTATGCCTTGATAGTTGGAAACCAATCATTTTAAAATATGGTAGGCTAAGTACAGTATATTATTACAGGCATGATATTTGGTGGGCAAACCACACAGCTGAAATTAATTTGTCGACACTGAAAAACATCATTTCCTCATGAAGCCTAAAAGAGATAGATGTTCTCCTCAGTACCACCATTGTCTATTAATATTAAGGTTATTAATGAAAATCTTCATTTTCCTCCACTTAATTTACTTTAGAAGCTAAATACAAATGTTGTTTCCACTAGGTAAATCTGCCAACAACAAAAAATTCTTTTTTGACTTGAATGCCGCATGAATGATTTATCTGTTCTTAACAGATAAATAAAAAAGACTTTTTTTTTTTTTTTTTTTTGAGACAGAGTCTTGCTCAGTTGCCCAGGCTGGAGTGCAGTGGCTCGATCTCCGCTCACTGCAAGCTCTGCCTCCTGGATTCACGCAATGCTCCAGCCTTAGCCTCCCGAGTAGCTGGGACTACAGGCACCCGCCACCATGCCCAGCTAATTTTTTTTGTATATTTTTTAGTAGAGACGGGGTTTCACCGTGTTAGCCAGGATCGTCTCAATCTCCTGACCTCGTGATCCGCCCTCCTCAGCCTCCCAAAGTGTCGGGATTACAGGCGTGAGCCACCGCGCCTGGCCCAAAAGACATTTTTGAAGGAAGTTAAAATTTTAATTAAAAACATGTTGCTGATTTCTTTTGCTTTGAAGATTAGTTCTCTTGAGATAAATGGTATAGAGTAATATTCTTTGAATGTATATATGAATTTCAATATAGACATAGGTTTGCTGTAATAGCTATTTTCTCTGAGTCAGCTGTAAAAATATTCCATGCTCTATTTATTCGTAATATAGTAATTATTGACAGAACATTTTTTGGGGGAAATTCATGTCAATCATTCTCATTACCTCTCTCAATAATAACTGAACTTCTGCAATTGTGGTATTCCCTTTCACTCAATTTTTTTCTGTCAAAACAAACAAACAAATAAACACAACAGGCATAAAAAAACCCTGGCAATAACCTTTGATATCATCGTCTCTCAACCAAATTCTTCTGAGATTACAGCAACCGTAACTAGTTTCCTGATCCTGACCTCTCATCTTTATAATCTATTTTCCTGTGTATAAATTAATGACCTTTCATCTGGTCATTTTATTTCTCCACTTAAAATCTTTAATGGAACTCAAGTCAGCTAACAGGACAAGAAGCTCATTTCACTTTCTCTACTTCTACTAACATAGTATGGTCTCTTCAGCAATTCTGGAGGTTTTATCAGCATTAATTTAAACTGAACTTATCTACAACTATACCAAGTTAAGCTCAAGCTGTCAGTTTAGGGTGCACACATCAGCAATGATTGTGTTTTGGAAAAGAGAGACAAGAAATATGACTGTAGCATAAAAAAATCTGAAATGTAGCAAATTATCTCCAGATATAAAACATTTTGTTTAGTTTTGTGGCATTTTGTTTGTATGCGATGGCATGCATTCTTACCATAGTTAGAATTCATGTATCAGATGAGACATATTATTGACATAAAAAATAGGTGCATAGACGAATGTACAAATATATATATATTCTTATATTCTATAGGTATGTATACCTATAGAATGTTGAACAACACCACAATTTAAATAGCATATAATTTATGTTTCTTCTATAATTATGGAACAAGTGATAGAAAATAGTATTTACATTCTATTTGTTATGAGAACTTAAGAATATAACTAAAGAAAAATCTTTAAGTTTGAATCATCATAAATCAGAGAGAACGGGAAGGAAGCTAGTGGCACAACAGCTTTAGTGTGCAGATGAGAAGACTAAGTTCATAGACGTGACATCTTTACTTTGAGGGAAGCGTTTGCTAGTTACAGAACTGGCCCTAGAGGCTTGTTAGGTGACGCATGACAGCTTGTCTGACCCAGCCCCTCAAGCATGGCTGCACAGTTTTCTGCTG
Organism: Homo sapiens; assembly: GCF_000001405.40. NCBI lineage: Eukaryota > Metazoa > Chordata > Mammalia > Primates > Hominidae > Homo > Homo sapiens. The sequence continues at coordinate 196,853,563 of NC_000001.11, read as the reverse complement.
TCTCCTCCGTATTGGAAAATCGAAACTTCCGTGCCCTGTGTAACCTCCTGAGATACTTTTACATTTTCTTATGATTGCAGGATATTTAGTCCGAGGAAGAAAGGGACATTAATTAAAGGAAATCATTTAAATCTTTCTTTATTTTTATTTTTAACAGTCTTGCTCTGTTGCCAAGGCTAGAGTGCAGTGGCGCGATCTCAGCTCACTTCAACCTCTGCTTCCTGGGTTCAAATGATACTCCTGCCTCAGTCTCCTGAGAAGCTGGAATTACAGGTGTGTGCCACTACATCCTGCTAATTTTTTGAATTTTTAGTAGAGAAAGCATTTCATCATGTTGGCCAGGTTGGTCTCCAACTCCCGGTCTCAAGTGATCTGCGCGCCTTGGCCCTCCAAAGTGCTGGGATGAAGGTGTGAGCCACCCCACTCGGCCAAATATTATTTTTCTTAGTCAACGATAATTTCAAACCTGAAGTGAGTTTTTCATAGTTTAGGTTTGTTTCTAAAAATCGTTTTTCCCACTAAAAGGCACTGGAATTTCATACAGAAATTATTGAAAGTTAGTCTGTAGTAGCAAAAGTCAAGGAAAGCATGGGACCTTTTGTTATGCCAAAGCTTAATGGGGGCACATGAAATATACACAAAAGCCAGCTTCTTAGTGAGATTTGAAACAAATTTGAGCATCCCAAAGAAGTACAATGGCAATTAACTGTAATGCATTGGGTACTGAAAATGATCAGTTTAAAAGGGATTTAGAAGCAACCCTGCTCTACATTACTAATTGTCACCCTTGACACTTTGTTATGGCAACTCTAGTAGATGAATATAAAGTTTATACAATTCTGAAAGGATATTCATAATTAAAAATAATGCTCTTGACAACCTATCTTTAAATAAGTATAAATAACTTATGACTTAATGGAAGAAATAATGGCCAATACAAATTCAATGAACATTATAATAGGTTACAATTACAAATTTTCTGTCGAGTTTGTCTTTCAAATAGTGTGGTTTCCAAAAGAATTGGTGTGCCGATTTTAATGTTCAGAACTGAAATATCAACTACCATTAAAAAAATTTTATTAGCATAAGCAATTCACAAAGTATGTCCTTCATTAATGATATGAAAAATCTTTCTTAGATTTGATTTACTAGATTCTGAATATAGATGAATACAGATATATATACACATAAAGTATTCAACAAGACAAAAATCAGCAGGAAAATACACCCAAGATATAATTACCAAATTCTGATGAATAGCCTCTAAAATCTGTGTGGTGGCTACATATATATATATATACTCTTGAGTAAAAAGTAAAAAGTTATTTTTAGTTATTAATGTTCTTTTAATAAATTGTGTAAATATCATGGTATTCATCTGCTAGAGCTACCATAACAAAGTACCACTGATTTCATAGAAATTTATTTTCTCACAGTTCTGGAGGCTAATAGTTTGAGATAGAGCTGTCAACAGGATTGGATTCTTCTGAGACCTCTTCCTTTGCCTTGTAAATGGTTGTATCCTTTCTATGCCTTGCGTGATCTTTCTCTATATGGTGTGTTCTTATTTTCTCTTCTTATATAGACACCAGTTATATTGGAGTAGGACCCACCTGAACCATTGACCTTTAACTTAATTACATCTTTAAGCACTCCTTCTCCAAATGCAGTCACATTCTCAGGTATTGGGAATTTGGACTTTAACAAATGAATTTTGGCGGGATGCAGTTGAGCCAATGCTACTGAATACACAAAGATGTTTCTCTCTAACCAAGACGTTGAAGGTAACCCAATGAGTTACTTTCTCCTTTGAGAAATATAGGTGCGACCTAAATTTACAAGACATTTTGCTCAAGTTTACTCTTACAAAAAGTTCATTGGAGGAGAAAAGTTTTCAACTGGAATATCAGATAAGGAAGAATTTGTCATCATTCTTTTTTTATAGTGCTTTTAAGAAAGTAAGTAAGAAAGTATAGTGCATATGCTTCTCTAATTCCAGTCATTTCAAAATGGTACTACTTTTCTTCTTTTCATTCTATTTTAATCTATTTAATCTTTATTTGAAAAAAATGTACCTGTATCAGTTCAGTTAACAAAGGAAATAACAGGAGAATTTCCTTTTCTTTCCATTTTGGCACAGATCAAGTTTGATTTTGCACAACAAATAAAACTAGCAAATCGTGATAGATAATACTGTAAAACCTAAAGCTCTTTACCTAGAATCAAATAAAGTGGCATAGCTTTGAGAAGAGAGGCTGAGGGAAAAGATACTCTCATAAATTGATAATTGGATTTCCAGTATTACCCTCCACTACATTTGTTGAAATATTATGAAGTTTCGGATAATTACAAAATTTATATTCTTCATTAATGGCCACAAACCCTTGATTGTCCATGATTTTTGACTCATGTGGTTCCACTGCTAATGTTACGATATAGTTCTTTAATATGCAAGGCCTGCATTCAAAAAGATAGTTAATATAGAAAATATATGACTGTTGAGGAGAAAACAAATCAGTGAACAATAACATAAAGCTATAAAAAATAATTATTTATGTATTTATTTATTGAACATTTGCTAGTGAGCTCAGAAATGCAAAATTTACTGTCATTTAAAAGTAAGTTAAGCATATAGTCTACTTTTTGATTATATTCATGTTGTGATTTACATGTTGTGATTTACATGTTGCTAATCTTGTTGAAATATTAAGTTCATATTAATGTTAATTCATTTTAGCAGCTTTCTTAAGGTATTATAGAAATAAAAGAAACTGCAGAATTTAAAATGTATTATTTGATGTTTTGGTATATGAATCTATAAAAAATCACCATCTGTAAGATTATGAAAATATCAGTCACTCCCCTTGCATTACAAATAAGAAACTTCTGAACATTTTAAGGTTAGAATCTGTCTAGTGACATGTTTCCTACTTAAAGTTTCATGAGTATATTCACATATCTCCATAATCAATATTAAATGTCTTTTACACTGTAGAACTTATGAAACAAAGAGAATATTATTCATTGTTTAAGTTAAAATGAGATAATATTTCATAAAATTAATTTCTGTTATAGTCTTACAAAATATGCTATTTCTACTAGCATAATGAATAAATCCTCTTTGGTTCATAAAAAATTGTAGACATGGAGACATAGGAAGCTAGATATTACATGAAGTTACATTTAAGATGGGAGCTGAGTGTTTAGATCTCTTTCAATTTACCTTGTCCATTAGCATAGGAAACCCACAAGGTGAGAATGACATTAATTAGTAACAACATGTTAGATATTCTCAGTAGTATAGTAATGCAAAAGTTTCAGTTGTACTGTTTGGAGTTTGAAATCTTTCATTGTTAGTTACCAAGGGTGATTCCGAATTTGAGGAAACTACCACGAAGCTAGGCCTTTAAGGTCACTTAGTAAATATCAAAGTTCAGAGAGTTTTGCAAAATGCTTCAATAATTCCAGTTAGTGGTTTCACAACCATCTGTGGAATTGATTCCCTGAAATGTACTTGTAAAATATTATTTAGGGACAGTAATGGACTGAATCCAAAAGTAATATAAAACATTAATTTATTTTATTTCTCATTTTTTGAGTAAAGAGAGTATCAATAAAGGGAACGAAAGGCTTCCACAACTATTGGAAGAACTGAGGGAACAAAGGTCAAAAATGCTATTTCCAGAAAATTCCGAAGTTCAGGAATCTTAGTGATGCCCCACTAATTATCCATTGTACTGCAGTGGATGTTTTTTAGGAAAACTTCCAGAAGCAAGGAAAGCTACTGTTGGTGATCTCAGCTGCTACCAGCAGCTGCTACCAGATAATGCCTTGTCTTTCACTTGGTCCAAGTTTTCTTTAGGTACATCTCATGGGGGAATCTAAGGGAGAAGCAAGCTAAAATACAAATACAGCTACAAATACAAATACAAGCTAAAAATAAAATAGCTTGTAAAATACAAATACAAATTAAAATAAAAATTCCTAATACAGATCGTATTAGGAATAAATAGAAAATCAAAACAAACAAATAATGAGTAAGTTGATTAAATCAGTAATAAAATTCACCTATCAAAAAAGCCCAACGCCTGTTATCTTCACTGCTGAATTCAACCAAACAGTATAAAAAACTGGTAGTACTGTTTTTCAAACTATGCATAAAATAAAGATGGGTAGACATACACAAACCAATAGATGTAACATATCACAATAACAGAATGAACAAAACTATATGATCATTTTCATAGAAGTACTAAAAACATTTGAGAAACTTTGACATTTCTTCATGATAAAGAGTTTCCACAAATTAGGCAGAGCAGAGCCAGATGGTGGAATAGGAGACACCAACCATTCCCCTTCAAAGATACTAAGTTAACAACTATGTACACAGAAAAAAAAAAAAAAAACACCTTCATAAAATGAAAACATTATCAGATTAGCACTCATAGTACATGGTTTTAACTTCATATCCCTGAAAGTGGCACGTAAGAGATAGGTCAGACAATCTTGAATCACTGACACTACCCTTTCCCCTCTCCCCACACTTGCAGCTGTGCCATGGTGTACAGAGCCTTGCTCTAGGCACTGAGGGAGGGAGAACATAGCAATTGTGAGGCATTGAACAAAATGCTGTGCTGTTAGAGCAGAAAGGAAAACCAAACCAAACTCAGCTAACCCCTTCCCATGGAGGGAGTACTTAAACCAATGCTAGCCATGATGGTATTGCTGACCGCAGGGGTCTGAAATCAAGTTCCCACAAATCTTGCCACCTAGGGCTACCTACCATGCATTGTGTCTCTAAATAAACTAGAAAGACAGTCTAGGACATAAGGACTGCACACGTATGTGAGTCCTAGTGCTGAACTAGGCTCAGAGACTATGGACTGGGGGAAGACACAGAATATTCAGAGACACCAACTGCACCAGCTGAGGCAGCCAAGAGCGTGCTGGCATCACCCAACCCCTAACCCCAGGCTTCACATTTCACAGCTCCAAAAGAAACCCCTTCCTTCTGCTTGAGGAGAGGAGAGGGAAGAACGGGGAAGACTTTGTCTTACATCTTGGATATCAGCTCAGACAAAGCAGGATAGGGCAACTGTCAAAGGAATGAGGCCCCTGCTTTAAGCCCTAGCTCCCAGATGACATTTCTTGACATACCCTGAACCAAAAGGGAACCCAATGCCCTGAAGGAAATGATGCAGTCCTGGCAGCATTCACCCAGCCTAACTGAAGAGCCCTTGGCCCTCAATAACCTGCAGTGATACCCAGATACTATGTTGAGGGCCTTAGGTGAGCCTCTGAGACTTGCTGGCTTCAGGTACCAGCATGGCCACAGTGGGTAGAGAACCACCTGGGCTCCCAGGGTCCCCAGTTCCTGGACTTGACTGGTGGGTGGCATTTTTGGACATACCGTGGACCAGATGGGAGCCCAGTTCCCAGAAGGGTGAATCCTAGGCTAGCCAGCATTCACCACAAACTGACTTAGGAGCACCTAAACCTTAAGGGAACATCAGCAGTTGTCTGGCAGTACTCCTCATGGCCTGGAGTGGTGTTAGACCATAGGGTGAGGCTCCTCTGACTTTGGAAAGGGGAGGGAACAGTGAGGAGGATTTTTTTTTATTATTATACTTTAAGGTTTAGGGTACATGTGCACAACGTGCAGGTTAGTTACCTATGTATACATGTGCCATGTTGGTGTGCTGAACCCAGTAACTCGTCATTTAACATTAGGTATATCTCCAAATGCTATCCCTCCCCCATCCCCCCACCCCACCCCACAACATTTTAACTTGCAATATGACTGCCAGCCCAGATACAGTACCATATAACATCAAGCAGACATCTAAGGTTTTTGAAACTGGTCCCCTGGAAACCACCCTGGTCCAGGGGCCCTCATCACCCTGAATTCTCTCAGATCATGTGCAAGACCATCAATACAGTACCCCTAGAAGTCTGCAAGAACCACTGCATTGCTGGGATTTTGACACCCTGTAAAGAAGTTACAGCTTAGGTCACAACACCCAAGTCCTTTCAAACATGTGGAACATCTTGCCAAGAAGGATGGTTACAATTAAGCCCAGACAGTGAAGAAAACAATAAATACCTAACTCTTCAGTGCCCAGACACAGAAGAATATCTGCTAGCATTAACGCCATCCAGGAAAACCCGACCTCACCAAATGAACTAAACAAAGCACCAGGGAACAATCCTAGAGAAACTGAGTTATGTCACCTTTCAAACAACGAATTCAAAATAGTTTTGTTGAAGAAACTCAAAGAAAATCAAGATAACACAGAGAAGGAATTCTGAACTCTATCAGATAAATTGAACAAAGAGATTGAAATAATTTTAAAAAATCAAGCAGAGATTCTGGAGCCGAAACATGCAATTGACATACTGAAGAAGATATTACATGTGCTATTCTTTAATAGCAGAATAGATCAAGCAGAAGAAAGAATTGTTGAGCTTGAAGACAAGCTATGTGAAAATACACAGTCAGAGGAGACAAAAAAATAAAGAATTAAAAACAATGAAGTATGCCTACAGGATCTAAAAAATAACCTCCAAAAAGCAAATCTGAGAGTATTCACCTTAAGGAAGAAGTAGAGAACGAGATAGGAGTAGAAAGTTTATTCAAATGGATAATCACAAAGAACTTCCCAAACCTAGAGAATGAGATCTATATCAAGTACAAGAAGGTTATAGAATGCCAAGCAGATTTAACCCAAAGAAGACTACCTCAACTCATTTAATAATCAAATTCTCTAAGGTCAAGGATAAAGAGACTATTCTAAAATCAGTAAGAACAAAGAAATAAATAACATACAACGGAGCACCAATACATCTGGTAGCAGGCTTTTTAGAGGAATCCTTACAGGAGTGATATGACACATGCTGACAGAAAAATGACGTTTATCCTAGAGTAGAATATCTGGTGAAAATATCCCTTAAACATAAAGAAGAAATAAAGACATTCTCAGATAAGGAAAAGGTGAGGAATTTTATTATGCCAGACCTGTCCTACAAGAAATGCTAAAGGGAATATTTCAATCAAAAAACGAAATTCATGAACAATAAATAATCACCTGAAGACACAAATCTCACTGGTAATAGTAAGTACATAGAAAAATACAGAATATTAAAACACTGCAACTGGGTTGTGTAAGCTAATATCCTAAGTAGAAAGACTAAATAATGAACTAATGAAACATAATAACTACAGATTTTCAAGACATAGTCTGTAAAATAAGATAAAAATAGAAACAACAAAAAGTTTGAAAGCAGAAGGGAAAATTAAGGTGGAAAGTATTTATGAGTTTACTTTGGCTTGTTTGTTTATGCAAACAGTGTTATGTTTTCTGGTTTTAAGATAGTATTTGCAATCCATATGGTAAGTTGAAACAAAAAATTAAAGAATCTGGAAATTAAAGAATATGCCCCTGAATGCACTGTGGATCAATGAAGAAATTAAAATATTTTGTGAAACAAATGATAATGGAAACACAAAACCTATGGGATATAGCAGTTTTAGTACCAAGAGAAAAATTTATAGCTATAAGTGACTACATAAAAAAGAAAGGAAAAACTTCAAATAAACAATTTGGTGATTTATGTTAATGAACTAGAAAAGGAAGGGCAATCCAAATCCAAAATTATTAGAAGAAAATAAATAATAAATATCACAGCAGATAAACTTGAAATTGAAATGAATAAAATACAAAGATCAATGAAACATAAGTTCTTATTTTAAAATACTAAACATGCTGATCAACCTTTATCCAGACTAAGAGAAAAAGAGTGAGAATTCAAATAAATAAAATCAGAAATGAAAAGGAAACATTACATCTGATCCTGGAGAAATTCAAAGAATCATTATTAGCCACTATGTGGAATGATATTCCAATAAATTGGAAAATCTAGAAGAAATGGACAAATTCCTAGACACATAAAACCTACTAAGATTGAAGCAGAAAGAAATCCAAAACCTGAACAGATCAATTATTAATTCAAGTAATGAGATCAAAGCCAGAATAAAAAGTTTCATAGTAAAGAAAAGCTCAGGACATATTGGCTTCACTGTTGAATTCTCCCTAACGTTTAAAGAAGAACTAGTACCAATTCTACTCTAACTATTTTGAAAAATAGAGGAGGAGGAGGAGCAAATACTTCCAATGTGAGGCTAATATTACCCTGAAAAGAAAATCAGACAAAGACACATTAAAAAAAGAATACTACAGGTCAATATCTCTGACAAATGTAATTGTAAAAATTCTCAACAAAAGAATAGCAACAAATTTAACAGCATACTAGAAAGATCATTCAACATGACCAAATGGGATTTATCCTTGAGATGCAAAGATGGCTCAACATACACAACTCAATCAATGTAATACATCATACCAACACAATGAAGGATATAAACCACATGATTATTTCAATTGATTCCAAAAAGGCATTTGATAAAATTCAAAATCCTTCATGATAAAACACTAAAGAAAACTGAAGATAGAAGGAACACACCCAAACATAATCAAAGCTGCATTTGACAGACACACAGCTACTATCATACTGAATGGAGAAAGTCTGAAATAATTTCCTCAAAGTACTGGAACATGACAAGGATACCCACTTCACCACTGTTATTCAACATAATACTGGAAGTCCTGGCTACAGCAGTTAGACAAGAGAGGGATATAAAGGTATCCAAATTGAAACGAAAGAAGCCAAATTATCTTTGTTTGCAGATGGTATAAGTTTTTTTCGATAAACGTAAGGTAATCACCAGAAAACTATTAGAACTGATAAGTCCAGTAAGGGTGCAAGATATAATATCAACATAAAAAACCAGTAGCACTTGTATATGTTGACAGCAAACAATCTGAAAAAAATCCTAAAGGTAATCCCATTTACAGTAACCACAGATAAAAATAAATAATTAGATATTAACCAAAGAAGTCAAAGATCTCTATAAGAAAAAGAGTAAAACACTAAAAATAGAAGTAGAAGAGGACACCAAAAAAAAAAAGATATTTCATGATCATGGACTGGAAGGATCAATATTGTTATAATGTCCATACTACCCAAGGCAATCTACAGATTCAAGAAATCACTATGAAAATACCAGGGACATTCTTCACAGTAATAGAGAAAAACAATCCTAAAATTTTTATGGTACCACAAAAGCTAAAGGTACCAAAAATAGCTAAAGCTATCCTAAGCAATAAAAACAAAACTGAAGGAATAACATTACCTGACTTCAAATTATACTACAGAGTTGTAGTAACTAAAACAGGATAGTACTGGCATAAAAACAGACATACAGTCTAATGGAACAGAATAGAAAACACAGAAACAAATTTACACATCTACAGTGAATGCATTTTTGACAAAGGAACGCTGTGGAAAAGAGTCTCTGCAATTAACAGTTCTAGGAAAACTGGATTTTCATATGCAGAAGAATGAAACTAGACCTCTATGTTTCACCATATCCAAAAATCAAATCAAATGGATAAAGACTTAAGTCTAAGACCTCAAACTATGAAACTTCTACCAGAAAACATTGGGGAAAATCTCAAGGACTTTGTTCTGGGCAAAAATTTCTTCAGCAATAACTCACAAGCACAGGCAAGCAAAGCAGAAATGGACAAATGAGATCACATCAAGTTAAAAATGTTCTGCACAGCAAAGGACACAATGAACAAAGTGAAGAAATAACACTGAGTGGGACAAAATATTGCAAACTACCCATCTGACAAGGGATTAATAACCAGAATAATTAAAGAGCTCAAACAACTCTATCAGAAATCATCTAATAATCAGATCAAAAAAGGGCAAAAGATCTGAATATAGATTTCTTAAAAGGATACATTCAAATGGAAAACAGACATGTGAAAAGATGATCAACATAACTGATCATCAGAGAAATGCAAATCAGAACTACAGTGAGATATCATCTCACTCCAGTGAAAATGGCTTATATGGAAAAGAGAGAAAATAACAGATGCTAATGAGGATGTGGAGAATAGGGAAATCTTGTACACTGTTGGTGGGAATGTAAATTAATACAACCACTATGGAGAACAGTTTGGAGGTTTCTTAGAAAACTAAAAATTGAGCTACCTTATGATCCAGCCATCCTAATGCTGTGTATACATCAGCAGTGTATGGAAATCAGTGTATGGAAGCGATATCTGCACACCTATGTTTGTTGCCTCACTGTATACAATAGCTACGATTTGGAAGCCACCAAAGTGTCCATCAACAGATGAATGAATAAATAAAATGTGGCACACATACACAATGGAGTACTACTTTGCCATAATAAAGAATGAGATCCAATCATTTGCAACAACATGGATGGAACTGGAGATCATTATTTTAAGTGGAATTAGCCAGGCACAGAAATACAAACCTCACATGTTCTCACTTATCTGTGGCATCTAAAAATCAAAACAATTGAACTCTTGGACATAGAAAGTTGAAGGATGGTTACTAGAGACTGTGAAGGGTGGTATAGGGCTAGAGGGGAGATGGGGATGGTCAATGTGTACGAAAAAAAAATAGAAAAAATAAATAAGTCCATCTATTTGACAGCACAATCGGTTGGCTATAGTCAATGATAACTTACTTGTACATTTTAAAATAACTTATACAGTATTATTGGATGGTTGGAACTCAAAGGAAAGATACTTGAGGGCATGTATACCCCATTCCCCATGATGTGCTTATTTCACATTGTATGCCTGTATCAAAACATTCTAAGTACTCCATCAATACATACACCTACTGTACACCTATGATGTGCACATGAAAATTTAAAAACATATGTATAGAAGAAAAGTACCCCAATACCATAAATAGCATATATGACAAACCCATAGGTAACTTTTATATTCCATGGCTGTCATCACAATGTGTTATTGGCATTGACCAGAGTAGAATAAAACACTACTAGATATGTAAAGAAGCAGAAAATACGGCCCATATTTAGAAGAAAAAGATCTATCAATAATGCTAAAGACAAACCATATAGTAAATATAGTAAAATAAGCAAAACCTCCTCCATAACTTTAAAATAACTGCAAAACATAAGACAAAAATCTTCAGGAAAATATATACGTAAATGTTGAAGAGAGGTGGAATTTCAGTTGAATAATGACACTTAGCCAAGTATAACAGGTTACTGAAAACATTTTCAGTTATAATGAAATTTTACTCTATCTGTAAGTAGTGTTCGTAAAAACTTTATAAAAGTATTGTAATTTTTAAAACTATTGTTAGTATTTTAAAGATGGTTGATTTTGAAATTCTATAAAAAGGAGAAATAAATATTTTTGAAAATAATTTTATTTTTCCAAGTGTCCCAACCTTTTGCAACATCTGTGATTGGTCAGAAATATGGATGATAATAAACTTTAAAATACAGCACAAGGTGTTTTCAAAGTTCTTTGCATAAAATATAATCAGAAATTACTGACCAAGGACCTTAGTGAAGAACACCAGGAATCCACTAATATTGTTAAGTGTGCTATTAACAAAAAAAGAGTCAGCCCCTTCATTAATTACTTTTTAAAGTATAGCATAGCAAAAAACCTTGACTATCCAAAATGACACACAAAAGTAAGTAGGTTCCTCAGCGGTTATTTAGGAGTTTATATGACTTTATGTATTAGTTGATAGTATTTTAATTTTTTCAATATTCAGTGAATACAAAGTGAAATACCCAAACTGAAACATGCTTCATACTTTTATCTTTTTTTACATAAAATTTCTCCTATGGAATAATTTTAGATTTACATAAAAGTTGTAAAGAGTATTCAGATAAGGTCTTTGTTAATCTGAAAATCAATAAAACAAAGATTAGATTTATTACATGAATATCAAATGAACTTATTTTTTGTAAGATAAGCATACTTACAACAGACATTTAGCTTCTCTTTCTGTAGTAGTTAGAAAGGCTAGGCTTAAATATATTAAATAGAATATATGTACTCAGCAATATTGAAATATATAATATTATCACTATTATTATTATTAAGTGTGAACACCATGCTGTGAAATAGATAGTAAAATGTATTCCTCTAGTCTAACTGAAAATTTATACCCTTTGACCAACACCTCCTAGAAACACCGCCATCCCTTCAGCTTCTGGTAACCACCACTCTACTCTCACCTTCTGTAAATTTGAATTTTTTAGATTCCACATATCAATAAGATCATGCAGGATTTTTCTTTGTGTTGACTTTATTTTAGATAGCATAATGTCCACTAGATTCATCCACGTTTTCCCTATTGACAAAATTGTCTTCTTTTTAGTTTGTATAGTATTCTACTGTGTATCTATACCACATATTCTCTTTTTGTAAACATTTTCATTTATTTTTTATTGGCAAATAAAATTGCATATATTTATTATGTAAAACATATTGTGTTGAAATATGTATACATTAGATAATGGCTAAATTAAGCTAATAAATATATGCTTTACTTCACATACTTCTCATTTTTGTGTGTGGTGAGACTGCTTAAAATCTACACTAAGTAGTTTTCAAGAATACAACATATTATTGTTAACTAAAGTCACCATATTTTACAACGGATTGCACGTATAAGTGCAATCATGTGGTTTTGTCTGTCTTATTCCACCTAACTTAATGTCCTCCCTGTTTATTCTATGTTCTTGAAAATGCAGGATTTCCTTTTTTCAAAGCTGAATAGTATTACGTTGTGTATATAGACCACATTTTCTTTATCTATTCATCTGTAATGGATACTTAAGTTGATTCCACATTTTGGCTATTATAAATAATGCTGTAATGAACATGGGAATGCAGATAACTCTTTGACATACTGATTCCTTTTTCTTTGTACATATATTCAGTAGTAGGATTACTGGATTGATTATATGTTCTGCTTTTCATTTTTGACAAACTCTATAGTATCTTCCATAATGGCTATACTAATATACATTTCCATCAACAATGTGCAAGTGTGTCCTTTTCTCCACATGTTTGATAACACTTGATGATTTTTTGTATTGTTGATAATAATACTTGTTGGCCATTGGTACGTCTTCTTTTGAGAAATGTCCATTCAGGTACATTGCCTATTTTTAAATTGGTTAATTCCTTTTTATTAGCCATTGAGTTGAGTTCCTTATATATTTTGAATATTAACGCTTTATCAGATATATGGCTTGCAAATATTTTTCCAACTCATGAGTTGTCTCTTCACTCTGGGCATTGTTTACTTTGCTGTGCAGAAGCTTTTTAGTTTGATGTAATACAATGTGTGTATTTTTCCTTTTGTTGCCTATGCTTGGGGAACCAATCCAAGAAATCATAGCCCAGACCAATGTCATGTATTTTTTTCTCTTTTATTTTCCTCTAGCAGTTTTATAGTTTCAAGCTTTACATGTCAGTCTTACATATATTCTGAGTAGTTTTATGTAGTGTGAAACAGCGGATCAATTACATTCTTCTATGTGTGAATATCCGATTTTCCCAGCAAGATGTATTGAAGAGACTATTATTTTCCCTATGTGAGTTCTTGTCATCTTTATTGAAAATATATTGAATTCTATTCTGTTTTATTGGTGTCTTGTTTTATGCCAATGTCATGCTATCTTGCCTATAATAGCATTATATCATAATTCAAAATTTAGAAGTGTAATGCCTCCAGCTTTGTTCTTTTTAATCAAAATTACTTTGACCTTCGGGATCTCTTGTCATTTCATACATATTTTTGAACTGTTTTTCATTTTTCTGTGAAAAATGACATTAGAATTTTGATGGGGACTGCATTGAATCCTTACATCTTTTTGTGTAATATGAACATTTTACCCATATTAAATCTTGCAGTCCCTGAACATGGGCTATTTTTCTGTTTATGTGTGTCTTCTTCAATTTGTTTCATCAATATTGTATTGTTTAAAATATATAGATTTTTGAGATCCTTGGTTAAATTTACTCCTAATTTTATTTTTTGGTGTTATCAGAAAAGGAATAGATCTTTAAATTTCTTTTTCAGACAGTTTATTGTTAGTATATAAGAATGAAAAAAGCAAAATCTAAGAATGAAGAAAACAAGTGAAAATTAATATACAACTCTATGGATTCGGTAATAGGGTGAACCAGAGATAAGAAGTATTTAAATCATTTTTGAAAAGAAGATTCGCACTCAGAGTCAGCTATCTAGGGGCAAAATAAACACAAAGAAATTTTAATTTTCACTTAGTAGTTTAACTACTAATAGCAACGTTTCATTACACTTTTGACATTTTCATGAATGAGTCAGTAAAGACAAATGAGAGAAGAATATATTTAATGAGCATAAACATATAGTTAGATAGAATAAATAAGATCTAGTATTTGATAGCACAACAGGGTGACTATAGTCAAAAGTAATTTATTGCACATTTTAAAATAAGAGGGATAATTGGATTGTTTGTAACACAAAGAAAGTATAAATGCTAGAGATGATGAATACCTCATTTACCCTGATGTGATTATTACACCTTGTATGCCTGTATCAAAATATTTTATGTACCTCATACATACATAGACGTACCATATACTCACAAAAATGAAAACATGTATATACTAAAGTTGTTTTCACAGATGTATTATTAAATTTGAATTGTAAAATCCAGTGAGAACAACAAACTTTTATATTTTATTTATATTTCAAAGATTTTACCACCAAAAATCCCTGAAAATAATTATATTTCCAAAGTATTGGACATTCCCATCTATTACCAATACTTCATGGTTCTTGAGTTCTAAATTTTATTCTGCTTTAAAAATAATCAGACTTTCTAGGAAAGGTGTATGATTTTGAATGTTGGGCAGAGGAAATATAAAGTGAACTTAGAACATGTTATGCTGAAAAAAAAAGAGAGAAATACTCAGATAAAATTAGGGCACATGAGAAGCAATGAGGAGCCAGTTTCCAGAGATATCCAGATTGAATAAATCAAAATACACGACTCCAAGGTGATACAAACAACTACAACAAACAAAAAACCTTTCTGTTTTTACAAAAAGACATATTTATATTTCAAAACCTAGAAGTAATATTTTGGTCCATTAACTTCCATTTTTACTGATTAATGTAATCAATTTTTTCACCCCTATAAAAGTATCATTGGCAAATACAAATTTTTATATTCACGTTATACAACATATTATTTTGATATACATAACATTTTATAATGATTATCATAATGAAGCTAATCAAATATCCAATATCTCACCTTGTTACCTTTTGTATGAATGACATCAGAACACTTAAGAACTATTGTCTTTGTAATTTCAAATATATAATATATTATTAATAACTATAGTCATCATGCTTTACACTAGGTCTCCAGAAATTATTTGTCTTAAAACTTGTATCCTCTGACTGACATCTCTCTATTTCTCCCACTGTGCAACCCCTGGTAACTATACTTCTACTCTCCATATCTATGAGCTCAGGTGTTTTTTAGATTCCAAATATAAATGACATCATGCAGCATTTGTCTTTCTGTGTCTGGTTTACTTCACTTACTTAATATCTGCCATGTTTATCAATGTTGTTAAAAAAGACAGATTTGCCTTCTTTTTAAAGGCAGAATTTAATGTATTCCACTGTATATATGCACCACATTTTCTTTATTCAATCATCTTTGACAGAAACATAAGTTGTTTCCATATCATAGCTATTGTGAACAATCCTGCAAAAAACATGAGAGTGCAGATATTTCTTAGACATACTGATTTTGTTTTCTTTGTTTATACACCCAGAAGTGGAATTGCTGAGTCATACGATAGTTCTATGTTTAATATTTTGAGGAACCTCCATATAGTTTTCTACAATGGCTGTAACAATCTACATTCCCACCCATAATGTACAAGTGTTTCCTTTTTTCCACATCCTAACCAACACTTGTCATGGAGCTTCAGTGAAATTATTGAAAAATTTATGGGGACAACACCCCAAAAGAAATCAGCCATTTAGAAACAGATAACTCATTTTAGGCAGAGGCAAGACAATGTTAAGGATGAAGCCCACAGCGGCAGACTAGCCACACTAATTTGTGAGAAAAAAATAATTTTGCTCACATCTGGATTAAAGACGACTGATGACTAAGAGCAGAATCAATAGTCAACACCATAATTAGTTCATCTTACAAATTCTGATGGGAAAATCAATGTTATAGCAAAATTTCCATTCAGTGAGACCCAAGACCATTGCACCCAGATGAGGTGTAGTAGACAAGAGAAGAGTGTTTTGTTTTTGAGACTGAGTCTGGCTCCGTTGCCCAGGCTGGAGTGCTGTGGGGCAATCTCAGTTCACTGGAAGCTCCGCCTGCCGGGTTCAGGCCATTCTCCTGCCTCAGCCTCCCCAGTAGCTGGGACTACAGGCGCCCACCACCTCGCCCGCAGATTTTTTTTTTATTTTTAGTAGAGACGGGGTTTCACCGTGTTAGCCAGGATAGTCTCGATCTCCTGACCTCGTGATCCTCACGCTTCGGCCTCCCAAAGTGCTGGGATTACAGGCGTGAGCCACGGCGCCCGGCCAGCAAGGGAATAGTTTTTAACGGAAAGTGTATTAAACAAGTGGGAATAAGAACCTGAAACATTTCTTCAAAGATTTGTAACAAGAGCTGAAACATGAGTTTATCAGTATGATCCTGAATACAAAACATAATCAAAGCAATGGCATACCAAAGGTGGAAGTGGTCCGATGAAAGCAAAAGCAGGCCAGTCAGGAGAAAACATCATGGCAACAGTTTGTGAGATGGCCAAGGCATTTTACTAGTTGAGTTCTGGAAGGCCAAAGAGAAACATTTGCTTCTTAAGAGAATGTTTTGAGAAAGTTTTCAAAGCTTTAGCAGAAAAATGCCCAGGAAAACTTCATCAGAGAGTCCTCCTCCACCAGAACAATGCTCCTGCTCATTCCTCTCAACAGACAAAAACAATTTTGTGAGAATTTTTATGGGAAATCTTTGAGCATTCCTACATTAAAGTCCTGGTTTGCCTTCTCCTGACTTCTTTATTTTGCCTAATTTTAAAAAATCTTACAAAGGGTACCCATTGTTTCAGTTAATTATGTGAAAAAGACTGCTTAACATGGATATAGTCCCAGAACCATCGAGTCTTTAGGGATGGACTAAATGGCTTGTATCACTGTTTTCAAAAGTGTGTTGAACTTGATGGAGCTTATGTTAAGAAATAAAGTGTAGTTTTAAAATTTTCTTATTTTAATTCAATTTTCCATGAATATTTGGAAGTGCCTTTATATATGCATGATTTTATTTCGGAGCTTTTAATTCTATGTATCTTTTTTGTATCAGGACTAAACTGTTCTGATTATTATAGATTTGTAGTGTAATTTGAAACCAGAGAGCATGATAGTGTGCTGTCTCTTCCTTTTTTGTCTTGTAAGACTGCTTTAGCTATTTGGTGTCTCTTGTTCTATATTAATTTTAGAATTTTTTTTCCATTTCTGTGAAAGATGTGTTTAGAATATTGACAATATTGCATGGAATCTGGAGTTTTAGGTATTGAAGACAATTTTATAATATTGATTCTTTTGATCCTTGAAGACAGGACATCTTTTCATTTATTTGTGTTTTCTTCAATTCTTTCATCAATATTTTATAGTTTTCAGTGTACAGAACTCTCATCTCCTTGCTTTGATTTAGTCTCAAGTATTTTATTATTTTTGATGCTATTGTAAATTAGATGTTTGTTTTCAATTTCTTATTTCAATAGCTTGCTGTTAGTGTATAGAAATGTAACTGGCTCTGTCTGTAGATCTTGTACCCTGCAACTTTACTGAATTGGTTATTACTTTTAGCAAAGTTTGGTGAAGTCCTTGGGTTTTCCATGTATATAATGAGATCATGTCATCTGCAAACAGAGACAACTGTCTTCTTTTCCAATTTCCATGCCTAATAGCTCTAGCCAGGATTTCCAGCACTATGTTGAACAGAAGTGGTGAGAGTGAGCCTCCTTGTTTTTTTTTTTTTTTTCTGATCATAGACAAAAATGTTTCAACTTTTCACTCTTGAGTATAATGTTAAATGTGAGCTTGTGATATGTAGCCTTTATTGTCTTGGGGTAATTTCTTTTATGGCTAATTTGTTGAGACTTTTTATCATGAAAGGATGTTGATTTTGTTAAATGCTTTTTCTGTATCTATTGAGATGAATATACAATTTTTGCTTTTCATTCTTTTAATTCGGTGTGGAACAGTAATTGATTGGTGTATGTATACTATCTTTACATCCCAGATATACATCCCCTTTCATTATGGCGAGTGATTCTTTTAATGTGTTGTGTTCACTTTGGAGGTATTTTGTTGAGCATTTTTACCTCTATATTCATGAAGAATATTGACCTCTAATTGTTTTTTTTAGTATCCATGTGTGGCTTTGGTGTCAGTACGATTTTTGCCCTCATATAATAAAACTGAGAGTTCACTCTTAAATTTTTGACAGAATTTGGGAAGGATTAGGATTGATTCTTTAAATGTTTGGTAGGATTCCATCTGTCATGAAGCCACGAGTTTTTTTTTTGTTTTGTTTTGTTTTTGATGAGAGACTTTTTATTACTTGTTCATTTTTCTTACTCATTACTGTTCTGTATTAATTTTGTATTTCATTATGTTTCAGTAATCATGGTAGGTTGTAGATGTCTATGAATGTATCTGTTTCTATTAGGTTATCCAACAGTTATATGTTGGCATATAACTGTTTATAGCGGTCTCTTCTGTTTTTTTGTATTTCTGTGCTATCAGTTACAATGTTTCCTGTTTCATTTCTAATTTTATTTGTTCCTTCTCTCTTTTTTAGTTCAGCTAAAGGTTTGTCAATCTTGTTTATATTTTCAAAAGCCAACTTCTAGTTTTGTGGATCCTCTATTATTTTTCCAGTCTGTTTTATTTACTTCTGTTCTGTACCTTACTATTTTTTTCTTTCCAGTAGCTTTGGGTTAATTTTTTTCTTCATTTTCTAGTTTCCTGAGATACAAAGTTACTTGCTTTATTAGGATCTTCATGGAGTCATTCATATCTCTAGACATCCCTTTATACTGCTTTTGTTGCATACCATATGTTTTTTAGTATGTTGCTTTTCCATTTTTGTTTTTCTCAAGATATTTTTAAATTTCCCTTTGAATTTCTTCATTGCCCCATTGGTTGTTCAGGATCATGTTGTTTAATTTCCATGTATTTGTGAATTTCCTAACATTTCTTCTGCTATTGTTTTCTAATTTCATATGACAATGTTAAAAAAATTTATGTAATTTCAATCTTTTTAAAATTTTTTAAGACTTGTTTTGTGGCCCAACATATGATCTATATTGGAGATTATACCTTGTGTGCTTGAGAAGAATGTTTATTCTACTGTTGTCAAATGGAATGTTCTATATAGGTCTGATAGGTCCATTTGGTCTAACATAGAGCTCAAGTCCAATGTTTTTATTGATTTCTGTATAGACTGTCTATCCATTGTTGAATGTGGGTTATTGAAGTCCCCTACTATTACTGCATTGTTTATTTCTTCCTTTAGATGTATTAATGCTTGCTTTATAAGTTTCATTGCTCCCATGTTGAGTGCATATATATTTGCAATAGTTATAATCTATTTGTGAATTGACTCCTTTATTACTGTATAATGGCCTTCCTTGTTTCTTTTTACAGATTTGACTTGAAATTCAATTTTAGTTAATGTTAGTATAGCCCCCCTGCTTGCTTTTGGTTTCCATTTACATGGAACATATTTGTTTATCCCTATGCTGTGCTATGGTGTGCATAGTAGTACCCTTTCAAAATTTGTATGTTACATCCTCATCACTATGGTGATAATATCAGAAAGTAAGGACTTTTTAGGTGATTAGGTCATGAGGATTCCACCCTAATACATTGGATTAGTCTTTTTACAAAGAAGAGTCATGGAACTCCCTTGCCCCTTCCACATTGTAAGGACATAGTAGGAAGGCACCATAGTGGGAAGGCACCAAAACAGGGAGCAAGCCCTTACAAGACATCAAATCAGTTGGTATCTTAAGCTGGAAAATCTCAGCCTCTAAAACTGTATGAAATAAATTTCTATTTTTTATAAACTAGCCAGTTTATGGTAATTTCTTATAGTGGCCCAAATGTACTAAAACAATTTAGGAATAAACATATATTCCTAAGTGTTAACATTTCTATCAACATAAGTTGCTAATTATAACAAATGTCCTTTAGATTTTTGAAATCTGGCTTTCCTCAACTCAAGCAATTTATCTAAATCAGGATCACTAACAAGGAGACAGCCTGAGTATATAAGCCACCTGATTTTATATGGTAAGAAGTAATAAGGTATCATTAAATAATATTTGTGTTGTATTATTGATATCTTTATTTTTCACATAATGGCTTCACCTCCTTTATGAGTTTAAAATGTTCCTAATCAAAAATGATTTTACCTAACTAGTGCTGATTAAAAAGAATGAATATAAAAATTACATTTCAGAACCTTACTATTGAAATTTCCAAAACTCTTCTACTCCAAAAATACTTAAGAGGCTATTTGATGTTAAGATCATTACTGATGAAATCTTTATCATTCTCAACATGCACCGCCTTGCTTGTTAGACATCATTATTTTAAAATAAATTGTACTTTTGTTTCCAAAGTGATATATGTTAAAGGTAGAAAAATCAGAGGATACCGATATATACAAAAGAATTAAACCCTAACTTTTACCCCGACTATCTCTAAACACACACACACACACGCACACGCATACACACACACACATACACATACATATAAATATATATATATACACACACATTTAACTATAGTTTTGAATTTCCTGGCAATATTTTTTCTATAAACATTAAATCAGGGCAAAAGTATCATGTTTCTATGTTTGCAAGTGAGTGCATGCAAGTGAGCATGTTATAACTGATACTGTATTTTTATTTTTTGTATGTTTATGTTGTAATATTTATATACCCAATTACGTTTTAATTCTTATGATTAGTTTGCATTATCATGTGTGCTAGATTGTCATCTTGTAGAAGTATCTACATTTCATCAGTTCTGGTGCATTAATGTATTGATATCATTTTTGGTGCATTTATGTATTGATAAATTGTAATTACTTATATCTCATTACCAACATGAATTAAGACTTGACTTGGTTTTTACATCTTTGTAAAGTGATATAATTTTGAAATCAGAGACAATGATATGTTTTCCGTTTACTGTAAAACAATGAGCCTCAGAAGCTGTGGAGAAAGCTTTGAGAGATTTAAGAGTGATGAACAGAAATAAAGTCTGAAAAATTGCATCTAATTTCTTGCCACAAACATTTTATGAACTGGACACAACAGTTAGTTTTCCAAGTTTTAATATGGTGCTTTTAAGAAGAGAGCCACCGGTCTCAGCTTATAATTACATTTTCACAAATTAATCCAAAATTTTACGTATGAATAAAAAGGAGTAAAACAATACTTAAAAATGAAATTAAGAACTGATTTAATACTAAAGTTCTGAATAAAGGTGTGCATTTTATGATTGATTCTATCTTTTTGCACAAGTTGGATACTCCAGTTTCCCATCCCAACATGTTGTTCGCAATGTGTGAGAACGTGATGAAAGACGATATCCCCGTTTACACACAAATTCAGCTGATTCACCTGTTCTCAAATAAAGCTTCTGTTTGGCTGTCCACCTTAATGCTATGTTATAATTTTCCATAATTTCTCGGGATATTACACACGGATCTGAAAATAAAAAACAGTAAACATAAAACATTAAGTAGTATGCAAATCTTCATAGACTTTCAGGTTTTCAAGTAGAATGTTATATGATGGTTCAGGAATTATTTCTCAAAACACTGTCCAAACCGACTATGTAAAAACATCATATTGATTTAAATAAACTTAAAATGGTAATCGATGTGAAAATGAGGTTTTATGTTTAATGTATGAGAATTAGGGGTGTATTATCAATGATTCATTACATCAGTTGTCATTTTAGGATCCCTGCATTTTAGAACTTATCATTGCTGCTTTTGTTTGATTAAGATATTGGTCAAAGAGTACAAACTTTCAGCTATAATATGAATAAGAACTTGGAATCAAACATAGAGATCTAGTGATATTTAGAGCTAATAATATTGTATTGTTTATCTGAAAATTGGCAAGAAAGCAGATTTTAAGTGTCCTCACCACAAACACACACACACATACTCACACACCCACCTACACCCAATGCTAAGCATAGGTGATGAAGAATGTGCTAATTAATTTGTGGTAATCATTGTAGCATAAATATATCAAAACAGCATATTGTCAAACATGAAAGTATATTTTTATTTATCAACTAAATTCTTTAAAATAAAATATAAATATAAAGAGAAAAATTACTTTTTTGTGTTGTTTTTATTGAGACGGAGTCTCGCTCTGTCGCCCAGGCTGGAGTGCAGTGGCGCGAACTCGGCTCACTGCAAGCTCCGCCTCCCGGGTTCCCGCCATTTTCCTGCCTCAGACTCCCGACTAGCTGGGACTACAGGTGCCCGTCACCATGCCGGTTATTATTATTATTCTGTATTTTTAGTAGAGACGGGGTTTCACCATGTTAGCCAGGATGGTCTCAATCTCCTGACCTCGTGATCTGCCCGCCTCGGCCTCCCAAAGTGCTGGGATTACAGGTGTGAGCCACCACACCCAGCCCTAAAGAGAAAATTTCTAAACTTTACTTTCTAAAAGAAATTTTTGGTAGGCAGGCATTCAGCAGAATGGTTGTTCAATAATCTGTGATTATTTTGTTACCAACAGCAAAATATCAGACTCATCACACTGATTTTTCCAGCCACGTGAATATTAAAGTACTTACGTAAGCATTTTGGTGGTTCTGACCATTGTCCATTTCTACATGTTATTCGCTTGTTACCCTCAAGTTGATACAAGTTCTGGCATTGGTACTCAACTGATGAAGCTGGAGCATATACTGACAACGGGAATGAAGTAATGTCCCCATTGTCAATAGGTGGAGGGGGCCCACATTTTCCCGTAGAATCTAAAAAACATCATTTCATCACTTGATTTATTGTGAGAGCAAATCAAAATACAAGTTCAAATAAGGCAAATACAAACACAGCACTTTATATAATATCAACAGTTTTGTGATTTCTGGTAAAAGAAATGAGTCCTGGAAGAAATTTTAATCCTTTAAACTGAAAGTAATATATTTAAGTTCTTTTCTCCTTACTGAAGGAACACATAAAACATTAACAAATATTGCTGCTTATGGTAGATCAGGATTAAGAAATATCTTTCCGAATGAATACATGCTAAACATAGAAAACTATGACAAAGAAAGTTTCTTATTTCATATTCAACATTCTTTGGAGTAACACTAAGAGGACACGGGTTTTGAAATTGATGATGGTTCTTAAAAATCCCGTAGGAATTATAAAATGGAAAAGTATGATAAAAATTTTTTAAAAACACTGAATATACTTAATAATACATGGGGAGCTGACAGACAAATAAATCCATGAACTTGAACATACAGCAATATAAATTACCCACTCTGAAAATAGACTGAAAACAAAAAACTGAACTGAGACATTCAGAAAAATACAACAACAAATAATGCAGATGCAGAAAAAGAAGAGAAAGGATATTGGGCTGGAAAAATGAATAAATAAAAGGATACCTGAAAACTTCCCATTTTGACAATAAGGCATAAACTTATATTTAAGAAGCTGAGTGAACTCCAAAGAGGATAAAAACATTGGAATTTATACCAATATACATTAAAATAAAACTACTTTAAAAAAAGAAAAAAATACCTTGAAAGCAACTAGACAAAAACTATGCTTTTCCTTGAGGGGATCAACAATTCAAATGATGGTAAGTTTTTCATCTATAACCATGTGGCACAGTTTTCAAGTGTTCAAAGAACTGTCAACTCCAAATTTGATATCCAGTGACACGATCTTTTACAAGTAAAGGGGTAAATATAGACATTCTCAGAGAAAGGGAAACCAAGAGAATTTGTCTCCAGTAGACCTATGCCTAAAGATAACTAAAGGAATTCTTCAAATTAAAATAAAACAGATAAAAGAAAGAGCTTGAGACTTCAGGATCCTGAAAAAATAGAACGATATAATGGATAAAAAGAGGAGTCAATATAACACGATATCTTTTTCCTCATAAGTTTTTTCAATTATGTTTGATATTTGAAGCAAATGAGTTTAATATGGTGCTCAATGCATGCAGAGAAAATACGACTGGCATTTATACTTACAATGTGGAGAGTATAAATGGATCTACATGAAAGTAAGCTTTCCATATTCCAGTTGTTGATTTAAATGTCAGTGCCAGTAGACAGTAATATATTATTACATATATATAGTATTAGCTAGAGCAACAACTTTTTAAAAGGAGAAGAAAAGCTATGCAAAGAGATACAATGGAAAACAATACATATGAATCAAAATTAATCTCCTTAATAATTTTCCCTACAGGGAATGGAGGAATAGGGAAATAGGACTGAAACCCAGAGGGAACAGACAGAAACAAATAAATGACAGAGGTTTAAGTCCTATATATCAATAATTATGTTAAGTGTAATTGGTCCAAGTGCACCAGTTAACAGGCCATGAAAGGATGAATGGATATGTAAACATGACCCAACTATATGCTGTCTACAAAAACTCACTTCAATAATAAACATAGGTAGAGTCTAAGTAAAATAGTGAAAAAAAAAAAAAAACACAGGACAACATTAATTTTAAAACATAAAGGTAAGTAAGATACAATTTCCTTTTCTGGTTTCCCTTACTCCATCTCTATTTATTAGAATGACCCAGGACTATGTGCTCGGACTTCTTTTTATAAATACAGTCAGTCACACACCTTTAAATATAATCCATATACTGAAGATGCCCACATTTATATCACAGTCTATGATCTCTCTTCAACTGCCTATTCCATATCTTAGAATGCACATCACTTATGGCTGTCAAATGCACATAATGTATCTTTTATTACACGTATTCCTGAGAAGGAACTAAGTGTTGTGATGCTTAAAAAGTATTGTTTTTCAGGTTCCAACTCTTTTAATTTGGTCGAATCTTTCTCAAAAATAATACACCCTATTACTTGTGTTCTGTTCACAGGAAGAATTGAATTTTAAGCACCATCAATCATTTTATTTGCATTTGAAAAATCTATTAATAAAAATGACTTCATTTTGTTTAAATCAACATATTTTAACCCTGCTATACTCCCCCAAAATGTTAAAAGAAATATAATACTCTACCTTTGCATTGAGGTGGTTCTGTCCAGTTTCCATTTAAACACATCACTTCTTCATCCCCAAACATTTCATAAGGGCTCCTACATTCATAACGTACTCTCTCACCAGATGGATATTTACTCATCTGTCTCGACAGTATATGAGCATTTTGTACTGTGGGCGGATTCACACAGGAAGTGTCTGAGTAGAAAAAAAAGAAGTGGTTCCACCTAGTGTTCATTTTGAGTAGCAAATCAACTAATACAGTTACAAATATGTTTCAAGACGAATTTAAAATAAGTAGACAATCTCATCAAATATTTTGTTGATTTTAATAAATTTAAATGTAATATTGAAGAAAAGACATGAAACTATTTTTTGTCAGGTACAAGCTTTGATGTTTTAAATTTCTTCTTCATCCTTCGCTAGAACACTGATAGACCTTTATTTTTCCCTTCTGGAAGCCAGTGTAAACGAAAGTTTTCCTGGATATCTCTCTTTGAGTTTGAGTAAACAAATATTACCAGTTCTATTTATTTAACATTAATTTATAAAATGCAAAAAGTCAGCATAAATAGATTATGTGATACCAGATTTTTGTTTGCAATCATCCTGCTTATACATTTTAGCCTCTTAAAAATAAACACAAATAGGCATTTTCTTAGTGAATAAGCAAAGATTTAAAAACACATTTTGAAAATTACCCAAGTTAGTAGAGAAGAAGAATGGTTAATCAAAGGATCTAAATTGGAGATGTGGAAAAATAAAAGAAAATAAGTCTATAATAATAAAAATAACTTCAGATAATTTAATTGCCAATGATTAAGGATACTATGCTGAACAATGCAAAATTCATCAGAGAGTTTCAGGTCCATGTGTAGTGATAATAGACTATAGCAATGCTTCTCACACAGAAGTGTGCATAGAATTCCCTGGAGGGGTTGGTAAAACAGATTCAGGGTTCTATTTCGACATTTTTGATTCCGTGTGTCTAGAATGAGCTTATGGAATTGTATTTTCATTTCAAACAATCTCCAAGGAGATGATGATGCTACCGGTTTAGCGACCACACTTTGAGAACATTTGATTTATATAGGTAGGCAAACTATGTTATTCAACATCCACTTGGACACAATTGGAACTGAAAATCAAATGAATAAAGATAAAAGTATGTGGCAAAACCTATATTTAACCTGTAAAAAAGATTTATTTCTCTCAAACTTTATAATAGATAACAGCATATGAGAGAACAGCATTGTACTTACCAGTGGACCTGCATTTGGGAGGGGTGGACCAGCCCCGTTCTACACATGAAATGTTGTTCTCATTGTTTTGAAGTCTGTATCCTGTGTTGCAAATAATTTGCACAGTATCACCTTCCAGATGTGTTTGTCCTGAAGATTCAGAATGACCATTTTCCACAAAAGGAAAGAAACACAGTCCTAAGGACCAAAAACGGATTAATGTACAAGATGGAAGTAGCAAAGAAAAAGTACAACTGCATTTTAAAATATTTTAATAAACCGGGTGAAGTGGCTCACTCTGGTAATCTCTGCGCTTTGGGAGGCTGAGGCGAGTGGATCACTTGAGGCCAGGAGTTCGAGACCTGCCTGGCCAACATGGTGAAACCCTGTTTCTAGTAAAAATACAAAAATTAGCGGGCATAGTGGTGCGCACTTATAATTCCAGCTACTCTGGAGGCTGAGACAGGAGAATCACTTGAATCTAGAAGGCAGAGGTAGCAGTGAGTTGAGATGGCTCAAAAACAAAACAAAACAAACAAACGAACAAAAAAAATTAAAAAGGAAAGCTTTCAAAGCTGAAATCAAATATAAACACTTTCAAAAGAAGTTAACTCATGCTACTATATATATGATGAAACATATTTTTGGTTCTTTTATATGTATATATAGAAGAAAATATTTCATTTTCTTGCTCTATGGTTTTTATAATGAAATATTTTATGTTTGTCAACCTTTTAGGGACAAAAGAACCTCTTCATATATCTATTTCTCTCTTAACTCTCATAAATGTTTCTTAGGAGAAAGATCATTGCTATCTCCTTTGTTGCCTCATGTATCTGTCTCCCAATTTTTTTTTCTTTTAATACACCTGTTATCATTGGAGTCTGCTCTCTACATTTATTGGAGAATTAATATAGCTACACTGTGAAGGACCAAAGAAATTATTTATTGAAATATAAAAGTGAAAATGCTAAACCTCCTTTCAATATGCTAAAGAATGGTAAATTCAAAACAGAATATGTATAAAAATGACATTTAAAAGGAAAACTTTGATCAGGCTGCTGCGAAATGAATATTAGTAAAGAAATATTAGCAGTCAAATATATTAAAGATCAGTTTAAAAAAATTAATATATTTCAACACGTAGAGCATTTCCAGGTAACACAAGACAGTTGACATATTTATTCTTCATTGATTCTTATAGGAGGCATCTCAAAATAGGGGGACTACATCTCCCATCTTTCCAGCTTCTTTGGTCACTGTCCCTGTGATTATCAAGACCTTATGATCTTGTCTGGCATATCCTTCTCTATTCACTGAATGACATCCATTTAATGAACAGAGCATTTACTCACTGAGACACTTTGGTGTTGGTGACCATCCTTCTTCTGTGCATGTTATGCGAGTCCAAAATGATTTTGAAGGAGACACAAAATTATATTCACAGGAGTAATAGAAAACTTCCCCTGTAGGAACCTGGGAAAATGGCTTATATTTTTCTTCATCATATAGAATTCCATGGTTTATTTTTGGAAAATCACAAAATGTTGCTGGGAAAATAACATAAAACTGAAGAATTACATAATAAGTTACATAAATAAATCACTAGATTATATTTTAATCATCTCACTTATAGTGTTTTTCTTTCATTTAGCTTAAATGCCTTTAGCTTAAATGCTTTCCAGTGTACAAATTAGGAATGAAAAGCATCACTAACTAGGAGTACATGACTATTTGAGGAGGTAATTGTTAATGAATATAAAATTTATATTTTGGAGTGATATGAAATATGAACTCTCCTGCATTGTCTTCAAGAATAAAACCCACACACAACAATTTAAGAATGAAGACAGAGTGTAAGAGTAGCAAATCTTCCTGATCTACATAGTATACAGTAGAAAAGTGATAGGGTTGTTCTTAGCTCTCAATTTACTTATTTTCTCTATTCTCATTGACTGCCATAGGTGTCTCTGCCAGAAACTCTGTCCTATTTTTTTTTCTGGTGCAGTAAAGATGTTGGATATGTAGTTTTGTTTTTTGTTTATTAATATCATTTTGAATATTTTCTGGTTACAAAGTTAATATAGTTTCAGTGGAAATAATTTAGGGAATATAAGAAAATCACTAAGAACAACTCAATCAAGATAAAGTTAGAGCTAAATTCTGGTTAATGTTGTATATACAAATATGTATTTGTATATTTGTATTTATATATTTATACTTGTGAACACACACACACACGCACATATATATATATATATATATATATATATATATACAGTCAGCCCCACTCGTTTCACTTCGTCTGATTCAACCAACTGCAGATCAAAAATATTTGAAAAAAACAATAAAGATAATAAAACAATAAAAATAATGCAATTAAAGATACAATATAACAACTATTTTTACAGCATTTACATTGTATTAGGTATTATAAATACTCTAGAGATTCCTTAAATTGTATGAGAGGGCTGAGTGTGGTAGCTCATGCCTGTAATCCCAGCACTTTGGGAGGCTGAGGTGAGTGGGTCACTTGAGGTCAGGAATTTGAGACCAGCCTGGCCAACATGGTGAAACCCCATCTCTACTAAAAATACAAAAATTAGCCAGGTGTGGTGGTGCACGCCTGTGATCCCAGCTACCTGGGAGGCTGAGGCAGAAGAATCACTTGAACCCAGGAGGGGGAGGTTGCAGTGAGCGGAGATCATGCCACTAAACTCGAGCCTGGGGGCGACAGAGCAAGACTCCACCTCAAAAAAAATTAAAATAAAATAAAATAAATTGTATGGGAGGATATGCACAGGTTATGTACAAATACTACACCATTCTCTCTTAGACACTTGAGTATCCTTGGATTTTGGTATCTGCTGGGGGTGGGTAGCGTCCTGGAACCAATTCCTTGAGGATGCTAAAGGACTACTGTATATATGTATAAATACATCCATACACACTATGGTGCAAGATATATTAAAACAATGTAGAAAATGGGTGAAATCTTCATACTTTTTACTCTTTTTTTGTGTACACATACATATATATACACACATATTTTTTATTAGACTTTATACTTTATTTACAGGTTTTTCACAGCAAGATTGAGTGGAAGGTAGAGATTTCCTATATACCACTTCCTCTTCCCTACCACATGCATAAGCTCCCTCACTGTCAATATAATTACCACCCAAAGTTCATAGTTTATGTTGGGGTTCACTCTTGATGTTGTACGTTCTATGGGTTTGATATGCTTTATCTTTGAGTACGTATTTAGCTCAAGATATTTCCTCAATATAATACTGCTCTTTGTTTTTATGTCAAGATATTTTTGCAATATAGTACTGCTGCATAAGAAATAATTTTATTTTTCACCTTATTTGAAAGATGTGTGCAGAAATTAAGCTGACAAATCAAGAGAAATTTCTCTTTTTCATCTATCTAGAAGTAATGTTTAATGTTGCACAATATTTGAAATATTTTCACCTTGTGAAACCTGAAATTGATTATCTAACTGTTTAAAATTTGACATTAGATAGTTTTGGTAAAGGTGTTGAGGGAAAGACTCCCGTCTTGATAGTATTAACCTACCATAACTCTTTCAATTATCCTTCACTCCTCCAAAATTATAGTAGTTTATTTTCATACATTTGTACCTACATATTCTTTGCTATCCAGAATAACTTGGTTTTCATCAACCATTTATATTGTACCTATGCTTCAGAAAGAATTCTATGACATTCATCAAGTATTCATTGTGCATATCTGCAATGGTGCTAGCTAGGAGTGTTAATGTCTTCTTGCAAGCCTCCTTTACACAACCACCAATTTCAAAAGTAGAAAATAATTTTTATTGTCTCAATATTTTGATAGAATATTGTGAATACATTTCTTCTGGGATACACACACACACACACACACACACACACACACATATATATATATATATATACAGTCGTACAGTTATTCACCACATAATGACATTTTGGTCAATGACTGATCACTTATATGACAGTGGACCCATAAGATTATAGTGTAGCTGAAAAATTCCTATCACCTAATAGCCATCGTAACATTGCAGTGCAATATATTACTCACATATTTGTGGCAATGCCGGGGGTAAACAAACCTACAGCATTGCCAGTCACATAAAAATATGCCACACACAATTTTGTACAGTACGTAATACTTGATGATGATAATATAGAAGTGTTACTGGTTAATGTATTTCATATAGTATAATTGTTATTAGTATTTTATAGTTAACTTCTTCTATTGATTAAAAAAATTAACTGTAAAACAGTTAATGTTTCCTGAGGCAGGTCCTTCAGGAACTATTCTAGAAGAAACCTTTGTTATCATAGGAGAGGACAGCTCCATGCCTGTTACTGCCGTGAAGACCTTCCAGTGGGACAAGAGCGGGGGAAGAAGACAGTGATACTGATGATCCTGACTCTTTGTAGGCCGAGGTTAATGTGTGTGTTTGTGTCTGTTTTTAACAAAAAGGTTTAAAAAGTAAATAAATAAGTAAAATATTTAAAAGATAAAAGCTTATAGCACAAGAACAGAAAGAAAAAATCTTTTGTACATCTCTACAATGTTTTTTAAGCTAAATATTATCTCGAAAGACACAAAAATTAAAGTTGATGAAGTAAAAAGGTTAACATAAACTAAGGTTAATTTATTATCGAAGAAAAGTTTAAAATAAATTTAGTCTATCCTGGGTGCATCAAAAGCTCAGTAATTAGCACTGAAGAACTTATCCATGTAACCAAAAACCACCTGCTCCCCCAAAACTATTCAAGTAAATAAATAAATAAAATAAATTAGTTTAGCCTAAGTATACAGTGTTTATACCACCTCTAGTAGTGTATGGTGATGTTCTAAGCCATCACATTCACTCACCACTCATGTAATGACTTACTGAGAGTAACTTTCAGTCCTGCACACCCTATTCATGGTAAAAGCCCTATACAAGTCTGCCGTTTTTAATATTTTATACTGTATTTTTATTGTACTTTTCTATATTGAGATAAACATATACTTACAATTGTGCTACAGTTGCCCACAGTATTCAGTACAGTAACATGCTGTACAGGTTTGCAGCCTAGGAGCGACAGGCTATACCATATGGCCTAGTTACCTAGTAGGCTATAAAACCTAGGTTTGTGTAAGTCCACTCTATAATGTTTGAATAAGAAGGAAATCGCCTAAGGACGCACTTCTCAGAAAGTGTCCCTATCATTAAGTGATGCATGACTGTTTATACACACACACACACACACACACACACACTCACTCACAGTCACCTATATATAGCCTTGCAATTTATTTGCCTATTTACATTTTGCTTTTCTTTAGGACACTGTAAGTTGCAGTGAGGTGTGGTTAGGGTTGTCATTTTCTTCCAGCTTCTTTGCTACATGAAGCACAACATAGTGCTTGATAAATATTTTGCTACTGGAAGCATGCAGCTTTCTATGTATACAAATGTGTTGCTTCAGTGTGTTGTTTTTGCTGTTTGGCAGGTCTCTCAGTAGACACCTAAATGACAGTGTAACACACACTTACAGATCATTTAACATCTAGGCAACCTTTAGATAGAATTTCACTGAAGTTTCTCCCAGAGACTGGATTGAAGCTTGAACTTTTTTTTGGTGGGAGGAGGGTTAGGAATTGTCAAAATTCTACATATTTCTCTCATATTTTTCACTTATTTTCCTCTGCTACCCCCCTATTTAGAAATCCTCATGTAATGCCATGTGTAATAGGTGTATAAGCCACTTAATAAATACCATAAACACAGACTTAAGAAAAATCAAATACACTCATACAATCACACTCCTGTGATTACAACTCAGCACTAAAAGTGAAAACAAAATAAAACGAATTTCAAGGGCCAGGCGTGGTGGCTTATGCCTGCAATCCCAACACTGTGGGAGGCCGAGGCGGGCAGATCACCTGAGGTCGGGAGTTCGAGACCAGCCTGACCAACATGGAGAAACCCCATCTCTACTAAAAATACAAAATTAGCCAGGCGTCGTGGTGCATGCCTGTAATCCTAGCCACTTGGGAGGCTGACGCAGGAGAATTGCTTGAACCCAGGAGATGGAAGTTGTGGTGAGCCGAAATCACACCATTGCACTCCAGCCTGGGAAACAAGAGTGAAAGTCCATCTCAAAAAAAAATGAATTTCAAGCAATAGAAATAATATTTTGCAACATTTCTAAGGGCAAATATTTAAAGGAAAGCATGTTATTGTTCATGTTGTTCTGTTATGTCAGGACTGATGAGAAACTGTTCAAATAAAAGTTCAAAGGTCTGGAAACATTAGGAAACAGCCAAACAGTAAAGTAAAAACTTTTTGGAAATCAAAGGGTAAAGCATAATGATCGAAACTCCATGTACAGACATAGTTTAATTAGTATCCTAGACCTTGGTAGAGATTTTGTTTGCAATTCCTTTGATATGGTGGCCTTAATTTCAACATGAAATAAAATGGGACCGTTTATAAAATATCATAAGAAGCAGTTTGTAGTATTAATAAAGAGGTGATACATTACTTCATTCTCAACATTTAAGAGCTCAGAAGAAGCAATTTCTTGACAGTTCACTGGTTTATATATAAATGATATTTTCTATTGTTTCAGTAAAATATATTTCCCTCTGTTGAAGGATAATTCAATTGAAATGGGAATTCCTCCATTTTAATGACCTTTAAAATTTAAATGATCAAATCTAGGAAACTAAAATCCAAAAAGCATTTTGAAGGTGGCCAAATCTTTTTGAGATTGATTGTTCTAGTTAGTGGCATTGCAGAGTGTATGCAGAATTACACTAATACTTCACCTTGCCACCGTTAGTATAGCAGGTTTTCCCTCATTTAATTCCTCTTTACATTCTCTATTTGGTGGCCATTTACCTTTGCAACTTAGAGGATGGAGAGAACTAATTTTATTCTATTTTCCTGCTAATTGCATGTTAGAAAGTATTTCCATAAAATAGATTAATATTATAACTCATTTAAAATATTTTCATCCATTTATTCATTTAAAAATATGTAAGCATACACACAAAAACCGATAAATGTATCTGAAAAAGGAACTAAATATTCAGGTCTGTTTTGAACTTACCTTCTCCCCCAACAGAGGATATCCGTGAGATTAGAATTACACTGACCAGGAGCCACATGCTTGGTAGTTCCAATCTTATATAACTAAAAATACTTCAGTGGTGGTGGTGTTGCTTTGAATCTGCTTTCATTAACAGTTATGAGCATGACTTTGAATTTCAGTGTACTAACTGGAAGCTAGTTTAGTAAAGTCCTTTGTGGTAAACATCAAAGTT
This sequence comes from Homo sapiens, assembly GCF_000001405.40. Classification (NCBI taxonomy): domain Eukaryota; kingdom Metazoa; phylum Chordata; class Mammalia; order Primates; family Hominidae; genus Homo; species Homo sapiens. Next base: position 196,819,688 of record NC_000001.11, on the reverse strand, counting down.
CATGGAGGGTTGTGCAAAATAAGCAAATAGTGTCTAATCAGTGTTTTCACAATAATACTCTGAGTTTATCATGTAATATTAACTTGAGCAAAATAAAAGCTGTTCAATTTCCTTGTTGTGGTCCCTGAGTCTCTGAGTTTGGAATATTCAGAAATGGGCCATTGAAGAGGAAAGAGGAAGCCCCTTCTTTTTTCTAGCCAAGAGTTCAGCTACATCAGTAGGCAAGCAAGTGAAGGTGATCAGTCCTCATCTTAACATAACAGCATCACTGTTCTAGTTATAAATTCCACTTAAAACTGGTATTAAGAATGAGGTAACTTCAGACCATCCTGGCTAACATGGTGAAACCCCATCTCTACTGAAAATACAAAAATTAGCTGGGCGTGGTGGTAGGTGCCTGTAGTCCCAGCTACTTGGGAGGCTGAGGCAGGAGAATGGCGTGAACTCGGGAGGCGGAGTTCGCAGTGAGCTGAGATCGCACCACTCCCCTCCAGCCAGGGTGACAGAGCGAGACTCCGTCTCAAAAAAAAAAAAAAAAAAAAAAGAATGAGGTAACTTCTTAATAGTTTTCATATTTTTAGACTATAAAAAGTCAAATCAAGAATAATTTTTGGTATGTAATGGTTCCCAAAATTGTTGAACAAATTTTACTTCAAAATAATTTTGTTCTGATGGGACTTTGAGAATGGGTATTTCTGGGTCTTGGTATATTCACTCACCACCAAAAGGCAGCAATAAAACTGGATAAAATTATAAAAATAATCTCTAGAAATTGGCCAAAGAGCATACTGTTGGGAAATATTTATTCCAGAAAGTCCACATAAATCTCAGTAAAAAAGAGTGGATGCTTTTATCCACCTTTGTCTCACAGCTCAGTTCTGTGGCTCAGAAGTTGAACCCTGGGTAGGCAAGCAGTCTGTGTGGACTGGAAACTCTGCTGCTCCACTGGAGGGGAGTGACTTTATAGCGTGGAAAATTCCCTGCCCAAGGATCCTATTGAATATAAAGAGGTTACAGTGGGAAGCAAGTAGAGAAGATTAGTATGTGTAGAGGATATTAGCTGGGGCAAGCAACAAAGTGGCCAGTCAGTCAAAAATTTAATGGCAAAATTTGGAGAAAGGGACAGCCTAAGGACTTCCACTAAGATGAAACTTACTGATGGTGGTTCAGAAGTCAATGGGAATGCATATAGCTATGTTCAATCAAGAAACCAGAGAAGTCTCTGTGAGCTACTAGTCTCCACTATTGATTCTAGTCTATCTAAACCTTATCATTTCCAATTAAACTACCTAAATTATCTAAAGTGTCACACTCTAGACCATTTCAACAATCTTTTTAGCTCACTTACTCTACTAAATTTGTTCCAACCATTCAATGACACTGATGCTTTTTCACTATTCTTTTCCCTTCACTTTCTCTCTTCCCACCATACCCAAATTAGATTCAATGGTTCATCACTGTAAGTCAATCCCTTGCACACACTCTCCTGCCCATTCCTTTCTTTCTATCTGTAATCCAAGTTTTAGAAAACCTCAAACCTTTGCAAATAAATTCTCTGCCTGCCCTGTCTCTGAACTGAAGCAGCAGAGTGTGTCTACAAGAAAAACAAATGCGGTCACCGCTCCAAGATGGCTGAATAGGAACAGCTCTGGTCTGCAGCTCCCAGCGTGACCAGCGCAGAGGATGGGAGATTTCTGTATTTCCAATTGAGGTACCTGGTTCATCTCATTGGGACTGGTTGGACAGTGGGTACAGCACATGGAGGGGGAGCCGAAACTGGGCGGGGCATTGCCTCACCCTGGAAGTGCAAGGGGTCAGGGGATTTCCCTTTCCTAGCCAAGGGAAGCCATGGCAGACTGCACCTGGGAAAAATGGGACATTCCTGCCCAAATACTGCACTTTTCCGAGGGTCTTAGTAAACGGCAGACCAGGAGACACTCTCCTGCTCCTGGTTCGGTGGGTCCCACACCCACGGAGCCTTGCTGACTGCTAGTGCAGCAGTCTGAGATCAACCTGTGAGGCAACAGCCTGGTGGGGGGAGGGGCATCCGCTATTGCTGAGGCTTGAGTAGGTAAACAAAGTGGCCTGAAAGCTTGAACTGGGTGGAGCCCACTGCAGCACAGCTAGGCCTGCTGCCTCTGTAGACCCCACCTCTGGGGGCAGGGCATAGCTAAACAAAAGGCAGCAAACTTTAAACGTCCCTGTCTGACAGCTCTGAAGAGTGAGGTGGTTCTCCCAGCATGGCATTTGAGCTCTGAGAACAGACAGACTGCCTCCTCAAGTGGGTCCCTGACCCCTATGTAGCCTAACTGGGAGACAACCTCCCAGTAGGCGACGACTTACACCTCATACAGGCAAGTGCCCCTCTGGGACAAAGCTTCCAGAGGAAGGATCAGGCAGCAATATTTGCTGTTCTGCAATATTTGCTATTCTACAGCCTCTGCTGGTGATACCCAGGAAACAGGGTCTGGAGTGGACCTCCAGCAAAATCCAACAGACCTGCAGCTGAGGGACCTGATTGTTAGAAGGAAAACTAACAAACAGAAAGGAATAGCATCAACATCAACAAAAAGGACATCCACACCAAAACCCCATCTGAAGGTCACCAACATCAAAGACCAAAGGTAGGTAAAAACCACAAAGATGGGGAGAAACCAGAGCAGAAAAGCTGAAAATTTGAAAGAATCAACAAAATTAATATACCCCTAGCAATACTAATAAAGAAGAAAAGAGAAAGGAATCAAATAGATGCAATAAAAAATGATAAAGGGGATATCACCACCGATCCCACAGAAATACAAACTACCATCAGAGAATACTATAAACACCTCTATGCAAATAAACTAGACAATCTAGAAGAAATGGATAAATTCCTGAACACATACATCCTCCCAAGACTAAACCAGGAAGAATTTGAATGTCTGAATAGACCAATAACAGGTTCTGAAATTGAGGCAATAATTAATGTCCTACCAACCAAAAAAAGTCCAGGAGCAGATGGATTTACAGCTGAATTCTACCAAAGGTACAAAGAGGAGCTGGTACCATTCCTTCTGAAACTATTCCAATCAATACAAAAAGCGGGACTCCTCCCTAACTCATTTTATGAGGCCAACATCATCCTGACACCAAAACCTGGCAGAGACACAACAAAAAAATAGAATTTTAGACCAATATCCCTGATGAACATTGATGCGAAAATCCTCAATAAAATACTGGCAAACGGAATCCAGCAGCACATCAAAAAGCTTATCCACCACGATCAAGTCGGCCTCATCTCTAGGATGCAAGGCTGGTTAAACATATGCAAATCAATACACATACTCCACCACATAAACAGAACCAAAGACAAAAACCACATGATTATCTCGATAGATGCAGAAAAGGCCTTCAACAAAATTCAACAGCCCTTCATGCTAAAAACTCTCGGGGAACTAGGTATTGATGGAATGCATCTCAAAATAATAAGAGCTATTTATGACAAACCCTCAGCGAATATCATTCTAAATGGGCAAAAACTGGAAGCATTCCCTTTGAAAACTGACACACGACAGGGATGTCCTCTCTCACCACTCCTATTCAACATAGTTTTGGAAGTTCTGGCCGGGGATTTCCGTCAAGAGAAAGAAATAAAGGGTATTCAATTAGGAAAAGAGGAAGTCAAATTGTCTCTGTTTGCAGATGACATGATTGTGTATTTAGAAAACCCCATCGTCTCAGCCCAAAATCTCCTTAGGCTGGTAAGCAACTTCAGCAAAGTCTCAGGATACAAAGTCAATGTGCAAAAATCACAAGCTTTCCTACACACCAATAACAGACAAGCAGAAAGTCAAATCATGAGTGAACTCTCACTCACAATTGCTACAAGGAGAATAAAATACCTAGGAATCCAACTTACAAGGGATGTGAAGGACGGACCTCTTCATGGAGAACTATGATCCACTGCTCAACGAAATAAAAAAGGACACAAACAAATGGAAGAACATTTCATGCTCATGGATAGGAAGAATCAATATTGTGAAAATGGCCATACTGCCCAAGGTGATTTATAGATTCAATGCCATTCCCATCAAGCTACTAATGTCTTTCTTCACAGAATTGGACTAAACTACTTTAAAGTTCATATGGAACCAAAAAAGAGCCCTCATTACCAAAGCAATCCTAAGCAAAAAGAACAAAGCTGGAGGCTTCAAGCTACCTGACTTCAAACTATGCTACAGTAACCAAAACAGCATGGTACAGCATGGTACCGGTACCAAAACAGAGATATAGACCAATGGACCAGAACAGAGGCCTCAGAAATAACACCACACATCTACAACCATCTGATCTTTGACAAACCTGAGAAAAACAAGAAATGGAGAAAGGATTTCCTATTTCTTAAATGGTGTTGGGAAAACTGGCTAGCCATATATAGAAAGCTGAAACTGGATCCCTTCCTTACACCTTATACAAAAATTAATTCAAGATGGATTAAAGACTTAAATGTTAGACCCAAAACCATAAAAACCCAAAAAGAAAACCTAAGCCATACCATTCAGGACATAGGCACGGGCAAGGACTTCATCACTAAAACACCAAAAGCAATGGCAACAAAAGCCAAAATAGACAAATGGGATCTAATTACACTGAAGAACTTGTGCACAGCAAAAGAAACTACCATCAGGGTGAACGGGCAACCTACAGAATGGGAGAAAATTTTTGCAATCTACCCATCTGATAAACGGCTGATAGCCAGAATCTACAAAGAACTTAACAAATTTAGAAGAAAAAAACAAACCCATCAAAAAGTGGGCAAAGGATAAGAACAGACTCTTCTCAAAAGAAGATATTTATTCAGCCAACAGACACATGAAAAAATGCTCATCATCACTGGTCATCAGAGAAATGCAAATCAAAATGGCAATGAGATACCATCTCACACCATTTAGAATGGCGACCATTAATAAGTCAGGAAACACCAAATGCTGGAGAGGATGTGGACAAATAGGAACACTTTTACACTGTTGCTAGGAGTGTAAATTAGTTCAACCATTGTGGAAGACAGTGTGGCAATTCCTCAAGGATCTAGAACTAGAAATACCATTTGACCCAGCCATCCCATTACTGGGTATATATACCCAAAGGATTATAAATCATGCTACTATAAAGACACATGCACACGTATGTTTATCATGGCACTATTCTCAATTGCAAAGGCTTGGAACTAGCCCAAATGTCCATCAGTGGTAGACTGGATTAAGAAACTGTGGCACATATACACCATGGAATACTATGCAGCCATAAAAAGGATGAGTTCATGTCCTTTGAAGGGACATGGATGAAACTGGAAACCATCATTCCCAGCAAACTATCACAAGGACAGAAAACCAAACACCGCATGTTCTCATTCATAGGTGGGAATTGAACAATGAGAACACTTAGACACAGGGCGGGGGACATCACACACCAGGGCCTATCATGGGGTGGGGGGCAGGGGGAGTGATAGCATTAGGATAAATACCTAATGTAAATGACGAGTTGATGGGTGCAGCAAACCAACATGGCACATTTATACCTATGTAGCAAACTTGCACATTGTGCACATGTACCCTAGAACTTAAAGCATAATAATAAAGATAAATAAATAAATAAAGGTTTACATTATGAAGAGTTGAAAAAAAAAACCAAATGCAACGGTGCTGACTTGCCTTGCTTTAAATTAATGATCATAGGCCTAAATGATTTTGACACTTCCTTTCTCCTCCTCTGTTTTATTATCTCCCTCCTTAACCATCAGTCCTCACCTTGTACTTTGCTAATGACTTTATTTATTTTTTTCATCTAGATATAGAAGCAATCAGAAGAAAACTACCTGCTGTTCACACACATCCTTTTTTGCATTGTCTCCTGTTTCACTGGATGTTGATCCTTACTCCTATCCTGTTATGGTCTCTACCAGATTTGATCCCCTCTTTTCTATGCAAGGATTTTGCTCTTTCAATTATTCCCTCTCAACTGTTATCATTAATTTCTCCATTTTTCAAATTATTTCTGCCAATATGCGAAAATACCAAACATCTTCCATCTTAAAGAGCAACAACAACAAAAAAAGCTCAAAAAATCCTTTGTGGAACCAAATCTCTTTCTAGTAAGCTCCCAATTCTCTTCTCATTTTATAATACAATGACTCCAATGTATTAGCTACAATTTCTGCCTCATTTCATTTTTTCATTCCCACCACTACACTTAAACCTCTCTTGTAACAGTCATCAATATCTTCTTTGTAATCAAATCCATTGGTTGAAACTGAATAATCAGCAAAAATTCACATGAGTTTCCCATCCTTCCATTTTGAAATACCTGCTTCACATGGTCTATGGAACAACACATTCTCCTGGTTTCTCTTCTGTCTGAAAGGCTTCACCATGTCAATGTTTTGATGGCTTCTTCTAAACTCTCTGACATTTAAATACTGGCTTGTCTGAATCTAGGGGATGTTATCATTTATTTATGAGCACAGAGTTAATTTTCACAGAGCTAGTGCCAATTTTTAGTTGAATTAACAGTATCTTCTCTTGTCTATTCTTTTTTGAAGCAGTACTCAACAATTATTTTCCAATTTTTTTGCTGAATATTTCTTCCATTCTTCTAATTTGGAAACTTAGATTTTCCTTTTGTTTTTCTGTTTCTTATTTTAAGTAATTTCAGTAGATTATGCCCTCCCATGTATTATCAAGTACAATAACTGAGACCAGGGAATTGACATCAGCACAGAGTGAGACCCTGTCTCAAAAAAAACTGAAAAACTTTTAATTGATTTATTTATGCACATATAAAGTACAAACATTAATTTATTTCTAAAATCCTGTATAATTTTACAAACTTCAACACATTTTATTTTCATCTTTTTTATTTGTTTTGTGTTCTCTGTTTTCGGTGCCCATTGTGTTCCATCAGTTGATAAGTTTTAATGGATAATGACTTGACTTTTACCTACTAACTGAGCAAAGAAATGAGAACAGGTTGTGATGTCCTACTCATGCTATTTTCCTCCAGGGATCATGTAAGCTGATCATGCAAGAGTTTACCTAATCCATAGCTTCCTCCGTTGCTAAGAGCTCCAGCATTCTCCAGCTGTACTCCATAAAGTCCTTCCTATACATCCCATCCTTTACTTACAGGACATATTCTTCCTACTGATGCTCAAGACCAAACCATTTTAGAAAAATATGTCTCATAGCAGAATTGTGCAAGTTTACTAAAAATGCTCTCAGATGTTTTATATCATGTTTGGTGCCCTGAAAGTAATTTATGAATGGTTGCTAATGGAAAACACCTTCATTTCCTTCTTCAGCCTTTTTTCAACTCAATCAGGATAACTTTTTGTTCCCAAAACAGTCAAGCTTTACACTTCAGTATCTTTCTTGTTTGTCTGTCAACCACTCTCAAGGATTTTCTATTTTCTTGCATATTTGTGGATAGTTTTAAAATCATTTAAGAACAGTATAGAGATTTTACATTTCATGTTATATTTAAAACCATTAATATGATTTTATTTTAATGTAAGCTTAAGTATTTACAACTCCTGTCATATAATTTAATATTTCTTTTTGGGTAATAAGAGTGCTCTCAGTTTTTCTGGTTATAGTGAAGTTGCAGAAAAATTGTTTGTAAATAATATTTTAAAAAGTTATTTACGTAAATTTTGAGTAGTGGGAAGGAAAAGACAAAATATTGGTGCATTTTTTTAGGTTCTGGTTAAACCCTAGCATGTTGTTTATAAACCTATACATATCTGTTTATGCTGACTCAAACTATGTATATGTAAACTGTTTCTACCATAACTGTATAGGCTTAAATATTTAATCTTACTAATTTTATAATAAAACATTCTACTGTTTTTTACAAAAGTATTTACATTTTTTGAACACTTTCCATTTACTTGTTTACTATTTTGCTTTAACTGTATGAATTATTTATGCCTGTACCTTTCTACTGGAACATCACTGATTTTCTCAGTAAATTGAATCAGTTTTTAATATTATAATTTTTTATTGTACATGATTTGCATGGAATTTCCAATTAATTTTCTTCTTGAATTTGATGTTTATTGGGGCTACAAATGCCCATTTTTGTATTCTCAAATATTTTAGTATTTCACCTTTATGAAGTAAGAAACCTGATACTTAAAAAAAGTATTTCTTATGTCTCAATAAATGTCAAATTCATTTTGCATAGATATTGTACTGGATATTACAAATCACACACGGTAGAAACTGATGTCTCAAATAGTGCTGCTCCTATCTGAACATTCTATATTGTTAACTCCTGACTTCCTGACTGTAATTCAGTCTCCACGCTCATGAAACCGTGGTCCGTCTGTCTATGCATCTCACTTGCTTAAAATCCATCCATGGCTCCCTGATCACTCTCTGAGTAAAGTTCAGTCTTCTTGTCAGGTCTATAAAATCTTAAAATCTTTTCTGATTCCATACCTCACATCACTCATCACAGTGAATACCCTGAGTTTTAGTCATGCTAACTTTTTGAAACTTCCCAATTATGTTTTTTCTTTATCTTGTTGTTGGTCTTTCACATTCTGTTTCTCCTAAGTATTGATTTTCTCCGCATCTACCTACCAAAATTATATGCAAGTTTGAACCTCACATGAAATATCATCTCCTTTCAGATCTATTTCCTGGCCTCCAAGAGGGTGTTTATTTTTTGTCTAAATTCTTGTAGTGTCTTTCATCTTTTTCTATTAATGTGCTTATTATATTGTTATAGTTTTTATATGTGGGATTTTGTATCTGTTATATCTATAAGCTGCCTTTAACTCACTGCTGCTGACCTGTGTGATCAAGTTGCAGGAGAAAAAATTTCTTGTTACATAGGCTGATGCAAAAAGAAAAAGTAGGTTTCTACTGACCAACTCTGTTTTCCTTTGAATAATATAAATGATAACAGTAGCTTCGATTTATTGAATACTTACTATATGGTTATAAGTATTGTTAAATGCCCAGTATACTAAAACCTATTTACATACATTTGTGAATTAAATTCTGATTTCAAAAATGTCATCTCCATTTTGCAGATGAAACTCAGAGATGCAGATGTACTCCTACAAATATACATTATTTAATGACTGAAGCAGTATTTAATGAAAGACATAGACATTTATTGGGATAGTTTTCATGTAGAAGTATTTTATTTGCTTTTATATATATTAAGTTGTTTAGTCTTACCAGGTGGTAAGAATGTTGGTGTTGGATTGCTGAAGGAATTCACAGGACTCAAACAACTTATGCTCACAAAAAGGCTGTATCACAGGCAAAGGGCACAGCAGCAGTAGGAGAGGGTTGTTCGTTGAGGGATCCATCCATAGAACTCACACGCAGACTTCTTTGTCCTACCACCACTGGGTCATACAGGATGCATTTTTTCTACAGATACAAACCACATCAGCATGTGTGTGTGTGAGAAACCTGAATTTCCTTTGTTTCACTGAAGCATATGCTATACATCACTCCAGTAATGATGTTGCTCAAGCCTGCTGCTTCCCAGATCCATGGCATTTTGTTTTAGTAATGGTAGTGTGTCTGGAATTAGTGGGTTCTTGGTCTCACTGACTTCAAGAATGAAGCCGCGGACCCTCGCGGTGAGTGTTACAGTTCTTAAAGGTGATGCATCTGGAGTTTGTTCCTTCTGATGTTCACACGTTTGGAGCTTCTTCCTTCTGGTGGGTTCGTGGTCTCACTGGCTTCAGGAGTGAAGCTGCAGACCTTCAGTGAGTGTCACAGCTCTTAAGGTGGGATGTCTGGTGTTGTTCGTTCCTCCCATCTGGAGTTGTTCGTTCCTCCCATCTGGAGTTGTTCGTTCCTCTTAGTGGGTTCGTGGTCTCACTGGCTGGCCTCAAGAGTGAAGCTGCAGACCTCTGCAGTGAGTGTTACAGCTCATAAATGCAGTGTGGAACCAAAGAGTGAGCAGCAGCAAGATTTATTGCAAAGAGGGAAAGAACAGTGTAGAACTGGACCCCCGAGGGTTGCCACTGCTGGCTGGGGCAGCCTGCGTTTATCCCTTATCTGGCCCCACGCACATCCTGCTGATTGGTCCATTTTACAGAAAGCTGATTGGTCTGTTTTACAGAGAGCTGATTGGTCTGTTTTGACAGGGTGCTGATTGGTGCGTTTACCTTGAGCTAGACACAGAGTGCTGATTGGTTTATTTACAATCCCTTAGCTAGACATAAAGGTTCTCCAAGTCCCCACCAGATTAGCCACATACAGAGTGCTGATTGGTGCATTCACAAACCTGGAGCCAGACACAGAGTGCTGCTTGGTGCATTTACAAACCTTGAGCTGGACACACAGTGCTGATTGGTGTATCTACAATCCCTTAGCCAGACATAAAGGTTCGCCAAGTCCCCACTAGACTCAGGAGCCCAGCTGGCTTCACCTAGTGGATCCCACAGCTGGCTGCAGGCAGAGCTGCCTGCCAGTCCTGCACCCTGCACCCGCACTCCTCAGCCCTTGGGCGGTTAATGGGAACGGGCGCTGCGGAGCAGCGGGCAGTGCTCGTCAGGGAGGCTCTGGCTGCACAGGAGCCCATGGCAGCGGGGTGGCTCAGGCATGGCTGGCTGCAGGTCCCAAGCCCTGCCCCACAGGGAGGCAGCTGAGGCCTGGTGAGAGTTCGAGCTCTGCGCTGGCCTGCTGGCACTGCTGGGGGACCCGGATCACCCTCTGCAGCTGCTGGCCTGGGTGCTAAGCCCCTCACTGCCCGGGCTGGCTGTGCTGGCCGGCCATTCCAAGTGTGGGCCTGCAGATCCCACACCCACCTGGAAGTCCTCCTGGCCCACAAGCTCTGTGGGCAGCCCGGGTTCCTGCCCATGTCTCTCCCTCCGGGCCTCTCACTCCACACCTCCCCGCAAGCTGAGGGAGCCAGCTCTGGCCTCAGCCAGCCCAGAAAGGGGCTCCCACAGTGCAGTGGGCTGAAGGGCTCCTCAATAGCGGCCAGAGTGGGTGCCGAGGCCGAGGAGGCACCAAAAGCGAGTGAAGGCTGCGAGGGCTGCCAGCACACTGTCGCCTCTCAGTAGGGTCTTTGTGAGACAAGGTATTTCACTGTAACAGACATCAGACTAAAAGGTAAGAGAGAAAATTATTTTTTTGCTGTAAGACTCTCTAGAAGCAAAGTTATGTTTGATTTTTCCCTTTAAATAGTATATTTGTTAGATCTCTTATTTAGGCAATTATGTCACCTTCTTTTTATCTATCACTTATTTTAACCCAAACTTTCCTCTCCAAAAAGAAATATCAGGTTTGACCATGGAGTTAACCTATTCACTGGAAATAACAATCTTGCTAAGGCTTCTTTCTTGGTTTATTTTCATTCACATGGGATAGGATTAGAAATGTACAAACTTACTGGCCTGTTACCTCTACTTGGTAACAAAGCATTTCCACCTGAAGGCCCGGTTAGGCCAGGTGAGAGGACGGGACATTCTAGCTTCTGTGATCTCTGTTGCAACTACTCTGTTGGCCCTGATAGTGTAACATGGGGAATACGTAAACTAGTGAACATGGTTGTGTTCCAATAAAACTTTATGGACACAAATATGTAAATTTCATATAAATTTTATGAATATTTTAATTATCAAATGATTTTTCTTACTTTAATTTTAAAAAGATGTCAAAATGTAAAAACCATTGTAGTCAGAGCCCTACAAAAATAGGCAGCAGGCCACAGTTCCCCATGACTGTCATTTGCCAGTCCTTCATCTGGCCCACCAATCCCTTCTGAATTCATTTAAATTAAAAACTATAGACAGTAACTCCTGTTTAAATATGAGTGATGTGTCAAGAACTGTTCATTTTAAACTGGACTCAGAAATTATGGGGTAAGGCAGAAAAGAAGAAAATTGTGCTGTGTTTGAAAAGACTTGTAGATAAGTGCCGGTTTCATCCCCAAATCGTTCTTACTTCTACCACTCTATCTAGGAAATTTATCTAATAGTAAATCATCTTTGGTTTCTCCCATGTTTAACTTTTTATTTTAATTTTATGTTTTACTTTTATTTTAGATTCAGGAGCACATGTGCAGGTTTGCTACATAGGTAAATGGCATGTCAGAGGGGTTTGGTGTGCAAATTATTTTGTCACTTAGGTAATAAGCATAGTACTCAAAAGGTGGCTTGTTAAATCTTCACTCTCCTCCCATCCTCCACCCTCAAGTATCTGTTGTTCTCTTCTTGGTATCCATATGTACTCAGTGTTTAGCTTTCACTTATAAGTGACAACATACGGTATTTGGTTTTCTGTTCCTGTGTTAGTTTGCTTAGATAACGGCCTCCAGCTCCATCTCTGTTCGTGCAAAGGACATTATCTCACTATATTTTACGGCTGCACAGTATTCCATGGTAAATGTGTACCACATCTTAAAAATCCAATCTACCGTTGATGGACATTTAGATTCAATCTCCAAGCCAAGCAAAAATGAGTTCCAAAATTGAATCAGTAATTAAAAGCCTACCAACCAGCAAAAGCCCAGGACCAGACGGATTCACAGGCAAATTCTACCAGATATGAAAGGAAGAGCTGGTATCATTCCTACTGAAACTATTCCAAAAAATTGAGGAGGAGGGACTCCTTCCTAAATCATTCTATGAGGCCAGCATCACCTAATGCCAAAACCTGGCAGAGACACAGCTGAAAAGGAAAACTTCTGGTCAATATCCTTGATGAACATAGATGCAAAAATAGTCAACAAAATCTGATCAAACTGAATCTGGCAGCATATCAAAACGCTAATACACCACAATCAAGTAGGCTTTATTCCTGTGGTGCAAGGTTGGCTCAACAAACATGAATCAATAAATGTTATTCATCACAGAAACCAGAACTAAAAACAAAACCACATGATTATCTCATGTTTAATTTTAATGCACAACTTGAAAACAAGTAAACCAGCTCTTTCATCCTTTATTACTGACCTATCTGCCCCAGTCTTTATTTTTGGCAGGTATTTCAATTAATGATTTCAAATATTTCCACTACTCTGCAGAAGATAAAGGATATGATATATATATTCGATGTGGTGTTTATTTGCCCATTGTTGTATATCACGTGCTGTAAAATAGCTTCCTTGATCAGAAGAATATAACTTGGTGGGCAAAAACAATTCAGATTATTTAATTTTCATACGTTAGATTTAACTTCCATGAAAAAAACCAAGTCTCAAATACGTTTTAGTGGCCTTCAAAGCTTGCTTAAATCTTCCTGGTGTTAAGAACGAACATCAAATATAATCTATTTACTAGCTGTATGCTGGGCCATCACCCCAGTGGATATGTCCTAATGAATTTTTAAATCTTACCTATCTTGCTAAGAAACTGGACCATTATGGTAAACAATTTATACCTTTTCTGGTGCTTCTGTTGGTTTAGGTCCTTCTGTGACCATTCCTTTCATGTATATAAGTAGTTACTTCTAGGTAATGAACCGAAATACCTATTTGTTGACTCCAGTCGCTTTCCAATCCTGGTAGAGTTTTTATTTTGGTGGGCATCAGCTTGTCCCAGTTTGATTTGTCTTTTTAATTCCCATAAAGGTAGTATCTCGGGCAACAAGTACTTGAATCAACTATTTTTGCATTAATTAATCACTGGTCATGAATTGGTATCAACCCATGTGATCTGGCCTTTTATGTCCTCAATGTCTTCCATAATAGCGAGAAAACACATTAAAGTTTACCCTATTGAATTCCTTTAGTCTTATATTTACCCATGAGGATCTGCCACAACTTTCCAGGTAGAGTAGTAACCATTCATTTATGAACTGCCATCAGAAAGACAGGATAATCATCTAGCCTCTGGCAGCAGGTGTTCTAATGGAGAATCCCTTTAAACTTTTCCTTCAGTAGCCTAAGACAGAGCTTCAGCAGTCTCTAGAGTGAGTCCCAGAAAAAGAGGAGGTATTTGCTCATGAATATGACCAAGGCCATTGCTGTACCTTCTTGTAGAATTTTCCTTCATATAAAATTTCCATTTAATAATGGAACTCTTTTGGGTATTCTCTTTTTTTTGGTGTGTTTTTCAGACAAAACCCTGACACTTTGGACATTTCAGAAGTTAAAATAATTGTATACCCTTCAACTATTGGAACCATGTCAGTCAATGCCCTATACTATGCCAAATGACAGGTAATTTGTTTCTTCTTTTTTTCTTCATTGTTCTTGCTAGAAATATATCATTTATTCTTCTCAAAGAACTAACTTTGATTGGTTTTATTCATTCTTTGAGAAGATTAAGAAAACAGTTTTTTCTATATTGCACTTGCTTCATTGATTTATACACTAATATTCATGATTTCCTACCTTCTTAAGTTGGAACTTAGGTTAGTGTTTTGAGATATTTCTTCTTTTCTAATATACCATTTAATGACATCTCACAATTCTATGGGGCATAGAATTTTGGTGGGGATCAAATGGATAAATCTTTTATTTTCTGTGTATTAATGGAGACATTCATTGTTATTCATCTGGTTAATCTTCTGCGGTGGAGGGTTCAATATGTCTTCAGTCACATATTTGGTGCTTTGCCAGCAACAAGTGAAATTTGGGGTTTAGGTGACTCCTGTCACTCTCAGGGCCTCTCTACAGGGTACCCAGAATTCTCTCATGCTGATTAGAAGCTACAAGACACCAAGGCAGAAGCTGCTATTTTTTTAAAGCTTACATCCGTAACTGGCATAGAGATACTTATACCATATCCTATTGGTCAGAAAAGTCATGGGTTAGCACAAGTTCAAGATGATGGGGAAATAGGTCACTTAATCAGAGGATTTTCAAATTATTTGTGGACATCTTTAATCTGCAAAACATAGTAACTATGATACATTACATACTAATATTTTAATTTATCTCCACTCTGAGGTACGTATGTGTCATAAAAATAATTGCATTTAAGAATGTACTCCATTATGATTACTTACCTAGTTCATCTTTATTGGTGTCATCAAATGTAACCAAGTCTTACCTATTTTAGAAATCATATTTAAATGTGTTTTCAAAGTTTAATTGTATCTAATGAAAGAGTAATGTTTTATTTCTCTACCTCGGTAGCGCTCACCCATGTTTTTGACAGTTTTCTGCCTGTTTCTTTAAGAAAAGTTTTAAAAACAAGTCTGTGATATTTTCTGTAATTTCATAGAAGACTGATAATTTGACCCTTGTTAAAATTCTTGCAAGAGAATCTTTAGGTGTACACCAGATTGAAGATAAATAAGAATCTGAGTTAAGTGCTCAAATCACATTTTTTAGGTTGTTCATCTAAAATAAGTATAATAAATAACTGGATTTCATAAGATGCAGCTGAGGGAGCTCATCAACTAATAAAGGAAAGGAGATGGAAGAACTTCAGAGGTCACAGACACTCATTGAGTCATCTCCCTTAAACATATGAATTCAAGGTGAAGATTAGGATAATCAGACACTACACATAAGAGTCACAATTCTCACTATGCTGTTGACATTAATGCTGTGTTAAATAATTTTCAGCAGTTAACATAATGATAGGTAAAAATGTGAATTGCTAGTTCTGAAAGCAAGATCACTGCTGTTAGCTTAGCAGTGTAGGAGTGGCAGAGTGGTATCAGAAGTGGACACTGAGCTTCTTTCCTTCTTCATGATATGGCAAAGGCACCATGAAATTTAAGGAGGATAGGATGAAGGGTATGACAAATGTTTATTGCCAGGGTGTTACCAATCCACTCTTTGTCTGAAGGGAAAATCCTCAGAGGAAGATTATCTGGAATGAATTGTAGGAGTGTAGTTTGGAGTATATGACTTTGACTCAAGAGTTTGTTTTATATATATATATATATATATATATATATATATATATATATATATATATGTATTTAGAATGTGATACAAAATGATGGAGAAATTACTAGAAATACATTTTCTTGGTTGCTGCTAGCAAGTTTGGTGATATTAAAACATCTCATGGTGGAAAGTAAAGCAAATGAACATTCAACCCCAGCAATATTGAGATAAATATCTGAACCAAATATAATTGGCTTCATGTGTGACAAAGGTTTTGATGGAGACTTGGGGAGATACAGGTTAAATCATGGCACTCCTTCACTCTGACCCTTCATCAACAGATCCTACCTTCCAAGCGCCAGGATTTAAAGACCAAATGACCATCAATACTAGAGAAATAACATTAAATATGTGGTCTGTTTTGCAAAACAGAGAAGTATCGGTGCCTGCCAGATTAATCTTTCCACAGAGTCCTTGAAATAAATGGTTTGTAATTTGGTAGTGAATTCAATTACCGACTTATAGTCAGATTTTGGAAAAGGGCTCTCTTCACCTGGTCTTAGTTATTCTTGTTAAATGGGAATTTTATAATCGGTCAAACCAGCCTCTCTAGTGAATATTAAGTAATACCAAATCTTGGGAAGATAGTGAGAGATTTTAATTGCTTAAAAATGTGAAGTGGTAAGATGATGTATTAGTGTTTTCCAGAGAAACAGAATGTATAGTGTGAGGTGTGTATAGATAGATGAGATAGAGATTTGTTTTATGCAATTGGTTTACTTGATTTGTGAGTATAAGCAAGTCCAAAATTCACAGGGCAGGTTAATAGAGTAGAAACTCAGAGAAGAGTTGATGTTACAGTCTTAAGGTAGAATTTCTTCTTTGGGAAGCCGAAGTTTTGACTCTTACTGCTTCAATTGATTGAATGTGACCCGCCCATATTATCAAGGGTAATCTTTACTTAAAGGCAACTTATTGTAGATGTTATTAACTCCATCTATAAAATACCTTGTTCACAGCAACACTTAGATTAATATTTGATTAAATAACTTGGATTGATAGCCTAGCTAAGCTGACACATAAAACTCACCATTGCAGATGCTAATTCTCACCAAAACACAAATGATTTTGATTAATTATGTGGATATGCATAGTTGCAAGAAGGCTAACATGAACTCCCAGGCTATGACTGTTAGGAGTTGGCATTTCAAGATACCTGAGGTTAACACTTAGATGTAATTTTTTTTCAGTTACCAAGAATATACTAGATAGTACCAAATAGCTGGAAGGAGAATATTCAGTGTTCCCAACAGAAAGAAATGATAAATGTTTGAGATAATGGAGATGCTAATTACTCTGATTACTATACATTATATATATATGTGTATATATATATGTATATATATGTGTGTGTGTATATATGTGTGTGTATATATATGTGTGTGTATATATATATATATACACTCACACACACACACACACACACACAAACACACACACACATTACTATGCACCCCATAAATATGTATGGTTATTATTTGTGAATTTTTAAAGGGGGATTAAAAGACAATTCCTTGTTCATTACTGAGCTTTGATGAAGATAGCCCTCACCATTGTGGTTAATAAATCTAAAACTCAAAATGCCTATTATTTCATAGGTAATATCAGACAAACATTCCAATTAGCATGGAACAGTTTAGAAAAACTAATAATATGGAAATGACACATGCAGCAACTCTCCACTGGTGGTTGCTCTTGGTGTATGTTACATTCATAAGCAGTTTGCAGCCAGCATTTTTGACCAATGATATAATCCACAAAAGAACTTCTGGCTCCTTTTTTGAAATGGTCTAAACTCTGTGATTCTTCTTCTCCTTGTGCAAAGCAATCTGTCTGTTTTTCTGACAGCACGTCCCAATTTGAGTGAAGCAATCACCTTGTAGATAATAAAATCTAGATTACAAGGCAAGATTCGTGGTAAATAACATTGAAAGCAATATATCTGGAAGTTTGAAAGAATTGAGTGGTTATCCCAAAGGCAATGCTTACAGATGTACAGACACATGGATTATGGCAAATGTCATGAATGGTCAGCTCGTACATATTTCCAACCCCGTAAACTGTTTCTGTTTTGCCAGATCCATTTTTACCAATTTAGAATTACAGCTGTAGATTTTACCACAAGAAGTCATTGCAGCTGAAAACATTACTTCAAGTCCTCTGAATTTAAGTGTACATTACTAAAGGGACAACGGGCTGAGGAATGATTATTTCTCTCACTAAACTAAGACTGCCTAGATGCTGCCCCCTGACTAGTGGTAGAGATACTCCTGCCATATTTTATATTTGTAACTGTACTTTTTCTTATTGGGAATGTTCATAGAGGGAAGTTCTGGAAAGGCTATTGATGCAAGGGGCTATTGCTGCACTCTATGGGTGGGTATTATAGCTCACCTATGGACTTCCATCCACAGATGCTAAGCTTGGTTAAGATTGATAGTAAACAGAAAATGGCAAAAAGTGTGACCAATGATGAGGGAATGCATGTATGTGAGAGAACATCCCAGAGAAACAGAATAATACTCTAGGCTCCTTCTTTCTGATATGGTACTGAGGTATGGCAGATGCTGGCGGAATATATGGGGCCAGTATTACCCTGATGCCAAAATTAGACAAAGACACACCCAAAAAAGAGAAAGAAAATTACAGGTTAAAATCTCTAATAAATATCGATACAAAAATCCTCAACAAAATACTAGCAAACTGAATTCAGCAATACATTAGAAAGATCATTCATCATGACCAAATGGGGTTTACCTGTGGGATGCAAGGATGGTGCAATATACACAAGTCAATCAATGTGATACATCATATTAACAGAATGAAGGATAAAAACCATACGATCATTTCAGTTGATGCTGAAAAAGCATTCGATAAAATTCAATATCCTTCATGATGAAAACCCTCAAATACTGGGGATAGAAGGAACACACCTCAAAGTAACAAAAGCTGTATTCAACAGATACACAGTTAGTATCATACTGAATGGAGAAAAACTGAAATCCTTTCCTCAAAGGACTGGAACATGACAAGGATGCCCACTGTTACATAGTTATTCAACATAATACACGAAGTCCTAGCTACAGCAATCAGGCAAGAGAAGAATACAAAGGGCATCCAAGTTGGGAAGAAAGAAACCAAGTTATCCTTGTTTGCAGATGATATGATCTTATATTTGGAAAAACCTAAAGACTCAACCAGAAAACTATTAGAACTGATAAATTTGGTAAATTTGCTGGGTATGAAATAAACATACAGAAATCAGTAGCATTTCTATACGTCAACAGTGAACAATGTGAAAAAGAAATCAAGAAAGTAGTCCCATTTACAGTAGCCACAAATAAAGTTAAATACCTAGGAATTAAATAAAGAAGTTAAAGAGCTCTATAATGAAAACTATAAAAGCCTGATGAAAGAAATTGAAAAGGATACAAAAAGATGGAAAGATATTTTATGTTTATGGATTGGAAGAATCAACATTGTTAAAATGTCCATACTACCTAAAGCAATCTACAGATTCAGTGCAATCACTGTCAAAATACCAATAACATTCTTCACAGACGTAGGAAAAAACAATTCTAAAATTTATATGGAACCACAAAAGACCCAGAATAGCCAAAGCTATCCTAAGCAATAAGAACAAAACTAGAGGAATCATATTACCTGACTTCAAATTATACTACACAACTATAGTAATCAAAACAGCATAATAGTGGCATAAAAACAGGCACATAGACCAATGGAACAGAATAGAGAGCACAGAAGTAAATCCACACACCTACAGTGAACTCATTTCTGACAAGAGTGCCAAGAATGTACACTGGGGAAAAGACTGTCTTTCAATAAATGGTGCTGGGAAAACAGGATGTTCATATGCAGAAGAATGTAACTAGACCCTATGTCTCACCATATAAAAAAAAATCAACGTAGATTACAGACTTAAATCTAAGACCTCAAACTATGAAACTACTACAAGAAAACATTGCAGAGAATCTCCAGGATATAGGTCTGTTCAAAAATTTTGGGGGCAATATCCCATAAGCACAGGAAACCTAAACACAAATGAACCAATGGGATTACATAAAGTTAAAAATCTTCTTCTGCACAGTAAAAGAAACAACAAAGAGAAGTGACAACCCACAGAACGGGAGAAAATATTCGTGAAGTACCCATCTGACAGGGCATGAATAACCGCAATATATAAGGAGCTCAAACAACGCTATAGGAAAGATTCTAATAATCCAATTAAAAACGTGCAAAAGATTTGAATAGACATTTCTCAAACAAAGACATATAAATGGCAAACAAGCATATGAAAAGGTACTCAATATCATTGATTATCAGAGAAATGCAAATCGAAACTACAGTGTGATATCATCTAACTCCAATTAATATGGCTTATATCCAAAAATCAGTAATAAATGCTTGGGAGGATATGGAGAAAAGGGAACACTTGTACACTGTTGGTGGGAATGCAAGTTAGCATAACCACTATGGAGAACAGTTTGGAGGTTCCTCAGAAAACTAAACATTGAGCTACCATATGATCCAGCAATCCCACTGCAGGGCATATACCCAAAAGAAAGGAAATCAGTATATGGAAGAGACATCTGCATCCCTATGTTTGTTGCTGCACTGTTTACAATAGCTAAGGTTTGTAAGCAGCCTAAGTGTCCATCAACAGATGAATGGATCAAGAAAATCCATGTATATACATGGTATGTATATACAATGGAGTAGTATTCTGCCATAAAAAAGAATAAGATCTAGTTACTTATAGCAACATGGATGGAACTGGAGATCATTATGTTAAGTGAAATAAGCCAGGCACAGAAAGACAAACTTCACATATTCTCACTTATTTGTGGGATCTACAAATAAGAACAATTGAACTCATGGACATAGACAGTAGATGAATGGGCTACTGTAGCAAGGGGCTAGTGGTGGGAGGCAGTGGTTGGGGGTGTCAGAGAGGAGGTGGGTACCTATTTTCAATAGGTACAAATAAATAATTAGAAGAATGAATAAGACCTACTAATTGATAGCACAATAAGGCTACTATAGTCAACAATAATTTAATAGTATACCTTAAATATAACTTAGTGTAATTGGGTTGTTTGTAACTCAAAGGATAAATGCTTGAGGGGATGGATACCCTATTCTCCATGATGTGCTTATCTCACATTGCATGCCTGTATCAAAATACCTCATACACCCCATAAATATATATACCTACTGTGTACCCACAAAATTAAAAATAAATAAATAAATAAAATAACTGTAAAGTAGAAGAAACCTCAAAGTGATAAAATCAAAATGTCTTGTTTTTCCTGCCAATCTCCCCGCTATATTTTCTTCCCTTATTGTTAACAACATACTGTCTACATACTTTTGTATTCTGAATTTTGTGTTTGCATTGTATCTTCAAAGAAGTTATAATTAACTTCATATCAAGCAATAGTATTTTCAAATTCAAAATGTGCTTCCTATCTAGATAAAAGGCTTGGCATATAATGATTCTTAATGGATGTGTTAAAACAATTGGTTTCTAGGCACAAATTAATGAACTAATAAATGGGGGGGTTTGTTTTATTTTCGTTTTGAGACAGGGACTGGCTCTGTCGCTGGGTTGGAGTGCAGTGGCACAATTGTCCCACCTCATCCTCCTGTAGTAGCTGGGACTACAGGCATGCACCACCAAGCCCAGCTAATTAGTTTTCTTTGTTTTTATACACAGGATCTTGCTGTGACTCCCAGGCTGATCACAAACTCCTGACCTCAAGCAACCCTTTCACCTCAGCATCCCAAAGTGCTGGGATTACAGGTTGATCCACTATGTCTGGCCCATAAACAGCTATTTTGCTTGATAAATATCACACCAAGTATATTTACATTTTAATATAACAACCATTCTATTTTCCCTAAGATTTCATTTTCAGTCATTTTTATTTTCCTGCCTAAAGATTTGTAAGATTTGTTCATTAGTCTTATAATTAAAAAACAATTGGCTAGATAATGTTTCTGTGAGATTTTATCTCTCACTTTGCCTGGAACCACATTAAGCTATACACTAGGAATAATTGTTTAGAAAGGAATGTAAGAACATTTTGATGATTGTACTTATTGCAATTGTACTGGTTTCTTCCCTAGACTTAGATTTTTATGGTTTATTCTCCAGATTAATAATCTCTGTAATCATTCCTCTATGGTTTCCCTTTTAAAACCCACTACACCAAATTTCTTATCTGTCACACCAATTCACTTTGCTAGGTGCATACTCTACTCTTTAATAACCCCACTGATGCTTTTATATCACATTTTATTTTCCTCTTCCTGATGATATTGTTTGTTGCTCCTACAGTTGTGGTTTCCTGCCATTTATTTTTGTACCATTTTAGGAAACTAAGGCAATCATATTAGTCTGTTCTCATGCTGCTAATAAAGACATACCTGAGACTAGGTAATTTATTAAAACAAGAGGTTTAATTGACTCACAGTTCCACATGGCTGGGGAGGCCTCACAATCATGGTGGAAGGTAAATGAGGAGCAAAGTCACATCTTACATGGTGACAAGCAAGAGGGCTTGTGCAGGGGAACTCCCATTTATAAAACCATCAGACCTTGTGAGACTTACTCACTACCATGAGAACAATATGGGGAAATAGTCCCCATGATTCAATTATCTCCACATGGCCCTGCCCTTAACATGGGGTAAGATTTGAGCAGAGACACAGAGTCAAACTATATCATTCCACCCTGGCCCCTCCCAAATATCATGTCCTTGCATTTCAGAACCAATTATGCCTTCCCAAAAGCCTCTCAAAGTCTTAACTCATTTCAGCATTAACTCAAAAGTCCACAGTCTCAAGTCTCATCTGAGACAAGGCAAGTCCCTTTGTAAAATCAAAAGCAAATTAGTTATTTCCTAGATACAATGGTACAGACAATGGTGCAGACAATGTGTAAGTAAACCTGTTCCAAATGGGAGAAATTGGCCAAAACAAAGGGGCTACAGGTCTCATGCAAGTACAAAATCCAGCAGGGCAGTCAAATCTTAAAGCTCAAAAATGATCTCATTTGACTCCATGTCTCACATCCAGGTCACGCTGATGCAGCAGATGGGTTCCCATGGTCTTAGGCAACTCCACCCCTGTGGCTTTGCAGGGTACAGCTTCCCTCCTGACTGCTTCCATGGGATGGCATTGTCTGCATCTTTTCCAGGTGCACGATGCTAACTGTCGGTGGAACTACCATTCTGGGGTCTGGAGTACAGTGGGCCTCTTCTCACAGCTCCACTAAGCAGTGCCCCAGTGGGGACTCTGTGTGGGGGCTCCCACCCCACATTTTCCTTCTGCACTGCCATAGCAGAGGTTCTCCATGAGGGCCCCACCCCTGCAGCAAACATTTGCTGGACATCCAGGCATTTCCATACATCCTTTGAAATCTAAGCAGAGGTTCCCAAACCTTAATTCTTGACTTCTGTGAACCAAAATCTCAACATCACATGGAAGCTACCAAGGCTTGGGGCTTGCACCATCCAAAGCAATGGTCTGAGCTCTATGTTGGCCCCTTTTAGCCCCTGCTGGGATGCAGGGCACCAACTCCTGAAACTGCAAAAAGCAGCATGGTCCTGGGCCCTGCTCACAAAACCATTTTTTTCTCCTAGGCCTCTGGGCCTGTGATGGGAGGGGTTGTCCTGAAGACCTCTGACATGCCCTGGAGACCTCTGACATGCCCTGGAGACATTTTCCCCATTGTCTTGGTGATTAACATTTGGTTTCTCATTACTTGTGCAAATTTCTGCAGCCAGCTTAAATTGCTCCCCAGAAAATGGGTTTTTCTTTTCTATCAAATCATCAGGCTGCAAATTTTCTGAACTTTTATGCTCTGCTTCCCTTTTAACATAATTTCCAATTCCAAACCATATATTTGTGAATATATAAAATTGAATGCTTTTAACAGCACCCAAGTCATCTCTTGAATGCTTTGCTGCTCAGAAATTTTTTCCGCCAGATGCCTTAAATCATCTCTCAAGTTCAAAGTTCCACATCTCTAGGGAAGTGGCAAAATGCCACCAGTCTCTGAGCTATAACATAGCGACAATCACCTTGCTCCTGTTCCCAACAAGTTTCTCATCTCTAGCTGAGACCACCTCAGCCTAGATTGCATTTTCCAAATCACTATCAGCATTTTGGTCAAAGCCATTTAACAAGTCTCTCTAAGAAGTTCCAAACTTCCCCACATCTTCCTGCCTTCTTCTGAGTCCTCCAAACTGTTCCAACCTCTGTCTGTTACCCAGTTCCAAAGTCACTCTACATTTTTGGTTATCTTTACAGCAGCACCCCACTCTACTGTGTAATACCAATTTACTGTATTAGTTGATTCTCACACTGCTAATAAAAACATACTTGAGACTAGGTAATTTATAAAGGAAAGAGGTTTAATGGACTCACAGTTCCACATTGCTGGGAAGGCCTCACCATCATGACAGAAGGTGAATGAGTAGCAAAGGTACATCTTACATGGTGGCAGGCAAGAGAACTTGTCCAGGGGAACTTTCATTTATAAAACCATTAGATCTCATGAGATGTATTTACTACCATGAGTGGGGTATGGGGAAACTGCTCCCATGATTCCATTATCTCCACCTGGCCCTACCTTTGATGCATGGTGATTATATAATTCAAGGTGAAAATTGGGTGGGACACAGCCAAACCATATCAGCAATTATTTTTGAAATTTTATTTATGATGTATGTTGATGAAGTAGAATTAGTCACTGGAATTAATAAAACAATTTTTTACTTTTTATTCTCCAGTCTCTGCAAACCTGTTATTTGAAAACTGAGTTAGATTTGATAGCTTATATCATTCTTCAGTCTTAAAAAGTTATTCCTAGCTTTAGCCACCAAAACATTCTCAGTCTAGCAATTAATATTTCTCATTCTGTACAGGACTAGATCATTATACAAGTTCATGCTTTTTTCTCTATAATCAGGAAAAGTGTTGGGAAAGGGAACATTGTTTTCTTCTTACCCTGCAACTTCTCACTAACCATATGCTAACTGGGGGTAAAAATCTATTAAAGTGAATAGAGATTTCAATTTGTTAACAGGGATATACAATCTTTTCAAAAAATCCTTATATACAAAGAAAAGTACAGAACAGAAAGAGAGTGAAGGCAATTAACAGGAGAAAAGACAAAAAAAAATCTGAAGCAAAACTTAATAAGAAATGCAAAAAACCATATATGAAGAAACTTTCAAAATATTTGTATTAAGAAAATACAAATGTAGCCTTAAATAAATCAGAAAAAGAATTATTTCCTTAAATAGGAATTTTCAGCATCCTATTTATTTATTTTTAAGACAGAGTCTCACTCTATTGCCCAGGCTGGAGTGCAGTGGCACTATCTTGGCTCAGTTCAACCTCTGCCCCACTGGTTAAAGTGATTCTCCCACCTCAGCCTCCTGAGTAGCTGGGACTACAGGTGCACGCCATCATGCCGAGCTAGTTTTTCTATTTTTAGTAGAGACAGGGTTTCACCGTGTTGAACAGGCTGGTCTTGAACTTTTGACCTCTGATGATTGCCAGCTTGGCCTCTCAAAGTGCTAGGATTACAGGCGTGTGCCACTGCACCTGGCTTCAGCATCCTAAAGTGTCAACATTGCCCAAGTTAATATATACATTTAATGCACTTCTGGCTGTGTTCCCAATGCTCTGAAAGGGTTAGCAAAACCTCTTTTCTTTTTTCACAGGAAAATGATAATAATTCACCTTCTCTAGTACTATTTCCTTTAAATCATGATAATGATGTAATGTCAGTGTTTGCCAGGAAACACTACTTTTAATAAAAATGACCCTATTTGGTTAACTGCATCTAGAGGACCATGGCTACAATAAGGGAATACTATAGTGTGTTTATCTTCACTTACAATTTTAATATCTAATTTTATGGTATTATTACTTCCCCAAATAAAATCTAAAGTCATTTTGTTTCTATGTCTAGGTATACTATACAATATGCAGAAAGCCATTCAGCTGTCTGTCTCTATACTTACTAATTCATTGATAAGAAGTCCAATATAAGAGTAGTTTTTATTATTTTAGTACAAGCATAAGCAATAATTTAGTTTGTTTTAATATATTTTTGAGAATATATTAAGTTGCAAATTGAAACTATTATATTAATTTTCTTTGAAATAAAGTAGAAATTACAACAATATCAGAAGCTATCTTTGCAAGCTTTGAGACCATAAGAGTGAGAAGTGGAAAAGTGGAAGTTGGACATACATTTAGGGTAACAATGCTGCCTTATTCGCATCTGGGGTATTCCACTATCCCTTCCCGACACACTGCTTGAAATGATAGAATTGATGTATTTGCATTATATCCCAATTTACACATAAATTCAATGGTATCCCCTGTTTTTGCATAATATTTTCTGTCACTTCTTCCTTTTAACTTTATGTTATTTTTATTCATGTTTTCTTCAGTTATTATACATGGATCTGAAAGCAGAAAAAAACAATTAACAATCATAATTTTCTCTTTCATGAGCAAATAAAATGCATCCTAATGAGTAGTTTAGGATAAAATAAAATTATAAAATAATCCAAATAGTTAATAGTTATTAACTTGTGCTACATACTGACGTTAGCATTTCAAAAATATAATAAGTTCAGTTGCACTTCCCCAACATCACAGCAGAGATCATCAGGTGAGGTGATAAACGTGAACCCTGGCAGTCTTTCTCTAGAGCCTGAACTCTTCTTTCCTAAAATATGTTGTGTCCACCCTAGTGACTTCATATCAAAAAGGATTATGCTAACATGTTCCATTGGAGTCATGGTTACTTATCCTCCTTTCCCCCATTCGACAAGCCGTGACTACAAGCACTCCAAATGTACTCACATTTTGCTAATTTAATTCTATGTTTATATTTTTCTCTTATGCCCACAATGTAGAAACAGAACTGTAGAAAGGTATAATCTTTCTAATAGTCATCTGTTAAAATGAAACTATATATACATACATACATACATACATAAATATACCTCAATATCTATCAGTTATCTCTCTCTCTATCAACATCATCTATCCCTGTCATCTTCATTTTCTATTTTAAAGAGAGGCAAGGATAAGCACACAGAGTTAATATGAATCCCTACATGATTATGGACAAATTACTCTGTCTCACTATGCCTTCATCTGTAAAATCAGTAAGATAATGTTACTTCCACATATGGATTTTCTTTTATAAAATTCTTTTGTAAAAAAATTTATAATTTTTTTTTTAAGTTCCAGGGTACATGTGCAGGATGTGCAGGTTTGTTCCATAGGTAAATGTGTGCCATGGTGGTTTGCTGTACCTATCAACCCATACCCCAGGTATTAAGCCTAGTACTTACATGATAAAAATGTCAGTTCTTACATAGCAAGCTTTTCACTTTTGATGATATCATTCACTCACCTATCTCTTCTTTTGACTCAAGTATTCTGCATTCTAGTTTAGCCCTTATTAGCATTAGCATTTCTTTAGAAATTTCCCCAATCATATTTTAATACATCTTTCAAGTACTTACTTAAATAAATTTCTTAACATAGTACATATCACTTTTGAAATCCAAAAAATTTTAAGAGCTCTTCAATACATTCAGGGGCTGTTTACAATTCAAAAATAAATATTGTTTGAACTCTAAATACTTCTCCAAACATATTTTCCAAAACTTTCTAAAGTTTCCTGCTGCCTGGGAAAATTTTCCTCATTGCTTTAATATGCCATATGTATATGTAATCTTTTCCATAAGGTTGCCTTTTTCCCTAGAATTCTGTGCTTGAATGCTCTTTGCTTCTTTAGTTTTGAAGACTGAAAGTCTTGCTTGTATCATAGAACTGATCTTATATCTTCAGATAATTATAATCCTTTCCTGTTCTTGATTGTGAGAAGAGGTAATGCTTTTGCTGTGAAACCCATCTTAGGAGTGTCCATCTCCTCAGTCAATCAAATTTAAGACTCAGAATTTATCTCTGAAACCTAACACTTTTCTATGAAATCAAGTTTGAAGATACTTGTAAACTATTTTGATTTGAGGATACTAATTTCTTCTTCAGTCTTACCACTTGCATAGTTTGGAGCTCAAACTTGGACATGATCATCTACAGAAGTGGATACTTAAGTAGGGGACAATAATTAAGGTTTAGCCCATTGTAAGATCAGCCAAAATATCAGCGTCATCAGTCAATATGAAAGGTAAAAGGTAGCATAGCATCAAAATAAAGGAAATGAGTCACATCACAGAAAACAACTGCTTGTATCATCCTGTACTTAGGAACTTGAGCACTTGAAAAACTCATGAACTTACAGTTTAAGAGCTGTGATAGGAATAGGTTATCTGACATTCAAGGACTGATGGGTGTCCCAGGGCTCTACCTCATAGGCTAGTAGAAACTTGTGGCAAATTTTCTTTTAGGTTTTCTTGTTGTTGCCATAATCATTGTGGCTTATATTTTTTGAGTTGTGTTGCTTCAAGTTCATAGTACTTGGGGGACAAAATTCTGGAAGTATACCTATATTACTGGCTTGAGGGGTTTTTAGTGTATTCATTTTGATTCTGGTATAAGGGAAGAGGAGAATAAGGTAAAAATGGAAAAGCAATGGGTTATGGAAATGGCTGAAGTTTCGTTAATTTCTTTGTTGCTTGCTAGGAATACTGATAAAATATAAGTAAGAATAATAATCAGAGAAAGAACTTCTCAGTGTTAACCAGCTATGTGTTCTATCAGGAAAAATTTCATGTGTTCAAGTAGGGTTTAATAGTTTGTGGTTTTTTGAAACAATGTTTTCAGAACTGTTTGAAAACTCTTTACCTAAGTGTTAATAATGTGAAAATGATTACTGGTGTTAAGCTGAGATGCCATATTTCATATGTGCGCAATAAATGGTTGTCATTCTTGAAGACTCATTGTATCCATTAACAAATTGAAGACTCTGAACATTCTTGGTTTTTTCTTTTTCTCTTTTTCTTTTCTTCTTCTTCTGTTTTATTTATTTATTTATTTATTTATTTATTTATTTATTTATTTATTATTTTTTTATTTTTGGAGATGGGGTCTCCCTCTGTCGCCCAGGCTGGAGGGCAATGGTGCAATCTCCACTCACTGCAACCTCTGCCTCCCGGGTTCAAATGATTCTCCTGCCTCACCCTCCTGAGTAGCTGGGATTACAGGCATATGCCAGCATGCCTGGCTAATTTTTGTATTTTTTGTAGATACGGGGTTCACCATGTTGGTCAGGCTGATCTCGAACTCCTGACCTCATGGTCTGCCTGCCTCGGCCTTCCAAAGTGCTGGGACTACAGGCGTGAGCCACCACCCCAGGCCGACATTCCTGTTTTAAAAAAGAAACTTGGTCATTGTTTACATGGAATTTTCCAAGCTTATACACTTATATATTAAGATCTGAAAGGCAAACATTCAGCAGAATAGCTGTTTGTGAACACAGTTCTAGGGTAATAACCCATAAAAATTCTAGTATAAAAAAGCAAATATCAAACTTATTACTCTGATTTTCTCAGGATCTAGAATTTTAAGAACTTACGTATGCATCTTGGTGGTTCCGACCACTCTCCATTACTACATGTTACATAATTAGAACCCTGAAGTTCATAGTAGGGCTGGCATTGGTACTCGACTCTTGACTGTGGCACATACACTTTTAGTAGAAAGGAGGTGGTATCACCATTGCTAATAGGTGGAGGAGGCCCACACTTTTCTGAAGAATCTGAAAAAAAATACTTTATATGTGGGGAAAAATCAATAGTCTTATTGGAAACTTTCTAAATAAAGCTTTTTATATACTCTTAACTGTATCTTATTTGATTTCTTAGGAAGACATCTGCATTTTCAACGTTGTTTTTTCTTTTTAAGTCTCAAGATAATTCACACTCATAGGAGGACTACATATATATGTACATATATGTACACACATATGTGTACATATACATATGTAGGTGTCTATTTATTATTTTATT
The DNA here is from genome assembly GCF_000001405.40 of Homo sapiens. NCBI lineage: Eukaryota > Metazoa > Chordata > Mammalia > Primates > Hominidae > Homo > Homo sapiens. The sequence continues at coordinate 196,789,794 of NC_000001.11, read as the reverse complement.
TAATTCTAATAAAAAATACTTGAATAAAATACTTACTATAACATGTTGGGAAATGGGACTACCCATCTTCACCACACACTATGGAACCTGTGGTGTTTCCATAACTGATTTCATATCCATCGTAGCATTCGTAGTCCAATGTGTCACGGAGCTTAAACCGCTTTTAAATTTGTGAATTTAAAAGTTAATGTAACCATTTATGTAGTTATGTAACGATTTACTAACAGTAAGGGTGTATATATTAGATAAAAATTATATTAATTGGATATAAGTTCTATAAAATTTATGAAGCATCCTGTCTTTTATTTCACAAGTTTTAAAGTAGATCATTTATCAAAGCTGAGTAAAATTGAAGTATACACCTTTTTCTTTACACAGAGCCCTTGATAAGTATAGAAATTGAAAACAGTATTCTAGAAATGTAGGAATTCATATAACCCCCAAAACTCATGATAACATTGAGATAATCACTTTGTAAGTGTATCTTTTTTCTCTCTTAGCTTAATATTTTTGAGAGTCTTCCATGTTGTATTATGTATCAAGGTTCCATATTATCTCATGACTAAAAATAGTTGAATTGTACCCTTGAAAATGAAGTGGATTTGGGAGTATGTAAATTATACAACAGTATTTGGGTTAAAAATACATTCAGCAATTTATCTTTAAAACTCTTTGTGAATATATAAAGAGGAAAGAAAAAAAATCAACTTTTGCCACTGAAAGATTTCCTTTGTTCATTATGCATTCTCTTTATCATACTAAGTAAAGGTCGAGCACGTTCAGAGAACTTTACATGTAAAGAATCCATTGGCAAGTATGAGGTTTGTAAACATTCAGCCCACCCACTTACCCTTTTCCTTTACTTGTTTTCTCTGTAGTAAACAATAGGGTAGAGATAATTTTTTGATTGGATATCCTCAGTAGCATCATTGATACAAATTATTAAGGTCTGATTCTCCTGACGCTAGCAGAAATTCAGAATTAAGCACTCATTTCTCCCCCGACATGTACAACTTTTCTGAGCGTGAGCACGGAATGCAATACAAGCAGCTGATAATTTTGAAATACAAAGAAAGGGAAGACAACAAAGTTTTTATTGGCAACTAACATATTTTGCTGATACTCTCATGCAGCTCCCTAACTAGTCTGTACATGATAAGATTGCTTTTATGTAAAGGCAGATTGAGTTGTAAGAGATGAAATGATCATCTTCCCAAGTAGCCATTACTCTAAACATGCAAAAGACTTAATTTGGCACAGAATGTTGAATGGTTTTAGAAGTATTTGTATCTCTTTACTCCTAAAATTGTTTTCTATATTTTTAAGTAAAACACTATCATCTCAAAGAGAGGAACGAAGTTGACAGAAACTGAATGGGAATATGTAAATCACTTACTAATGCAAATTGGTTGTGCTGACCATCCATTTTGCAAACATGTAATTGATCCTGAAGAATTTCCATCTGCTGTTGCATATCCTGGTTTACATTTATATTGTATTTCTTTATTTAAAATATAAATAGAGGAAGATTCGGAAATGAATCCATTTTCAATTTCTATATCTGATTTTGAGCATGTTCCTAAAATAGAAAAAGTCAAGAAAAAAGTAAATATTAGTTGAATAGTTCTTTTATAGGAGGGAACAAGTAAAAACATGGCAATATGGCGAAACAATGAAACATTTGTTAATGAATTGAAAACAGCAAAACTGGAAGTTTCCTAGACATCCGTGTTCTTAAAGGAAACCACGAATTTCTGAAGGAAATGTTGAACACAGGGAAGGGCAGAATGAAAGCAAAGAATCCTTGAGACTGTCAACAGAGCTCTGGCAGTCCTTGAGGAGTGCAGATCTAGGAGACTCTCCAGTCCCTAATGAAATTTTGGAAGACTTTCTGGCTACTTTGCAACAACCTGAGTATTTTTGGTACTATTAAGGGGTCTTAAACCTCATTAAGTCAAATGCCATTTCCCAGGCAAAGATACGGTACACCCTGCTACCATAGGCAAGAAAGTAATTTTGTAAATCCTTTGTCTCCAAGAATTTAAAATGGTTGTCATCTTAAGTGGGTGCTTAAACCCATATAGACGTGGTGTTTGAGAGGCATGTGGAAATGTAAGCAGAAAAAAGAAAGCAAGCAAGATAGCAAAAATAAGTTCTAATATATTAGCAATGTATTTGTTCTTTATATATTAGTAATGTATGTGTTCTATACATTACTAATGGGTATATGTACAAGGTAGTAATTATTTTAGTAACGCATATGTTTTAAGATATTAGTAATGTATATGTTCTTTTCTAATTAGTAATTCAAAAACAAATGTAAATGGACCAATTTTACTATCTGAAAGAAAAAGAAATCATGTTAAAGATGATGCATATTTATAATATAGCATTTGTCATAATCATGAGTTTTCTGATCTATTCTTGCCTACTTTCCTATTAATCTCCTCCAGCCTCTAAACTACAATGTTCAGTTTCTATTGTAAACAGCTTTATTTTCAATACCTACAAAGTGCTTGACACACAACAATATTTATTAGGTGGATTAATGATAGAGTTGGTGCTTATGGCAGGAGAAAAAGGGACTTTTCTTTCAGGGGCTTAGGCTATTGTTGAGGACAGTTGCTCCTATAATGGTGTAGGAAGATTCCCATTATCTTTCGTCTCAATTATTCCATAATTATTATGCGGTTTCTATAATGGAATGTTTTGTAAATTGCAAACAATACACACAAACAATTTTCAGAGTCCCCTTTACTTAAAAAGTAAAAGTCAGCTGTAACTGAAGATGAGCCTTAATTTAAAGCAACAGAGCACTAACTAAAAAATAGATATCATAGAGGGCAGCCAAGATGGCCAAATCGGAACAGCTCTGGTCTACAGCTCCCAGCGTGAGCGACGCAGAAGACGGGTGATTTCTGCATTTCCATCTGAGGTTCTGGGTTCATCTCACTAGGGAGTGCCAGACAGTGGGTGCAGGACAATGGGTGCAGCGCACCGTGCGTGAGCCAAAGCAGGGGAAGGCATTGCCTCACTTGGGAGGCACAAGGGGTCAGGGAGTTCCCTTTCCTAGTCAAAGAAAGGGGTGACACACGGCACCTGGAAAATCGGGTCACTCCCACCCTAATACTGCGCTTTTCCCACGGGCTTAAAAAACGGCACACCAGGAGATTATATCGCTCACCTGGCTCAGAGGGTCCTATGCCCACGGAGTCTCTCTGATTGCTAGCATAGCAGTCTGAGATCAAACTGCAAGGCGGCAGCGAGGCTGGGGGAGGGGGGCCTGCCATTGCCCAGGCTTGCTTAGGTAAACAAAGCAGCCAGGAAGCTCGAACTGGGTGGAGCCCACCACAGCTCAAGGAGGCCTGCCTGCCTCTGTAGGCTCCACCTCTGGGGGCAGGGCACAGACAAACAAAAAGACAGCAGTAACCTCTGCAGACTTAAATGTCCCTGTCTGACAGCTTTGAAGAGAGCAGTGGTTCTCCCAGCACGCAGCTGGAGATCTGAGAACGGGCAGACTGCCTCCTCAAGTTGGTCGCTGACCCCAACCCCCGAGCAGCCTAACTGGGAGGCACCACCCAGTAGGGGCAGACTGACACCTCACACGGCCGGGTACTCCTCTGAGACAAAACTTCCAGAGGAACCATCATACAGCAGCATTCGCGGTTCATGAAAATCCGCTGTTCTGCAGCCACTGCTGCAGATACCCAGGCAAACAGGGTCTAGAGTGGACCTCTAGCAAACTCCAACAGACCTGCAGCTGAGGGTCCTGTCTGTTAGAAGGAAAACTAACAAACAGAAAGGACATCCACACCAAAAACCCATCTGTACATCACCATCATCAAAGACCAAAAGTAGATAAAACCACAAAGATGGGGAAAAAACAGAGCAGAAAAACTGGAAACTCTAAAAGCAGAGCACCTCTCCTCCTCCAAAGGAACAAAGTTCCTCACCAGCAACGGAACAAAGCTGGACGGAGAATGACTTTGACGAGTTGAGAAAAGAAGGCTTCAGACAATCAAACTACTCCAAGCTACAGGAGGAAATTCAAACCAAAGGCAAAGAAGTTAAAAATTTGAAAAAAATTTAGACAAATGTATAAGTAGAATAACCAATACAGAGAAGTGCTTAAAGGAGCTGGTGGAGCTGAAAGCCAAGGCTCGAGAACTACGTGAAGAATACAGAAGCCTCAGGAGCCGATGTGATCATCTGGAAGAAAGGGTATCAGTGATGGAAGATGAAATGAATGAAATGAAGCGAGAAGGGAAGTTTAGAGAAAAAAGACCAAAAAGAAATGAACAAAACCTCCAAGAAATATGGGACTATGTGAAAAGACCAAATCTACATCTGATTGGTGTACCTGAAAGTGACGGGGAGAATGGAACCAAGTTGGAAAACACTCTGCAGGATATTATCCAGGAGAACTTCCCCAATCTAGCAAGGCAGGCCAACATTCAGATTCAGGAAATACAGAGAACGCCACAAAGATACTCCTAGAGAAGAGCAACTCCAAGACACATAATTGTCAGATTCACCAAAGTTGAAATGAAGGAAAAAATGTTAAGGGCAGCCAGAGAGAAAGGTCGGGTTACCCACAAAGGGAAGCCCATCAGACTAATAGCAGATCTCTCAGCAGAAACTCTACAAGCCAGAAGAGAGTGGGGGCCAATATTCAACATTCTTAAAGAGAAGAATTTTCAACCCAGAATTTCATATCCAGCCAAACTAAGCTTCATAAGTGAAGGAGAAATAAAATCCTTTACAGATAAGCAAATGCTGAGAGATTTTGTCACCACCAGGCCTGCCCTAAAAGAGCTCCTGAAGGAAGCACTAAACATGGAAAGGAACAACTGGTACCAGCCACTGCAAAATCATGCCAAAATGTAAAGACCATCGAGACTAGGAAGAAACTGCATCAACTAACAAGCAAAATAACCAGCTAACATCATAATGACAGGATCAAATTCACATTTAACAATATTAACTTTAAATGTAAATGGACTAAATGCTCCAATTAAAAGACACAGACTGGCAAATTGGATAAAGAGTCAAGACCCATCAGTGTGCTGTATTCAGGAAACCCATCTCATGTGCAGAGACACACATAGGCTCAAAATAAAAGGATGGAGGAAGATCTACCAAGCAAATGGAAAACAAAAAAAGGCAGGGGTTGCAATCCTAGTCTCTGATGAAACAAACTTTAAACCAACAAAGATCAAAAGAGACAAAGAAGGCCATTACATAATGGTAAAGGGATCAATTCAACAAGAAGAGCTAACTATCCTAGATATATATGCACCCAATACAGGAGCACCCAGATTCATAAAGCAAGTCTGGAGTGACCTACAAAGAGACTTAGACTCCCACACAATAATAATGGGAGACTTTAACACACCACTGTCAACATTAGACAGATCAACGAGATGGAAAGTCAACAAGGATACCCAGGAATTGAACTCAGCTCTGCACCAAGCGGACCTAATAGACATTTACAGAACTCTCCACCCCAAATCGACAGAATATACATTTTTTTCAGCACCACACCACACCAATTCCAAAATTGACCACATAGTTGGAAGTAAAGCTCTCCTCAGCAAATGTAAAAGAACAGAAATTATAACAAACTGTCTCTCAGACCACAGTGCAATCAAACTAGAACTCAGGATTAAGAAACTCACTCAAAACTGCTCAACTACATGGAAACTGAACAAACTGCTCCTGAATGACTACTGGGTACATAAAGAAATGAAGGCAGAAATAAAGATGTTCTTTGAAACCAACGAGAACAAAGACACAACATACCAGAATCTATGGGACACATTCAAAGCAGTGTGTAGAGGGAAATTTATAGCACTAAATGCCCACAAGAGAAAGCAGGAAAGATCCAAAATTGACACCCTAACATCACAATTAAAAGAACTAGAAAAGCAAGAGCAAACACATTCAAAGCTAGCAGAAGGCAAGAAATAACTAAAATCAGAGGAGAACTGAAGGAAATAGAGGCACAAAAAGCCTGTCAAAAAATTAATGAATCCAGGAGCTGGTTTTTTGAAAGGATCAACAAAATCGATAGACTGCTAGCAAGAGTAATAAAGAAAAAAAGAGAGATGAATCAAATAGACACAATAAAAAATGATAAAGGGGATATCACCACCAATCCCACAGAAATACAAACTACCATCAGAGAATACTACAAACACCTCTGCGCAAATAAACTAGAAAATCTAGAAGAAATGGATAAATTCCTTGACACATACACTCTCCCAAGACTAAACCAGGAAGAAGTTGAATCTCTGAATAGACCAATAACAGGCTCTGAAATTGTGGCAATAATCAATAGCTTACCAACCAAAAAGAGTCCAGGACCAGATGGATTCACAGCCGAATTCTACCAGAGGTACAAGGAGCAACTGGTACCATTCCTTCTGAAACTATTCCAATCAATAGAAAAAGAGGGAATCCTCCCTAACTCATTTTATGAGGCCAGCATCATCCTGATACCAAAGCCAGGCAGAGACACAACCAAAAAAGATAATTTTAGACCAATATCCTTGATTAATATTGATACAAAAATCCTCAATAAAATACTGGCAAACCGAATCCAACAGCACATCAAAAAGCTTATCCACCATGATCAAGTGGTCTTCATCCCGGGGATGCAAGGCTAGTTCAATATACGCAAATCAATAAATGTAATCCAGCATATAGACAGAACCAAAGACAAAAACCACATGATTATCTCAATAGATGCAGAAAAGGCCTTTGACAAAATTCAACAACGCTTCATGCTAAAAACTCTCAATAAATTAGATATTGATGGGACATATCTCAAAATAACAAGAACTATCTATGACAAACCCACAGCCAATATCATACTGAATGGGCAAAAACTGGAAGCATTCCTTTGAAAATCAGCACAAGACAGGGATGCCCTCTCTCACCACTCCTATTCAACATAGTGTTGGAAGTTCTGGCCAGGGATCTCCTTCAGGAGAAAGAAATAAAGGGTATTCAATTAGGAAAAGAGGAAGTCAAATTGTCCTTGTTTGCAGGTGACATGATTGTATATCTAGAAAACCCCATTGTCTCAGCCCAAAATCTCCTAAAGCTGATTAGCAACTTCAGCAAAGTCTCAGGATACAAAATCAATGTACAAAAATCACAAGCATTCTTATACACCAATAACAGACAAACAGAGAGCCAAATCATGAGTGAACTCCCATTCACAATTGCTTCAAAGAGAATAAAATACCTAGGAATCCAACTTACAAGGGACGCGAAGGACCTCTTCAAGGAGAACCACAAACCACTGCTCAAGGAAATAAAAGAGGATACAAACAAATGGAAGAACATTCCATGCTCATGGGTAGGAGGAATCAATATCATGAAAATGGCCATACTGCCCAAGGTAATTTATAGATTCAATGCCATCCCCATCAAGCTACCAATGACTTTCTTCACCAAAGTGGAAAAAAGTACTTTAAAGTTCATATGGAACCAAAAAAGAGCCCGCATCACCAAGTCAATCCTAAGCCAAAAGAACAAAGCTGGAGGCATCACACTACGTGACTTCAAACTATACTACAAGGCTACAGTAACCAAAACAGCATGGTACTGCTACCAAAACAGAGATATAGATCAATGGAACAGAACAGAGCCCTCAGAAATAACGCTGCATATCTACAACTATCTGATCTTTGACAAACCTGAGAAAAACAAGTAATGGGGAAAGGATTCCCTATTTAATAAATGTTGCTGGGAAAACAGGCTAGCCATATGTAGAAAGCTGAAACTGGATCCCTTCCTTACACCTTATACAAAAATTAATTCAAGATGGATTAAAGACTTAAATGATAGACCTAACACCATAAAAACCCTAAAAGAAAACCTAGGCATTACCATTCAGGACATAGGCATGGGCAAGGACTTCATGTCTAAAACACCAAAAGCAATGGCAACAAAAGCCAAAATTGACAAATGGGATCTAATTAAACTAAAGAGCTTCCGCACAGCAAAAGAAACTACCATCAGAGTGAACAGGCAACCTACAAAATGGGAGAAAATTTTTGCAACCTACTCATCTGACAAAGGGCTAATATCCAGAATCTACAATGAACTCAAACAAATTTACAAGAAAAAAACAAACAACCCCATCAAAAAGTGGGCAAAGGACATGAACAGATGCTTCTCAAAAGAAGACATTTACGCAGCCAAAAAACACATGAAAAAATGCTCACCATCACTGGCCATCAGAGAAATGCAAATCAAAACCACAATGAGATACCATCTCACACCAGTTAGAATGGCAATCATTAAAAAGTCAGGAAACAACAGGTGCTGGAGAGGATGTGAAGAAATAGGAACACTTTTACACCATTGGTGGGACTGTAAACTAGTTCAACCATTGTGGAAGACAGTGTGGTGATTCCTCAGGGATCTAGAACTAGAAATACCATTTGACCCAGCCATCCCATTAATGGGTATATACCCAAAGGACTATAAATCATGCTGCTATAAAGACACATGCACACGTATGCTTATTGCGGCATTATTCACAATAGCAAAGACTTGGAACCAACCCAAATGTCCAACAATGATAGACTGGATTAAGAAAATGTGGCACATATACACCATGGAATTCTATGCAGCCATAAAAAATGATGAGTTCATGTTCTTTGTAGGGACATGGATGAAACTGGAAATCACCATTCTCAGTAAACTATCACAAGGACAAAACACCAAACACCACGTGTTCTCACTCATAGGTGGGAACTGAACAACGAGAACACATGGACACAGGAAGGGGAACATCACACTCTGGGGACTGTTGTGGGGTGGGGGGAGGGGGGAGGGATAGTATTAGGAGATATACCTAATGCTAAATGATGAGTTAATGGGTGCAGCACACCAGCATGGCACATGTATACATATGTAACTAACCTGCACATTGTGCACATGTACCCTAAAACTTAAAATATAATAATAATAAAATATAAAAAAAGAACCAAAAAACATTCATCATGAAAAAAGATTGACAATTATTTAGTAAAATGAGCAACTTGTTCATAATGCAGAAAAAAGGAAAGAACAATACTAGCCACAAAGAGAATGCATTTGCATTACATATAATTAAAAGAGATTTTACCTTCAGAATTATTAAGATGATTCCAACTAATAACAACCAAAACTCCCAAAAAGATAAATAAAAGAAATCAAACTGCATTTCCAAATTTTAGAATCATTAAATACCAATTAAACTGTGAACATGTATTCTAAATCCAGCTGGTAGTAAAAGAAATGCAAATTTACATTACAATGCTATACCATTTTATAGCCACTCAACTTGTAAATATTAAAATGTGACATCACCAATCATTAGCAACATGTGAAAAAAGAAGGAACTGTTTATATAAATGTATATTTGAATAAATACTGTAGGAAACCTTCTAGAGTAGAATATGTACAAGATCCCAGAATACCCATTTGTACTTAATCTTCTTGGTGCAAGATGACGAACCTCGGGTATTTACCCGAGACATTAATGCCGCTTCAATATGACTTTATTTAGCCAACAAGTATTGTGTTCTAATTCTTTTACTGTATTCTTGACTAATGCCCATTAATAGGAGCATTTATTTTGCTATGTACTTATCAAGAAATTTGTATATTCACACAATTAAAAAAGTAAAACTAAATAGGTCCGTTGGCAAAACAAGTTGACAAAAACATTTTGCCACAGTTAATATAGACAAGTCTGAGACTGTCGTCCGTGTTACTTAGAAAGACATGAACATGCTGGGATCTCAGAGCGGTGTACTTACTGACACGGATGCATCTGGGAGTAGGAGACCAGCCTTTCTCCGTACATGTAACTGTGGTCTGCGCTTTTGGAAGACCGTAGCCAGGATGGCAGGCAACTTCTGTAGAGTTACCCTGTACAAACTTTCTTCCATAATTTTGATTATATCCATTTTCCAAATAAGGAAAATAACATTTTCCTAAGGACATAGCAATGATAAATAAATAAAGTAAATGAGAAACATAAATTTGCACAAAAAGTATATTAAAATTATTGTTACCATATTTAAATAAGATCGCATAAACATCCAAAAATAATGTACAACTTAGTATGAACCAAAATTACTAACAAAGGTTGTACAAGAGGAAATGTCAATATTTAATATTACTTCTCTTTAGTTTTCATAATTAAAATATGTATAAACTATATAGATATTCTCATAAAGTCTCTATATTTATTTTTCATATGATTTTCAAGAACTCCTCATAATAGAAAAGATCTATTTTGGTCATTTTGCTTGAACAACTCATTTCTTGGCCCTATTTCTGTTACATAAGACAAGAGTAATCAATTATGTGCTCTCCTCTCTTTAATCTTTTAAAGTTTTATACATGTGTAGCAGTTCAGAGGATTACTTACTGAGACATGGTACTGCTGGTGACCACCCATTTTGTGTGCAATGAATGTAATCCCAGTAACTTCCTGAAGGAGTCTCAAAATGTTCATCACAGTAATAGGAGTAATATTTTCCTACAGCTACTGGAAAGTATGGTCTACGCATATTCTCATGAAATAGACCTCCATGTTTAATGTCTGGAAAATCACAAGGTTTCACTTGCAATAAAAAACAAACAAAAAAGTATAAATAATTTTTACTGTAATAAATCATATTAGAGATAAATTTTGATATCACCTTCTCTCAAACATTTTCTTGTGGAATTACAGCAACCATAACTAGTTTCCTGATCCTGACCTCTCATCTGTATAATCTGTTTTCCTGGGTATAAATTAATAACCCTTCATCTGGTCATTTTATTTCTACACTTAAAATCCTTAATGGATCCCAAATCAGCTAACAGGACAAGAAGAACCTCATTCTACTTTCTCTACTTCTACTAATGTAGTATGGTCTCTTTAGCAATTCTGGAGGTTTTATCAACATTAATTTGAACTGAGCTTATCTAGAACTATACCAAGTTATGCTAAAGCTGTCAGTTCAGGGTGCACACATTACCAATAATTGTTTTTTGGAAAAGAGAAACAAGAAATATGACTCTAAACATTAAAAAAAATCAGAAATGTACCAATTATCTCCAGAAATAAAACATTTTCTTGAGTTTTGTGGCATTTTGTTTGTATTCGATGGCATGCATTCTTACCATAGTTAGAATTCATGTATCGGATGAGATATATTATTGACATAAAAAAATAGGTGCATACACGAATGTTCAAATATATATATATTCTTACATTCTATATGTATGTAGACATATAGAATGTTGACCAATACCATAATTTAAATAGCATATAATTTATGTTTCTTCTATAATTCTGGAACAAGTGATAGAAAATAATATTTACAGCCTATTTATTGGGAAAACTTAAGAATATCACTAAGGAAAAATCTTTAAGTTTGAATCATCATAAATCAGAGAGAACGGGAAGGAGGCTAGCGGCACAACAGCTTTAGTGTGCAGATGAGAAGACTAAGTTCAGAGAAGTGACATCTTTACTTTGTGGGAAGTGTTTGCTAGTTACAGAACTGGCTCCAGAGGCTTGTTGGGTGACGCATGACAGCTTCTCTGACCCAGTCCCTCAAGCATGGATGCACAGTTTTCTGCTGAGTGTCTCCTCCATATTGGAAAATCTAAATCTCCCTGCACTGTGTAACCTCCTGAGATACTCTTACATTTTCTTATGATTGCAGGCTATTTAGTCTGAAGAAGAAAGGGACATATATTAAAGGAAATCATTTTAATTTTTCTTTCTTTTCTTTTTTTTTTTTTTTTTTTTAACAGTCTTGTTCTGTCACCAAGGCTAGAGTACAGTGGCACCATCTCGGCTCACTGCAACCTCTGCCTCCCAGGTTCAAGTTATTCTCCTGCCTCAGTCTCCTGAGTAGCTGGGATTGCAGGTGTGTGCCGCCACTCCGGCTAATTTTTTGAATTGTTAGTAGAGACAGCGTTCCATCATGTTGGCCGGGCTGGTCTCCAACTCCTGACCTCAAGTGATCCGCGCGCCTTGGCCCCCGAAAGTGCTGGGATTAAGGCAGGAGCCCCCCGGCTCGACCAAAAATTACTTTTCTTAGTCAGTGATAATTTCGAAACTGTAGTGAGTTTTTCATAGTTTAGGTTTGTTTCTGAAAATCGTTTCTCCCACTAAAAGGCACTGGAATTTCATAGGGAAATTATTGGAACTTGGTCTGTAGTAGGAAAAGTCAAGGAAATCCTGGGACCTTTTGTTATGCCAAAGTGTAATGGGGACACGTGAAATATACACAGAAGCCAGCTTCTTAGTTAAACTTGAAATAAATTTGAGCGTCCCAAAGAAGTACAATGGCAATTAACTGTAATGCATTGGGTACTGAAAATGATCAGTTTAAAAGGAATTTAGAGGCAACCCTACTCTACATTACTAATTGTCACCCTTGACACTTTGTTATGGCAACTCTAGTAGATGAATATAAAGTTTATACAATTCTGAAAGGATATTCATGATTAAAAATAATTTTCCTGACAACCTGTTTTTAAATAAGTGTAAATAACTTATGAGTTGATGGAAGAAATATTGGTCAATACAAATTCAATGAACATTATAATAGGTTGCAATTACAAATTTTCTGTCAAGTTTATCTTTCAAATAGCGTGGCTTCCAAAAGAATTGGTGTGCTGATTTTATTGTTCAGAACTGAAACATCAACCACCATTAAAAAAAAATTCTTAGCATAAGCAACTCACAAAGTATATCCTTCATTAATCATATGAAAAATATTTGCTGATTCGATTTACTAGATTCTGAATATAGATGAATACAGATAATATGTAAACACAAAGTATTCAACAAGACAAAAATCAGCAAGGACAATACACCCAAGATATAATTACCCAATTCTGATGAATACCCTCTAAAATCTGTGTTGGTGGGTATATATATATATATATCCTTGAGTAAAAAGTAAAAAGTTATTTTTAATTATTAATATTCTTTTAATACATTGTGTAAATATCATAGTATTCATCTGCTAGAGCTACCATAACAAAGTACTACTGATTTCATAGAAATTTATTTTCTCACAGTTCTGGAGGCTACTAGTTTGAGATATAGCTGTCAACAGGATTGGATGCTTCTGAGACCTCCTCCTTTGCCTTGTAAATGGTTGTTTTCTCTCTATGCCTTGCGTGATCTTTCCCTATACGGTGTGTTCTTATTTTCTCTTCTTATATGGACACCAGTTATATTGGAGTAGGACCCACCTGAATCATTGACCTTTAACTTAATTACATCGCTAAGCACTCCTTCTCCAAATGCAGTCACATTCTCAGGTATTGGGAATTTGGACTTTAACAAATGAATTTTGGCGGGATGCAGTTGAGCCAATGCTACTGAATTCACAAAGATGTTTCTCTCTACCCAAGATGTTATTCCACTAAATGAGTTACTTTCTCCTTTGAGAAATATAGGTGCAACCCAAATTTACAAGACATTTTGCTCAAGTTTACTCTTACAAAGAGTTCATTGGAGGAGGCAAGTTTTCCACTGGAATATCAGATAAGAAAGAATTTGTCATCATTCTTTTCTATAGTGCTTTTAAGAAAGTAAGTAAGAAAATATAGTGCATATGCTTCTCTAATTCCAGTCATTTCAAAATAGTAGTATTTTCTTCTTTGCATTCTACTTTAATCTATTTAGTCTTTATTTGAAGAAATGTACCTGTAACAGTTCAGTTAAAAAAGGAAATAACTGGTGAAATTCCTTTTTTTTTCCATTTTGGCACAGATCAAGTTTGATTTTGCGCAACAAATAAAACTAGCAAATCATGTGATAGATAATACTATAAAACTTAAAGCTCTTTCCCTAGAATCAAATAAAGTGGCATAGCTTCGCGAAGAGTGGTTGAGGGAAAAGATAGTCTCATAAATTGATAATGGGATTTCCAGTATTACCCTCCATTACATTGGCTGAAATATGAAGTTTTGGATAATTACAAAATTTGTATTCTTCATTAATGGACACACACCCTTGATTGTCCATGATTTTTGACCCATGTGGTTCCACTGCTAATGTTACCATATAGTTCTTTAATATGCAAGGCCTGCATTCAAAAAGATAATTAATACAGAAAATATATGACTATCTAGGAGAAATCAGTGAACAATGACATAACGCTATGAAAAGTATTTTCTGTATATTTACTTATTGAACATTTGCTAGTGAACTCAGAAATGCCAATCAAAACTTACTATCTTTCCAATGTAAGTTTATATTCTATTTTTTCATTATATATGTATGTTGCTAATTTTGTTGACGTAGTAAGTTGATATTAATGTTAATTAGTTTTAGCAGCTTTCTTAAGCTATAATAGAAATATAAGAAACTGCATAATTTAAAATGTATTATTTGATTTTTTGATATATAAATCTATAAAAATCACCATATGTAAGATTATGAAAACATCAGTCACTCCCAATGTTCCCCTTGTATTACGTATAGGAAAATTCTGAACATTTTAAGCTTAGAATCTGTCTAATGACATGTTTCCTACTTAAAGTTTCATGAGTATATTCACATATCTCCATAATCAATATTAAATGCCTTTTACACTGTAGAACTTAGAAAACAAATAAAACATTATTCATTTTTTCTTTAAGTTAAAATGAGATAATTTTTTATAAAATTAATTTCTGTTATACTCTCACAAAATATGTCACTTCTACTAGCATAGTGAATAAATCCTCTTTGATTCATAAAATAATTATAGACATACAAAGCTAGATATTACATGAAGTTACATTTAAGAGGGAAGCTGAGTGTTTAGATCTCTTTTAACTTACCTTGTCCATTAGCACAGGAAACCCACAAGGTCAGAATGACATTGATTAGTAACAACATGTTAGATATTCTCAGTAGTATGCTAATACAAAAGTTTCAGTTGCACTGTTTGGGGTTTGAAATCTTTCATTATTAGTTACCAAGTGTGGTTCTGAATTTAAGTGCACTACCATGAAGCTAGGGGCTTTAAGGTCATTTAGTAAATATCAAAGTTCAGAGAGTTTTACAAAATGCTTCAATAATTCCAGTTAGTGGTTTCACAATCATCTGTGGATTTGATTGCCTGATATGTACTGGTACAATTTTATTTAGGCACAGTAATGGACTGAATGCAAAAGTAACATAAAACATTAATTTACTTTATTTCTCATTTTTTGAGTAAAGAGAGTTTCCATAAAGGGAACGAAAGGCTTCTGCAACTATTGGAAGAACTGAGGGAACAAAGGTCAAAAATGCTATTTCCAGAAAATTCTGATGTTCAAGAGTCTTAGTGATGCCCTCACTAATTATCTATGGTGCTGCAGTGGATGTTTCTCAGCAAAACGTCCAGAATCAAAGAAAGCTACTGTTGGTGATCTCAGCTGCTACCAGCAGCTGCTACCAGATAATCCCTTGTCTTTCTCTTCTTCCAAGTCTTCTTTAAGTACATCTCATGGGGGAATCTAAGGGAGAAGCAAGCTATGGAGAAAGGAACTTCAGAAACTGTAGTTTCAGGCTGATCTTCTGCAATGCAGAAGAAAATGAAGATAGGAACTGGGTTGATTTCAAGTTGAAAATAAACATCTGGCACACTCATCTCGTGAAAATCCTGCTGTTTGGCATGGCAAGGTTTTTTTCCCCCCCCCCACAAATGGTCAAAATACTCTTATCCCACATACTCTTCTTAAAATGAGAACACTAATTTTAAAATTAAACACTGGAAAATAGGTGAGTTTCTTCCACATACAGATGAATCATTAATGAGTAACTCTCAGGGTCCATGTCTCTAAAATTTTCTGTTGTCCTTTGCTTTCCAGTACCCAACTTAATTACATAAGGTTGTATGAAAACAAACCGGTGTGTCTGGATCCCATTCCACTCTCTGTATTTTTATGTGTTTAGAGTAGCATACTGATTTTCAGAACTCACAATAGATCATACTGAGTACAAAAGTTTCAGCATATTCTTGATATTTAAATGTTTTTAAAGTTGTGTTTTGGGGTATCTTTTATTTTTAGTACAATACATTCATATATATATATATATATATATATGTATATATATATATATATATATAAAATTTTCTGTTTTGTTGGAAGAATATAACTCAAGTCCACACATGTTCTCTCATTGACTTCTTCTGTTTATTCTTTATTTTACATTACTATACTTGCCGTGGTTTAAGATACTGTTCATTAAAATAAGAGAATCATGGAGAGAATAACATCAGCAAAACTGCAGTGTAGGAGTTCTCCAGCTTCTCTCCCTCCTACAGAAACTTAAAAGCAACCACTGAGAGCCAAGATTACCACCCTGAATATCCTAGAACTTAGAAATGAAGCTATAATATAGCAAACAATTAAAAATAATAGCTACAAAATTGGTTAGAGAGTATGCAATTTAAAAAGTTGTGAGTTGTAACATCAAAAATTCAAAATGTGTGATAAGGTAGAGTAAAAATGTAGAGTTGTTTTTTTCTTTTAAAAAGTGAATCACAAGTTGTTATCTGGTAAAATAAGCTGTTATAAATATAAGAATTTTGTGGGCCTCAGAATAACCACAGCACAAATCCATAATAATTGCACTACAAGTAAAAAGAGAAGAGTCAAACAACACTGATAGAAAAAAATCATTTAACCACAAAAGAGTGAAGAAGAAAGGAAGAAAAAAAATCTGCCAAATGACTAGAATATAATTACCAAATGGCAATAGTTAATCTTTATCTATCAATAATTACCTTGAATGTCAATGGATTGAATTATTCAATTAAAAGACATAGAGTCGGTTAGTGGATTAAAAAGAAAACACTCAACTCTATGCTTGCTACAAGAGACACATGATACCTCTAAGGACTCATAGTCTGAAAGTAAAAGGAGAGAAAGAGATATTCCATGCTGTTGGAAAAGAAGAGCAGGAGCAGAAATATGTAAATGAGATAAAATGGACTTTAACTAAAAACAGAAAAAGAAACAATGAAAGTCATTATATAATGATAAAGGCATCAAATCAGCATATACCCATGGGAATTGTAAACATATATATATATATATATACTCAACATTAGAGCACCTATATATATATATATATAGAGAGAGAGAGAGAGAGAGAGAGTAAATATTAATAGCTCTAAAGAGAGAGAGAGATTGCAATACAATGATAGTAGGAGTTTTCAACTCCCCACTTTCAGCAATGGAAAAATAATTCCCACAGAAAATCAACAAAAAGACATTGGACTTAAAGAACATTCTAGACCAAATAGATCTAACAGACATTTTCGGAATACTTCATTCGACTGCTGCAGAACACATTCTCCTTAACTGCACATAGAATATTCTCCAGAATAGATCATAAGTTAGGTCATAAAGCAAGTTGTAACAGGTTGAAAAAAATAGTAATTATATCAAGAATCTTTTCTGATCATAATGGTATACAACAATTAACATCAGAATAAAACTTGGAAACTTTACAAACACTTGGAAATTAAACAACATGTACATTTAAAACCAATGGCTCAATGAAGGAACTAAAAAAAATTTGGAAAGTTTTTGAGACAAATGACAATGGAAGCACAGCATACTATAATAGATGAGATACAGCAAAACCAGTTCTAAGAGGAAATTTTATAACAATAAATGCCTTATCAAAAAGAATAAATCTCTCAAATAAACAACCAAACATTGCACCTTAAGGAGCTAAAAATTTAAGAACAACATTACTAAAAACAAGTCGAAAAAGAAATAATAAAGATCAGAGCAGAAACAAACAACGCAGAGACTAAATGTAAGTATGACAAAATCAGTAAAGCAAAGATTTTAAAAAAAATTGACAAACATTTTCTTAGACTAAGAAAAATAAGGGAGACGATCCAAATAAATAAAATCAGAGAGGAAAAGGGAGACATTACATCTGGTTCTACAGAAACACAAAGGATCATAAAAACTATAAGGAACAATTGTTTGCCAATAAATTGGTATACCTGGAAGAAATGGACAAATTTTTGGACACATACAACATACCAAGATTGAATTAGGAATAAATAGAAATCTAAACAGACAAATAATGAGTAAGTTGATTAAATCAGTAATAAAATTCACCCATCAAAAAAGCCCAAAACCTGTTATCGTCACTGCTGAATTCTACCAAATATTAAAAAAAAAAAAACTCAGAGTAATTTTTCTCAAACTATGCCAAAAGCAAAGAAAATGGAATTTTTCCAACTTATTGTAGCATGCCAGCATTGCCCTGATACCAAAACCAAACAAGGAAACAACACAAAAAGAAAACTACAGGCTGATGTCCCTGTTGAACAGAGGTGTTAAAATTCTTAATAAAATACACAAAAAAGTGAATTTCTGTTCCTTTGTTTGTTTGTTTTTGAGAAGAGGTCTCTCTCTGTCAGCCCGGTTGGAACGCAGGGGTGCCATCCTGGCTGGCTCTATCCTCGACCTCTTGGGCTCAAGCAATCCTTTCACCTCATCCTCCAGAGTAGCTGGGACTATAGGCCTGGGTCAACACACCCAGCTAACTCAAAAGCTAACTGCAGTTTTTAAAAATAGAGTATAATTAAAACAAGGTTTGTATGTACAATGTTGAATCATACAACTTAAAACGTGGAGGGCTCAGAAGAGATCAACTCTTCTACCCCCACCCCCGACATAGGGCAATATCCGTATAGGTCACACTTTTAGAAAATCACTTGACCTCTGATTCGATGTTGGATAATACTGTTACCTGCTTCACTGACTGTGACAGTCCTCATCAAAAGCTAACTTACTCCCCCTCATAAATGTTTTGAAATATCTCAAGACAGTCATTATAATGCTATAACTCTATCTTTTTGCATGCTTCTTATGCTATAATTTCTTTAACTCTTCAACTATCTATATATTCTCTTCTATGCCATGATAGTTGGAAACCAATCATTTTAAAACGTGGTAGGCTAAGTACGGTATATTATTACAGACATGATATTTGGTGGGCAAACCACACAGTTGAGAGTACTTTGTTGACACTGAAAAACATCATTTCCTCATGAAGCCTGAAAGAGATAGATGTTCTCCTCAGTACCACCATTGTCTATTAATATTAGGGTTATTAATGAAAATCTTCATTTTCCTCCACTTAATTTACTTTTAAAGCTAAATACAAATGTTGTTTCCACTAAGTAAATCTGCCAACAAAAAAATAAAAATTCTTTTTTGACTTGAATGCCTCATGAATGATTTATCTGTTCTTAACAGATAAATAAAAAAGACTTTTTTTTTTTTTTGAGACAGAATCTTGCTCAGTTGCCCAGGCTGGAGTGCAGTGACTCGATCTCCGCTCACTGCAAGCTCTGCCTCCTGGATTCACGCAATAATCCCGCCTCAGCCTCCCGAGTAGCTGGGACTACAGACGCCCGCCACCACGCCCAGATAATTTTTTTTGTATATTTTTTAGTAGAGACGGGGTTTCGCCCTGTTAGCCAGGATGGTCTTGATCTCCTGACCTCGTGATCCGCCCTCCTCGGCCTCCCAAAGTGCTGGGATTACAGGTGTGAGCCACTGTGCCCGGCCAAAAAGACATTTTTGAAGGAAGTTAAAATTTTAATTAAAAACATGTTGCTGATTTCTTTTGCTTTGAAGATTAGTTCTCTTGAGATAAATGGTATAGAGTAATATTCTTTGAATGTATATGTGAATTTCAGTATAGACATAGGTTTGCTGTAATAGCTATTTTCGCTGAGTCAGCTATAAAAATATTCCATGCTCTATTTGTTCATAATATAGTAATTATTGACAGAACATTTTTTGGGGGAAATTCATGTCAATCATTCTCATTACCTCTCTCAATAATAACTGAACTTCTGCAATTGTGGTGTTCCCTTTCACTCAATTTTTTTCTGTCAAAACGAACAAACAAACAGGCGCAAAAAAACCCTGGCAATAACCTTTGATAAACATCGTCTCTCAACCATTTTCTTCTGAGATTGCAGCAATCATAACTAGTTTCCTGATCCTGACCTCTCATCTTTGTAATCTATTTCCCTGTGTATAAATTAATGACCTTTCATCTGGTCATTTTATTTCTCCACTTAAAATCTTTAATGGATCTCAAGTCAGCTAACAGGACAAGAACCTCATTTCACTTTCTCTACTTCTACTAACATAGTATGGTCTCTTCAGCAATTCTGGAGGTTTTATCAGCATTAATTTAAACTGAGCTTATCTACAACTATACCAAGTTAAGCTCAAGCTGCCAGTTCAGGGTGCACGCATTAGCAATGATTGTTTTTTGGAAAAGAGAGACAAGAAATATGACTGTAACATAAAAAATCTGATATGTAGCAAATTATCTCCAGATATAAAACATTTTGTTTAGTTTTGTGGCATTTTGTTTGTATGCGATGGCATGCATTCTTACCATAGTTAGAATTCATGTGTCAGATAAGATATATTATTGACATAAAAAATAAGTGCATAGACGAATGTACAAATATGTATATATTCTTACATTCTATAGGTATGTATACCTATAGAATGTTGAACAACATCACAATTTAAATAGCATATCATTTATGTTTACTCTATAATTATGGAACAAGTGATAGAAAATAGTATTTACATTCTATTTGTTATGAAAACTTAAGAATATAATTAAATAAAAGTTAAGTTTGAATCATCATAAACCAGAGAGAACTAGAAAGACGCTAGTGGCACAACAGCTTTAGTGTGCAGATGAGAAGACTAAGTTCAGAGAAGTGACATCTTTACTTTGAGGGAAGCGTTTGCTAGTTACAGAACTGGATCCAGAGGCTTGTTGGGCGACGCATGACACCTTCTCTGACCCAGTCCCTCAAGCATGGATGCACAGTTTTCTGCTGAGTGTCTCCTCCGTATTGGAAAATCGAAACTTCCCGGCCCTGTGTAACCTCCTGAGATACTCTTACATTTTCTTATGATTGCAGGATATTTAGTCCGAGGTAGAAAGGGACATAAACTAAAGGAAATCATTTAAATCTTTCTTTTTTTCTTCATTTTTATTTTTATTTTTAATAGTCTTGCTCTGTCTCCAAAGCTAGAGTGCAGTGGCACTATATTGGCTCACGTCAACCTCTGTCTCCCGGGTTCAAGTGATTCTCCTGCCTCAGTCTCCTGTGAAGCTGGAATTACAGGTGTGTGCCGCCACATCCAGCTATTTTTTTAAACTTTTAGTAGAGACAGCATTTCATCATGTTGGCCAACTCCTGGCCTCAAGTGATCTGCGCGCCTTGGCCCTCGAAAGTGCTGGGATTAATGTGTGAGCCATCCTGCTCGGCCAAAAATTATTTTTCTTAGTCAACGATAATTTCGAACCTGAAGTGAGTTTTTCATGGTTTAGGTTTGTTTCTAAAAATCGTTCTTCCCACTAAAAGGCACTGGAATTTCATAGAGAAATTATTGAAACTTAGTCTGTAGTAGGAAAAGTCAAGGAAAGTATGGGCTCTTATGTTATGCCAAAGCTTAATGGGGGCACATGAAATATACACAGAAGCCATCTTCTTAGTGAGATGTGAAACAAATTTCAGCATCCCAAAGAAGTACAATGGCAATTAACTGTAATGCATTTGGTACTGTAATGATCAGTTTAAAAGGGATTTAAAAGCAACCCTGCTCTACAATGTTAATTGTCACTCTTGACACTTTGTTATGGCAACTCTAGTAGATGAATATAAAATTTATACAATTCTGAAAGGATATTCATAATTAAAAATAATGTTATTGACAACCTATTTTTAAATAAGTATAAATAACTTATGACTTGATGGAAGAAATAATGGCCAATACAAATTCAATGAACATTATAATAGGTTACAATTACAAATTTTCTGTCAAGTTTGTCTTTCAAATAGCGTGGTTTCCAAAAGAATTGGTGTGCCGATTTTATTGTTCAGAACTGAAATATCAACTACCATTAAAAAAATTTTATTAGCATAAGCAATTCACAAAGTATGTCCTTCATTAATGATATGAAAAATCTTTCTTAGATTTGATTTACTAGATTCTGAATATAGATGAATACAGATATATATACACATAAAGTATTCA
Source organism: Homo sapiens (assembly GCF_000001405.40). NCBI lineage: Eukaryota > Metazoa > Chordata > Mammalia > Primates > Hominidae > Homo > Homo sapiens. The sequence continues at coordinate 196,767,681 of NC_000001.11, read as the reverse complement.
ACAAGACAAAAATCAGCAGGAAAATACACCCAAGATGTAATTACCAAATTCTGATGAATAGCCTCTAAAATCTGTGTGGTGGCTACATATATATATATATATTCTTGAGTAAAAAGTAAAAAATTATTTTTAGTTATTAATGTTCTTTTAATAAATTGTGTAAATATCATGGTATTCATCTGCTAGAGCTACCATAACAAAGTACCACTGATTTCATAGAAATTTATTTTCTCACAGTTCTGGAGGCTAATAGTTTGAGATAGAGCTGTCAACAGGATTGGATTCTTCTGAGACCTCTTCCTTTGCCTTGTAAATGGTTGTATTCTTTCTATGCCTTGCGTGATCTTTCTCTATATGGTGTGTTCTTATTTTCTCTTCCTATATAGACACCAGTTATACTGGAGTAGGACCCACCTGAATCATTGGCCTTTAACTTAATTACATCTTTAAGCACTCCTTCTCCAAATGCAGTCACATTCTCAGGTATTGGGAATTTGGACTTTAACAAATGAATTTTGGCGGGATGCAATTGAGCCAATGCTACTGAATACACAAAGATGTTTCTCTCTAACCAAGACTTTGAAAGTAACCCAATGAGTTACTTTCTCCTTTGAGAAATATAGGTGCGACCCAAATTTACAAGACATTTTGCTCAAGTTTACTCTTACAAAGAGTTCATTGGAGGAGACAAGTTTTCAACTGGAATATCAGATAAGGAAGAATTTGTCATCATTCTTTTCTATAGTGCTTTTAAGAAAGTAAGTAAGAAAGTATAGTGCATATGCTTTTCTAATTCCAGTCATTTCAGAATGGTACTACTTTTCTTCTTTTCATTCTACTTTAATCTATTTAATCTTTATTTGAAAAAAATGTACCTGTATCAGTTCAGTTAACAAAGGAAATAACAGGAGAATTTCCTTTTTTTTCCATTTTAGCACAGATCAAGTTTGATTTTGCACAACAAATAAAACTAGCAAATCATGTGATAGATAATACTGTAAAACCTAAAGCTCTTTACCTAGAATCAAATAAAGTGGCATAGCTTTGAGAAGAGAGGCTGAGGGAAAAGATACTCTCATAAATTGATAATTGGATTTCCAGTATTACCCTCCACTACATTTGTTGAAATATTATGAAGTTTTGGATAATTACAAAATTTGTATTCTTCATTAATGGCCACAAACCTTTGATTGTCCATGACATTTGACCCATGTGGTTCCACTGCTAATGTTACGATATAGTTCTTTAATATGCAAGGCCTGCATTCAAAAAGGTAGTTAATATAGAAAATATATGACTGTTGAGGAGAAAACAAATCAGTGAACAATAACATAAAGCTATAAAAAATAATTATGTATTTATTTATTGAACATTTGCTAGTGAGCTCAGAAATGCAAAATTTACTGTCATTTAAAAGTAAGTTAAGCATATAGTCTACTTTTTGATTATATTCATGTTGTGATTTACATGTTGTGATTTACATGTTGCTAATCTTGTTGAAATATTAAGTTCATATTAATGTTAATTCATTTTAGCAGCTTTCTTAAGGTATTATAGAAATAAAAGAAACTGCAGAATTTAAAATGTATTATTTGATGTTTTGATATATGAATCTATAAAAAATCACCATCTGTAAGATTATGAAAATATCAGTCACTCCCCTTGCATTACAAATAAGAAACTTCTGAACATTTTAAGGTTAGAATCTGTCTAGTGACATGTTTCCTACTTAAAGTTTCATGAGTATATTCACATATCTCCATAATCAATATTAAATGTCTTTTACACTGTAGAACTTATAAAACAAAGAAAATATTATTCATTGTTTAAGTTAAAATGAGATAATATTTCATAAAATTAATTTCTGTTATAGTCTTACAAAATATGCTATTTCTACTAGCATAGTGAATAAATCCTCTTTGGTTCATAAAAAATTGTAGACATGGAGACATAGGAAGCTAGATATTACATGAAGTTACATTTAAGATGGGAGCTGAGTGTTTAGATCTCTTTCAATTTACCTTGTCCATTAGCATAGGAAACCCACAAGGTTAGAATGACATTAATTAGTAACAACATGTTAGATATTCTCAGTAGTATAGTAATGCAAAAGTTTCAGTTGTACTGTTTGGAGTTTGAAATCTTTCATTATTAGTTACCAAGGGTGATTCCGAATTTGAGGAAACTACCACGAAGCTAGGCCTTTAAGGTCACTTAGTAAATATCAAAGTTCAGAGAGTTTTGCAAAATGCTTCAATAATTCCAGTTAGTGGTTTCACAACCATCTGTGGAATTGATTCCCTGAAATGTACTTGTAAAATATTATTTAGGGACAGTAATGGACTGAATCCAAAAGTAATATAAAACATTAATTTATTTTATCTCTCATTTTTTGAGTAAAGAGAGTATCAATAAAGGGAACGAAAGGCTTCTGCAACTACTGGAAGAACTGAGGGAACAAAGGTCATAAATGCTATTTCCAGAAAATTCCGAAGTTCAGGAATCTTAGTGATGCCCCACTAATTATCCATTGTACTGCAGTGGATGTTTCTTAGGAAAACTTCCAGAAGCAAGGAAAGCTACTGTTGGTGATCTCAGCTGCTACCAGCAGCTGCTACCAGATAATGCCTTGCCTTTCACTTGGTCCAAGTTTTCTTTAGGTACATCTCATGGGGGAATCTAAGGGAGAAGCAAGCTAAAATACAAATACAGCTACAAATACAAATACAAGCTAAAAATAAAATAGCTTGTAAAATACAAATACAAATTAAAATAAAAATTCCTAATACAGATCGTATTAGGAATAAATAGAAAATCAAAACAAACAAATAATGAGTAAGTTGATTAAATCAGTAATAAAATTCACCTATCAAAAAAGCCCAACGCCTGTTATCTTCACTGCTGAATTCAACCAAACAGTATAAAAAACTGGTAGTATTTTTTTTCAAACTATGCATAAAATAAAGATGAGCAGACATACACAAACCAATAGATGTAACATATCACAATAACAGAATCAACAAAACTATATGATCATTTTCATAGAAGTACTAAAAACATTTGAGAAACTTTGACATTTCTTCATGATAAAGAGTCTCCACAAATTAGGCAGAGCAGAGCCAGATGGTGGAATAGGAGACACCAACCATTCCCCTTCAAAGATACCAAGTTAACAACTATGTACACAGAAAAAAAAAAAAACACCTTCATAAAATGAAAACATTATCAGATTAGCACTCATAGTACATGGTTTTAACTTCATATCCCTGAAAGAGGCACGTAAGAGATAGGTCAGACAATCTTGAGTCACTGACACTACCCTTTCCCCTCTCCCCACACTTGCAGCTGTGCCATGATGTACAGAGCCTTGCTCTAGGCACTGAGGGAGGGAGAACATAGCAATTGTGAGGCATTGAACAAAATGCTGTGCTGTTAGAGCAGAAAGGAAAGCCAAACCAAACTCAGCTAACCCCTTCCCATGGAGGGAGTATTTAAACCAATGCTAGCCATGACGGTATTGCTGACCGCAGGGGTCTGAAATCAAGTTCCCACAAATCTTGCCACCTAGGGCTACCTACCATGCATTGTGTCTCTAAATAAACTAGAAAGACAGTCTAGGACATAAGGACTGCACACATATGTGAGTCTTAGTGCTGAACTAGGCTCAGAGACTATGGACTGGGGGAAGACACAGAATATTCAGAGACACCAACTGCACCAGCTGAGGCAGCCAAGAGCATGCTGGCATCACCCAACCCCTAACCCCAGGCTTCACATTTCACAGCTCCAAAAGAAACCCCTTCCTTCTGCTTGAGGAGAGGAGAGGGAAGAACGGGGAAGACTTTGTCTTACATCTTGGATATCAGCTCAGACAAAGCAGGATAGGGCAACTGTCAAAGGAATGAGGCCCCTGCTTTAAGCCCTAGCTCCCAGATGACATTTCTTGACATACCCTGAACCAAAAGGGAACCCAATGCCCTGAAGGAAATGATGCAGTCCTGGCAGCATTCACCCAGCCTAACTGAAGAGCCCTTGGCCCTCAATAACCTGCAGTGATACCCAGATACTATGTTGAGGGCCTTAGGTGAGCCTCTGAGACTTGCTGGCTTCAGGTACCAGCATGGCCACAGGGGATAGAGAACCACCTGGGCTCCCAGGGTCCCCAGTTCCTGGACTTGACTGGTGGGTGGCATTTTTGGACATACCATGGACCAGATGGGAGCCCAGTTCCCAGAAGGGTGAATCCTAGGCTAGCCAGCATTCACCACAAACTGACTTAGGAGCACCTAAACCTTAAGGGAACATCAGCAGTTGTCTGGCAGTACTCCTCATGGCCTGGAGTGGTGTTAGACCATAGGGTGAGGCTCCTCTGACTTTGGAAAGGGGAGGGAACAGTGAGGAGGATTTTTTTTTATTATTATACTTTAAGGTTTAGGGTACATGTGCACAACGTGAAGGTTAGTTACCTATGTATACATGTGCCATGTTGGTGTGCTGAACCCAGTAACTCGTCATTTAACATTAGGTATATCTCCAAATGCTATCCCTCCCCCCTCCCCCCACCCCACCCCACAACATTTTAACTTGCAATATGACTGCCAGCCCAGATACAGTACCATATAACATCAAGCAGACATCTAAGGTTTTTGAAACTGGTCCCCTGGAAACCACCCTGGTCCAGGGGCCCTCATCACTCTGAATTCTCTCAGATCATGTGCAAGACCATCAATAGAGTACCCCCAGAAGTCTGCAAGAACCACTGCATTGGTGGGATTTTGACACCCTGTAAAGAAGTTACAGCTTAGGTCACAACACCCAAGTCCTTTCAAACATGTGGAACATCTTGCCAAGAAGGATGGTTACAATTAAGCCCAGACAGTGAAGAAAACAATAAATACCTAACTCTTCAGTGCCCAGACACAGAAGAATATCTGCTAGCATTAACGCCATCCAGGAAAACCCGACCTCACCAAATGAACTAAACAAAGCACCAGGGAACAATCCTAGAGAAACTGAGTTATGTCACCTTTCAAACAACGAATTCAAAATAGTTTTGTTGAAGAAACTCAAAGAAAATCAAGATAACACAGAGAAGGAATTCTGAACTCTATCAGATAAATTGAACAAAGAGATTGAAATAATTTTAAAAAATCAAGCAGAGATTCTGGAGCCGAAACATGCAATTGACATACTGAAGAAGATATTACACGTGCTATTCTTTAATAGCAGAATAGATCAAGCAGAAGAAAGAATTGTTGAGCTTGAAGACAAGCTATGTGAAAATACACAGTCAGAGGAGACAAAAAAATAAAGAATTAAAAACAATGAAGTATGCCTACAGGATCTAAAAAATAACCTCCAAAAAGCAAATCTAAGAGTATTCACCTTAAGGAAGAAGTAGAGAACGAGATAGGAGTAGAAAGTTTATTCAAATGGATAATCACAAAGAACTTCCCAAACCTAGAGAATGATATCTATATCAGGTACTAGAAGGTTATAGGATGCCAAGCAGATTTAACCCAAAGAAGACTACCTCAACTCATTTAATAATCAAATTCTCTAAGGTCAAGGATAAAGAGACTATTCTAAAATCAGTAAGAACAAAGAAATAAATAACATACAATGGAGCACCAATACATCTGGTAGCAGGCTTTTTAGAGGAATCCTTACAGGAGTGATATGACACATGCTGACAGAAAAATAACGTTTATCCTAGAGTAGAATATCTGGTGAAAATATCCCTTAAACATAAAGAAGAAATAAAGACATTCTCAGATAAGCAAAAGGTGAGGAATTTTATTATGCCAGACCTGTCCTACAAGAAATGCTAAAGGGAATATTTCAATCAAAAAATTAAATTCATGAACAATAATCACCTGAAGACACAAATCTCACTGGTAATAGTAAGTACATAGAAAAATACAGAATATTAAAACACTGCAACTGGGTTGTGTAAGCTAATATCCTAAGTAGAAAGACTAAATAATGAACTAATGAAACATAATAACTACAGATTTTCAAGACATAGTCTGTACAATAAGATAAAAATAGAAACAACAAAAAGTTTGAAAGCAGAAGGGAAAATTAAGGTGGAGAGTATTTATGAGTTTTCTTTGGCTTGTTTGTTTATGCAAACAGTGTTAAGTTGTTTTCTGGTTATAAGATAGTATTTGCAATCCTTATGGCAAGTTGAAACAAAAAATTAAAGAATCTGGAAATTAAAGAATATGCCCCTGAATGCACAGTGGATCAATGAAGAAATTAAAATATTTTGTGAAACAAATGATAATGGAAACACAAAACCTATGGGATATAGCAGTTTTAGTACCAAGAGAAAAATTTATAGCTATAAGTGACTACATAAAAAAGAAAGGAAAAACTTCAAATAAACAATTTGGTGATTTATGTTAAAGAACTAGAAAAGGAAGGGCAATCCAAATCCAAAATTATTAGAAGAAAATAAATAATAAATATCACAGCAGATAAACTTGAAATTGAAATGAATAAAATACAAAGATCAATGAAACATAAGTTGTTATTTTAAAATATTAAACATGCTGATCAACCTTTATCCAGACTAAGAGAAAAAGAGTGAGAATTCAAATAAATAAAATCAGAAATGAAAAGGAAACATTACATCTGATCCTGGAGAAATTCAAAGAATCATTATTGGCCACTATGTGGAATGATATTCCAATAAATTGGAAAATCTAGAAGAAATGGACAAATTCCTAGACACATAAAACCTACTAAGATTGAAGCAGAAAGAAATCCAAAACCTGAACAGATCAATTATTAATACAAGTAATGAGATCAAAGCCAGAATAAAAAGTCTCATAGTAAAGAAAAGCTCAGGACATATTGGCTTCACTGTTGAATTCTCCCTAACATTTAAAGAAGAACTAGTACCAATTCTACTCTAACTATTTTGAAAAATAGAGGAGGAGGAGGAGCAAATACTTCCAATGTGAGGCTAATATTACCCTGAAAAGAAAATCAGACAAAGACACATTAAAAAAAGAATACTACAGGTCAATATCTCTGACAAATGTAATTGTAAAAATTCTCAACAAAAGAATAGCAAACAAATTTAACAGCATACTAGAAAGATCATTCAACATGACCAAATGGGATTTATCCTTGAGATGCAAAGATGGCTCAACATATACAACTCAATCAATGTAATACATCATACCAACACAATGAAGGATATAAACCACATGATTATTTCAATTGATTCCAAAAAGGCATTTGATAAAATTCAAAATCCTTCATGATAAAACACTAAAGAAAACTGAAGATAGAAGGAACACACCCAAACATAATCAAAGCTGCATTTGACAGACACACAGCTACTCTCAAACTGAATGGAGAAAGTCTGAAATAATTTCCTCAAAGTACTGGAACATGACAAGGATACCCACTTCACCACTGTTATTCAACATAATACTGGAAGTCCTGGCTACAGCAGTTAGACAAGAGAGGGATATAAAGGTATCCAAACTGAAAAGAAAGAAGCCAAATTATCTTTGTTTGCAGATGGTATAAGTTTTTTTCGATAAACGTAAGGTAATCACCAGAAAACTATTAGAACTGATAAACAAATCCAGTAAAGGTGCAAGATATAATATCAACATAAAAAACCAGTAGCATTTGTATATGTTGACAGCAAACAATCTGAAAAAAATCCTAAAGGTAATCCCATTTACAGTAACCACAGATAAAAATAAATAATTAGATATTAACCAAAGAAGTCAAAGATCTCTATAAGAAAAACAGTAAAACACTAAAAATAGAAGTTGAAGAGGACACCAAAAATAAAAAAGATATTTCATGATCATGGACTGGAAGGATCAATATTGTTATAATGTCCATACTACCCAAGGCAATCTACAGATTCAAGAAATCACTATGAAAATACCAGGGACATTCTTCACAGTAATAGAGAAAAACAATCCTAAAATTTTTATGGTACCACAAAAGCTAAAGGTACCCAAAATAGCTAAAGCTATCCTAAGCAATAAAAACAAAACTGAAGGAATAACATTACCTGACTTCAAATTATACTACAGAGTTGTAGTAACTAAAACAGCATAGTACTGGCATAAAAACAGACATACAGTCTAATGGAACAGAATAGAGAACACAGAAACAAATTTACACATCTACAGTGAATGCATTTTTGACAAAGGGACGTTGTGGAAAAGACAGTCTCTTCAATTAACGGTTCTAGGAAAACTGGATTTTCATATGCAGAAGAATGAAACTAGACCTCTATGTTTCACCATATCCAAAAATCAAATCAAATGGATAAAGACTTAAGTCTAAGACCTCAAACTATGAAACTTCTACCAGAAAACATTGGGGAAAATCTCAAGGACTTTGTTCTGGGCAAAAATTTCTTCAGCAATAACTCACAAGCACAGGCAAGCAAAGCAGAAATGGACAAATGAGATCACATCAAGTTAAAAATGTTCTGCACAGCAAAGGACACAATGAACAAAGTGAAGAAATAACACTGAGTGGGACAAAATATTGCAAACTACCCATCTGACAAGGGATTAATAACCAGAATAATTAAAGAGCTCAAACAACTCTATCAGAAATCATCTAATAATCAGATCAAAAAAGGGCAAAAGATCTGAATATAGATTTCTTAAAAGGATACATTCAAATGGAAAACAGACATGTGAAAAGATGATCAACATAACTGATCATCAGAGAAATGCAAATCAGAACTACAGTGAGATATCATCTCACTCCAGTGAAAATGGCTTATATGGAAAAGAGAGAAAATAACAGATGCTAATGAGGATGTGGAGAATAGGGAAATCTTGTACACTGTTGGTGGGAATGTAAATTAATACAACCACTATGGAGAACAGTTTGGAGGTTTCTTAGAAAACTAAAAATTGAGCTACCTTATGATCCAGCCATCCTAATGCTGTGTATACAACAGCAGTGTACGGAAATCAGTGTATGGAAGCGGTATCTGCACACCTATGTTTGTTGCCTCACTGTATACAATAGCTACGATTTGGAAGCCACCAAAGTGTCCATCAACAGATGAATGAATAAATAAAATGTGGCACACATACACAATGGAGTACTACTTTGCCATAATAAAGAATGAGATCCAATCATTTGCAACAACATGGATGGAACTGGAGATCATTATTTTAAGTGAAATTAGCCAGGCACAGAAATACAAACCTCACATGTTCTCACTTATCTGTGGCATCTAAAAATCAAAACAATTGAACTCTTGGACATAGAAAGTTGAAGGATGGTTACTAGAGACTGTGAAGGGTGGTATAGGGCTAGAGGGGAGATGGGGATGGTCAATGTGTACGAAAAAAAATAGAAAAAATAAATAAGTCCATCTATTTGACAGCACAATCGGTTGGCTATAGTCAATGATAACTTACTTGTACATTTTAAAATAACTTATACAGTATTATTGGATGGTTGGAACTCAAAGGAAAGATACTTGAGGGCATGTATACCCCATTCCCCATGATGTGCTCATTTCACATTGTATGCCTGTATCAAAACATTCTAAGTACTCCATCAATACATACACCTACTGTACACCTATGATGTGCACAGGAAAATTTAAAAACATATGTATAGAAGAAAAGTACCCCAATACCATAAATAGCATATATGACAAACCCATAGGTAACTTTTATATTCCATGGCTGTCATCACAATGTGTTATTGGCATTGACCAGAGTAGAATAAAACACTACTAGATATGTAAAGAAGCAGAAAATACGGCCCATATTTAGAAGAAAAAGATCTATCAATAATGCTAAAGACAAACCATATAGTAAATATAGTAAAATAAGCAAAACCTCCTCCATAACTTTAAAATAACTGCAAAACATAAGACAAAAATCTTCAGGAAAATATATACGTAAATGTTGAAGAGAGGTGGAATTTCAGTTGAATAATGACACTTAGCCAAGTATAACAGGTTACTGAAAACATTTTCAGTTATAATGAAATTTTACTCTATCTGTAAGTAGTGTTCGTAAAAACTTTATAAAAGTATTGTAATTTTTAAAACTATTGTTAGTATTTTAAAGATGGTTGTTTTTGAAATTCTATAAAAAAATAATCTTTTTGAAAATAATTTTATTTTTCCAAGTGTCCCAACCTTTTGCAACATCTGTGATTGGTCAGAAATATGGATGATAATAAACTTTAAAATACAGCACAAGGTGTTTTCAAAGTTCTTTGCATAAAATATAATCAGAAATTACTGACCAAGGACCTTAGTGAAGAACACCAGGAATCCACTAATATTGTTAAGTGTGCTATTAACAAAAAAAGAGTCAGCCCCTTCATTAATTACTTTTTAAAGTATAGCATAGCAAAAAACCTTGACTATCCAAAATGACACACAAAAGTAAGTAGGTTCCTCAGCGGTTATTTAGGAGTTTATATGACTTTATGTATTAGTTGATAGTATTTTAATTTTTTCAATATTCAGTGAATACAAAGTGAAATACCCAAACTGAAACATGCTTCATACTTTTATCTTTTTTTACATAAAATTTCTCCTATGGAATAATTTTAGATTTACATAAAAGTTGTAAAGAGTATTCAGATAAGGTCTTTGTTAATCTGAAAATCAATAAAACAAAGATTAGATTTATTACATGAATGTCAAATGAACTTATTTTTTGTAAGATAAGCATACTTACAAAAGACATTTAGCTTCTCTTTCTGTAGTAGTTAGAAAGGCTAGGCTTAAATATATTAAATAGAATATATGTACTCAGCAATATTGAAATATATAATATTATCACTATTATTATTATTATTATTAAGTGTGAACACCATGCTGTGAAATAGATAGTAAAATGTATTCCTCTAGTCTAACTGAAAATTTATACCCTTTGACCAACACCTCCTAGAAACACCGCCATCCCTTCAGCTTCTGGTAACCACCACTCTACTCTCACCTTCTGTAAATTTGAATTTCTTAGATTCCACATATCAATAAGATCATGCAGGATTTTTCTTTGTGTTGACTTTATTTTAGATAGCATAATGTCCACTAGATTCATCCACGTTTTCCCTATTGACAAAATTGTCTTCTTTTTAGTTTGTATAGTATTCTACTGTGTATCTATACCACATATTCTCTTTTTGTAAACATTTTCATTTATTTTTTATTGGCAAATAAAATTGCATATATTTATTATGTAAAACATATTGTGTTGAAATATGTATACATTAGATAGTGGCTAAATCAAGCTAATAAATATATGCTTTCCTTCACATACTTCTCATTTTTGTGTGTGGTGAGACTGCTTAAAATCTACACTAAGTAGTTTTCAAGAATACAACATATTATTGTTAACTAAAGTCACCATATTTTACAACGGATTGCATGTATAAGTGCAATCATGTGGTTTTGTCTGTCTTATTCCACCTAACTTAATGTCCTCCCTGTTTATTCTATGTTCTTGAAAATGCAGGATTTCCTTTTTTCAAAGCTGAATAGTATTACATTGTGTATATAGACCACATTTTCTTTATCTATTCATCTGTAATGGATACTTAAGTTGATTCCATATTTTGGCTATTATAAATAATGCTGTAATGAAGATGGGAATGCAGATAACTCTTTGACATACTGATTCCTTTTTCTTTGTACATATATTCAGTAGTAGGATTACTGGATTGATTATATGTTCTGCTTTTCATTTTTGACAAACTCTATAGTATTTTCCATAATGGCTATACTAATATACATTTCCATCAACAATGTGCAAGTGTGTCCTTTTCTCCACATGTTTGATAACACTTGATGTTTTTTTGTATTGTTGATAATAATACTTGTTGGCCATTGGTACGTCTTCTTTTGAGAAATGTCCATTCAGGTACATTGCCTATTTTTAAATTGGTTAATTCCTTTTTATTAGCCATTGAGTTGAGTTCCTTATATATTTTGAATATTAACGCTTTATCAGATATATGGCTTGCAAATATTTTTCCAACTCATGAGTTGTCTCTTCACTCTGGGCATTGTTTACTTTGCTGTGCAGAAGCTTTTTAGTTTGATGTAATACAATGTGTGTATTTTTCCTTTTGTTGCCTATGCTTGGGGAACCAATCCAAGAAATCATAGCCCAGACCAATGTCATGTATTTTTTTCTCTTTTATTTTCCTCTAGCAGTTTTATAGTTTCAAGCTTTACATGTCAGTCTTACATATATTCTGAGTAGTTTTATGTAGTGTGAAACAGTGGATCAATTACATTCTTCTATGTGTGAATATCCGATTTTCCCAGCAAGATGTATTGAAGAGACTATTATTTTCCCTATGTGAGTTCTTGTCATCTTTATTGAAAATATATTGAATTCTATTCTGTTTTATTGGTGTCTTGTTTTATGCCAATGTCATGCTATCGTGCCTATAATAGCATTATATCATAATTCAAAATTTAGAAGTGTAATGCCTCCAGCTTTGTTCTTTTTAATCAAAATTACTTTGACCTTCGGGATCTCTTGTCATTTCATACATATTTTTGAACTGTTTTTCATTTTTCTGTGAAAAATGACATTAGAATTTTGATGGGGACTGCATTGAATCCTTACATCTTTTTGTGTAATATGAACATTTTATCCATATTAAATCTTGCAGTCCCTGAACATGGGCTATTTTTCTGTTTATGTGTGTCTTCTTCAATTTGTTTCATCAATATTGTATTGTTTAAAATATATAGATTTTTGAGATCCTTGGTTAAATTTACTCCTAATTTTATTTTTTGGTGTTATCAGAAAAGGAATAGATCTTTAAATTTCTTTTTCAGACAGTTTATTGTTAGTATATAAGAAAGAAAAAAGCAAAATCTAAGCATGAAGAACACAAGTGAAAATTAATATACAACTCTATGGATTCGGTAATAGGGTGAACCAGAGATAAGAAGTATTTAAATCATTTTTGAAAAGAAGATTCACACTCAGAGTCAACTATCTAGGGGCAAAATAAACACAAAGAAATTTTAATTTTCACTTAGTAGTTTAACTACTAATAGCAACGTTTCATTACACTTTTGACATTTTCATGAATGAGTCAGTAAAGACAAATGAGAGAAGAATATATTTAATGAGCATAAACATATAGTTAGATAGAATAAATAAGATCTAGTATTTGATAGCACAACAGGGTGACTATAGTCAAAAGTAATTTATTGCACATTTTAAAATAAGAGGGATAATTGGATTGTTTGTAACACAAAGAAAGTATAAATGCTAGAGATGATGAATACCTCATTTACCCTGATGTGATTATTACACCTTGTATGCCTGTATCAAAATATTTTATGTACCTCATACATACATAGACGTACCATATACTCACAAAAATGAAAACATGTATATACTAAAGTTGTTTTCACAGATGTATTATTAAATTTGAATTGTAAAATCCAGTGAGAACAACAAACTTTTATATTTTATTTATATTTCAAAGATTTTACCACCAAAAATCCCTGAAAATAATTATATTTCCAAAGTATTGGACATTCCCATCTATTACCAATACTTCATGGTTCTTGAGTTCTAAATTTTATTCTGCTTTAAAAATAATCAGACTTTCTAGGAAAGGTGTATGATTTTGAATGTTGGGCAGAGGAAATATAAAGTGAACTTAGAACATGTTATGCTGAAAAAAAAAGAGAGAAATACTCAGATAAAATTAGGGCACATGAGAAGCAATGAGGAGCCAGTTTCCAGAGATATCCAGATTGAATAAATCAAAATACACGACTCCAAGGTGATACAAACAACTACAACAAACAAAAAACCTTTCTGTTTTTACAAAAAGACATATTTATATTTCAAAACCTAGAAGTAATATTTTGGTCCATTAACTTCCATTTTTACTGATTAATGTAATCAATTTTTTCACCCCTATAAAAGTATCATTGGCAAATACAAATTTTTATATTCACGTTATACAACATATTATTTTGATATACATAACATTTTATAATGATTATCATAATGAAGCTAATCAAATATCCAATATCTCACCTTGTTACCTTTTGTATGAATGACATCAGAACACTTAAGAACTATTGTCTTTGTAATTTCAAATATATAATATATTATTAATAACTATAGTCATCATGCTTTACACTAGGTCTCCAGAAATTATTTGTCTTAAAACTTGTATCCTCTGACTGACATCTCTCTATTTCTCCCACTGTGCAACCCCTGGTAACTATACTTCTACTCTCCATATCTATGAGCTCAGGTGTTTTTTAGATTCCAAATATAAATGACATCATGCAGCATTTGTCTTTCTGTGTCTGGTTTACTTCACTTACTTAATATCTGCCATGTTTATCAATGTTGTTAAAAAAGACAGATTTGCCTTCTTTTTAAAGGCAGAATTTAATGTATTCCACTGTATATATGCACCACATTTTCTTTATTCAATCATCTTTGACAGAAACATAAGTTGTTTCCATATCATAGCTATTGTGAACAATCCTGCAAAAAACATGAGAGTGCAGATATTTCTTAGACATACTGATTTTGTTTTCTTTGTTTATACACCCAGAAGTGGAATTGCTGAGTCATGCGATAGTTCTATGTTTAATATTTTGAGGAACCTCCATATAGTTTTCTACAATGGCTGTAACAATCTACATTCCCACCCATAATGTACAAGTGTTTCCTTTTTTCCACATCCTAACCAACACTTGTCATGGAGCTTCAGTGAAATTATTGAAAAATTTATGGGGACAACACCCCAAAAGAAATCAGCCATTTAGAAACAGATAACTCATTTTAGGCAGAGGCAAGACAATGTTAAGGATGAAGCCCACAGCGGCAGACTAGCCACACTAATTTGTGAGAAAAAAATAATTTTGCTCACATCTGGATTAAAGATGACTGATGACTAAGAGCAGAATCAATAGTCAACACCATAATTAGTTCATCTTACAAATTCTGATGGGAAAATCAATGTTATAGCAAAATTTCCATTCAGTGAGACCCAAGACCATTGCACCCAGATGAGGTGTAGTAGACAAGAGAAGAGTGTTTTGTTTTTGAGACTGAGTCTGGCTCCGTTGCCCAGGCTGGAGTGCTGTGGGGCAATCTCAGTTCACTGGAAGCTCCGCCTGCCGGGTTCAGGCCATTCTCCTGCCTCAGCCTCCCCAGTAGCTGGGACTACAGGCGCCCACCACCTCGCCCGCAGATTTTTTTTTATTTTTAGTAGAGACGGGGTTTCACCGTGTTAGCCAGGATAGTCTCGATCTCCTGACCTCGTGATCCTCACGCTTCGGCCTCCCAAAGTGCTGGGATTACAGGCGTGAGCCACGGCGCCCGGCCAGCAAGGGAATAGTTTTTAACGGAAAGTGTATTAAACAAGTGGGAATAAGAACCTGAAACATTTCTTCAAAGATTTGTAACAAGAGCTGAAACATGAGTTTATCAGTATGATCCTGAATACAAAACATAATCAAAGCAATGGCATACCAAAGGTGGAAGTGGTCCAATGAAAGCAAAAGCAGGCCAGTCAGGAGAAAACATCATGGCAACAGTTTATGAGATGGCCAAGGCATTTTACTAGTTGAGTTCTGGAAGGCCAAAGAGAAACATTTGCTTCTTAAGAGAATGTTTTGAGAAAGTTTTCAAAGCTTTAGCAGAAAAATGCCCAGGAAAACTTCATCAGAGAGTCCTCCTCCACCAGAACAATGCTCCTGCTCATTCCTCTCAACAGACAAAAACAATTTTGTGAGAATTTTTATGGGAAATCTTTGAGCATTCCTACATTAAAGTCCTGGTTTGCCTTCTCCTGACTTCTTTCTTTTGCCTAATTTTAAAAAATCTTACAAAGGGTACCCATTGTTTCAGTTAATTATGTGAAAAAGACTGCTTAACATGGATATAGTTCCAGAACCATCGAGTCTTTAGGGATGGACTAAATGGCTTGTATCACTGTTTTCAAAAGTGTGTTGAACTTGATGGAGCTTATGTTAAGAAATAAAGTGTAGTTTTAAAATTTTCTTATTTTAATTCAATTTTCCATGAATATTTGGAAGTGCCTTTATATATGCATGATTTTATTTCGGAGCTTTTAATTCTGTCTATGTATCTTTTTTGTATCAGGACTAAACTGTTCTGATTATTATAGATTTGTAGTGTAATTTGAAACCAGAGAGCATGATAGTGTGCTGTCTCTTCCTTTTTTGTCTTGTAAGACTGCTTTAGCTATTTGGTGTCTCTTGTTCTATATTAATTTTAGAATTTTTTTTCCATTTCTGCGAAAGATGTGTTTAGAATATTGACAATATTGCATGGAATCTGGAGTTTTAGGTATTGAAGACAATTTTATAATATTGATTCTTTTGATCCTTGAAGACAGGACATCTTTTCATTTATTTGTGTTTTCTTCAATTTCTTTCATCAATATTTCATAGTTTTCAGAGTACAGAACTCTCATCTCCTTGCTTTGATTTAGTCTCAAGTATTTTATTATTTTTGATGCTATTGTAAATTAGATGTTTGTTTTCAATTTCTTATTTCAATAGCTTGCTGTTAGTGTATAGAAATGTAACTGGCTCTGTCTGTAGATCTTGTACCCTGCAACTTTACTGAATTGGTTATTACTTTTAGCAAAGTTTGGTGAAGTCCTTGGGTTTTCCATGTATATAATGAGATCATGGCATCTGCAAACAGAGACAACTGTTTTCTTTTCCAATTTCCATGCCTAACAGCTCTAGCCAGGATTTCCAGCACTATGTTGAACATAAGTGGTGAGAGCGAGCCTCCTTGTTTTTTTTTTTTTTTCTGATCATAGACAAAAATGTTTCAACTTTTCACTCTTGAGTATAATGTTAAATGTGAGCCTGTGATATGTAGCCTTTATTGTCTTGGGGTAATTTCTTTTATGGCTAATTTGTTGAGACTTTTTATCATGAAAGGATGTTGATTTTGTTAAATGCTTTTTCTGTATCTATTGAGATGAATATACAATTTTTGCTTTTCATTCTTTTAATTCGGTGTGGAACAGTAATTGATTGGTGTATATATACTATCTTTACATCCCAGATATACATTACTTTTCATTATGGCGAATGATTCCTTTAATGTGTTGTCTTCACTTTGGAAGTATTTTGTTGAGCATTTTTGCCTCTATATTCATGAAGAATATTGACCTATAATTGTTTTTTGTAGTGTCCATGTGTGGCTTTGGTGTCAGTATGATTTTTGACCTCATATAATAAAACTGAGAGTTCACTCTTAAATTTTTGACAGAATTTGAGAAGGATTAGTGTTGATTCTTTAAATGTTTGGTAGGATTCCATCCATCATGAAGCCATGAGTTTTTTTTGTTTTGTTTTGTTTTTTTGATGAGAGACTTTTTATTACTTGTTCATTTTTCTTACTCATTACTGTTCTGTATTAATTTTGTATTTCATTATGTTTCAGTAATCGTGGTAGGTTGTAGATGTCTATGAATATATTTGTTTCCATTAGGTTATCCAACAGTTATATGTTGGCATATAACTGTTCATAGCGGTCTCTTCTGGTTTTTTGTATTTCTGTGCTATCAGTTACAATGTTTCCTGTTTCATTTCTAATTTTATTTGTTCCTTCTCTCTTTTTTAGTTCAGCTAAAGGTTTGTCAATCTTGTTTATATTTTCAAAAGCCAACTTCTAGTTTTGTGGATCCTCTATTATTTTTCCAGTCTGTTTTATTTATTTCTGTTCTGTACCTTACTATTTTTTTCTTTCCAGTAGCTTTGGGTTAATTTTTTTCTTCATTTTCTAGTTTCCTGAGATACAAAGTTACTTGCTTTATTAGGATCTTCATGGAGTCATTCATATCTCTAAACATCCCTTTATACTGCTTTTGTTGCATACCATATGTTTTTTAGAATGTTGCTTTTCCATTTTTGTTTTTCTCAAGATATTTTTAAATTTCCCTTTGAATTTCTTCATTGCCCCATTGGTTGTTCCGGATCATGTTGTTTAATTTCCATGTATTTGTGAATTTCCTAACATTTCTTCTGCTATTGTTTTCTAGTTTCATATGACAATGTTAAAAAAATTTATGTAATTTCAATCTTTTTAAAATTTTTTAAGACTTGTTTTGTGGCCCCACATATGATCTATATTGGAGATTATACCTTGTGTGCTTGAGAAGAATGTTTATTCTACTGTTGTCAAATGGAATGTTCTATATAGGTCTGATAGGTCCATTTGGTCTAATATAGAGTTCAAGTCCAATGTTTTTATTGATTTCTGTATAGACTGTCTATCCATTGTTGAATGTGGGTTATTGAAGTCCCCTACTATTACTGCATTTTTGTCTATTTCTTCCTTTAGATGTATTAATGCTTGCTTTATAAGTTTCATTGCTCCCATGTTGAGTGCATACATATTTGCAATAGTTATAATCTATTTGTGAATTGACTCCTTTGTATAATGACCTTCCTTGTTTCTTTTTACAGATTTGACTTAAAATTCAATTTTAGTTAATGTTAGTATAGCCCCCCTGCTTTCTTTTGGTTTCCATTTACATGGAACATATTTGTTTATCCCTATGCTGTGCTATGGTGTGCATAGTAGTACCCTTTCAAAATATGTGTGTTACGTCCTCATCACTATGGTGATAGTATCAGGAAGTAAGGACTTTTTAGGTGATTAGGTCATGAGGATTCCACCCTAATACATTGGATTAGTCTTTTTACAAAGAAGAGTCATGGAACTCCCTTGCCCCTTCCACATTGTAAGGACATAGTAGGAAGGCACCATAGTGGGAAGGCACCAAAACAGGGAGCAAGCCCTTACAAGACATCAAATCAGTTGGTATCTTAAGCTGGAAAATCTCAGCCTCTAAAACTGTATGAAATAAATTTCTATTTTTTATAAACTAGCCAGTTTATGGTAATTTCTTATAGTGGCTCAAATGTACTAAAACAATTTAGGAATAAACGTATATTCCCAAATGTTAACATTACTATCAACATAAGTTGCTAATTATAACAAATGTCCTTTAGATTTTTGAAATCTGGCTTTCCTCAACTCAAGCAATTTATCTAAATCAGGATCACTAACAAGGAGACAGCCTGAGTATATAAGCCACCTGATTTTATACAGTAAGAAGTAATAAGGTATCATTAAATAATATTTGTGTTGTATTATTGATATCTTTATTTTTCACATAATGGCTTCACCTCCTTTATGAGTTTAAAATGTTCCTAATCAAAAATGATTTTACCTAACTAGTGCTGATTAAAAAGAATGAATATAAAAATTACATTTCAGAACCTTACTATTGAAATTTCCAAAACTCTTCTACTCCAAAAATACTTAAGAGGCTATTTGATGTTAAGATCATTACTGATGAAATCTTTATCATTCTCAACATGCACCGCCTTGCTTGTTAGACATCATTATTTTAAAATAAATTGTGCTTTTGTTTCCAAAGTGATATATGTTAAAGGTAGAAAAATCAGAGGATACCGATATATACAAAAGAATTAAACCCTAACTTTTACCCCTAGTATCTCTAAATACACACACACACACACGCACACACTCACATACATATACATGTATACACACACACACACACACACACACACATTTATCTATAGTTTTGAATTTCCTGGCAATGTTTTTTCTATAAACATTAAATCAGGGCAAAAGTATCATGTTTCTATGTTTGCAAGTGAGTGCATGCAAGTGAGCATGTTATAACTGATACTGTGTTTTTATTTTTTGTATGTTTATGTTGTAATATTTATATACCCTATTACGTTTTAACTCCTCTTTATGATTAGTTTGCATTATCACGTGTGCTAGATTGACATCTTGTAGAAGTATCTACATTTCATCAGTTTTGGTGCATTTATGTATTGATATCACTTTTGGTGCATTTATGTATTGATAAATAGTAATTACTTATATCTCATTACCAACATGAGTTAAGACTTGACTTGGTTTTTACATCTTTGTAAAGTGATATAATTTTGAAATCAGAGACAATGATATGCTTTCCATTTTCTGTAAAACAGTGAGCCTCAGAAGCTGTGGAGAAAGCTTTGGGAGATTTAAGAGTGATGAACAGAAATAAAGTCTGAAAAATTGCGTCTAATTTCTTGCCACAAACATTTTATGAACTGGACACAACCGTTAGTTTTCCAGGATTTAATATGGTGCTTTTAAGAAGAGAGCCACCGGTCTCAGCTTATAATTACATTTTCACAAATTAATCCAAAATTTTACGTATGAATAAAAAGGAGTAAAACAATACATAAAAAATGAAATTGAGAACTGATTTAATACTAAAGTTCTGAATAAAGGTGTGCACTTTATGATTGATTCTATCTTTTTGCACAAGTTGGATACTCCAGTTTCCCATCCCAACATGTTGTTCGCAATGTGTGAGAACGTGATGAAAGACGATATCCCCGTTTACACACAAATTCAACTGATTCACCTGTTCTCGAATAAAGCTTCTGTTTGGCTGTCCACCTTAATGCTATGTTATAATTTTCCATAATTTCTCGGGATATTACACACGGATCTGAAAATAAAAAACAGTAAACATAAAACATTAAGTAGTATGCAAATCTTCATAGACTTTCAGGTTTTCAAGTAGAATGTTATATGATGGTTCAGGAATTATTTCTCAAAACACTATCCAAACCAACTATGTAGAAACATCATATTGATTTGAATAAACTTAGAATGGTAATCGATGTGAAAATGAGGTTCGATGTTTAATGTATGAGAATTAGGGGTGTATTATCAATGATTCATTACATCAGTTGTCATTTTAGGATCCCTGCGTTTTAGAACTTATCATTGCTGCTTTTGATTAAGATATTGGTCAAAGAGTACAAACTTTCAGCTATAATATGAATAAGAACTTGGAATCAAACATAGAGATCTAGTGATATTTAGAGCTAATAATATTGTATTGTTTATTTGAAAATTGGTAAGAAAGCAGATTTTAAGTGTCCTCACCACAAACACACACACACATACTCACACACCCACCTACACCCAATGCTAAGCATAGGTGATGAAGAATGTGCTAATTAATTTGTGGTAATCTTTGTAGCATAAATATATCAAAACAACATATTGTCAAACATCAAAATATATTTTTATTTGTCAACTAAATGCTTTAAAATAAAATATAAATATAAAGAGAAAAATTACTTTTTTTGTTGTTTTTATTGAGACGGAGTCTCGCTTTGTCACCCAGGCTGGAGTGCAGTGGCGCGAACTCGGCTCACTGCAACCTCCGCCTCCCGGGTTCCCGCCATTTTCCTGCCTCAGACTCCCGACTAGCTGGGACTACAGGTGCCCGTCACCATGCCGGTTATTATTATTATTTTGTATTTTTAGTAGAGACGGGGTTTCACCGTGTTAGCCAGGATGGTCCTCAATCTCCTGACCTCGTGATCTGCCCGCCTCAGCCTCCCAAAGTGCTGGGATTACAGGTGTGAGCCACCGCACCCAGCCCTAAAGAGAAAAATTTCTAAACTTTACTTTCTGACAGAAATATTTGGTAGGCAAGCATTCAGCAGAATGGTTGTTCAATAATCTGTGAGTATTTTGTTACAAACAGTGAAATATCAGACTCATCACAGAGATTTTTCCAGCCACGTGAATATTAAAGTACTTACGTAAGCATTTTGGTGGTTCTGACCATTGTCCATTTCTACATGTTATTCGCTTGTTACCCTCAAGTTGATACAAGTTCTGGCATTGGTACTCAACTGATGAAGCTGGAGCATATACTGACAACGGGAATGAAGTAATGTCCCCATTGTCAATAGGTGGAGGGGGCCCACATTTTCCTGTAGAATCTAAAAAACATCATTTCATCACTTGATTTGTTGTGAGAGCAAATCAAAATACAAGTTCAAATAAGGCAAACGCAAACACAGCACTGTATATAATATCAACAGTTTTGTGATTTCTGGTGAAAGAAATGAGTCCTGGAAGAAATTTTAACCCTTTAAACTGAAAGTAATATATTTAAGTTCTTTTCTCCGTACTGAAAGAACACATAAAACATTAACAAATATTGCTGCTTATGGTAGACCAGGATTAAGAAATGTCTTTCCGAATGAATACATGCTAAACATAGAAAACTATGACAAAGGAAGTTTCTTATTTCATATTCGAAAAATCCCATAGGAATTATAAAATGGAAAAGTATGACAAAAATTTTTTAAAAACACTGAATATACTTAATAATACATGGGGAGCTGACAGACAAATAAATCCATGAACTTGAACATACAGCAATATAAATTACCCACTCTGAAAATAAACTGAAAACAAAAAACTGAACTGAGACATTCAGAAAAATACAACAACAAATAATGCCGATGCAGAAAAAGAAGAGAAAGGATATTGGGCTGGAAAAATGAATAAATAAAATGATGCCTGAAAACTTCCCATTTTGACCATAAGGTATAAACTTATATTTAAGAAGCTGAGTGAACTCCAAAGAGGATAAAAACATTGGAATTTATACCAATATACATTAAAATAAAACTACTTTAAAAAAAGAAAAAAATACCTTGAAAGCAACTAGACAAAAACTATGCTTTTCCTCGAGGGGATCAACAATTCAAATGATGCTGAGTTTTTCATCTATAACCATGTGGCACGGTTTTCAAGTGTTCAAAGAACTGTCAACTCCAAATTTGATATCCAGTGACACGATCTTTTACAAGTAAGGGGATCAATACAGACATTCTCAGAGAAAGGGATACCAAGGGAATTTGTCTCCAGTAGACCTATGCCTAAAGATTAACTAAAGGAATTCTTCAAATTAAAATAAAACAGATAAAAGAAAGAGCTTGAGACTTTAGGATCCTGAAAAAATAGAAAAATAGAATGGATAAACAGAGGAGTCAATATAACAGGATATCTTTTTCCTCATAAGTTTTTTCAATTATGTTCGATATTTGAAGCAAGTGAGTTTAATATGGAGCTCAATGTATGCAGAGAAAATACTAGTGGCATTTATACTTACAACGTGGAGAGTGTAAATGGATCTACATGAAAGTAAGGTTTCCATATTCCAGTTGTAGATTTAAATGTCAGTGCCAGTAGACAGTAATATATTATTACATATATAGTATTAGCTAGAGCAACAACTTTTTAAAAGGAGGAGAAAAGCTATACAAAGAGATAGAATGGAAAACAATACATATGAATCGAAATTAATCTCCTTAATAATTTCCCTACAGGGAATGGAGGAATAGGGAAATAGGACTGAAACCCAGAGGAAACAGGCAGAAACAAATAAACGACAGAGATTTAAGTCCTATATATCAATAATTATTTTAAGTGTAAATGGTCCAAGTGCACCAGTTAACAGGCCATGAAAGGATGAATGGATATGTAAACATGACCCAACTATATGCTGTCTACAAAAACTCACTTCAATAATAAACATAGGTAGAGTCTAAGTAAAATAGTGAAAAAAAAAATACAGAAAAACATTAATTTTAAAACATAAAGGTGAGTAAGATACAATTTCCTTTTTTGGTTTCCCTTATTTCATCTCTTTATATTAGAATGACCCAGGACTATGTGCTCGGACTTCTTTTTATAAATACAGTCAGTCACACACCTTTAAATATAATCCATATACTGAAGATGCCCACATTTATATCACAGTCTATGATCTCTCTTCAACTGCCTATTCCATATCTTAGAATGCACATCACTTATGGCTGTCAAATGCACATAATGTATCTTTTATTACACGTATTCCTGAGAAGGAACTAAGTGTTGTAATGCTTAAAAAGTATTGTTTTTCAGGTTCCAACTCTCAATTTGGTCGAATCTTTCTGGAAAATAATATACCCTATTACTTGTGTTCTGTTCACAGGAAGAATTGAATTTTAAGCACCATCAGTCATTTTATTTGCATTTGAAAAATCTATTAATAAAAATGACTTCATTTTGTTTAAATCAACATATTTTAACCCTGCTATACTCCCCCAAAATGTTAAAAGAAATATAATACTCTACCTTTGCATTGAGGTGGTTCCGTCCAGTTTCCATTTAAACACATCACTTCTTCATCCCCAAACATTTCATAAGGGCTCCTACATTGATAACGTACTCTCTCACCAGATGGATATTTACTCATCTGTCTCGACACTATATAAGCATTTTGTACTGTGGGCGGATTCACACAGGAGGTGTCTGAATAGAAAAAAAAGAAGTGGTTCCACCTAGTGTTCATTTTGAGTAGCAAATCAACTGATAACAGTTACAAATATATTTCAAGACGAATTTAAAATAAGTAGACAATCTCATCAAATATTTTGTTGATTTTAATAAATTTAAATGTAATATTGAGGAAAAGACATGAAACTATTTTTTGTAAGGTACAAGCGTTGATGTTTTAAATTTCTTCTTCATCCTTCGCTAGAACACTGATAGACCTTTATTTTTCCCTTCTGGAAGCCAGTGTAAACGAAAGTTTTCCTGGATATCTCTCTTTGAGTTTGAGTAAACAAATATTACCAGTTCTATTTATTTAACATTAATTTATAAAATGCAAAAAGTCAGCATAAATAGATTATGTGATACCAGATTTTTGTTTGCAATCATCCTGCTTATACATTTTAGCCTCTTAAAAATAAACTCAAATAGGCATTTTCTTAGCGAATAAGCAAAGAATTAAAAACACATTTTGAAAATTACCCAAGTTAAAAGGAGGAAGAATGGTTAATCAAAGGATCCAAATTGGAGATGTGGAAAAATTTTTTTAAAAAGCCTATAATAATAAAAATAACCTCAGATAATTTAATTGCCAATGATTAAGGATATTATGCTGAACAATGCAAAATTCATCAGAGAGTTTCATATCCATGTGTAGTGAATAGACTATAGCAATGCTTCTCACTCGGAAGTGTAAATAGAATTCCCTGGAGGTGTTGGTAAAACAGTTTCAGGGTTTTACTTTGAGACTTTTGATTCTGGATGTCTAGAATGAGCTTACGGAATTTTATTTTCATTTCAAACAATCTCCAAGAAGATGATGATGCTACCGGTTTAGCGACCACACTTTGAGAACTATTGAGCTAAGATTAATCATCAAATACTCAGTTCCATCTTTTTATTTTTAGGCATACGACTACTTTGTCCTGCCGTAAAAACTTAATTTATGTCCATTTTAATGATGTTAGAGACAATTCTATATTTTATTCCCAAAACACTCTATATAAATAAATTGTACTTATATATTTATTTATTTCAGGTTTATTTATTTTTTTGAGACGGAATCTCACTCTGTCACCCTGGGTGGAGTGCAGTGGCACGATCTTGGCCCACTTCAATCTTCATCTCCCTGGTTCAAGCGATTCTCCTGCCTCAGTCTCCCAAGTAGCTGGGACTTCAGATGCATGTCACCATGCCCCACTATTTTTTTGTATTTTTAGTAGAGACGGGTTTTCACCATGTTGGCCAGGCTGGTCTCGAACTCCTGACCTCAAGTGATCCGCCCACCTCGGCCTCCCAAAGTGCTGGGATTACAGGCGCCAGCCACTGGGCTGGGCCCACACATTATATAAATAAATTTTGAAAATTCACCAAAGTACCTCTGCATGTTGGCCTTCCTGTCCATCTGCTATTAATGCATGTTACATTACTGGCTCCATCCATTTTGTAATATGTTGCACAAGTGTAAGTCACTTGCTCACCCGCCTTATACACATCCTTCTTCTCTCCCATGGGTATGGCATTTTCAAAGCTAGGTAAACTGAGACAATCTGTTTCTGAAATAGGAAAAATATGTATTTGTTCCGCAAATCTTTAAAAATAGGTTACATACAATACATGTAATGGATTCTAAAATAGCGATATATAGAATCAATGAATACTGTACAACATTTTTCTTATAACTTGAGAAAATATATTAGCCATTTTGTCTTAATTACATTAAATTCTTCTAAATCTATTAAAAATACAAGATAGAAATGATATTAGAAGACTGAAGAAATATTGGTAGCCGTAGCAATTGAGATTACACATTTTTTTGTTCACATTATTTTTGTCCATACTTGCCACCTGATATGGTTAGGCTTTGTGTCCTCACCCAAATCTCATCTTGAATAATAATCTCCAGGTGTTGAGAGAGAGACCTGGTGGGAAGTGATTGGATCATGGTGGCAGTTTCCCACATGCTGTTCTCACGATGGTGAGTGAGTTCTCACAAGATATGATGATTTAATAACTGTTTAGAAGTTCCTCCTTCACTCACTCCTCTCTCTCCTGCCACCTTGTGAAGAAGGTGCCTGCTTCCCCTTCAGCGGTAATGGTAAGTTTCATGACACCTCCTCAGTCATGAGGAACTGTGATCAATTAAAATTTTTTCTTTTATAAATTACCCAGTCTCAGGAAGGTCTTTACAGCAGTGTGAAAACGGAATAATACACCACCTATATTGTGTGTGCATTTCCAAATTTTTTGCTTCTATCAAATGTGAAATACTTATAATGATTTTTTAAAATATTTCAGAAAATGTACTTATAGGCAGATTGTTGATAAACTGACAGAAGATTGAATAATGTGGAGATTGATGAGTAGAGGCAGCTGTGCCCTAAGAACAGAGATGAGAAGTCTGAGAATATACATCAGAGGATGCTTAAAGTTCACACAAGATGATGTGAAAATGAACTAATTTGGCTTATAATGTCAAATGTTTTAATTACTACAGCTATAATTTCCCACAGCAGTCCAGAATATTCAAGAAAACCTTATGAATTTCTAGAGTCCCTGTTTACTTTCTTATTGGTACCACTTACACTTTGAATGAAGAATATTTATCATACATATAATAAAATTCAATGCACCATACTTATGCATGATGGAGGGTGAGACCATTTTTCTCCTAAGCATTTTGCAATTGCAGGCCCATCAATTCCAAAACCTTCAAAACATTTGTACGTAACTTCTTCTCCATACTGATAACTGTCTGACATGTGAGCTACAACACCATGAGAAATCTCAGGTGGAGATTTACAAGGAAGGCCTAAAAAAAAAAGAATGAATTCAGGTTTCACTAACTCATAAATTTAATTTTATATGCCTGTTTTAATATTAAGTAGTTTTATTTGAAAATAAACAATACAGGAGCTACTATGACATCACAGAGAAGTAACACAAATGTTTCCTAAAACTAGCCTTCTGGTGTCTGTCTGTCTATCGGACTGTCACCAACTGAAGAAGGACTTGAAACTAAAAATAGCAATACATTTCAGAAAGAGATCATCTATGCCTGGTAAACAATGCCTCTGTAAACTTACTAGTGATAATAAGATACACATTGAGAGTTAACGATTCCAGGTAAAACATAATATATTGTAGGAAATAAGAAGGGGCATTGTGGGAAGAATGTAAAAGAAGTTTTAAAACATAGTGGCAAAGCAAACATGACAACTTGCAGAACAGGTTTAGCTGTGTCCCCACCCAAATCTCATCGTGAATTGCAATTGCCATAATCCTCACGTGTTGTGGATGGGACCTGGTGGGAGAAAATTGAATCATGAGGGCGATTTTTCCTCTGCTGCTGTTCTCATGATACTGCGTGAGTTCTCCTGAGATCTGATGGTTTTATAAGGAGCTTTTCTGTCTTTGCTTTGCACTTCTCCTTCCTGTCATCATGTGAAGAAGGACATGTTTGCTTACCCTTCCACCAGGGTTGTAAGTTTCCTGAGGCCTCCCAGCCATGTGGAATTGTGAGTCAATTACACCTCTTTCCTTTATAAATTATGCAGTCTTGGGTAGTTCTTTATAGCAGCATGATAACAGACTAATACAGTAAATTGGTACTGCAGAGAGTAGGGTGCTGCTGTAAAGATAACCAAAAATGTGGAAGCAGCTTTGGAACTGGATAACAGGCAGGGGTTAGAACCATTTGGAGGGGTCAGAAGAAGACAGGAGAATGTTAAAATGTTTGGAACTTCCTAGGGAGTTGGACGGCTCAGAAGACAAGATGTGGGAAAGTTTGGCACTTCCTAGAGGCTTGTTGAATGGCTTTGACCAAAATACTCACAGTGATATGGACAATGAAGTCCAGGATGGGGTGGTCACAGATGAAGATGAGGTGAGGAACTTGTTTGAAACTGGAGTAAAGGTCACTCCTGCTATGCAAAGAGACTGGTGGCATATTGCCCTGCCTTAGAGATCTGTGGAACTTTGAACTTGAGAGAGATGATTTAGGGTATCTGGCAGAATAAACTTCTAAGTGGCAAAGAGCTCAAGAGGAAGCAGAGCATAAAAGTTTGGAAAATGTGCAGCTTGTAAATGCAATAGAAAATAAAACTTCATTTTTCTGGGGAGAAATTCAAGCCTGCTGCAGAAATTTGCAAAAATAATAAGGAGCCAAAGTTAATCACCAAGACAATGGGGAATATATCTCCGGGGCATGTCAGAGGCCTTCATGACACCCCCACCCATCACAGGCCCAGAAGCCCAGGAGGGAAAAATGGTTTGATGGACCTGGATCAGGTCCCTGCTGCTCTATGCAGCCTCAGGACTGTATCCCAGCTGCTTCAGCTCCAGCTGTGGCTAAAAGGGGCCAACAAACAGCTTGGTCCATTGCCTCAAAGGGTGAAACCCCAAGCCTTGGTGGATTACATGTAGTCTTGGGCCTGTGGGTGCACACAAGTCAAGAATTGAGGTTTGGGAACCTACAACTAGGTTGCAGAGGATATATGAAAATACCTGGATGTCCAGGCAGAAGTTTGCTGCAGGGGGGAGCCCACATGGAGAACCTCTGCTAGGCCATTGAGGAAAGGAAATGTGGGGTCAGAGCCCTCACATAGAGTCCCCACTGAGGCACTGCCTTGTGGAGCTGTGAGAACAGGACCACAATCATTGAAGCCCCAGAATGGTAGATCCATCAATAGCTTGCACTATGTTCCTGGAAAAGCCACAGACACTCAATGCCAGCCCATGAAAGCAACCAGGAGGGGGACAAAGCCACATCTGCACAAGGCTGTGGGAGCCCATCTCTTGCATCAGCATGACCTGAATGTGAGACATGGAGTCAAAGGAGATAATCTTGGAAATTTAAGGTTTAATGACTGCCCTATTAAATTTCAGACTTCCATCAAGCATATAGCCACTTTGTTTCAGCCATTTCCTCCCTTTTGGAATGGAAGCATTTACCCAATCCCTGTACCCCCATTGTGTCTAGGAAATAACCAACTTGCTTTTGATTTTACAGGCTCATAAGCAGAGAGGACTTGCCTTGTCTCAGATGAGACTTTGGATATGAACTTTTGAGTTAATGCTGGAATAAGTTAAGATTTGGAGGACTGTTGGGAAGGCATGATTGTGTTTTGAATTGTGAGGACATAGACTTGGGATAGGCCATGGTGGAATGATAGGATTTGACTGTATCTCCAACCAAATAACAATTTGAATTGTACTTCCCATAATCTCCATGTTTTGTGGGAGGGACTCAGTAGGAAGTAGTTGAATAATGGGGGCAGTTATCCCCATGCTTCTGTTCTCAGGATAGTGAGTGTGTTTTCATGAGATCTAATGGTTTTATAAGGGCCTTTTCCCTTTGGTCAGAACTTCTCCTTCCTGTCTTCATGCGTTTGCTTCTCCCTCCACCATGATTGTAAGTTTCCTAAGACCTCCTCAGCCATGCAGAACAGTGAGCCAATTAAACCTTTTTTTGTATGTATAAATTATCCAGTATTGGGCAGTTCTTTATGGCAGCATGAGAATAATACAGATAGGTTTAATTTCACTAGATATTATTTTTTAATGCCAGAATACAAAGTGACTCTATCATGAACAAATAAAATTAACATAAATAGAATAGATTCAATCATGCAAAAAGTATTTTAATGGTATAATATATAAATTATTTTATATATGCAGTAATCTCAATTATTCCCCTCACTTTGATAACAAGAGATTATTTTTATGAATTCTACTATAAACAGAAATTGAGTATTCATATTGGCCTAACCTTCACACTGAGGTGGAGAACTCCATTTTCCCATGTAGCATGTTGTTTCATTTTCTTCAGATATCCTGAAACCACCCTCACAAGTATAACTCAATTTAGTCCCATGTGCATAACTTTCTTGTGAAGACCTGGATGAATTAATGGTTCCGTGTTCTATCTGAGGTGGTTGTGAACATGGAATTTTTTCTAAATGAAGAATGAAAATCAAAGGGTTAAAAACAAATAAAATACTTAAATTGAAATATAAAACTAAATACTATTTCGGATTTTAAAGTGAGTATAATTTGAACAAATAAAATTATTTAAAAACAAAAACATATTAGAAACTCGCAAAGATATATTCCTCCACCATATCTATGTTACCATCCTCTTGTTCAATAATCATCTTCATTCATGTCTTGTTCATCACAAGGATTAAAATATGCATGAATGGAAATGTTATCTGACATTTACATAATATTCCAAAGATTTTGGCTGTATTTTGTTCAAAAAACTGAAAGAGTGGTGATTGATTAATGTGCCTAGGTCCTAATTTATTTTGTCAGGATAAAGTAATAGACACAGAGAAAGAACTTCTCTCTTGTTTACACGAAGCACAAGAGAATATTAACCTCATTTGAAAGAATTATGTAAAACAAATTATACACTACTGACCAACACAGAGTGGTATTGACTGCCATCTTCCATCTTTGCATGTAATTTCTTCTCCTTCCTGAATTAGATAATTTTCTTGGCAAAGAACAGATACTTTTTCTCCATCCCGATAATTCAGTGTGGTTGTCATATTGTGAGAATTGGGAATCTGAGGTGGAGGTGGGCATAATTGTATTTGTGCCACTAAAAAATATTAAAAATATAATTAATGTTATAATAAAAAATAAAAAATAAAAATATTAAAATTAGAATTTTTGATGAAAAATAATTTATATGATTAAAATAGAATAAATAGAAAGATCAATAACTGTTTCATAAATTATCACATATTAATTATGATGTTTTTGTATGCAAATATTATACTTTTCAGCTGTGTAACAGTTACATTAAACAATAGAACTTTTGGCTTGTATTCTCATAGACTTTCTTGTAGTTTTTTCATATATTCTTTGTTTAATAAATTTGCATAATTTATGTAATATTGATTTTAATTATTTTGAGCCTTTAGAATGTTTTAATGGAATTACACACTCTTAATTACATGCATTAAATAAAAATTGATATCTATAATCAAATGTATCAGGATTGGATTAAAACACTCACAAATTTTCTGCCAATGGAATCTGATTAGCCAGAAGTAGAATTATATGTAGTTAATAATCAATTTGGTACTGACACTTGACCAATATAAGCATTAAATATAATCACTAGTGATTTATAGTGTGCTATTTAAAACTTGAAACTCCCCTAGAGCTTTTATTTACTAGCTTACCTGTACTGTTTAGGGATATTTAAATGGATGTTATGCACCCAGTTTAATGCATTGCACAGCCTGGCTTTAGTTGTATAATCACATATAAAGACACCTTTGTAAACTCACAGCTAAGCTCCTGTTAAACTGCGATACATCAGAAATATCTCATTTTTTCATAATATGAAAATGAAGCATGTCCTGTTTGACTGACGGGGGAGTTTAGAAGCATCTGGGAGCATTCTATAATCCCTTGATTTTCCTTTCTCCTATCATAGTGTATGCTCTACTTCACCTAAAGCTTTATGTAATCGTACTATAGGAAATCATGGCAATGATTTTAAGTGTCTGACATTTTGTTATCAATTCAGGGAGACGTTTGGATGAACAAAACTTCATTAAAGGTTATTGATAATGTCGAGTTTTCTTTTTTCGCTTATGATAAAGTATTTCATATTTATCAAAAGTATTTTGCTTATTTCTGTTTTTCAATATTTTGACATGTTTTTAACATTCTCATCAATTTATTTTTCTTAAGATTAATGGTCAACTATTTATGCTTGAATGATTCTTTCCTTCTATTTTTGTTGGGTGTACATTCCTGTCTACCTTCTAGATTGTAGTACCTGTTGCTTTTATTTTTTTATTTGTTTTTTCTGATGCATGTTATAATGCTAAATACATCTCTGTTTCAGCTGTATCCCATTGATTTTAATGTGTACCACAATCATTATTATTTAATTTAAAGTATTTGCTGATAGTAAACAATTAAGAAAGAGATTATTTAACATTTTGTGACATGGCAAATAAATTTGAAGAACATTGTGACCCAGTATAGCCTAATTCTACATTTAGTGTGTATGCATATTTTTATTTGTAAATAGAACCGTTAGCAAGGTAGACTATGTGCTGAGCAATTAAAAAACTGAGTGTTTCAAAATATTGAAATTTTCCCAGTATTCTTTCACAAGAGAATTAAATTAGAAACCAGCAAAAATCACTTATCTAGAAAAAAACAAATATTTTGAAATTAAACAATAAACTTCCATATAATTAATCATCAACAGACAAACCACAAGACAAATGAGAAAATATTTCAAATCAAATAAAAATGAACTCTCTCTCTCTGTCTCCCGACACATAGAACATACACACACACACGTGTGTAACATTCTGGGACACAGCTAAAGCAGTGCTTAAAAGAATAGAGCTTTAAAGTTTTATATTTTCAAAGTATGATAGTTTATGACCATGTTTTCATTTTTCACCCTAAGATTGAGAAAAGTGAAATTAAAACTGAAGTCATCAGAAGGAAGAAAACAGTAAAATCAGTGAAGAAGAGAAAACGGACAAAGAAACACAGAGAAGGGAGAAAATTAGCAAAGCTAAAATCAGTAAAACATAATAAAACTAAAAAATACAGAGCAAATGGAGAAAATTTAAAGGCATTACAATTGGTTTTTGAAAATATTAATAAAATTGAGGACAAAGTAAAAACAATGATCAAGATTTAAAAAATGATCAATATTGAGGATGAAAGAGGGCAGTGACATCAGCACGATGCCAGTATAGGAAGCCACCACTCTCCCTTCCCCCCACAGGCACACTGATTCAATGACGATACTGGAAACAATTCCCTTTATGAGAAATCAAGAAACCAGTTCAAAGCCTCCTGCAACCCCCTAAAGTAAACAGAGACCAATATATTTTGACTGCTTCTCCCTCAGAGAGGAAAGATAAGAGTGAACTAAGCATCTATCATCCTAGCTTTTGGGGGAGCATCCTAAAGTACAGGTTTCTCTCTTGCTTGTGTAGGAGCACTTAACGATACCTGCAATACTCTAGTTTCCTGGGGGTAAAATAAAGAGCTAGGCAGGGAGTGATGTCAGCAAAATGGCAGAAGTGGAAGCTCCTGACTCTTCTTCCACCCAAGAATGTCCTAAAAAAACATCTATTCATAAATGAACTCCTCCTGAAAGAAAATGAAAGACCAGTAAAGGGACTCCTACTTAACAGGCAACAAAGACAACATTCACATTGAACAAGTAAGAAAAGTTGCAACACAATGGAGCATGGACCCCAGCCTTGTTCACTGCACCACACAATTAGAAAAGGAATCTCAAAAACCCAGTTTCTCCTTGTGGAGAAGTTTTTGGATCTCACATAAAGCATCCTGTGTTTTGGCCTTTAATTCACTAATTTTGGAAGCAGAGGAGATTAAACACATGAGAGTCTCTCTAGATCACAGGAAAAATGGTGGTATGATACAAGTGCTGAAGAGCTTCCAGAAACTTCATTCCTTAATAGCAGTTCAGAGAAGGGGCTGAAAAAACAGTCCCCTGTTTCTCCCGAGAAGTTTTATGATATATTCTTCCTGTGGCTACTTAGAGGTCTGAATTCTAAAAAACTTGCAGTCTGGATTCTAATGAACTTGCATCAGGCACTTCTCTAGCCGGTTCCCGTGGCTCACCCCAGTGATACATCCAGGTACATTAATCACTCTTAGAACAAGTTTGTCCACACAAACTTGAGTGCCCTAACTTTTACAACTTTCATTCAGGGACTGTATTCTAAAGCTCTTAGTTCTGGGAGTAGAGGGCACAAAATATATCCAGAGTCTATCTAGACCACTGAAAAAAGAAATGGCGTTTTATATGGGTGTGTAAGCACTTCCAGGAGCTTC
This sequence comes from Homo sapiens, assembly GCF_000001405.40. Lineage (NCBI taxonomy): Eukaryota > Metazoa > Chordata > Mammalia > Primates > Hominidae > Homo > Homo sapiens. The sequence continues at coordinate 196,733,572 of NC_000001.11, read as the reverse complement.
ATTGCCCAAGAGCAGTGCAGAGAAAAGGTTTTTAAAATGCAGCTCCCCTGTTTATCCTCAAAAAGGTTTGTGTCATCCATCAAGTGCTACAACCTTTACAGTTACCTCCAAAAGGACTCCTCTTAAAACTCTTAACTGTCACAGCAGATATTAGAAAAATACCAGTCTCCATAGATCGTAAAGCAAATAGATGGTCTTAAAATGCTATGTAAAAACTCCAGGCGCTATGCCAAATTGGAGCAGTGCAGAAAAGGAAAGAGAAAGTTCAATTTCCATTTCTCTGTCGAAAGGGCTTAGGGCACATACTTCCACTGGCTACTTAATGAACTGGCCTCTATCGAGCTTGCACAGGGTATCTAATGACGCAAACAAAAAATAATCTTCCCGCAGCCAAAGCCAAAGTTTGGCACTTCATGAGTCTCGCCCCAATGATAAATTCAGATTTATCCATTCTTCCTGGACCAAGTTTAGCCATGCATTCAAAGGTCATCACTTCTATAGCTCCAACTCAAGAGATCGTCTCCTTAACAAACTCACACTGGGAGATGATAGAGATCTGCATTCCTGAAAGGCCCTACATCACAGAATACAAAAAGCTGGTAATACAATGGACTCATTTCAAGCAGATACCTCTTCAGGATCAGAGCATGCAGCCTGAATATTAGTACAGGTATTAGCCACAGATTCTTTACTTGGTGTAATACAGAGAGAGAGTGGGAGATAAACACGCACATTCACTTTCACTATGAAAATAGAAGTAAGTAAATACACAGCCAAGTCTTCAATATTTTCAGCTACATCTAGACCTCCTGGCTCCTAACTTGTTGGTCCCAGGTCCTGAAAAGATGTGGCACATTCTAACCTCCAGGGGGCCACAAAAAATAAGAGACAGCAGTCCGCACAAAGACTTGAGAGGCACATGAAAATCTCTGGCTGGAAAAATTAGTGAGGTCTTTCTCCTATATGAAGCCAGTCTGATAAGACTGAGAAAGGCCATTGTCTTATCTATTGCATAGAAACACTGTGAGTTAAAGAAAATAAAGAAACAAGATATCATAACTCCAAACAAAAGAACAAGATGAGTCTCCAGAAATTGACCTGAGGGAAGTGGATATAGGTGTTTTACTCAAGAAAGAATTCAAAATAATGGTCATAAAGATACTCACTGAGACCAAGAGAGCAATGCAAAAACAAATTAACTACTTCAACAAAGAGGTAGAAAGTATTTTTAAAATACCAAACAAAAATCACAAATTTGAGAATACTATAACTGAACGGAAAAGTTTTAAAGAGGTATTCATCAGCAGACTAGATGAAGGAGAAGAAGGAATTAGTGAACTTGAAGTCAAATTACTGAAAATCACCAAATCTGAGAACCAAAATAAACACATAAATAAATAAAAGTGAAGATAGCTTAAGATCCAGATGGAATACTACCATGTGGAATAACGTATGCATTATCACCATGTTAAAAACAGAAAGAAACACAACGATACAGAAAATATATTCAAAAAAATAATGACAGAAAACTTTCAACAACTGGGAAAGAAATAGAAACCCACACCCAGAAATCTCAAAGGAAATCAAATAAGTTTAATGAAAGATAGTCACTTTAAGACATAACACAATCAAATTATCAAAAGTTATAGACCAAGTATTGAAAAAAGCCAATGAAAAGTGAATGGTTACATAAAATGGAATTTCCACAAGACTATCAGTGGATTACTCAACAGAAACCTTGCAGGCCATAAGGAAGTGGAATGATATACTCAAAATTCTGAAAGAAAACAACTGCCAAGGAATAATTCTAGATTCCACTATTCTGTCTTAAAAACAAAGGAGTGATAAAGGCTTTCTGAGATTGAAAAAAAGCTGAGAGAGCATAAGGACACTTTCCTGCCTTACAAGAAATGTTAAAGGGAGTTCTTGAAGGTGAAAGAAGAGGATGCTAATTAGTAACATGAAGATGTTAAAGTATAAAACTTACTAGTAAAAGTAAGCACAATATGAAATTCAAACACTCTAATACTGTAATAGTGATGGGTAAATACAGCTAGCATAAAGGTTAAAAGGCAAAAGTGGTAAGAACAGCTGAAGCTACAAACTTTGTTAAGAGATACGAATTATTGAAAGATGCAAAGCATGTGATCAAATAGAAAACATGGGAGGAGCAGAGTAAAATTTAGATATTTTATATGTAATCAAAATTCAGTTCCTATCAGCTTAAAATACCTGTTATAAGATATGTTATGCAAGCCTAAGGATAACTACAACTTCAAATAGCCTTTTATAAGGTATGCTATGCAAGCCTAAGGATAGCCAAAAGCAAAACATCTAATAGATACACAAAAGATTAAAAGAAAAAATCCTAAGCATATGGCTACAGAAAGTCATCAAACCATGAATAAAGCAAGCAAGAAAGAAACAAAGAATTTTAAAAACAACCAGAACACAATTAACAAATTACCACTATAAATCCTTACCTATCTAAAATTACTTTAAATGGAAATGGAATATATTCTATAATCAAAAGGCATAGAATGACTAAATAAATCAAAAATTAATATCCAATTATAAACTGCTTACAATTGACTTACTTCACTGTAACGTAAATTCACAGATTGCAGTGAAGGCATGGAAAAAAACCTATAAAAATAAAAACTAAAAGAGAACAGGGGTAGTTATACTCATTTCAGACAAAATAGACAAGGGAAAAATTGTATAAAGGTACAAAGAAAGTTATTATATAATGATAGTGGGGTCAATTTGTCAAGATAATACAACTATTATAAACCTATATATGCACCCAACATCAAAGCAACTAAATATATAAAGGAAACATTTAGGAATCTGAATGGAGATGTGGACTGCAACACAGTAATAGTAGGGGATATCAATATTTTACTTTCAACGTTGAGACAGATCATCCAGACAGAATATCAATAAGGAAACATTAAACTTAAACAATAATTTATACCAAATAGATTGGACAGACATATAAAGAACATTCCACATAACAAAAAAACACATATTCTTCTCAAATGCGCACAGAATATTCCCCAGAATATGTTATATGTTAGGCCACAAAACAAGTCTTATCAAATTCAAGAAGACTGAAATCATATCAAGTCACTTTTCTGACAACAAAGGTATGAAATGAGAAATCAATAATAGGAGGAACTATGGAAAATTTTAAATTAGGTGAAAATTAGACAATATGCTCTGAAACAATCATAGGGTCAAACCATTTTAAATAAATTTAAAAATATTTTCAGTAAAGGAGAATGGAAACAAAACGTAGCAAAACTTATGGGATGCAGCAAAAGTAGTTCTAAGATGGATGTTTTTAGGAATAATTGCCTATATCAAGAAAGTGGAAAGAACTCAAATAAACAGTCTAGTAGTACACCTCAAAGAAGCAGAAAAACATGAACAAACTAGTCAATTCCAAAATTAGTAGAAGGATGGAAATCATAAAGATCAGAGTAAAAGTAAGTAAAATAGAGCCCCCAAAGCAGTACAAAATATCAATGAAAATAGTTTTTTTTTAGATAATCAAAAATTGACAAAGCTTTAACCAGAATAACTAAAAAAGAGAGATACGGCTTAAAGAAACACAAGATCGGAGATGAAAAGGGTGATATTACAACTGATATCAAAAAAATACAAAGTATAATGAGAGACCGTTATTAGCAATTATATGCCAACAAATTGGATAACCTAGAAGAAATGGATAAATTTCTAGACACACAGCCTACGACGATTAATTCAGAGGAAATAGAAAATCTGAACAGAGTAATCATGAGGCAACAGATTAAGTCAGTAATAAAATGTTTCCCATCAAAGAAAATCCAAGACCTGATGGCTTCATTGCTGAATTATAACAACATTTTAGAAAGGACTAATACCAATTCTTCTAAAACGACTCCAAAAATTTGATGAGGAGATCATTTTTCTAACTCATTCTAGTGGCCCAACATTACTCTGGAACCAAAACCAGACAAGGACACAACGCAAAAAGAAAACTACAGGCAAAATCCCCTGATGAACATAGGTACAAAACCCCTCAACACTATACTAGGAAAACAAATCCTACAGCACATTAAAAAGATCATTCACTATGATCAAATGGGTTTAATCCAAGAAATGTAAAGGTCGTTTAACATAGGCAAATTAGTAAAGGTGATGCATCCCATTAACAGAAAGGACGATAACTATACGATCATTTTAATAAATCTATATAGAATGGCTAAAACTATAAAACTTCAAGAAAAAACTGTAGAACATGTACACTTCACTGCATATATATATTATTTGCTTCTTTAAGGACTCTAAACATATTGAAATGTTGATAGCAGATTAGTTTTTGTATTGGTTGTCAATGCTTTCTGTATATCCTAGACTGGCAGACATTGGTAAAAATATTGAAGTTAGTGAGGCAAGGAAACCCACAATTGGATAGCAAAATACAGATATAAAATATGAGAAGACTGGAATAAAACCTACACTATTCAAGTGAAACTGTATGTGTCAATATGACTAACTTTTCAAGATAGATGAACAATAAATTAATAGATAAATAGATGATTAGGTAGATGAACAGGTAGATGAATAGACAGAGAGATAGATTAAATAAATGAATCAACAGAAATAGATATAGATACATACATACATGCATACAGACATATACAAACAGATACATAGTAGTTATTGGCATAGACAGAGGTATAGGCACAGGAACATTTGTTGACAAGAAAAGGAATGAGAAGCACTGGTCCTCCAACAGTAATGATGACATGTAGTGCCTGGTTTATGTGTGTGTGTGTGTGTGTGTGTGTGCGTGTGTGTGTGTGTGTGTTTATACTAAAGGTAACTAATTCACAGGGCACAGTTAATATTAGGAACAGTGTTTTCATTAGTTTCTAGTTTACCTGCCTTATTCAGTAGCATTTGTAATAATAAATAGCTAAAGTTTTTAAAAGACACACATACCTATTACTTTTCCAAATGAGAAATAGAATACATTTCTGAAAACAAAATAAGAGCTTACTTGAGCAGTTCACTTCTGGATCCCATCTTCCATTTATGCAGACTGTGTGTATCCATCCTTCTTTTCCTCTACATCTGTACCTTATGTTAGAATTATGATCGAATTCCTTCTTGTTTTTTAAATGTTCCTCAAGTATAATTAAATTTGATGATTTGCACTTCTTAAGTTTATCTATTGCTATAAAATAAATATATTTTTATGAAAATTCAAATGATAGGAATCAAACCAACTATTACATAAAAATAGTTATAAAGTAAATAGTATTAGCATGGTAAAATTATGACTTAATCATTATAAATTTCACCAACCAAGTTATTCCTGATCACATTGCATCAAAATGCTATTATGTCAAAATATAAGCCCTGTATTCTGTCGCTGAAATGTTAGAGATACCTATCAGAAGACATTTTATTCTTTGGGAAATACAAAATATCATTGGATATTTCATTGGATAAATAAGTATGATTGGACATTAGGACTCTTAGAATTCAGGACCCAGGAAAACTTTAGGAAAAATCTCAGTTTAGAGAAAAGTGAATGAGGGTCCCCAAGATCCTCCCGGTTAGTCATCAAAGAGGCAAAATGATTTTAAAGATTGTACATCTCAAGTCACACTGTAAGTGAATCACCTTGCCTTCTTGCTGATCAAGACATGAGATTTACAGTGTGAAGTCCGTCAATGAGATTTACGTCCTGACTCAGTCCCTGACTACCTCATGCCACTCAGCTATACCACTGATGTAGAGGGCCTGTGGCCCACCAACCCTGCAGCACATTCACTTATTTTGGCTGATATGGAACAAACTGAAAAATTATCACTTTTGGAAGCTTTAAGAGAGAAAAGAATCCTATGGGAGAGTAGTAAGTAGGTATTTTGTCAACTTTGTTTCTTTGCTTCTCAGTGCCTAAAAAGGAATACCATACAATAACAATAATATTTATATTTTATATAAAACTGTTATAATTTCTCAGTAATTAGTACTCATATTTAATCATATGATAATTTTTTAATATTTTTGTTTTTTAAAGAAAGAGTCTTACTCTGTTGCCCAGGCTGGAATGCACAATAGAGCTCACTGCAATCTCGAATTCCTGGCCTTAAGCAATCATTCCTCCTCAGCCTCCCAAGTAGCTGGATTACAGGCATGCACCACCACACCTTAACTAATTACAAAATTTTTTTTATAGAGATGGGCTTTTGCTATATTGCCCACACTAGTGTCTACCTCCTGGCCTCAAGCAATCTTCTTGCCTTGGCCTCCTGAAGTGTTGAGGTTATAGGCGTGAGCAACCACCCTGGCCTCACATGACAATTTTTGTAAGTAAAATGTTGCTTCACACTTTTAAATATAAACAATACTGTTATCAGACGCAGAAAGATTCATAAAATTATATTACTAGCTTTATTTTTTCTTTCTAGACACATATTGAATTATAAGCAATATGCAAAAGATTGGTCTCATATTGAAGACTGGAAATGTTGAGGCATATCTGTAAATTTCAAAAATATAGTTGCAATTATTGTTGTTACAATAAAAATATTAAACTTTGTTAAATGTTGATTTAAGAAGGGTATTCTCACCCACACACTGGGGAAGTTGGGTCCATACTCCATGAATACACGTAATTGATCTGTGTCCAATCATTGTAAATGATTCTGAGCAATTGAATTCCACTGAATCTCCATAGTAATAAGGAGGGGAAGAAAGCTGGGCCCAGCCATGTTCAAGTTCAGGTATATCTCCACAGGTACTCTCCTCCACTATGTAAATTTTACAAAAAAAGTTTATTGTGAAAACATGATGTATGTGTTTTAGATACAAAATACAAAAGTTTTGACAAGTTTAAATATTAATATTTTATACATTACCAATACACACTGGTAAAGTTGTCCACTCTCCATCAACACATTGAATTTTATTAGGTCCCTTCATTAGAAATCTAGGATTGCAATAATATTCCACCACTTCACTGTGTCCATATTCTTCTTTCGTTTTTTCCTTAACATTCCCATTGAGGAGTTCAGGAGGTGGACCACATGATTGTACTTGCTCTATAGTAGAAATACTATGTAAATAATGGTTAAATTGTCTGTTTTACAATATAAAAATTCAGTAAAATGGAAAGATTTTCTTCTTTTATTCATGTATTCTTCATTATGTAACTTATTATAGCATCCTAAACAATCAAGAATGGTGTTCATATTGTATTACTTATACTAAATTGTCATATTGAAGGTATATTAAAATGTTAAAATATGCTCAGACTTCTAGATATCTTAAAGATGCAAGAAAACCAATTAGCAAATGTGGTTATGAAAATCATGTTAATTTTTACATTTCATGGAAACATTTTATCATAACATTTTGGAAAAATATCATAACTGAGGCAAGCATTTGATCAACATAAAGTTTGACTAATCAATACAAGCAACTGAATTGAATATAAGCTGCTTAAATATTGTTTAGACACACCCGGTGAAACTTAAGTTGCAGCCCACACTATATAAAATGTCCAGAATGGATGTTGACATTTCAAGCAAAATGAAAATTAACAAAGAAATCCCTCCATTGTCAGCCACTAGTATGGTTTAAATGTTTGTCACCTCCAACCCCATGTTGAAACTTCATCCCCAGTGTTTCAGGTGGGGTCTAATGGGAGATGTTTGGATCATGGGTATGGATCTCTCATGAACAGATGAATGCCCCCTCTCAGGGTGAGTTCTCACTCTATTAGCTCCTGGAAGAGCTGGTTCTTAAAAAGAGCCTGTCACTGCCCTGCTCTCTCTCTTGCTTCCTCTCTCATCATGTGTTCTCTGGACACAGTGGCTCCTCTTCCCTTTCTACCAGCATTCTGTGGCTCTCACTGAATGCAGATGCCCGATCTTGAATTTTATAGTCATGAGTATAGTGAGCCAAATAAAACATTTTTACAAATCATCCAGACTCAGTTATTCCTTTATAGAAACATAAACCTAAAGTAGACTAAGACCGACAACACCTGTGTGTCTGGGAATACTTCCAGCACATCGTTCAAGAAACAGTGGAGATTAACTTAAGTGACTGAATCTCAGGTATTCAGTACTCAATACATGTCCTTCACAGGCAAATATTTGACTTAATTCATTAGATTACAGGCAATGGGAGCCCAAACAAAATTAATAAGAAAAAAGTTGGTATTCAAAGTTCTAATTCTTATTTCAGCAATTGTAAGATAAGCATTCACCTTTACATATTGGGAGGTCAGGAGACAATCCAAAGTGGTAGCACTGAACGGAATTAGGTCCAACTATTGTAAATCCTGGTTTGCAGGAGAATTTCAACACCTCTCCAACTTTATACTGGTCTTTCTTGCGATCAGGAACTAAGTGTACATCTATTTTAGGAAGTTCGCATTCTCTTTCTTGAAAAAGGTAAAATAATTTCATGAGAATATATAATTAATCATTGCCAAAGTTAATTTTACATATGCCACAATAAAGTGAGGTTGATATTGGGTCATACAGAGGGGCATCAGATAAATCCTTTTCCCTGTAAAGAATGCTACATATTATGTTTTATATGCTGTCTAAATTGAAATGGAACTTTATTATAAATGTTATGGTATTGAAATATATCTGTTCTAAAAATTAATTTGTAAATTCAACTTATTTACAATGAATCTAGTTTTAATCACTGACATTAATGAAATTTAATATTACTTTTTTTACTCAAAACATGAAATTACTCTCTCATATTAAAAAAGAAAAGTGCATATAGACCAGAATTGGGGCTTTTTGAAAACAAGATGACTGACTAAGGAGTTTGGACACAAGTTCTCCTCAGAAAGAAGAACCAAAGTTACAGGTAAATGATCATAACTTGAAAAATATTTAAGAGAGGGTGCAGGAGCGTCATAGAGAAACCATGGAGAGAAGCCAAAGCATGGAAAAAGACAGAAGCAAGAGCCTGACAAAGGTTGACTAGGACCCTGTGGGACCTCATAGAAAGTGTAGGTAGGAGTCTTCTGGGCTCCCTGCAGCTCACCGTGTGGATCCAAGCCATCAGAGAGCTCTTCTGTCTTCGTGAACACACACACTGGTGTGAGTGGAGATTTGGGAACTTCTTGAGGGCATTACACCAAACTACTAGTTGAATAGGGTCATCTGCCTTCCCCTTGGGCCTGAGCTGCAGTGGTAGGTTTCATGCCTGCAGTGCACTCATGTGGGGACTGTTTCCTACCCAGGAACCTCAGCCCTCTGTCCCCATAACACCAGAGCCGCACAAATATTCCCTGTCACCTGCTTGGATGTGGCAGTCACCCATAGCTGGCTGGACCCAAAGGAGTTACAGCATTCCCAATAGTTTAACCACCAGGGAGGCTATTCCTAATGGAAAGTGCAACAAAGGAACACCCCTTGTGGCAAAGAAGACTGTAGCATTCACTTTCCTGTGTGCAAGAGCAACCTGCTTGTGGGCTGAAAATGACTACGCCACTTCCAGCAGACACGCAGACGCGGTGTTTGGCTCTGCAAGGGAGGAGTATAGATCCATCCCAGGAGCCCAATGGTCCCAGCGCTTGGGCACGGATGTAGAGAGGGGAACATGTCCCGTGGATCCAATTCTGTGTTCATAGCTGTGGTCACTCGCAAAGGAGACTGGTGTAGACACACCAGAGGACGGACATTGTAGGGGTATTAGGGGGTGGCTACAACTCCACTGGTCATGTGCCCAATGAAGCCAGGCTTGCAAGAAAGACAAGCTACGGGTATCTCCCCAGGGTCTTCCCCTGACACCCCTGTCAGGGCTGGTGCTTGTGCTCATCCTTGGAGCATCCAAGGGTGAGCTTAGTGGTACAGATCTATCCCGCTTTGTCCCCAGCTCCTCAGACCACTGTACCTTTCACAGATCAGTCCATTCCTTGGGGCAACAGAGAGTCTCCCATAAACAGTGACAAGCATAGGCTCATCTGCCTCTGCTGCAGCTGGCTCTTACCTGTCCGTGCCACCTACTGTCCTGAATGTTGAACTGCACAGCCCAGTGCAAAATGCTGACACTAGGGCATGATGCAGAACAAGGTTAGTTTTCTGCGTAGTCCTCCATACCAGCCCTTCAGGAGGCAGTAAGCCTCGTCATACACCCAGTACATAACTACTACAACCAGCAATTAAGAAAGCCATCATACAAAAGTTATCTCTAACCAAGGTACTCAAACAGAGTCTTTACCACTGAAAGAACCCAGAACCTAAACCAAATAGCCCTATACAACATACATCGTAGTCATATTCTCAAAGGGAAAAAAAAAATCCTGTCTGTTGGAAACTGGACTTAAAAATAAGAAGGGATAGTTCATCTGGATGAGAAGAAACCACTGAAACATTTCTGGAAGTATGATTTAAAACAGCGTATTACAACACTCGCAAAGGATCACACTAACTCTTCAGCAATAAGTCCTAACCAAAATAAAATCTTTGAAATACCAAAGAATTTAAAATATTTATTTTAAAGTAGCTAAATGGAGTCCAAGAGAAAGTTGAAAAGCAACACAAAGAAATTAGAAAAAAAACTCAGGATATGAATGAAAAATGTACTAAAAATATTTTTTAAAAAACAAATAGAACTTATGGAAATTAAAAATTCATTGAAGAATTACAAAATATAGTTGAAAGATTTAATTACAGATTACATCAAGCAGAAAAACTTGCTCTCAGAGCTTGAAGACAGGTCTTTCCAATTAACCCTGTCAGACAAAAATAAAGAGCAAATAACATTTTTTAATGAGCAAAGGTTTTGAGAAAAATGACGTTCTAAAAAATGAGAAAACTTAAGAGTTATAGATATTCTTGAGGGAGAAGAAAAAGCTAAAAAAACCTTTTTGAGGAAAATTTATCTCCTCTTGCCCTCTTGCTAGAGACATAGAAATCCTTATACAAGAGGCTCAGATAACACCAGGAAGATGCATTGCGAGATGAACTTCTACAAACATATAGTCATCAGGCTATCTAAAGTCAATGTGAACGGGAAAAATTATAAAATCAGCAAGAGAAAAGCATCTAATCAACTATAACGGAAATCTCGTAAGACTAACAGTGGACTTCTCAGCAGAAACTGTACAAGCCAGAAGATATTGGTGTCCTATTTTCAGGGTTCTTAAAGAAAGATTAGTTCATATTTATTGAAAAAACATATATTAGAGATATATTTTGTATTTTGCTAAACTAAACTTCATAAATGAAGAATATATAAAGTCTTTCCCAAACAAGCTAATACTAAGGAAGTTCATCACCACTAGAAATCCACTTTAGGAATTCACCCCACAAGAAATGATCCAGGGAGTCCTGAACATGGAAATAGATGGTCAATACTCACTATCATAAAGACATGCAAAAGTACAAAACTCACAGGTCTTATTAAAAAATTACACAGTTGGGACTACAAACCAGCTAGGTAACAACTAACATAATGACAAGAACAAAACCTCACATGACAATATTAACTTTTAACATAAATAGATTAAATGTTCCACTTAAAAGATATAGATTTGTGGACCAAATTTGGAAAACAGAAACCAACCACATGCTGCTCAAAAGAAACCCACCTAACTTAGAGAAACCTATACAAACTCATGGTAAAGGTATGGAGACAGATATTTTGAACAACAGAAACAAAAAGCATTTGGTATAGTTATATTTATATATAAAAAAAGATTTCAAATCAACAAGAAAAAAAAGACAAGAAGTTCATTACACAATGATAAAGGAAGCAAGAAGATATAACAATTCTAAATATATATGCACTCAAAACCTCAGCACTCAGATTCATAAATGAAATGCTACTAGAGCTAAGTAGAAAGATAAACAGCAATATAATGAGGGCAAGCAACCTCCACACCCCCAATGACTATACTAGACAGATTGCAGGGACAAAAAAATAAACAAAGAAACCTCATACTTAAATTGGACTGTAGAACAAATGGACCTAACAGACATTTTAACGACATTCCACCCAACAACCTCAGAATATATGTTTTTCTCACCTGTGCATGGAACATTCTCCAAAATAGACCATATGCTAGGCTACAGCTACAAAGCAAGTTCCCAAAATTTTAAAGGTTAGAAATAATATCAAGTATCTTATCAGAACTTGGTGAAATATAACTATAAATCAATATCATAAAGAATTTTCAAAACTATCCATATACATGAAAATTAAATGACCTGCTTCTGGGTGATTGTGAATTAAACTAAAAATTTTCTTCACAGCAAAGGAAATAATAAACAGAGTAAACAGACAACCTCAGAATGGAAGAAAATATTTGCAAACTATGAATCTGAAAAAGGGCTAATATCCAGAATCTGCAAAGAACTGAAACAACACAACAAGAAAAAAAAATAATAATCCCATGAAAAAGTGGACAAAGGATATGAAGAGATATTTTGCAAAAGAAGACATGAAAATGACCAAGAAATATGAAATAAAAACTCAATATCAGTAATCATCAGAGAAATGCGAATTAAAAAAATGAGTTATCATCTTACATTAGACACAGTGGCCACTGTCAAATAGTCAAAAAATAATAAATGTTGGTGACAGTGAGGAGAAAGAAGAATGCTTATACGCTGTTGGTGGGAATGTAAATTAGTACAACCTCTATGGAAAACAGAATGGACATTTCCCAAAGAACTAAAAACAGAACTACCATTTCACCCAGCAATCCCACTACTGTGTATCTACCCAAAGGAAATCAATTATCATATCAAAATGATACCCAGACTCATATGTTTATAGCCTCACTACTCACAGTAGCAATAATATGGAATCAAACTAATTGTCCACCAACAGATGATTGGATAAAGAATATGTGGTATAGATATATGCCATAGAATACTACTCAGCCAAAACAAAAAATAAAAAGAAAAAAAAAGAATAAAATCATGCCTTCAGAAGCAACATGTATAAAACTAAAGGCCATTATTTTAGGTAAAATAATTCAGATTCAGAAAGTAAAATCCCACATATTGTCACTTATAAGTGAGAGCTAAATAATGCGTACATATGGACAGAGAGTGCTGAGTAACAGACATTGGAGACTCAGAAATGTGGCAGGATAGCAGGAGGGTGAGGAATAAGAAATTACCTAATGGGTGCAATGTTCAGTATTTGGGTGATGAATACACTAAAAGTACAGACTTCACCACTATGCAATATATCCATGCAACAAAACTGCATTTGGACCATCTAAACATATAAAACATAGAAATTAAAATTTTAAAAATAAAAGAACACATCATAAAACACCATGGAAATATCTTAAGAAGTTAAATTTATAATAGAACTGGGGAGGATCCCGAGAATAATGATGGTATAATATCTGTCATTGCAGAGTCAATGATAACTTTATTTAACTGAAACTAAACAACCTCAAATGATTTCTGGTCTCATCATGTTTATAATTCTTGATGACTGACATATACATCACAAAAAGGTAAATTCTCATCAAAGATTTATTAGTGAAGATATATGCACTAAGAAATTAATTAAAATTGGTATTTTTGTTTAATGTAATCAAGGAAAAAGAACCCAAAATAGCATTTCTAATATATTTTAAGTTAAAAAAAATATAAAAAACACATAATTAATATATTACAAATAAAGAAAACAAACCAAGATAAATTTTCAAGTTCACATGGAAAGGCAAATTCTAGGTATCCTGAATATTTATGTTAACATATAACAATTTTTGTTATATGTACTATTTATATCAATGTTTAATAAATTTGATAATTATTCTGATTCAGATAAGAAATGTGTAAAATTATCTCTTACATGTTTATAATTTTTAAAAATCAGCAACATTACTAAATATTATCCAAAATATTATTTTTCTTATTCAGAATCCTCCTTTCTTGCTAACTTAGAAAAGTACAAGCTAGAATTCATAAATTAGAATCATACTAAAAAGAAAATTAATTACATCATAACCTCAATTATTAAAATACAATTACAAAATTAGATTTAAAACTATTCTTAAAAGTAATGTCACAAAATAATAACTACAAAAATTTGCTTTTGTGTTTGTTTTAATGAGTTTTGCAGATTATTTGAGAAAATCACACTTGAATGAGAATCACTGGGATTTCTCTCCTAAAAGTCTATACCAATCTTCTACATAGCAATTCTTTTTTTTGTATGTGTGTTTGTTCACGTATTTTGTGCTAATTTTATATAAATTCTGTCTGTTGTAATATTGTGAAAAGCATTATCTTAAAAAGGAAAGTTAAGATCTTGATTATTGGGTATTATTCAAATGCTGTATTTATATAGAGGTAATAACTTACAAAACGTGATTTAGAGAAGAATGTGAATGGACACTCCATGAATTAGAAATATTTTTCTTCATCTAAAACTCAAAACCCTAAGTCCTAGTACTAGATATGTGAAATGTTAATATGAATTTTTAACTCTGAGATACATACTCCTTATTTAGCTTAAGTGCTCCATAATAACAATTCTGTGGAAACCTTTCCACAAAGAAGAGACCTCCTAGGACACTTGAAATATACTCAGATGTCTGTCAATCCACATGCAGTTTTCTGTTACATGGCTGAGAGAAGAATATTTGAAAAGAATACTAAGCTGGTATTTCTTCGTTTAATGTTTGGAGGCCTGTACTATACTAGCAAATTCCTAGTTATGTGTTCAAATGATCCTAAGTCTTTGTACAATTTGCAATAGAAAGACATTTTCTACATCAGCTTCTACTGCTATGTCCGCCACTCCAACTTTCTCTCCTTTAGGTTTTCATTTCATGTCTGGTGATTGGAAAGACTACTGAAGCAATATATTCACAATTTTGTGTTCTTTTTTGAAGAAGACCCCTCAAAATTGTAAAAGCTTCTGGCTTCATAAAACCTAAATTTACCTATCATCACAGAAAAGAAATTTATGAGTCTCTTAAATTAAGCCTCCCCCTCTCAATTAGAGCAAAACTCAACCTCTTTATGATCCATGCCTACTCTTCCAATGTTATCAAATGTCTCTCTCCTCCACTAAATCCAGGATTCAGATTTTATGATCTTTGAATTTTATTAAAAAGGTCAAGTTCTTCGCTGCCTCAGCTGTTGCACATACCCTTCTCACTATAACAAATGGCTTTCAACCATTCTTTGCATCGATGACTTCCTATGTAAAACAGATCTCCAGTTCCTTCCCTCCTATTTTCTATCTCAATTATTGGATTTTCTATTTCTCTGTACACAGTGATACATAAAATATATTTTAAATATTTTTATTACTTGGATATTTGGCTTATCTCTTTTTAGTTTTCCACTGTCTTATATTAGAATAAAATCTCTGGATAAGTAGACCTGTGCTTGTGTTTTCACCATTTTCTCCTGTCCTATGATAGGTGTTTACAACAGCAGGAATGAGTCAAATTTAACTGGACCTTTGACACTGCCTTTCATCTACAATGTACTCATTCTCTTTCTCAGCTGTGACTATTTCAAAACTTTTCTATTCTACCTAGTACTCTTCCTCCTCCTTCGCCCACACACTATTCAATCTCAGATGACCATGTCTCATACTTCAAAACAGAATCCATCAGCTTCTACCATTTTCCAACGTTACTGCTCATTTTCCTTCCCATCTCCTGTCACAAAGTTGTAAGCAGTCCTGTTGCCACCTGTCACAAGGTTGTAAGCAGTCCTGTTGCCACCAAAGCACAATACCTCCACAGTAGCTGTGAGTCCTTTCCCCTCGCATTTTCTCAGGGCAACTATGTAAGTCATGTGTTCAGCCTTTGCAGCTCCCCTTTTGCTGTATCTGCTCTGGTGTCTTCCATCTTTTTTCTTTTAATTATCCCTTCAGTGCACAACTTTCCTCAAGCAATATTCTGATCTTCCTATTAGATTCAAAGCCAGAATCTTGAAAGAGTTATGTCTACAGTCTGTATTGAATGTCTAGCTCATTATTTTTATTGGCAGATTCTATGTAGGGTCTGTCTCTTCTACTCTATTAAAATCCATTTTTGTTACACTTGTCATTGGCCTGTACCTTACCTAATCCATCACAATTTCTGAACAGAATATAATAACTAAATTAGAAATATTTATCACTTTGATAATGATATTAAGGTAATTAAATTACAACTTCTTTGACTTTATTATATAAGGCACTATGGCAATAAATATTTATAAATATTTTAGTCTGCTAACTAACACAATCCTTTGAAATATTAGAACTGTTTGTAAATATGTGACATTTTACCAACAAGAAAGAGTCAACAAAGCTTCAAATAGACTTGCTGTGTTGGCCAAAGATACATGCCCAGCAAGCAGTGGAATTAGAATTCAGACAGGATGACTTATTAAGCAATCTGTTACACTACCTTTTCATTAATAATTTCCTTATTTTTATGTCTATGGCAACATTCTAGATTTTTTCTCCTGTTTCTCTGGGTCCTCCTTTTTTCCCCATTTTCTTTACTATCTATTGCTCTTCTGTCTTATATATAAATGTGGTAATGTTTCAGGGCTTCATCTTGAGCTCTTTGCTCTTTTCATTCTGTATTCTTATCCAATTTAGCGTCATCATTTATATGATGATATTCCGAAATGCATATCTCCTCTCTAGATGCATATCCAACTCCACACTTCACATATCCAGTTTTGATTTTCCATTGGCGACTCAATCATAATGTGTCCAAGTCAAAAGTTGCAAAGCCCTCTCAAAATGCATTCTATCCAGTCAGTACCATTTTACAAAATGGTTATTGCCATTTACCTACATACTTGTGAGAAAACAATTGAAAACAAACATGTGAGTCCCTTAATCTCACTCTTTTTCACACCCAACATTTAGTAACATCACCTGTACTTTTCATCACCTAAATGTTTTCCAAATCAGCCTTCTGCTCTGCACCTCCCCTATCATCACTCTCTCTCAGTCCCCACACTTTCTCACCCTACCTGGACTCATGGTGTCGCCTCTTGCCTACAAAAAGTACAGCATCCAGGAAAACAATCCAACAAAACTAGAAATCAAATTATACCATTCCTTTTCTTAAAACTCTTTTATGGGTTTTCATTAGTCATAAAATGAATCCAAATGATATGATGCCTTGAGCTGATCTGGATAATTGTTTCCTTGCCTCCCATCTAGCCTCAGCAGGATAGACTCTGCTTTACCACCTTGAAATATATTGTTTTGTTTTTACAGCTTTGCACATATTTTTCTTTGCCTTGGAACACTCTGCATATACTTGTTTTCCCACAGAGCCAATCCTTCTTCTAACCCTGAAAAATAGATGGCTGATTGAGAAACGTAAATGAGATTCATGTAATGGTCTTCAGAACTTTTCAAATTTAGAAAATAAAGAACTACACTCAGAAAGTACAGAAATTAACACACAAGATAGAAGATGTAAAGTAGAAATTAAAAAAACAAATTAGCTGAGGAAGTTGTAACCAACTATAATTTTGGTAATAAGTGCTAGGTTCTAAATAATTTGAAAGCTTTTATTTAGGGTAACAAAAGCAATTATATTATAATCACAAATCTGGAAGGTAGGTGGCCCATAGGAAGTATTAATTTAATGCACTACTTTAGAGATATTTTCAAAACTCCCTTCTTTTCCCAGTTTATGTCAAATCAGGAGATATCTTGATTTTAATCAACATTCCTTAACAATTCCTCTATATAATTCAAATTTTTAAAATTGGAAAACAGATTTATTTTCATTTTGAAAATGAATTTCTGAAAAACCAGTACTTACCATAACATATGGGTAAATCAGACCAACCATTGTAACCACACACTATGGAACCAGTGGTGCTTCCAGTATTGCTTTCATAACCATCATGGCATTCATAGTCCAATGTGTCATTCAGCTTAAACCATGTGAAGTCATTTTTAGTTCTGGCATTCATAAATACTGGGATATCACAAGATTCTAGTGCATAAAAAATTTAGAATGTCATTTCTAATGTCATCTAATAAACAATCTGAGTATTTCCCATTCTAAGAAGAAAAAGCTTTATTGATTAGATCTACTAATAAATAGGTACCGTACAAAAATAATCTATGACTGGTGAGAATTTGTTGTCGTAAAATAGTTGTCAAAAGTGAAAGTATATCTTTCTACACAACATTTTTTTTCATTGCTTAAGCCCCAAAATATATTTTAAAAACATTTTTCTTAATTCATTTATACTAAAGCATTTATGACAATGCTAGTAATAAAACAGGCCATTACAGGTATACATTATTTTTTAAAGAAAATCATAACAGAATTTTGTAAATTAAGAGTCCAAACTAATTCGTAGTTGAGACATATGTAAAAAGGAGAAAAAGACTGAAAATATAAATTCCTATGTTATACAAGACATTTTCTCTTTAATAATAAGAAAATCTTAAAAGAATAATTAATAAAAATTTAGTATAAAATTAGCTTTTTTATGAGGACTAACATTTTTTGTAAACTAGACCTCATATTAAGCACAGACATTAAAAAATGAAAACAGTATACATGAATACCTTATTCACTTCACTTAACATGAGTATATTAAATATTACTTCAAATATATTACTGAGAGGCAGGAGGATCATTTGAGATTAAGAGTTCGAGACCAGCCTGGCTAACATGGCAAAACCCTGTCTCTATTAAAAATACGAAAATTAGGCAGGCATGATGGAGGGTGCCTGTAATCCCAGCTATTCAGGAGGCTGAGGTAGGAGAATTGCTTGAAAACGGAAAATGGAGGTTGCAGTGAGCCAAGATCATGCCACTGCACTCCAGCCTGGCCGACGACAGAGCAAGACTCCATCTCTCTCTCTCTCTCTCTCTCTCTCTCTCTCTCTCTCTCTCTCTCTCTCTATATATATATATATATATATATATATATATATACATATATACGTATACACACACACACACACACACACACATATTACTGAGTGGTTTTGCAAAAAATAAGACAAATTGAACCAATTGTTCCCAGAAAATTTTCATAAATATCTAGATAGTGTGGTAGGGAAATCTTCATAAATATCTAGATAGTGTGGTAGGGAAATCATACAACAGAGCAGAAATTGGTACCATCTAGGAATATTTTGTCTCTCTACTACCTAAATATTTATGAAAAATTTCTAAGAGGGAAGATATTCAGTATTAGACATATCCTACAGTGTCAAATCTACAAATTATAGAGTTTAAATTATTTTGATGTTATGCACTAGGCATCCATATCTTCAATAAAAACATTGCTTTTGTATCTAGGAGTAAAGAATTTGATGTAAAAGTCTAATCTTATAAAACAGATATATATTAACAGTCATAAAGGTCTCAGCTAAAGCAAAATCAGTTTAAACCAGAATACACATAAAGCTCCCTAACTTGTTTCTGTAACACAGAATGCTTTAGAGTAGGAAAAGCCTGAATGGAAAGACAGACTAATATCTGAGTAATTAATGTGAAAAGGAAAAAAAATTGATGTCTGCTTTGTTCCTGCAGGTTTTTTTTTCTTATCTTTTCAAATGAAATTATATCAGCCCCCACAAAAAGACTAAAGTTAGTAAACTTTTGTGTATCATCTGGATAATCAATACAAACATAATAAATTACTTACTAATGCACGTGGGTTGAGCTGACCATCCATCTTTCCCACATGTAATTGATCCTGATGTTTCACCATCTGCTGTTACATATCCTAGTTTGCATTGATATTTCGCTTTTTCTTTTAAGGCATATGTATACTGAGATTCAGAAATAAACCCATTCTCAATATCTATACTTGATTTGGAACATGTTTCTAAAAGGGAAGAGAATAAGAAAAAGACAAGCATATGATCAATAACATTTTATAAGAATTTAAGTAATATGTAAATATAAAAAATAATGAGTCATTTGTAACTGAAAACCTGGATAACCATAAGCATTCAAATACTTAAGTCAAGGAAAATAAGCTCAGAGTTGCCAAAGACATTACATCAAGACTCTTCATCACTTTTTAAAACAAGGCTCTATTTAAGACACTTACAATTATTTCTAAGAAATTATTGGAAATCTGTTTGTCTAATGGATTTGGAATTCTACAGCATGTCAGAACTCAATAGACAATGAGTATTATTTCTTAGGACTTTTTAATCTTGCCTATTGTAGATCTTCTGGCAATTCCAAATCTCATTTAGCCAATTGGAGTATCTGAGATCCTGTGATGATCTTAGAAAATCTGCCAAAATAATTTTCATAGCCTTTGGCTCCAAGAATTTGAAATGTCATTCTTATTGTGTGCTTCAAAGTAAATGGACATGTGGAGTTCAAAGAAGACGAGGAACAGTAACAGATTTATTTATCTTGAAAGGCCAAAATGATGATTCCTCAAATTATGTAGAACTTAACTTGAAAGAGTGGAAGTTACTGTTTCTGTTAACTGATGATAGAAATTACTGTCGGTTACATGCACATGTATGTTTATTGCGGCATTATTCACAATAGCAAAGACTTGGAACCAACCCAAATGTTCAACAATGATAGACTGGATTAAGAAAATGTGGCACATATACACCATGGAATACTATGCAGCCATAAAAAATGAGGAGTTCATGTCCTTTGTAGGGACATGGATGAAATTGGAAATCATCATTCTCAGTAAACTATCGCAAGGACAAAAAACCAAACACCACATGTTCTCACTCATAGATGGGAACTGAACAATGAGAACACGTGGACACAGGAAGGGGAACATCACACTGTGGGGACTGCTGTGGGGTGGGGGGAGGGGGGAGGGATAGCATTAGGAGATATACGTAATGCTAAATGACGAGTTAATGGGTGCAGCACACCAGCATGGCACATGTATACATATGTAACTAACCTGCACATTGTGCACATGTACCCTAAAACTTAAAGTATAATAATAATAATAATAATAATAACCCAAAAAAAGAAATTACTGTCGTTTACTAGGTTGCTTCCCAGAACTCAGCTTCATTTTTAAATAACTCATGGATAAGGAGAAAATCAGAAGAGGAAACATTAAATATTTTGAATTGAATGATAATAAAAACATATTAAATTAAACTTGGTGAGATGACACTCGAACAATCCTCAGAGGGAAATTTATCATTATATAGCTATAAAAGAAAAGAATAAAAACTGAAAATAAATTATTATTTATAATAAATTATAACAAAGAAACCAGACAAAATCCAGCATGAGTATAAATTTTGAAACAAATCCAAATATGAGAAGAAACCAAATAGAAAACAATCAGTACAGACAATTTAAAAAGGTAAAAGACCAGGCAAGAATAATCAAGTAAAACAGAGTTCTTGCCACAAATAAGGAAATGGAACAAAATAGATGAAAATAACATTTTCAGACATTGGAAAGCAGGAAGCACCTAATTCCAGAGAAAAAGTGACAATGAGATGAGTTCCATCATCAAAGTGACTTTATGCTGGGAGAAATTTTCCAAACAGCAGCATGGAGAAGGAGAATTCAGCAGAAAGTGCCACACTTGCTGAGTAGAAGAAACAAAACTCAGTGTTCCCAAAGAAGATGAGTTCACTAGAATCTGCAGGAAACAGAGTGAGAAAAGAAGAAACTATGGAGTGAAAGGGCTCTACAAATTTCCACAGCAACTCCCTAGATTATTTGGCTGAATATTGACACTCTGGAGAGTAGAGCAAAACTCCCCAAGAATGGACAAAGGATACCTATCAGATGAAGAACACTACCAGAGAACAAAAAGGTAAAGGATTCCCAGAGCACACACACAACACAGGGAGACATTTAAATGGAATCAATCAGAGTAGAAAGACTCGTTTGAACATCTAGGTCACGTAGTAGAGACATCAGAAGCAGCTTAATATTCTGAACAAACTATCTCTGGGGTTTTTTAAGCTTTTTAAAAGCTTAAAAATAAGCCTTGAAAGAACTAAGTTGACCCAAAACAAACCTAAACTTAAAAAAAAATTAAAACAAGTAATCCTTGGGGTCTCACAGATGTACAGACTTGAGAAGTTCCAAAGCTGCTTCTCTTAGCCAAAATACAGAATGGAGTTAAAAAAAAATCCACATTTTGGTAATAATACCCTCTTCACACCTCCCTCCAAAAATCACAGTAAATCTTTTATGGAATACTCACCCTACTCCAGCCAAACACTGATTGATATACTATATATCAAAAGTTGTGGAATGGCACTAGAGCAGTATGAAATAAATTGGTGTCACTAAATACCTGGGATAGAAAATGACGGTGTTCCACTTCAATAACCTTAGCCTCTACCATTAGATATTAGTAAAAGTAGAAAAAATTAATCTCAAAGTAAGCAGAAGAAATACTACAATAAAGATCAGAGATGAAATAATAAAGAAGTAAATATGTATATAAACAAGGAAACCAAAAGCTTGTTATTTTAGATCTCTATAATTGAGAAACCTTTAGACAGACTAAATCAGAAAAAATAACACAAATTGCTTATAACAGCAATGACAGAAATGACATCATTATGGTTTTTACATATATTAAAAGAAAAATAAAAAATATTCTGAATAATGCCATGTCAATAAATTCAAGAACTTGAATGAATTAAAAAATTACTGAAGCCACAAACTATCATGGCTCTCTCAAGAAGGATTAGGTAGCATTAATAAATTCTGTCTATTAAACAAATTGAATTTTTCGTTGATGGATGAAATACAAAATATTTAGTTATAAATCTAGTAAAATACAGGATCTGTATGCTTAAAATAAAAAAAACTAGGGTAAGACTGTATGATCTTACTAAATCAAAGGATATATAATATTCATGGATTGAAAAATTTAATACTATTACATATCAGTTCTCCCCAGATTCATCTGTGAATGTGTCCCAGTTCTAGTGAATAACCAAGCACAATGTTTTGCACATACGAACATGCTGATTCTAAAGTCATATGGAAAGGTAAAGGGGCTAAAACAGCTAAACAATTCTTCAAAAGATAAGAGAAGTTGAAAAACTCACATTACCAAATTTTAAGACTTAAAAAAAGCTACAGTGAGTAAAGGATCTCATGATACTGGTTAAAGGACAAACACGTGGAAGAATAGAAGAGAAAACGGTGTCCAGAAATAGACTCACATGCATGGATCGATCCTATAAATAGCTTCTATTCTATTTTGTTATAAGACTATCAGGTTCACATGCCCACTGTTTAGCAATAGACCAATACGCTGAGACAGTAGGGTTTGCAGCAAAGAAAGGCTTTAATCAACACAAGGGCACCAAACAAGGAATTGGGAGGATTCTCAAGCCCCAGATCTGTTCTGAGAAGGGGCTATGTGCAAGAGACCTTAAGGGGATCATGGAGGGTGACGGGCTAGAAAATTTGGGTTGTCAATTGGTCAGGGTAAGGGGGATGAAGTCACCAGGATGTGGAACCTGCATTATTTCCTGAGTCAGCTTTTTGCTGGGCTCTTTAGACCAGCTGATGTGTGTGTCTGTGTGTCTGTGTGTGTATGTTTGTGTGTGTGTGTGTGTTTTGTTTTTGAGCAAGATGATCTTGCTCTGTTGCCCATCTGGATTTCAGTAGCGTGATCACAGCTCACTGCAACTTCTGCCTCCCAGGCTCAAGTGGTCCTCCCACCTCAGATCTCCTGAGCAGCTGGTACTACAGACCTGTGCCATAATGCCCGGCTAATTTTTTAATTTTTTGTGAAAATGAGGTTTTGCCTTGTTGACCAGTATGTTGCTAGGTTTTTTTTTCATATGCAGAACCTAAAGGAGAAACTCATGCAGAAAGATTATCATCTCACAATGTCTTAGATTTTATCTATAGAAAGGAAAAGGACCAAAATGTCTTGTGACAAGGGCTTCTTTATCCTAGGGTAGTAATCAATGACCAGCTACAGAGAAGTTGGACAAATGGAAAGCTGATTTAGTGATTACTGCTGATTTTCCTGAAATCATAGTTGAATTTTTCCCCCTTAATCAATTTTATATAACTTTCCTAGGGACAGTTTCAGTTCCTTCCGGGCTTGATCCCTTCTCAATTCTGAGGTGTAAAAGCTAATATGGTATGAATCGGGCAATGGCCATTCTAGCTTCTTTTTGCTGACACGGGGCACAGAGAGAGAGTCAGGATTAGAGGAATGAAACCGTCTTGTAACAACCTGCAAGCTGTTATACCCAGCTTAGGGTGCTGGATGAACATGTTAGTACTTCAGTCTATGGTTTTATTGTAATATTTAATTGAATCATGTAAATTATAATCCCTATAAACAGAATTGTGAGCTTGAACTTCAAGAGTCCTTGAAAAATGGACTGGAAAACATGGAGTATGCAGGCGGAAAGCTCAAAAAACTATTCAGACATAGGGTCTGTGGTAGAGACATATGGTCTCCAGCGAGACTGCTGAAATATTTTCTTTAGTTTGGTTTTTATTTTACCAGAAGCATTGATATAAGTACAACAGGTGGTATTGATCACTGTACAGACTCCTCTCTGTAAAGCCAAGAGAAAATCAAGTGTAGTTCCGTTGTCAAGAACTATCTGGGCAAGTAAATTTGAAGAGTTTTCTCAGCCTCAATGTTCTTAGCAGCCTCTTTTGCAATTATTTCTGTGGTTGCCAATAAGTTTCTGATCATGTCCCAGTGAGTGTATACTCCATAGCTAGGACTCGTGATGCCTAGAAGGCTCTGCCACCAGATATATTGATATATGCCTGGCAGTCCCTTTTGGAGTCGGTGGGAAAATGGGCAGAATATTTTGTCATTAGGATGGACTGAGAAGTATCTCAGTAAGTGAGAGCCCTTAATATACAGGTTATTGAGACACCAGTGGGCTTGCCCTAACAGAGGAGGGTCTGATCCTATGCCACAAATAAACATGTACCAAGGGGGCACACAGGTAAAGCCCTCAAGGGTGCATTTATTGATGGATTTTTTCATGGGGAATATAGACAAATGGAATTGAACTAGGGATCTTTTTTTACAGGCTCCCCAGAATTTGTGTGATATTCCCCACTGTAAATATTTTTGGCATAGTAAGGAGAAACTTTTAGTTTTATTTCCCTTCTCCTAGCTGCGTTTGTCTGCCCAGTATGCCATGGGCCATGGAGGGCCTATGTAATGGAATGACTTTCCATTTATGATAGGCAGAGAGAGATTGACACATGGGGTGGTGATTTCTTGGTGTACTATTACTTGGACCTGGAAAGTAGCCATGGAAAGAAGCTGGTGCAGATAGGTAGTCATATTTGGAACATCCAGAAAGTCAGTGACAAGTATGACTAACAGAAAATGCTTATTTTGAATAGTTTGGGGGAGTTACTGACAGATCCATCATTCTGGTAAGTTTCTTCCAGTGGCAATACCTTGAAACAGTTGAACTACAGTGTTGCTATGCCTGTCTAGGCACTGTAGTAACAGGAGAGGTATAATTAGAAGTTTTAAAACAAGAGTGACCATTTCTAAATTTTAGAATGTCCACATAATGAGTGGCATGAGACTATGTTAGCATGGCATAGAATGTCTAGAAAATCTATAAGTCTAACAATTGTATTGACCAAGGCAATTATGAAGTAATGTCTATAAGGGTAGCAATTGTAATTATCTAGGCAATTATAATGACCAAGTAAATATATGGCTTAAGCATTCAGTAAGGCAGGGAATAGACAGGAAGGTATCTCACCTTTTTATATAAAATAATTATAATAACAAACATTCCTGTTATGCTCAAAGTAACTATTGTAGTTGTCAAGAAGACATATGTTTTGTCTAATTTCATTAAAGTTACTTATCTGATATTTTTCCTCAAAAGATATTTGAGGCCCATCAAAGATTTACTTATCCATTCAGATAGGGTTGAGACAGTCTCTGAAGTTGAAGTGGCCTCTCTACATTTCTTGATAGGACAAGAATCTGGCGGGGCGGGTTTTATATGGCTGTGGTGAATCCAGGGTCTAAGTCCTTCAAGCTGAACAGAGGAATGGGTCACCAGTCATGCTTTGCATGGCCTCTTTCACTGTGTTTTAAGTGGTCCCCAGGATGTCGACTTTTCCTGGTCTTGAGCAGAACCCAGTCTCTGGGTTGGATGGGATGAAAGAGAATGTCAGTTGGATACCACAATCTGCTGGAACCACAAACTCGTGAATAGTAGTTAAAGTACAACCTAAAGATTGTGTATATTTGATAATATCTAATTTATTTATGTGTATGTTATTGGCATTCCTTAGTCTGAGAAGGTAACGGAAGAATGATCTCCCATGTAAAATTTTTAAAGGGCTTAATTTAAGCCCACTTTTAGGGACCACCCTTACTCTGAGCAGGGCAATGGACAGAATGTTATTCCAGGTTGTTAGTTTCTTGGCAAATCTTAGCTAAAATTTGTTTTGTTTTATATAGTATGATTTATCTTTTGAGTTTTTTCAGTAGACTTCAGTCTGCAGGCTGTATGAAGATTCCAGATTATGCTGAGGGCCTGGAATATATGGTGTCCTAGGCTACAGAAATTGCACTATGGTCACACTGGATGGAGACAGGCCACCTAAACCTGAGGGTAATCTTCTCTACCAAGGCTCTCATTAGCTCAGACATTCTCTTGGTCTTGCAGCGGAATGATTTTGTTTATCTTGAAAATGTATCTAAAAATACAAGCAAGTATTTAAAATTTCCTGCTACCCTTGGCATCACGGTAAAATCAATTTGCCAGTCCTCTAATAGCCCTGCACCTCTTGCTTGAATCCTTGGTACTGGGGGTGGAGGACCAGTCTTAAGATTGTTCTGGGCACCAAGTAGGTATTTTTAAATTATTTTTTGGATAGTCTTCTTTAAGTGTGTCCCAAAGACATAGTCCTGGATCAATTGAAGGGTGGCATGCCTGCCATACTGTGTGGTATCATGTATGTGTTTGATGATATCTGTCACAAGATACTTGGGCACCAGAACCTTTTCTTCCGTGTCACATATCCACTCATTTTGAGTTCTTTGATTGGAGTCAAAGTCTCAATCGAATTCTCTCTTTACATCTTCTTCCATTAGGTAGGGATTTTAGGCTGAAGTTTATTTCAGGGATTAATGGCATTAGGAAGGCTTTGGGCATTTTTTTCTCTGTTCACCTCTTTAGTGGCCTGCTCTGCCTAGTGATTTTTTTTTTCTTGCTACCAAATTGTCCATCCACTGATGTCCATGGTAGTGTATTATAGCTACTTTCTTGGGTACCAAGACTGCCTTTAGTCAGGCTAAGATTTCTTTAGCATGCTTAATTGTTTTTCTTTTTTAATCATCAAAGGTTAAGAGCCCGCTTTCTTTCCAAACGGCCCCATGAGCATGGACAACAATAAAAACATACCTGGAATCAGAGTAATCGGTGACTCAGGAGTCTTTACCTAGTTGGGATGCCCTGATTAGGACTCTAAGTTCTGCCTTCTGTGCCGATGAACCCAGAGGGAGTGTCTCTGCATCTAGGATCTGTCACAGGGTTACAATAGCATACTCAGCCTTCTGTTGTCCGTGGTGCATAAAGCTGCTTTCCTCAGTGAATATTTTTAAGTCCAGGTTTTTAAAGGGAATTTTGGTCATGTCTGGTTGAATAGAACACACTTGCTCAGTAATTTATATGCAATCATGTATAGGTTTATTTAGCAGGATTTAAAGCAGAAACAGCTCTCAAAGTAACACTAGGATTATCCAGGAGGATGACCTGATACCTATTCAGTCTTCTAGAGGTAAGTCAGTAGCTCCACTTCTGTTCCAACAAATAGCATACACAGTATGGGGTGTGTACAGTGCTAGGTTAACCCAAAGTGAACTCTTCTGCCTCCTGGAGAAGATCACAAGTGGTGCCAGTGGCTCAGAGATAAGAAGTCCAACCCATCATAACAATGTCCAGCTGTTTTGAAAAGTAGGCTACAGGCCTCATGATATTCCCCAAGTCTTGGGTTACTACTCCTAAACCCATCCCTTCTCTCTCATGTATGAACAAATCAAATGGCTTTCTTAGTTCAGGGGGTCTCAGTAGCCAGATCCATTAGTAATTTTTACTTAATGGTTAGAAAGGCCTTTTGACATTCCTTGTCCATTCTAGAAGTCAAGTGTCTGGTCTTAGGGCTTCATAGAGACATTTTGCTATAAGCCCAAAATAAGAAAATGAAATATGGCAACATTCAGCCATACCTAAAAACCCCTCACAGCTGCTGCCATGTCCTGAGTCTGGCCACCCTGACAAGAGCTTCTCTCCAGTCCGAAAGCAGATTACTCTGCTCCTGAGAAAATTCAAACCTAAAATATATAATTGAGTTTTTCAATATTTGTGATTTTTTTCTTGGATACTTTGGATCCCCATCCAGACAAAAAAAAAATGTAAAGCCAGTATAATATTCTGGTCAATTTGCCATAGTTGTGCTGGCTTCTAATATGCCGTCAACATATATAAGCAAAGTCTCATTTTTCAATTGGAGGTCCCAAAACTCCTTAGCATGTATTTCCCCCGGACGGTTAGTGAGTTTTTGAAGCCTTGATGGAGCATCATCCAGCAATACTATCATTTAGCTTTAGTGTCAGAGTCTTCCTATTCAAAGGCAAACACTTCATGGGACTCTGGACTCAGGGGAATACAGATGAAGGCATCCTTCAGATTCAAGACTGAACACCAGTACAACTCACTGGTTAAAGTCATGAATAATGTATAAGCATCAGTTATCACCAGATAAATGGCTTTGAAAATTTGCCTAGTAGCCCTCAAATCCTGTACAAACCAATAATCCTCAGTTCCATGTTTTTGTCCTGGCAAGACAGGTATGTTACATGAGAAACAAGGAATTCTTCCTGTATTGCAGGAAGGCCATTAGCAGAGGCTAAATGCATTGCTGTGCCTTTTCTCTCAAAGGGCGCTGCTTTAGATTTGGCAGCGCCACTCCTGCACAAAACTTGACTTGTACTGGAGATGCAGTTTTTGTTTTCCCTGGCCTCCCATCTGCCCATGTTTCCGGACTAACCTTTTGGAGTATCTCTTCAGGGGTGCAGGCACTTTCAAGGATCTCCAGTTGTAATAATATGGCCTGCAGAGCACATGCTTGGTCTGAAGGCACCTGGATGTCCAATCATCTCAGAGAAAAAGTAATCTTAGCATTTAGTTTGGTTAAGAGTACTGCCCTAACAGGACGGGAGCAGTGGCTCACACCTGTAATCCCAGCTCCCAGCACTTTGGGAGGCCAAGGAGGGCAGATTACCTCATGTCAGGAGTTTAAGACGAGCCAGGCAAACATGGTGAAACCCTGTCTCTACTAAAAATATAAAAATTAGCTGGCTGTGGTGGCACACGCCTGTAATCCCAGCTACTCGGGAGGCTGAGACAGGAAAATTGCTTTAGCTCGTGAGGTGGAGGTTTCAGTGAGCCAGAGGTTGCAGTGAGCCACAATCGTGCCACCACAGTCCAGCCTGGGCGATAGGGCAAGACTCTGTCTCAAAACAAAACAAAACAAAACAACAACAAAAAAGGAAGACTTTCCCCAACAAAGGGATAGGACATTCAAGGATGTATAGAAAAACTCTGTCTTTTTTTTTTTTTTTTTTTTTTTGACAGAGTCTTGCTCTGTCCCCCAGGCTGGAGTGCAGTGGCATGATCTTGGCTCACTTGCAAGCTCTGCCTCCCCGATTCACGCCGTTCTTCTGCCTCAGCCTCCCGAGTAGCTGGGACTACAGGTGCCCACCACCATGCCCGACTAATTTTTTGTATTTTTAGCAGAGACGGGGTTTCACTGTGTTAGCCAGGATGGTCTCGATCTCCTGACCTTGTGATCTGCCCATCTCAGCCTCCCAAGGTGCTGGCATTACAGGAGTGAGCCACCGCGCCCAGCAAAAAACTGTGCTTTAAATGATCTTACTCTAGCTGACAATCCAAAATTTGGAGGAATGATCTCATCAGCATTTTTTCTGAGATTTCAGTCACCTTCATTATTTCTGAGGAAAGTTTAGACCACCAGATATTTAACACCAAATAGATGGCACCATG
Organism: Homo sapiens; assembly: GCF_000001405.40. Classification (NCBI taxonomy): domain Eukaryota; kingdom Metazoa; phylum Chordata; class Mammalia; order Primates; family Hominidae; genus Homo; species Homo sapiens. Next base: position 196,703,548 of record NC_000001.11, on the reverse strand, counting down.
TCTACTAGAAAGTCCAGAAGCTGATTTCTCACCATCATCAGGATCTCAAGCCCCATGTGGGAAATATGGAGGGTGTTGTCTGGGTCAGGAGAAGCCCCTGGGTGCTACCATTTCTGGTCTTTTTCTTTAGTATCTCTCTCAAGCTCCCCAGCTATCCCAGGCATTTGGTGGGCAGAAGGCTGACTGTTTAACATCAGGCTTTGTAGGGCATGAGAAATTTTCCACTCAGTGTCCCCCCTGTTGCAGTAAGCACACTGGTTGGGACCTGCAATGGGATGTCCGTTTTTATTGGCCTTTGGGGGCCCAGGTGGTTCTACCATAGATGGAGTGTCTGATGACGGCCCTTGTTGTGGTCCAGGGACTACTAGGGTCAGAGCCACAGATAACAAGTCAGCTTGCCATTTTCATTATTCCTTGTGTTTTATTTTCCACTCTTTAAACTTGTGATCAGTAAATACATTAAAAACAATCTTCACTAATTGAGACAAAAACATGTCCAATGCCTCAGCTACGTTTTGTAACTTTCTCTGAATATCTGGGGCACTTTGTTGGATAAACATCATGTTAGCTATCATCAAATTTTCTGGGGCTTCTGGGTCAATATCCATTTATTCTCTGAAAGCTTCAAAGACTTGTTCTAAGAATTCCAAAGCAACCCTCATTAGGCTTCTGCTTGACCATCCTGGACCTTACTGAGACTCCTTTGCTTGGGCACTCCCTTGCAGAGGCTGATCAAAATGCAGTTTTGATAGTGTTCAAGGTTAGATCTATCTCCAGTGTTTATATTCCATCCCAGGTCAGAGGTGGGAACTGCAATCTGAGCAGCTGCCCTTACTGGATTACTGGGAGAGTCAGTGTGAATAAGATCAGCCTTTTCCTTAGCTTTTTCTAAAACCATTCTTTGTTTCTCTGAAGTCAACAAAATATTGAGCAAATTGGGGGTGCCTGCTCAGGTAGGGTTCTGTGTGGCAAATACAGAGGAGAATAGATTCTTCATATGCTTTGGATGTTTTTTTTTTTTTTTTCAATCCTGTTCCTTCCATAAACTTTAGATCTTCTCAATAAATAGGCATATTATTTTTCTAATTAAGTAGGTTGGAAGTGGAGAACAGAGAATAAACCAAGATAAATCCTATAGGCTGGCCTGTGGCAGCAACACCTCCTGTAAGCAGTTGTTATGGGGAAACTGCCTCTCAGAACCAGAGTGACTCCCCGGCTAAATGGAGTTCCCTGTTGGGTATAAGAAGTGACACCCTGCCTAAATGGAGTCCCCTGTTGGGTTATAAGAAGTAGAGATCATACCTGTTGCCCCGGATTTGTGACTTTTTGGTGGTGGGGACTCTGGAGAGGCGCCAGTAGTGCTGCTGCAGCTCCCCCATAAAGTGGAGGGGGGTGAGTCATAGGTTCCTTTAACTGAACCATCATAGCATCATCTTTTTCTTGTAAATCAGTCCAAACAGTCTTTAATTTCTTACTTTATCATGATTTTACCTTTTTCTACATTGTTGTACTTTTCCAAAGCAACATAAAACATTATACATAGGGTATTTCATCTCATTCCTCTTCCTTCTTACAAAACAAATCTAGCTACAGGATCGTACTGTAAGCATGAGAACCATGCAGTGGCCACTGTTCTCCGAAATCCAGTGGGTATTAAGGTTAAGCCATGTTAAAAAGTAAGATAATCTTTTTTTGTTTCATGGAATGATAGACAAAGGCCTTTCAATTTTGGAAGATGCAGCCCATCAGGGTTGCATTGTGGGTTACTTTGGGAGAACTAAGGGACAGCCCTTAGTTCATGAGAGCTAAGTAAGCTGCTAGGGTTTGTCTCTGGGTCTGTCCCAGTGGAAAGGGGGCACTAGGCAGTGAGTAAATGCCCTCAAAGAGAGTGACCTCGACCTGGCTTGCCACAAATAGTTACGAGATTGTCAGATTTGTATGCCTGCTGCACAGCAACAGAACAATACACTGAGACAGTGGGGTTTGCAGCAGAGAAAGAGTTTAATAATCTCAAAGCCACCAGCCCCATTGGGCTGCCTGGAGGAGCTGAATTAGCATTTCCCATTCTGGCTGGAATAATACACACATAACAAAACAGATACTAGTCACCATACTCAGGACCCAAGTATTGACCTGGCAAGACTCAAACTTGGTTCCATTGGCCCTTGTCATCTTTGATCCACTCAAGCTGGAGAGGGATGACCTTCGATCAGAAGTTCAGAGGGTAAAGCCTGGGAAAGATTGAAGAGCAGATGATTACCCTGAGTTAGGCTTGCTGAGATTCCACTAGCAACTCCTTCAGGACTAACTGAATGTGACTGACCAAACAAGAAGAGTTCCCTGAGTTAGTAATTTCTTCCACTAGTAATTTCTTCAGGGATCCCCTCCACAAACATAAATACATATAACAAGACAAAGACAAACAAAAGACCTTTCCATATAAAGTTTCAGATTCCAAAATCCAAGACCATTTCTCCCAAGCAATGCCCTCTAGTCTTTTTCCATCTGAAGGGAGATCTCCTCAAATAAGTTCCTACCTAGACTTAGGGAGTGTCAACAAGACCTCAAAGAGGCCACAAGACCTCTAAGACGAAAACAGGCACACACACACAGAAGGAAATGGGGTGCCAGCTGCTCTGAGAAAACTCACCTGAGACTTCTTCTGAGACCAGAAATGGTTTCTCTGCTGCAGACAAGGTTGTGTGCTGAAAGTCAGCACTGCCCTGCCAACACAGAAGGCCCCAGCTAAGGCCCTTAGTTCATCATAACTAAGCAGCTTCTTGAGCTTCTCTCTGGGTCAGCCCCAGTGGCATGGGGGCACTGGACTGTAGGTAAATGACTGCAAGGAGAGTGGCTTGCCATGAATTTTTTTTTCTTTTCTTTTTTTTTTTTTTTGAGACGGAATCTCAATCTGTCTCCCAGGATGGAGTGCAGTGGCACGATCTTGGCTCACTGCAACCTCTGCCTCCCAGGTTCAAGTGATTCTCCAGCCTCAGCCTCCCAAGTAACTGGGATTACAGGCATGTGCCACCATGCCTGGGCAACTTTTGTATTTCTAGTAGAGACAGGGTTTCACCATGTTGGCCAGCCTGGTCTCGAGCTCCTGACCTCAAGTAATCTGCCCTCCTTTGCCTCCTAAAGTGCTGGGATTACAGGTGTGAGCCATCATGTCTGGGTGCTTGCCATGAATTTTTATAAGATTGTAAGGTTTGTATGCCTGCTGTGCAGCAACAGAATATACCAAGACAGTGGAGTTTGCAACAGAGAGTTTACCAATTGCAAGGTCACCAAACAAGGACATGAGAAGAATTCTCAAGACTCAAACCCATTTCACTGAAGCTTTCTGGGCAAGAATCTTTGAAGGGGGAGTGGCTGGAAAATTGAGGTCATCAATTGATTCGGGTAAGGGGGCTGAAATCATCAGGATATGGAAAGTACATTCTTCCCTAAGTTGAGTTTCTTGTCAAGCCTTTCAGAATGGCTGGCATCAGTAGTTTTGTTAGTATGCAGAACCTAAAGGAGAAACTCAAATGGAAAGTTTGTCATCTCATATTGTCTTAAATTTTAACTAAAGAACAGAAAAAGAACAAAGATTCTAGTGACAAAGATTATGTTATCCTGGACTAGTAATCAGTGACCAGCTATAAGGAAGTGGGTCAATGGAAAGCTAGCCTAATGATTACCATTGATTGTCCTACAAGCCTAGTTGAATTTTACTTTTTCCTCCTTAACTGTTTTTAAAAATTTTTTGAGGATGTTTTCAATTTAAAAAAGGAGCAAAGGCAATTCAATAAAGAAAACATAGTCTTTTAAACAAGTGATACTGGAACAGTAACGCATCCAAATGCAAAATAATAACCCTCTACATATTCCTCATACCTCATACAAAAATTAACTCATATAACTAAGTGTAAAATGTTAACTTCTAGAACTGTATATGGCCTTGGTTTAGGCAAGGAAATTTTAGATGACACAAAGAGCGTAATCTATAAATGAAAAATGTGATAACATCAAAATTACATACTTTTGCTCATGAAAAGAGACTATTAGAGAGAAAAGTAAAGCTACAGATGCAAGAAAAATATTTGCAAAATATTTACTCAGTGAAGGGCTTGTAGCCACAATATATCATGTAGTCTCAAAATTCCGTAATGGAAGAAACAACTCAATGGAAAGTGGGCAAAATTTAGACAGTGTTCACCAAAGGAGGTACATAGATGGTAAATAAGTACAAAGAAGATGCTAAGCAGCATTAGTCACTAGGGAATGCAATACCATCACACACATATTAGAATGGATAATTTAATGGAAAAAAAAACACATTATCTCAAAGGCTGGCAAGGTTGCGAAACAACTGGATCTCACATACACTGAGTATGTGAAGGTACAATGTATGATCGCTCAGGAAAACAGTTTGTCTATTTCTTATAAAAATGAACACATATTTAGTATGATATTTGCTATGGGTTTTTAAAAAATAGCTCTTATAATTTTGAGATATGTTCCATCAATACCTAGTTTATTGAGTGTTTTTACCATGAAGGGGTGTTGAATTTTATTGAAGGCCTTTTCTGCATCTATTGAGTTAATTATGTGTTTTTTGTCATTACATTTATTGATTTGTATATGTTGAAACAGCCTTGCATCACAGAGATAATGGCGACTTGCTCATGGTGAATAAGCTTTTAGATATGCTGCTGGATTTGCTTTGCCAGTATTTTATTGAGGATTTTCGCATTGATGTTCATCAGGGATATTAGACTGAAATTTTCTTTTTCTGTTGTGTCTCTGCCAGGTTTTGGTATCAGGATGATGCTGGCTCCATAAAATGAGTTAAGGAGGAGACCTTCTTTTTCTATTGTTTGAAATAGTTTCCAAAGGAATGGTACCAACTCCTCTTAGTACCTCTGGTAGAATTTGGCTGTAAATCCATCTGGTCCTGGGCTATTTTTGGTTGGCAGGCTATTAATTACTACCACAATTTCAGAACTTGTGTTTGGCCTATTCAGGGTTTTGACTTCTTTCTTCTGCTTTAGTGTTGGGAGCGTGTATGTGTCCAGGAATTTATCCATTTCTTCCAGATTTTCTACTTTATTTGTGTAGAGGTGTTTATAGTATTCTCTGATGGTAGTTTGTATTTCTCTGGGATCAGTGGTGATACCCTCTTTATCATTTTTATTGTGTCTATTTGATTCTTCTGTCCTTTCTTCTTTATTAGTATGGCTAGTAGTGTACTTTGTTAATCTTTTCTAAAAACCAGCTCCTGGGTGCATTGATTTTTTGAAGGGTTTTCATGTCTCTATCTCCAGGTCTGCTCTGATCTTAGTTATTTCTTGTCTTCTGCTAGCTTTTGAATTTGTTTGCTCTTGCTTCTCTAATTCTTTTTTTATTATTATTATACTTTAAGTTTTAGGGTACATGTGCACTACGTGCAGGTTAGTTACATATGTATACATGTGCCATGGTGGTGTGCTGCACCCATTAACTCTTCATTTAACATTAGGTATATCTCCTAATGCTATCCCTCCCCCCTCCCCCCACCCCACAACAGGCCCCGGTGTGTGATGTTCCCCTTCCTGTGTCCATGTGTTCTCATTGTTCAATTCCCACCTATGAGTGAGAGCATGCGATGCTTGGTTTTTTGTCATTGCCATAGTTTGCTGAGAATGATGGTTTCCAGCTTCATCCATGTCCCTACAAAGGACATGAACTCTTCTTTTTTATGGCTGCATAGTATTCTATGGTGTATATGTGCCACATTTTCTTAATCCAGTCTATCATTGTTGGACATTTGGGTTGGTTCCAAGTCTTTGCTATTGTGAATAGTGCCGCAATAAACATACGTGTACATGTGTCTTTATAGCAGCATGATTTATAATCCTTTGTGTATATACCCAGTAATGGGATGGCTAGGTCAAATGGTATTTCTAGTTATAGATCCCTGAGGATCTAGACAATGACTTCCACAATGGTTGAACTAGTTTACAGTTCCACCAACAGTGTAAAAGTGTTCCTATTTCTCCACATCCTCTCCGGCACCTGTTGTTTCCTGACTTTTTAATGATCGCCATTCTAACTGGTGTGAGATGGTATCTCATTGTGGTTTTGATTTGCATTTCTCTAATGACCAGTGATGCTGAGCATTTTTTCATGTGTCTTTTGGCTGCATAAATGTCTTCTTTTGAGAAGTGTCTGTTCATATCCTTCACCCACTTTTTGATGGGGTTGTTTGTTTTTTTCTTGTAAATTTGTTTGAGTTCATTGTAGATTCTGGATATTAGCCCTTTGTCAGATGAGTAGATTGCAAAAATTTTCTCCCATTCTGTAGGTTGCCTGTTCACTCTGATGGTAGTTTCTTTTGCTGTGCAGAAGCTCTTTAGTTTAATTAGATCCCATTTGTCAGTTTTGGCTTGTGTTGCCATTGCTTTTGGTATTTTAGACATGAAGTCCTTGCCCATGCCTATGTCCTGAATGGTATTGCCTAGGTTTTCTTCTAGGGTTTTTATGGTTTTAGATCTAACATTTAAGTCTTTAATCCATCTTGAATTAATTTTAGTATAAGGTGTAACGAAGGGATCCAGTTTCAGCTTTCTACATATGGCTAGCCTGTTTTCCCAGCACCATTTATTAAATAAGGAATCCTTTTCCCATTTCTTGTTTTTCTCAGGTTTGTCAAAGATCAGATGGTTGTGGATATGTAGCATTATTTCTGAAGGCTCTGTTCTGTTCCATTGGTCTGCATCTCTGTTTTGGTACCAGTACCATGCTATTTTGGTTACTGTGGGCTTGTAGTATAGTTTGAAGTCAGGTAGCATGATGCCTCCAGCTTTGTTCTTTTGTCTTAGGATTGACTTGGCAATGCGGGCTCTTTCTTGGTTCCATATAAACTTTAAAGTAGTTTTTTCCAATTCTGTAAAGAAAGTCATTGGTAGCTTGATGGGGATGGCATGCTGCCAAAGGTAATTTATAGATTCAATGCCATCCCCATCAAGCTCTATTTCTTTTAATTGAGGTGTTAGGGTGTCAAGTTTAGATCTTTCCCACTTTCTGATGTGGGCATTTAGTGCGATAAATTTTCCTCTAAAGACTGCTTTAACTGTGTCCCAGATATTCTGGTACATTGTGTCTGTCTTCTCATTGGTTTCAAGGAACTTATTTACTTCTGCCTTACTTTCAATATTTACTCAGTAGTCATTCAGTAGCAGGTTGTTCAGTTTCCATGTAGTTGTGTAGTTTTGAATGAGTTTCTTAATCCTGATTTCTAATTTGATTTCACTGTGGTCTGAGAGACTGTTTGTTGTGGTTTTTGTTCTTTTGCGTTTGCTGGGGAGTGTTTTACTTCCAATTATATGGTCGATCTTAGAATAAGTGCTATGTAGTGCCAAGAAGAACACTTGACTTCTGGTGGAGAGTTCTGTAGATGTCTATTAGGTCCAGTTGGTCCAGAGTTGAGTTCAAATTGGGAATATCTTTGTTAATTTTCTGTCTCGTTGATCTGTCTAGGATGGACATAGTATTGGGAGTTTTGGACCAGACAATCAGGCAAGAGAAAGAAATAAGGAGTATTCAAATAGGAAGAGAGGAAGTCAAATTGTCTCTTTTTGCAGATGACATGATGGTATATTTAGAAAACCCCACTGTCTCAACCCAGAAACTCCTTAAGCTGATAAGTAACTTCAGGAAAGTCTCAGGATGCAAAATCAATATGCAAAAATCACAAGCATTCCTATACATCAGTAATAGACAGAAAGCCAAATCATGAGTGAACTCCCATTCACAATTGCCACAAAGAAAATAAAATACGTAGAAATACAACTTACAAGGGATGCGAAGGAACTCTTCAAGGAGAACTACAAACCACTGCTCAGGGAAATAAGAGAGGGCCAAAATAAATAGAAAAATATTCCATCCTCATGGATAGGAAGAATCAATATCATGAAAATGGCCATATTGCCCAAAGTAGTTGATACATACAATGCTATTCCCATCTAGCTATCATTATCTTTCTTCACAGAACTAAGAAAACTGCTTTAAATTTCATATGAAACCAAAAAAAGGTCCCATCTAGCCAAGACAATCCTAATCAAAAAGCACAAAGCTGATGCATCACGCTACCTGATTTCAAACTATACTACAAGACTACAGTAACCAAAACAACATGGTACTTGTACCAGAACAGATATATAGGCCAATGGAGCAGAACAGAGGCCTCAGAAATAACACCACACATCTACAACCATTTGATCTTCAACAAACCTGACAAAAACAAGCAATAGGGAAAAGATTCCCTATTGAATAAATGGTGCAGGGAAAATTGGCTAGCCATATGCAGAAAACTGAAACTGGACCCTTCCCTTACACCTAATATAAAAATTAACTCATGATGTATTAAAGGCTTAAATGTAAGACCTAAAACCATAAAAACCATAGAAAAAAACCTAGGCAGTAGGTTATTCAGGACATAGGCATGGGCAAAGACTTCATGACTAAAACACCAAAAGCAATGGCAACAAAGGCCAAAATTGACAAATGGGATCTAATTAAACTAAAGAGCTTCTGCACAGCAAAAGAAACTATCATCAGAGTGAATAGGCAATCTACAGAATGGGAGAAAATTTTTGCAATCTATCCATCTGACAGAGGTCTAATATCAAGAATCTACAAGGAACTTAAACAAATTTATAAGAAAGAAACAAACAACCCCATCAAAAAGTAGGTGAAGGATATGAACAGACACTTCTCAAAAGAAGACATTTATGCAGTCAGCAAATACATGAAAACAAGCTTATTGTCACTGGTCATTAGAGAAATGCAAATCAAAACCACAATGAGAAACCAATTCACGCCAGTTAGAATGCCGATCATTAAAACATCTGGAAACCACAGGTGCTGGCGAGGATGCGGAGAAATAGGAAAGTTTTACTCTGTTGGTGGGAGTGTAAATTAGTTCAACCATAGTGGAAGACAGTGTGGCAACTCCTCAAAGATCAAGAACCAGAGATACCATTTGACCCAGCAATCCCATTACTGGGTATATACCCAAAGGAATATAAATCATTCTACTATAAAGGCACATGCACACATATGTTTATCACAGCACCATTTGCAGTAGCAAAGATTTGGAACCAACCCAAATGCCCATCAATGATAGACTGGATAAAGAAAATGTGGCACATATACACCATGGAATACTATGCAGCCATAAATTGAATGAGTTCGTGTCCTTTGCAGGGACATGGACGAAGCTGGAAACCATCATCTTCAGCAAACTAACACAGGAACAGAAAACAAAACACCACATATTCTCACTCATAAGTGAGAGTTGATCAATGAGAACACATGGACATAGGGAGGGGAACATCACACACCGGGGCTTGTTGGGGTGTGCGGGGAAAGGGGAGAGAGAGCATCAGGACAAAGAGCTAATTCATGCAAGGCTTACAACCTAGATGACGGGTTGATGGGTGCAGCAAACCACCATGGCACACGTATACTTATGTAACAAACCTGCACGTTCTGCACATATATCCCAGAACTTAAAGTATAATAATAATAAAACACACACACACACACACACACACACACACACACACCATTTATCTAACAAACCCAGTCTTAGATATGTATCCATGAGGAATAAATTTGTGTTTATATAAAAACTGCAGATGAATATTTTTCTTAACAGCATGATTCACAAATGCCAAAAACAATGCAAATGCCCTTCAACACATGAATGGATTAACAGACCGTGATACATGATATAATGGAATAATACTTAGCAATAAAAAAAGGTGTTCTGGGTAGTGTGATGAAATCCTATGCCATTCAGCCCCATTCTCCCCAGAGCCTGAATACTTTCTTGTCTAGTGCATCCACAGTTTATACTACCTGCCTGTTAGTCACTTAGTAGTCTTTGATGAAATCCTATGCCATTCAGCTCCATCCCGCCCAGAGCATGAATCCTCCCTTCGTCTAGTGTATGCACCAGCCTGTTAGTCACTTAGTAGTATTCCAAGTTATCAGGTGGAAAAACATAGTCTACTTGGGTTTTATACTATTAATCATTTCGGGCATTTACTGGGGAGCCTGGAACATATCCCACATGAATAAGAGGGACTAGTGCAGCTTTTTTCTCTCACAGGTAAGTAGAGACTACTCTGTCTATCTTCAGAAGAATCATTCAGATGGCACTAGTAATTCAAGTTTTACAAGTCAAGAGAAATTGATATTCTGTGATTTATCTGGCAAATTTTTTATTTAAATGACTATTTTAAAGGAAACTACAGCCAGTTTGCATTCATAAAGGATACACTCCAATATATATCTACTGTACTCACTCAAGTATGTTTAATTTTTTCTGCATATTCTCACAACATGGTTATGAGGAATTTAGATTTTATTAAATTGAAAAACAATGTGATTCACTGACAATTGACTGTACATGAAAATATAACGTTGATATCTCAATCTGAAGATGAAGCTAAGACTTGTTAATTATATGACAACCGTAAAGTAGCTAAATAACCTGACTAAAGTACAGGGTCTAGCATGAAGAGTAAAATAGTAACATTCTTAAGAATAACTTGAGCCAGACAAACTTGGGACAAAAGGAAAGAAGGAAGGAAGGAAGGAAGGAAGGAAGGAAGGGAGGGAGGGAGGGAGGGAGGGAGGTGACAGAGGGAGGGAGGGAAGGGAGGGAGGGAAGGAAGAAAGAAAGAAGGAAAGAGAAAGAAAGAAAGAAAGAAAGAAAGAAAGAAAGAAAGAAAGAAAGAAAGAAAGAAAGAAAGAAAGAAAGAAAGAAAAAGAAAGGAAGGGAAAGAGAAAGAAAGAAAGAAAGAAAAAGAAAGGAAGGGAAAGAGAAAGAAAGAAAGAGAAAAAAGAAAAAGAAGGAGAAACGTAGACAAAGAAAGGAAGAAAGAAAAAAGAATGAAAGAAAGAAAAAGAAAGAAGGAAGAGAAGGAAAGAAAGAAAGAAAAAGAAAGAAAGAAGAAAGAAAGAAAAAGAAAAAGAAAGAAAGAAAAAGGAAGGAAGGAAGGAAAGAAAGAGAAAAAATAAGTAGTTGATTCTACAATCAGCTCCAAAATCAAACCAAGAGGCATAAACGTTGATTGAGTTGTTTGATATCAGGAGAAATTGCATATCTAATCAAGGCATATTATTAGCCTCAATTAATCTGTGAAGAAAAAAATAAAAGTAATGGGATCATCTGACACTGAATGATGAGACAAAAAAGAGACTGATGAAGCAAAAAGATTTGGGTGAAAGGTCATGATTAGGGTGAAAAGTCATATCCATACTTATTAAAAACCTATATTAATTAAAATTCAGGGAGTGGAGGTTGCAGCGAGGCGAGATCGCGACATTGCACTCCAGCCTGGGTGACAGAGTGAGATTCTATCTCAAAATAAAATAAATAAATAAAATTCAATAGAGGGTTACTGCAATGCTGGTTAAAAAATTGTTTACTAATAGTGCAGAATACTCAGAGTAATAGTTATTGTGTGTGTGTATACACACACAATGTACAAAATATACAATAAAAAATATACTGTTTGAGAAAGGTACTATAAAAATTGTTAGGGAAATGTTGAGTTTACCATATTTCATTTAAACATGAAATACAGCCATTATCATGAATAAAATCAACACAAAATATTTTTAAAATATGAAAAGAAAAGGTAACTTATAACTTTTTAGAATAAAGAATAGTATAGTGGCTCTATGTTTTTGAAGTATTCCTTTAAATAGAAACAAGAAACATTCATCATGAAAAAAGATTGACTATTATGTAGTAGAATGAGCAACTTATGTTCATAATGCAGAAAAAAGGAAAGAAAAATACTAGCCACAAAGAGAATACATTTGCATTACGTATAATTAAAAGAGATTTTATATTCAGAATTGTTAAGATGATTCCAACTAATAATACCAAAACTCTCAAAAAGGTAAATAAAGAAAATCAAACTGCATTTCCAAAGATTAGAAGCATTAAATACCAATTAAACTGTGAATATATATTCTAAACCCAGTTAGTGGTAAAAGAAATGCAAATTTACACTATAATGTTATAACATTTTATAGCCATTCAATTTGTAAATATTAAAATGTGACATCACCAATCATTAACATGTAAAAAAAGAAGTAACTGTTGATATAAATGTATGTTGGAATAAATACTGTAGGAAACCTTCTAGAGTAGAATATGCACAAGATCTCAGAATACCCATTTGTACTTACATATACTAGAGAAAGTCAAATAGCTTTACTGTAAAAATGTCATATCACTGCTTGAATATATGAATTATTGGGTATCATCGTATTTACTTTCTATTTTAAACTATAATTGTATAATTATTTTGAGTCAAATGATTGATTCCAATGTACATATTAATATTGATATAGGAGTTGAGAAAAAATTGTTTAGGCAGATAATGAGGGTACAGCAGTCCTTGATAAGGTTTTTCCTTTTAATGAAAGGCAGCCCCCAAATCATTTTCTTTTCTAACAAGAGGAGCCTGTAAAATCGAACTGCAAACATAGACAAGCAAGCTGGAAGCTTGCAAGGTGAATGCCAGCAGTTGTGCCAATAGGAAAAGGCTACCTGGGACTAGGCATGTTCATATGGCAGGTGCATCTTCCTTTCTCTTTGCCAGCCACGTGTACAGTAAGGAGAAAGCAACATGGCGCTGGCCAGGCAAAGATCCCATTTGATTAATAAGATTAGGGTGGGGCGGCCAGCTTCCTGGCATATTATGTAAATGTCACACCTAGTTTAACCAATCTTTGGGCCCTATGTAAATCAGACACTGCTTCCTCAAGACCGTTTATAAAATCCAGTGCACTCCACCAGGGGCAGGGATTCACTTTCAGGTGCCGCTCTCTCTCACAAGAGAGGAAGCTGTTCTCCTTTCTCTTTCTTTTGCCTATTAAACCTGTGCTCCTAAACTCACTCCTTGTGTGTGTCCACGTCCTTAATCTTCTTGGTGTGAGATAACGAACCTCAGATATTTACCCAGACAATGATGCCGCTTCAATACGACTTCATTTAACCAACAAGTATTGTGTTCAAATTCTTTTACTGTATTCTTGACTAATGCCCATTAATAGGAGAATTTATTTTACTATGTACTTATCAAGAAATTTGTATATTCATTTATACACAGTTGAAAAACCAAAAACTAAATAGGTCCATTGGTAAAACAAGGTGACATAAACATTTTGCCACAATTAATATAGATGAGTCTTAGAATGTCATCTATGTTACTTAGAAAGACATGAACATGCTAGGATTTCAGAGTAGTGTACTTACTGACACGGATGCATCTGGGAGTAGGAGACCAGCCATTCTCCATACATGTAACTGTGGTCTGCGCTTTTGGAAGAGCGTAGCCAGGATGGCAGGCAACGTCTATAGATTTACCCTGTACAAACTTTCTTCCATGATTTTGATTATATCCATTTTCCAAATAAGGAAAATAACATTTTCCTAAGGACCATAACAATGATAAATAAATAAAGTAAATGAGAAACATAAATTTGCTCAAAATAGTATATTACAATTATTTTTACAATATTTAAATAAGATTGCATAAACATCCAAAAATAATGTATAACTGAAGACGAACTAAAGTTACTAACAAAGGTTTGCACAAAAAGAAATATCAATATTCAATATTACTTATCTTTAGTTTTTATAATTAATAGATGTATAAATTATATAGATATTCTCATAAAGTCCCTATATTTATTTCTCCTGTGATTTTCAAGAAGAAACCCTCATAATAGAAAAGATCTATTTTGGTCACTTTGCTTGAACAACTCTTTTCTTGGCCCTATTTCTGTTACATAAGACAGGTGTAATCACTTATGTGCTCTCCTTTCTTCGATCTTTGAAAGTTTTATACATATATATAGCAGTTCAGAGGTTTACTTACTGAGGCATGGTACTGCTGGCGACCATCCATCTTGTGTGCAATGAATGTGATCCCAGTAACTTCCTGACGGAGTCTCAAAATGTTCATCACAGTAATAGGAGTAATATTTTCCTACAGCTACTGGAAAGTATGGTCTACGCATATTCTCATGATATAGACCTCCATGTTTAATGTCTGGATAATCACAAGGTTTCACTTGCAATAAAAATTTTAAAAAAAGTATAAAGAAATTTTACTGTAATAAACACTCATATTAGAGATAAATTTTTATCACTGAATTATATTCTCTTCTTAGTATAATTACACATTCCATTAGGGTTTCTAGGTCAAAACAAATGATAGAACTCAGATGACTGAGATATGTAACAAGAAGGTCTTTGTTAATGAAGATGAAATTATGTCTTGTGGATCACATGATGCGTAAATTTGTATGAAGGCTCTCCAGAAAGAAAAATGCACAGACCTATTTAATATATTTCCCTTAAATACACATACCCTATCCCTGGTTAATTAAATAAGCTTTTCGGTTGAGAAATATGCCAATTTTACCGCTTAGCTCATGTATTTCTTTCTTTCTTTCTTTCTTTTTTTTCTATTCTCATCAGTAAACAAGAGCCCTGCATTTTCTTCTCAGAACAATTCAATGTAAGGAAGTAGTATTTTGAGGGATTTAAGGTTTTTATTTGTTTTAGATTGAATTCATGGGCTGGGCGCAGTGGCTCACGCCTGTAATCCCAGCACTTTGGAAGGCTGAGACAGGCAGATCACTCGTAAGGAGTTCGAGACCAGCTGGGCCAACATGGTGATACTCCGTCTCTACTAAAAATACAAAAAAAATTAGCCGGGCCTGGTGGTGCGCCCCTGTAATTCCAGCTACTTAGAAAGCAGAGGCAGGAGAATCGCTTGAACCCAGGAGGCAGAGGTTGCAGTGAATTGAGATTGTGTCTTTGCACTCCAGCATGGGTTACAGAGTGAGACTCCATCTCGAAAAATATAAATAAGTAAATAAATAAATTAGGCTCTTTCCTATTTATTGCAGACAACGTAAAAATATAGAGAAACACAAAAATTTTTCTTTGATGATACCGCGCAGAAAAATAACATAGTTAATTCATGCCTCAAACAATTCATTAAGCCAAGTTCTCCAGTCTGTATTTAACCAGAGAAACAGACTAGAAATATTTCTTCATATCCAAATAGTTAAGATTTTGATTAACTTTTTTGTTTATTTCTAATTTTAATTGGAGAGAAAAATAATTTTGATGTCATAAAATATATTTAAGTAAGGTACAATATAATTACATTTTACTGAGTTATTATATATTAATTTTGACAAATACATTTGAGTGCTATCTTGTTTATTATATTAACAGGTTTATATATTTTTCAGAAAATTTGCTCTTTTCATGGGATTATTTGTAGATTATCTAGTACTTTCAATAACAAAATGGTATTAATGTTTTCCATGAAATATGTTTCTATTTCAATAAACCTTATGCAATAGGTTAAAAAGAATTTCAATACACACATACACACACACACATATAAATATTCTTTTACATCTCCATCTTTCTTAAATTCTGTGATTTATTTTCTTTTGTATTTGATTAGAGAAATTTTCATGTAGTTTCTACATTTATTATGTGGATTATAAACTGAATAATTGTATATCTTAAATGTATTTCTCTAATAAAGACTAGTGAATGATACTTCTTTCAGTATAGTTTCTTGGCCTACAATCCATATATCTTATAATTGATAGATTTTTTTCCCTATTTATCTGAAGCTCCCAGTGTTGAAATTAAAACATTTACTTAGTCTTATTTCTTTTAAGTAACATTCTACATTTTTCCTCACCACTTTTTAAAGATTTGGAATATTTTCTATTTACCATTGGATTTTACAAATTTCATCATGATTTGTTGAGACATGTATTATTTAACAATAATTCTGCATTGGGAAAGCTTGAGTCTTGGATTTGTGGGAGCTGTGCCTTAAAGGCCTCAATTGAATTTCACATTAAATGGTAGAGTAGAGATTTCAAAGCTTGTGGTTGATTTCAAAGCAAGTATGAGTATCCATCTTATTATGGTATTTCCCAGAAGGTCATAAAATAAAATTGTCCACCGAGATTTCTTTCCAAAAGGAATAAAAAGGAGGCATAATTAAAAACATATAACATTACCACAGGCTCGAGCTATTTAGCTATTCTCTAATTTGGTCACATTTACATCTGTTTTTATCCCTTTTACAAATTGATTCCTTGAAGCAAATATTAGTACCCACAGAGAGTCTCATCAGCGCTGAGAATAGAAGGACTTCAAATAGCTTCATTCTACTTGTTACACTTCTACAAATGTAGTTTTTGGTTTCACAGCATTTATGGTGTTTCCATCATAAAGTTGGCTCAAACAGATCTTAAAATTGATAAAAATATTCACTAATTTTTATAACTGCTGCTAATATATTCATACTGTAATTTATTTGACCCAAGTCCAGGATCTTAGAGTCAACATTGTTAAATTTCATCTTATTAGATTCAGCTTAGCACATAAGAGTCTCTTTGAATGCTGAACTGCCCTAATGCAGATTCCTTATTATCATCCTCTGTATCATTCCAATTGTGAATTTGTACTGCACTTCCCCTAAATCATTAAACTGTTCAATGACACAAGTGAGTAATGAAGCAGGCCTGAGAATAAAGTCATGCGTCTGATAATTAGATATGGTTATTTAATGAAATTAAAAACTGATAAACCATATAACTCATCAACTCCTCTATCTTGTCCATGAGAACTCCAGATGGTTCATTGTCAAACATTAATAATTGAAATCCAAATATAGTTGGGTCTCAGTTGGTTTAGATACATTTGGGCTGAACTACATTGTCATAAGCCAACCATAAAATCATTAAATATTTTCCTCATAATTCTTATGCACACTGAAATGTTTCATACTGATAATAGCTTCCTCTCTTAGGGATTGGAATTATGCCAGGAATTAAAGTTGAAGTCATTAATCAATCATTTGTATCATATTTTTCTTTCATGGAATATATAGTTTAAGTGTAGTACTTCTTGTCTATGTACTTATAGATAGAAAGAAAAGAAATTTGATTGTAGAGATAGAAAAAACATTAAAAAGGGGTAAAGGAGCATCCCAGAAATAAAATACTCTATTGACTTGAGTGGTATTTTGCTACATGTGATGATTTTTGGAAATTACCTCCAACACTAGGAAATGACTAAGACTTGGAGTCCTTCAACACTCCTCCCTCCAAATAGTGGTGCCTAATTTCTCTCCCCTTGGATATATGCTGGACTTAGTGTCTCACTTCGAAAGAATAGATATGGCTGAAGTTAACAGTGTGTGAGTAGATAATTGATATGGTTTGGCTCTGTGTCCCCACACACATCTCATGTTGAATTGTAATTCCCAATGTTGAGGGAGGTGATTGGATCATAGAGGTGGATCTCCCCCTTGCTGTTTTCATGATAGTGAGTGAGTTCTCATGAGACCTGGTTGTTTAAAAGTGTGTAGCACTTTCCCCTTTGCTCTCTGTCTCTCCTGCTCTGCCATGGTAAGATGTGCTTGCCTCCCCTTCACCTTCCACCATGATTGTAAGTTTCCTAAGGCCTCCCAGCCATGCTTCCTGTACAGGCTGTGGAACTGTGAGTCAATTTAACCTCTTTTCTTCATAAATTATCCAGTCTCAGGTAGTTCTTTCTAGTAGTGTGAGAACACACTAATACATGGTATTGTGGCTTCCTCTATTCTCAGATTAGCAGTGCTGGAGAAAGCTGCCATTTATCAACTCATGGAAAGGCCTATGTGGTAAGGACCTGAGGCCTCCTGACAACAGCCATGTGTGTCAGTAATGTTAGAAGCAGATCCTCCTTCCCAGCCAAGCCTTCTGATCACTGTAGCCTGGGCCATGATCCTGATTGCAACACAAGAAGACAGTCTGATTCACAACTACTTATATAAGCCATTTTGAGATTACTGACCGATAGAAACTGTAAGATAATAAAGGTTAGTTGTTTTAAGTAAATATGTTTTTGGGGTATTTTGTTACAATGCAATAAATAACTAATATAGTATGTGTTAGATGACATTATTTTTATCTAGTGTTTTAATTCAGATATTGGAATAATTTATTAATTAGGGAAACATACATTCATAAACACACATACACATTTAATTTTGAGTAGCAAAAAATATGAGTTTCGGCAACTTCGAAAACTAAAGAATGCTTCCAACAGCCTTACTTTGTATATACAATAAGACAAATATTTGGTTTTATTGAGTCCCTATTTTTTATGTGTTTAAAAGAAATTTCAGAATTAAGAAATGGGTCAAGATATGAATGGAACTTACAGGTACATCTCGGAGCAGGTATCCAGCCAGTACTTGTGCATTTTGCTGTATTTCCCCGGGTTGCAGGATAAAAACCATTTCTACACTGGTACGTGATTTCATCTCCAGTTCTGTGTTTAATCCTTAAAGGTGAGTAGTCACCATTTGGAATATAAGGATTATCACATGATTTTTCTGAAAAGAAAAAGGATATATGGATAATGCAGAAATAAGTATCCGTTAAAATTAATCATTTATATAAACATTTAAAAGTGGGTGTTATTTATTTGTCCTTAGCATAATACAAAATGGCATTAAAATGAACATATCATAGTATCCTTTCTGGTATATCACTTATTTTTCCCTTCACTATATTCTCATCTGACATATTTGTACCTCCTGGGCTCTTAATCCCTTCTTCTCCAAAGTCATCCCATACTTCATGATTTTCCATAACTGGCAATGTTCTCATCACATATAACTTCAATTCTTACTTTCACTTTCCTTCTATTCTTTGGTTTCTGTGGTTCTCATAAGGATTGTTTACAAATATTCAGTGTTTCTTTCTTCTGGACAATTGATAGGACTGCGCAACCCTTCCTCTTTGAAGTAACTGTGGCCATGTGATTGCGTAGGAGACTATAATAAAAGTGGAAGTAATATCTTCCACTTTAGAGAGAAGTTTTAAAAGCCATTGTGTGAATTTTTATGTTCTCTTTCCCAAAGATACCGCGATTAAAGAAGGACATGAAAAAAAATGATGTTTCTGTCACTTGATTCTTACAATTAATACAATGAGTAAAGTCCCTTCTGATCTACATTGACAGTGAACATGAATGAAAATAAACTTCAGTCTTAATATCTTAAACATTGAGATACTGCATTACATTTTTCTTACTATAATAGGATAAAATAGCAGAGGGTTTGGAAAACCTTTTCCGTAAAGGGCCAGATAAAATGTCTCTGCTGCAACAACTCAACTCTGCCATTATAGTACAAAAGTAATGAAAAACAATACATAAACAAATGAACTTGGCTGTGTTTCAATAAAACTTTGTTTACACAAAGGGGGCAAGTTGTATTTTACCTGCAGCCTATAGTTTGCCATCCTTTGGCCCAGTGTATCTTAATCTATAAGGCACCTTCTCACTCCTTTCCATTAACTCTGCTATATCTCAATATTGGATCCATTTGCAAAATTCGTTTTAAGATAAAATACTATGCATTTTAAGTATTGTAGAAAAACTATATGACCACTTCTATTGGAGTCATATTTTATTTTGGACTAAAAAGCTGTGGCAAACATTCAGCATTGCTTGAAATCCATTTATATACCCCCAATTTATTTACTATTTGATTTCCCATGGTAAATGATCCATAGTCTCCTCTCTTTTCTCAAGCCACCTGAAACAATTGCCTCTTCATCAACAGATAATAAGTCTCCATTCACACAAAACAATTGAGACCAGCAGTAGTGAGTTTCCTATACTTCTTTCCAGCACTCCTCAACATTATCTGTATCTATACTGATTTAAGTCTTTAGTTTAGTCTTCAGTGGTAAAGTGTTGCTTTCAAATTCAGGTTAGCTTTAATTCTTTCATTTTCCCCTGTATTTTAAACCATTGTTTATTCCTTCCCTCTTTCTTACCTTATCAACCACACTCTTAAATTGATATGGAAGCTTTTCCAATTTTCAGTCCCTTCACTCAACCCTTTGTTCAAGTTTAGCTAATGTACTACATTTCTCCTCCCCTTCAAAACCAAAATCCTTAAAATACCATTTTATAATTGCTGTCTCCACTTTCCCGTCTCACATTTATTCTTTAACTCACTACTACCTAGTTTCTGACCTCTATTTTGTTGCCATTGCTCTGATAAAAGCTACCAATGAGCCCAATGTCCAAATTCAGAAATGCTTTGCATTTCACATATTCCAGTCACTGGTACATATTATGGACTTCTTAATTATTTATTGAACTGAACAGATAAAACTCTGTAATATTTGACTCTGTTGATTACATACTTTTTGGTGTTCTCCATTACCTTATATATTTATGTTCTCCTGCTTCTCCTTGTCTTTGTCTAAGTGATGCTTTTCTTTTATATCTTATTATTTTCCTTTACTTTATATTTTTTGCTTCTCCTCTTGTACTTTACTTAATTTTTTAATTTTTGGGCCCTGCATACTTGTCACATCTCATCTCCTGCCATTTTTCTACTTCTTCTCTATACTACCACCATTCCTTTCTCATAAGTTGTATATTAGTCAAACATAAAATTTTATAAAGTTTTAATTATTCATTATATATTTCCTCTTCTCAATACCATACTTCCACTGTGTCCATTCAGCTCCTAAGTTTATACTTCGTTCTGACAGAATAAGCTTTAATATATCTCTATAGCTAACAGGATAATATATTTAGATTAGCAATAATTATATGAGAAACAATATGTATGTGACTTAATATACAAGTTTTAAAGCTTTACTATTTTAAAATTTTACTATTTTATGTAAAAATATGTCTTCAGTGTTTGATGTTGACACTAACTTCAAATAAGTCCTAAATGTATTCCTTTTTTCTTTTTTTCTGTCACTTCATTCTTCTCTATCATATTTTCATATACCCATTAAAGTTCAGTTTATGTATCTTCAATTATTTTTCCTTATGATATAGCTCAATTTAATACCAATTTTTGAAGTCAAAAGCTATGAGATGCAAAAAACAAGAGTTTAACTAAGAAATCAATAAAATAATATGGAACAATTTTGTTAATTAAGAATAGAAAGACTTCTGGTGATTATGCTCAAGCAGTAGACATAAATCCTGTGATAAACCTTAATTTCCTACACTCATAATCTTTTTAAAAATACATCATGTTATTAAAACATTGCCCGAACCTGTACCTTTATCCAAAACAATACTTGAGACTATCCATATTTTCCTACTATTGGAAACAACCATTGGTCATTTGAAGTTAGAATACTAATTCAAGGTTAGCACTCTATGCTTTGAACCAATAGAAAATCCAATCTGTACAGGGAAGAGATAGATTCGGATCAAAGATAGCTTTCCTTTAGCAGTTCTTCGTACCTTTGATTGTTTCTATAAATAACTTTCTGTTACAGATTGTCCCTATTGGACACAGAGACCAAAGTTTTGACAATTCACCTTTAAATCAGTCCTCTGACATGTGTGTGCCATAGACCAGATTGAAGAAAATTAAAGTATTTAAAATTTAAGTAGATTATTTCACTTTAATATTATCTTATTATTTAATTCCAAACTTCTTATAGATTTAGAAGCAACAAAGAGAGTTTGAAGTTACCTGATTTCAGAGAAAATGATGTGTATAGATTTTGAATTCATCTTATATCAGCAAGTAGATCCTTGCTTTGTACCAAGAAAATAGTCATATTTATGCTATATTAGTTGGCATACAAAGAGTGGAATTCTTTTATTAAGAAAGACTTCTCTATATCTAATCAGCGTAAAGTATATTTCAATAAAATAAAACGTGGTGAGAGAGTGTATGCTTAACTAATTTGGGATAAATCCTCCTTTATTTATATCGATTATTAGTGAACTGTCTTCTGAAAAGGAGTACCCAATCCCAGTGCCTTCTCTTGGTATCTCTTTTCCTAAAGAAAGCAGGACCTGCAAGCATAGTATTGAATATTCAGGTTTTACTTGTACTTGTGACTGAGAAATGGAAAAAAATTATAAAAGAAAAATGTTTTATAAATGTAGAGTCTTTGAGGGGTGTGTGTGTGTGTGTGTGTGTGTGTGAATCAATTAGTGTTCAAGAGAAGCAAGAATAGAAATGCAGTAATACATTTGGGAAAAACAGATGGATCTCTCATTGTGAAAACAAATATGTGCTAAGGAAGAGTTTTAAGTAGGTATCAAAGTGAAGAAGTAAAAGAGACGAAAAAATCAGATGACTACAATGAGGTAGTAATGCTACAGAGTCACATATTCAAATAAAACTAAATTCCCAGAGTCTTATTTTGAATTCATTGAAAGCTGGAATGATGGTTTATTGCAATGTTTATCTTCAATACACAGCAAGGTCCTGATGTAAAATAAGTGGTTTATAAGTTACATTTTGATTACTGCATGGATAAATTCACTATAGATTTGAGAGGGGCTCTGGAAATAATATACTTCAGGTAGAAGTTAATGCCAAAGGACTTGTGCATGCACTTCCTTTGCTTAGGAACTACGAATGCCATGAAGACAAATAGTTGGACCCCACACACCATTAGCCAAACATGGATCTGATGTGGGTTATTACTGTCTCATGTTCATTAATTTCTTTCTAAAATATTCTCTTAACAGTGCCTAAAAGTAGAGATCACGCAATTGTGAAGAAAAATATGTTTTCCAAGGAGACACTTGTGGGCTCAAACCAAAATTTTTTTAGTGTATAAAATTAACCCAAAATTAACTATTCTTTTGTAAAAGAGGATTACTAAAGCACAGTTTAAACATGTATTTATGAATCATGGGATTTAAAGTTCAGAGGGCTCTTAAGAGTTCAACTCTTCTTTCTCTCACAGTATGGCAGTATCACCCTTTTAGATTTCTGGACCATATGTGGTAACACTGTTCCTTGTTTCACTAATTGCAGCAGACCTCATCAAAAGCAAACCCACTTATTTTATAAATGTTTGAAAATATCTCAAAACTGTTATCACCACACTATAGCTGTAGCTTCTTACTGTACGTCTTATGGCATAATTTCTTAAAAGTCCACAACTGTCCATATTCTCTCTTCTTGGCCATGATAGTTTGAAACTTTCCCGTTTAAAATGAAGTAGGTTAAGTAGAACACTCTATTCCAGATATATTTTTTGGTGGGCAAAGAGCACAGTTGAGATGAACTCTTTGGCTCTGTGTAACATCCCTCCATAATGAAAGTTGAGAGGTTTTTTTTTTTTTTTTTGGTAATTTTCCAGGACCATCATCACCGTTGAGTCATACTGGGCCTGTTGTTAACAAAAATATTCACTTCCTTCAACTTAATTCCATTGTCAGTTGAGAGTTTCCTCACCTGGTATTAATACAAGTTACTTTTAAAGTATTTTAAAATATTCATATAATTTAAATAAATTCTGGGCATTAGTGGAGCAATCTACTTGTTTGAGAATTGTATGTTACTGAGAATTAGGAAGTCTATTATAGTCCTCACTCTGATCCAGACATGGTTTTTGATGATAGACCAATGACTTAATAAGCTACTGAACTTTTCTGGCCCTGTTTATGTCTGTTTTCAGAGTGTGTGTATCGTACGAAGTGTACTCAAAATGAACCTTGAACACAGAAAATGCTATATGTTTTTTATAATAGTTTATTTACATAAATTAGCACTCTACTTTTGATTAAAATAAGTGGATTTATTAAAAGAATTAATTAAAATATGTGATAAATTTATAAAGATCCAGAAAATAAAGGTAACATTACCTTCACATGAAGGCAACGGACGCCATCCAGATTCAGTGCATACAGCATCTCCTCTTTCACTGTATTCATAACCCATGTTACATTTATATTGAAATCGTTCATTCTCCTTATAAATAATCTTCTGAGATATAGGAGATCCATTTATAACATCTGGGGATTTGCATGAAATTTCTAAATAAAAGGGATTAAATTCCAAAATGTTTATTGCAAATTAAAGGACTGTGACCAGGACATAATTATATGAAAACAGAAATGTTGTTTCCATCAGGTAAATCAGTCAACCAAACAAAAGTTCTGTTTTGACTTGACCGCTTAATAAATGATTTATCTGAAGAAAGTTAAAATTCTGATTAAAATTATGCTTCTGATTTTATTTAGTTTCAGGATAAATTAGCCTTCTTGAAATAAATAGTGACCAGTAACATTCATCAACTGTATAAATAAAATTGATCATAAATATAGTTTTATTGTGATGTTTTCACTGAATGACCTGCAAAAAATAACACATCTTCTAGTTATTGATAAGACAGGAATTATCAACAGGACTTTTTGTCAAAGACATTGATTTAACTCATTGTCATTACATCTCTGAAAAGTAACTGACCTGTTTTTGTGTCATCACTATTTAGCCAAGATTTCCTCAGAAAAAAAAAAAATGGCCATCATCTTTTATACCTTTTATACCCACTTCTCTCAAACATTTTTACCTGGGATTGTGCCAATCATAAGTAGTTTCCCAAACTCTGTTCTCCCACTTTCTAATCCATTTTCCTTGTGTATAGCTTAATGACCTCTCAGGTAGACACATCGTAACTCCACTTGAAATCCTTCATTGATTCCCAAATCAATCTGAATAAAAGACGCGTTCTTCAGCATGGTGCATGCAGCACCTCAGCACTATGTATTGGCCCACCTTCTATTTATCACTGACTCGTTCCCTACTTGCATCCTAGACTAAGGTGCCTAGGAACAATGGACAAGAATCAGTGGTGCTTCATGCTCCTTAAAGCCTCACTGCCCTTCCACTTCCCTTTCCCTGAACTCTGGTATGCTTTTGCTCTCATTTTCATCTACAAAATCTCGTTTTTTTTCTTTAAGACTTAATCGTAGGCATCAGCCATTCCAGGAAGTTTTCACTAACCACAGGAATCTAGTTGTAAGGATGTAAATTCCATCCATGTACTTCTAAAGTACATAATATTTGCTATGCTGAATAAAAATATTAGATTTAACATAAAGAACTATTGTTGTTACAAAGTGTTCTTAAGAAGAGAAATTCTTTTATCTGTATCTAAGATATAACAGACTTTAATAGTAAAAATAATTTAGATATTTTAGATAATATTAAAATATAAATATGCCAGAAACTTCTGCCAAACAATTATTGGTAAAATGAACTTGAACTATGGTACTACTAAACAAATCAACCACGATGTTTATCACAGAAGCCAAAATCTTTGATTGGTCATGATGCACAGGTTGGCAGTATTATGACTAAAAAAATCCTGGCTTACAGTTTACTATAAAACTTTTTTTAAGAGGCAACAATTTATTTAGTGGATTCTGTTCAATTCAGCAACATTTATAGTAAACTTGCAGTACAAATATAAAATAGGTCTGCTTCCTAAAAGTGTTATTCAAAAACGAATGTCATTCTAATGTATCTCTGGAAATACATAATGAATCTTTGGCTTTCAAAATAAAAACAAATGTCTATTCCAGAGGTCTTACAGCTTGCAGCAGAAATACTTAGCATTCTCTTTCAACCTAAGAGACAACTACAATGGAGTTATGGTTAAAGCATGGACTCTGGTGTCAGATAACCTACATTTAAATCCTAACTTGACTCTTTATGCCATGATAATCCAGGGCATGTGATTTAACTTCTTTGCACCAGTCTCTTCCATTATAAAATGAAAGTGATGAGTAAGTAAATCATGGAGTTTTTTGAAAGTTAAAATGAAATGATGCATGCAAAGAACTTAGCTCAATTACAGGCAGATAGTAAGTGCTCAATAAACATTAGCTATTGTTAATATTGCTGATATTCCTTAGAATGAACGATGTTTTAAATGTATATTTACATTTAAAAAGCTAAAAATACTAAAACAGTAAGTGTATCTTACCCACACACTTTGGTTTCTCTTTACTCCAAAAACCATCGTCTGAACAATGCATTTCTTCATCTCCTTCAATCTTGTAGCCTGAGTTACATACAAACCGTACTGCTTGTCCAAAATGGTATTCCCGATCTGGTTCCATTGCACTACTGACAATTTTTCCATTCTCTGGTGCTGTCACTGGTAAACACTTCACAACTGAAGAAAATACATGTAATGTTTTCTAATGGAATTTTAAAAGTTTATTGTGAAAAATATGTGTATGTATAAAATCATCCTCAGGATAAGATTGGAGGAAATTACTTAAATTATTTTTAGAAGCATTTGATATACCTGTTTGCTAGAGATACTTTCCTCTAAGAAACAAGCAAATGGAATGTTTATTCCTGATTCTTTTCTATGGGAGTGGACAATGAAAATTACTACTTTCAATGCTAGCTTGTATTTTTGTAGTAACAAACTAGTATTTTTAAATAATTAAGAAATATAAAGCTTGAGATAATTAAATACATTTTCATTTATGCCCTAGAATAATATAACACTGTGTTCCTAAAAGATGTAAAAGCAAACTTTATGACATTAACTTCAATAGAGAAATCATCGTTAATTTTCCATCCTCTTCGACCTAAGTGTTTAAAATAATTTGAGTAGTTCTTTTGATTCTACTTAATATTTTCCAATTTCTCTAAAGTTGTGGTCAAACTTTATTGTACTATAGAATGACTCAGGATGCTTGTTAAAATAAAAATTTTAGGGCTATCTTCCTGCATGCTCACCCCAAAGATACTGATTCAGTAGGTCATTTTTTAGTAACCAAAGATTTTAGTTTTTAACAAGCATCCCAGGTGATTTCAATGTAGATGTTCCCTAGACCATTAATCTTCTTCCTCCAATTTTCATAGATGAAAAAATCTTCCATTATTTTCTGTAGTTGACAGTTTTTGAATGATTATCACGTTTCTTCTGTATCTCTCTCCACTTGCCACTCACTGTGGAATTAGGAAATACTACTCTGGTTGATTTCTTTTATTTCCATAATGACTAGAGATTTGGATTATTAGCTCAAAACATGAAAACAGAATCTACATTTTCTCATTTTCACTGTTTGCTTTACAGACCAGTGAGAAATAACAGAGCTCGCCCTTAGTTTATTCCTCTTTTCAGTAAAGGTAAGTCCACAGGCAACCTCCCTTAGTGGGAGGTCTCAATCACGTTCTCCACTTCAGCTGTTACCATAGATCCCTGCATTTGGGTGGTTACTGGGTGAGTTCTTCTTCATTAATAAAGGCAAAATTCTGGTCTTTATTTAGCTAATGATGCTTATATGCGTTTCTAGTCATTAGAATCCAAAAGGAAATAAAAATCAGTTTTAGATTCCTTAATGTCTAATACTTCAATTATTATATCAGATCAGGCTGCATTCGTTTTTGGCTTTTGAAACACCAAGAATGTAGTAATAAAAAGACTAGATTCCCACTCTACATTGTATGAGAAAAAAAAACATTAAATAAAAATATTTAATAGAGACTTTAAGATATTTTAATGTAAGACTTTTTTTAAATCTTAGATATTTATTTCAATATACTTGTAAATACATTTTATGTCTACCTTCACATATAGGAATATCATTGGTCCATCCATCTGTGTCACATTCACGGTAATTAATCTCACCTAGCAATTGATACCTGAAAACCAAAAAATAACAGAACGTTGACATAATGTGTGTTTACATGCAGTTTTAAACTCGATGCCATTCTGAGTGTCCAGAAACTCCATATTAAGGAAAATGAACAGCATATGCATTTTCTTGTTTCTTGTTTCTTGTTTGTTTTTCCTTCCTCCTTCTCCTCCTCCTTCACTCTGTCTTAGATTTCTTAACGTTCTCTAGAACATTAATCTTCTTCCTCTAATTTTCATAGATGAAAAATCTCTTAACCTCTCTCTCCCTTTATCTTTCTCTCCTTCTTGGTGCATGGACTGAAAATAATCATAATCCTTGGTTCACGACAAAATCATTATTGTTTCATACAAAGTATTCTTATTTTTCATTGAATTATCTAATTAGCTAAATTCAATAATATAGTAAGCTCCATGAACTATCACCAAAACAAAAGCTAAAAATACCATAGTAACCAACGACTAACCTTATGTTTCCCTCTCCTCCAGTCTTAGACCGTATTTCTGTCCTCCATGATTCTGATATTTTCTGAACACCTTAGGGTTTCTACATAATAAAGATAGTGCCAGCCAAAAGTTGTTAGTGTGTGATTTACTTTCAGCACTTGCCTCCATCTCTCCATCTCTATCGTAGAGATTTTTTCCTGAGAATACCCAGTGAGTCAAATCTGCTCATCCAAGCCATCTAATGTTGAACTTAAGTAATTTTAGTAACCCATCAAGCCTGCCCTTTGAATCTAAAAAATGCTCTACTTGAATATGAGTTCCCTGGGACATGTGCAAAATGTGCAATCATTGCTAGAGGCTTCAGATCTATACATTTTTATCTCCTTAGCCAAGTCAAGTGCTGAACTTAAAGAGAGGACACAAGCCTGTGATAAAAGAAATATTTCAGAGGTGAGGAAGGTAGCAAATTAAAAAATTCAGCCCCAGGATATTATAACCTATTTGGTTATGTGTGATAAGATCAGCAGTAATGATTGAAGGGCTAAAAATGTATTTGAAAAACCTCCCTCAGGTAGTGACTAAGGAGAGAATAAATTCATAAGAAATTATACTTATTTGGTATCTACTATATCTCAAGGTCTCTTCTAAGGGCTGCAGATGTGTGTCTTATTTATTTTTCCTGCCAATCCATGATGCACATAAAATGTGTCTGTTTTGTAGGAGAGGAAATGGTAGTGAAGAGATATATTTTTAAATACCCATAAATGTTAAGTGGTAGAGTTTTGAAAGGCAGGCTTACTCCAGTGACTAAGCTTTAAACTATTATATTTTATTGCTTCAAATTAAGGAAAAAATGGGGAAATAATAATGTTATTCCATTTGTAATATTTGGTTACATTTATATTTATGAAGTATACGATTATAGTGATCTAATCCTGGTTTTCCCATACATAAATTTTTCTCCAAAATAATTTTTCATCTAGCAGAGAATAAGGGGGATAAAATAACACTGAGGATATACAGTGATGATTTTGGCAATGAAAACCCAGTAGTTGGTTAGAAGGAACAGAGTCAATGATTCTGAAAGAGTAGTATTTTTAATCCATGTGGTAAGAATAATTTGCAGACCTGGGACATTAAGTAACCTTAGTTGTAAGTAAAACTTATAAGCAGGTGAAAGTCTTGCTTTCCTTAAATTTTATAAAACCTGTCAAAACAGTTACCATACAATATAAATTGGTTACAATTCCTATTGTTCCTGACACATTGAACTCCCATGATACTCTGCACAAAATAGAATGTCGTGAAGACTTGTTGGGTGAATACTTATATATGTGCATACTGTTTTCCCACTCTCCCATAATTATACTCTATCAGAGAAGTTATACTTCATTTAAATTTTTCAATGTTAAGGAGATAATATGGTATCCAGATTTAATTATTTCCATCATAGTTAAACTTTCAGGTACTTGTGTATTACTTTTTTAAATGCTCATAGAAAAATATAATAACCTTAAAAATATATAAAGTAGTAGAGTTCCTATTTACTATCTTAATTATAAACCTCTTTTCGTATGGACTACATACCCCTCATTACATGTATACACAGCTTTTACACCATATTCAAACACATTTCCTCCTGTAAGGGTAAAAGTACCAAAAGGAGTATCTCCAGGATGTCCACAGGGCCTTTCTAAAACGAAAAAAAAAGTTATGAATTAGTATGTAATAGCAAGGAATATATTTTATGTAGGAGTGGGGGAACAAGTATATTTGATATTATATAAGAAGACAGATTGAATGTAAGGAAAATTAAACATAGCAAAGCCATTATTTCATAATTGAACTTAAACTATATGCTTGCTTTTTTAATTTTGGAGGATGACCACCCCTTTTTGAAAATGATGATGTATTGGCTGGGCACGGTGGCTCACGCCTGTAATCCCAGCACTTTGGGAGGCTGAGGTGGGTGGATCACGAGGCCAGGAGTTCGAGACCAGCCTGCCCAGCATTGGTGAAACCCCATCTCTACTAAAAATACAAAAATTAGCCGGGCGTGGTGGCACGTGCCTATAGTCCCAGCTACTCGGGAAGTTGAGGCAGGAGAATTGCTTGAACCAGGGAGGCAGAGGTTGCAGTGAGCCGAAATAGCGCCACTGCACTCCAGCCAGGCGATAGAGGGAGACTCCATCTCAAAATTGCGCCACTGCACTGCAGCCTAGGTGACAGAGCCAGACTCCATCTCAAAACAAAAAAAAAAGATTATGTATTATTTTGTATTTGACTGGCAATAGTGATATAATTCAGGCATAATTGCTACAATATTAAATCTTAAGTATTTTTACACCTAGTTTTCATAAATTTCACAAATGTATTAAGTACTTACTCTGACATTTCCTTAATGGATTAAGAGCAACCCATTCTCCCTTCCTGCATACCATTATTACATTTCCAAGAGATCTATATCCAGGGCGGCATTTATAGATAGCCTGGGTGCCTTCTGGATATGTTTGGTCAGACCAGGAACCTGTCAGAATTTCTGTATTTCTTCTTGGAGGAAGTTCATTGCAATCTACAAACAATAAAAACAAAATAAGTGCATAAAGTGTCTATTTAAATGTACAGTATATTTAGGTAATTGTTGCTTTTAAAAATGCCTAGACAGTCACAGGTCTATCTAAATTTCTCTCTCTCTCTCTCTCTCTCCTAACCCCATATCTATGGAGTAAACATACATTTCATGCATGTAGTGTAACTATACATTTCACCTTATAAAATTTGTATCTACATAATTTTATAAGAATGTTCACTGTGGAAAAACACCTAAAAAACTTTGCAAAGCAATAGATATATTTTGTTATATTACTCTTAATTGCTGGAGAGCATTCTACTATTCTTCCATTAATTTGGGAAATATTTATTGAGCACTATTCTAAGTTATAAAGAAAAAACAATGAAGAAACAAACTATCTGTTCTCAAAGCATTTCCATTCTATTAGGGAAGCCAGTTATTAAGTAATCAAAGAGATGTATAATATGCATTACAGGTAGAAAAATTATATTTACAAAAATTAGCATGATAAGTTAATACAGAATTATACAGGCACTCCAAATAAGATAGAATAGGATGGAAAAGAACAATGTTTCTACTCCAAATTGGAACAACAACAAATTGTGTGTGCATGTGTATGTTCAAAGGTAAGTTGTGGGAGCAAAGAGGATTAAATGAACAAAACACAAGTAGGAAGGACCTGTTTCAAGTAAATATAGGGTCTCTGGCCATTTTTTACCTGGTTATGTTTGTCAGCTCTGGATATGGATTGAAGATCAGGCCTCTATTTAGTCTGAATGGAAGAATGGTAATGAGGTAAGAAAGAACCAAACATAAGGAGGCTATATCTAGCATGAAGAATTCTGAAACTTTGCCAAATCAGGTTGCTTTGCTAGAGTCTAGGTAGCTTCATACGGGAAGACTGACTTTCCCGTTGTCTCATAGAAAAAAAGTCTCAATAAGAAAATGGATCTGACTCAAATACACAACTAGTATTCTCATCAAAACATGCCATATTTGAAAGTCACTCTGGATGATATTTAAGAGCAGATGTCAAAACAGCAGAAAAGCTGTATACATATATATATTATTTATATATAATAAAAGCTCTTATATATATGTTCACTTTTCTGCTGTTTCATTTATATATGAGCATTTAAGATTATATATATATAAGAACAGAGTCAAAACAGCAGAAAAGCAAACATATATATAAATGGCTTTTATTATATATATATCATATGCTCACATACATAATATATATGTGTTGGCTTCTTCTATCTCAAAAGTCTAATATATGTACACACATATATAGTATATATATATACACATATTTATATTTATGTATATATATGTGTATATGTATATACTCTGTGTGTGTGTGTGTGTGTGTGTGTGTGTGTGTGTGTGTATTAGTCTTTTGAGATAGAAGAAACCAACCAGATTCTTGACTTTAAAAACCCAAGAGGGTTTAATCTTTGAGACTAGAAACCAGAAATGGGACTGACTCAAACTAAAAGTGTTACCCAGGTCCCTCTGAGTTAAATTTTTGAGTGGCTCAAGAAAGAGCAAACAATCTTGTTGATGAGAGTAAGTTATATAAACTTTTGTCATTACATGTTTTTGTTTAAAAATACGATTTTGAATAAAAATTAAAAGATACACAAAAAAGCAAAAACAACTGTGAACAAAAAGAGAAAATAAATATTCAGTAGAACTAGACACTCAGATTCAGATGTTAGAATTAGTGTTAGGTCTTTATAACAGCTATTTTAGGAACATTAAAGGAACTATAGAAAATATAGAAATGAAAATTTAAAAAAGATATTCAAAATAAAATTGACTCATAAATCATGTGCTATCTTAAAATTGGATCAAAAATCAGAAATAACAACTTGTCAGATGGTTTTAAGAATCAAATGGACACAGCACAATACAAACTTATTAAACTTAGAGGAAGTTTAATGTAAAAATAACCAAAAGGAAATATAGAAAGACAAAAGTGTATAAACAACAACAAACAAAACAGAGTATAAAAAAATGTGTGGTGTAGAGTCAAGTTATAAAACATGTTTAATTGGAATTCTAACAATAGAGAAGAAAATGAACATAGGCAATATTTGAAGAAACAATAGCTCAAAGGTTTCCAAAATTGATGAAAGAAATCAGCTCACAAAATCAAAATTTCTAAAAACCCCCAAAATGCTGTATACCAAGAAAACCTATACTGATACTCTGCTGAAAACCAAAGATAAAGGCAAAATCTTAAAAGCAGATTGTATTAGTCCATTTTTGCACAGCTATGAAGAAATACTCAAGACTGGGTAATTTATAAAGAAAAGAGATATAATTGACTCACAATTCCACATGGTTGGGGAGGCCTCAGGAAAGTTACAGTCATGGTGGAAGGGGAAGGAAAGACCTCTTCACATGATGGCAAGAGAGAAGTGCAAACAGGGGAAATGCCAGATGCTTATAAAACCATCAAACCTCATGAGAACTCATTCACTATCACGAGAATAGCATAGGAGAAACTGCCCCATGATCCAAGCACGTCCCACTGGGTCCTTCCCTCAACACACAGGGATTATGGTGATTACAATTTAAGATGAGATTTGGGTAGGGACACAGAGCCTAACCATATTATTCTGCCCCTTGCCTTTCCCAAATCTCATGTCCTCACATTTCAAAACATAATCATGCCTTCCCAACAGTCCCCCCAAGTCTTAACTCACTACAGCATTAACCCTAAAGTCCATGTCCAAAGTCTCATCTGAGACAAGGCAAGTCCCTTCCACATATGAGCTTGTAAAATCAAAAGAAAATTAGTCATTTTCAAGATACAATGGGAATACAGGCATTGGGTAAATGCTCCCATCCCAAATGGGATGAATTGGCTAAAACAAAGGGACCAAAGGCTCCATGAAAGTCAGAAATCCAATAGGGAAGTCATTAAAACTCAAAGTTCCAAAACAGTCCCCTTTGATTCCATGTCTCACATTCAGGTCACACTGATGCAAGAGGTGAGCTCCCACAGCCTTGGGCAGACCTGCCCCAATGGTTTTGCAAGGTATGGCCCCCTGCCCTGGCTACTTTCACTGCTGGCATTGAGTCTCTGTGGCTTTTCCAGGCACAAGGTGCAACCTGTCAGTGAATCTACCATTCTGGGATCTGGAGGATCTGTGGCCCTCTTCTCACAGCTCCATTAGGTAGTGCCCCACTGGGACCTCTGTGTGGGGGCTCCAATCCTACATTTCCCTTGCTCATTGCCCTAGTAGAGGTTCTCCATGAGGGTTCCTCCCTTGCAGCACACCTCTGCCTGGACATCTAAGCACTTATATACATTTTCTGAATCTAGGTGGAGGTTTTGTATTCTGTGTACCCACAGGACCAACACCATGTGGAAGCTGCCAAGGCTTAGGGCTTTCATTATCTGAAGCAATGGCCCAAGCTGTATGTTGGCCCCTTTTAGACATGGCTGCAGCTGGTGCAGCTAGGATGCAAGCCACCAACTCCTGAGACTGCATACAGCAGTGGGGCCCAGGCCTGCAAAACCATTTTTCCTTCCGAGGCAACCAGGCCTGTGATGGGAGAGGCTGCCTTAAAGATCACTAACATTCCCTGGAGACATTTTTCCCTTGTCATGGTGATTAACATTTGGCTCCTCATTCCTTACACAGATTTCTCCAGTGGGCTTGCATTTTTCCCAAGAAAATTCGGGTTTTATTTCTATTGCATCATCAGGCTGCAAATTTTCCAAACTTTTATGCTCTGCTTCCCTTTTAAACATAAGTTCCAATTTCAGACCAACTTTCTCAAAGTTCAAAGTTCCACAGATCTCTAGGGAAGGGGCAAAATGTTGCCAATCTCTTTGCTAAAACACAGTTAGAGTGATCTTTGATCCAGCTCCCAATAAGTTCCTTGTCCCCATCTGAGA
This sequence comes from Homo sapiens, assembly GCF_000001405.40. Lineage (NCBI taxonomy): Eukaryota > Metazoa > Chordata > Mammalia > Primates > Hominidae > Homo > Homo sapiens. Next base: position 196,669,061 of record NC_000001.11, on the reverse strand, counting down.
CCACCTCAGCCTGGACTTCATATTCCAGATCACTATCAGCATTTTGGTCTAAAGCATTCAACAAGTCTCTAGGAAGTTCCAAGCTTTCCCACATCTTCCTGTCTTCTTTTGAGACCTCCAAACTGTTCCAACCTCTGCCCATTACCCAGTTCCAAAGTCACTTCCACATTTTGAGGTATCTTTATAATAGTGCCCTACTACCTTGGTACCAATTTACTGTATTAGTCCATTTTGCACTGCTATAAAGAATTACCTGAGACTGGGTAGTTCATAAAAAAAGAAGTTTAAACTGATTCATACTTTCACATGGTTGGGGAGGCTTCAGGAAACTTACAATCATAGTGGAAGGTGAAGAAGAAGAGAGGATCTTCTTCATATGGTAGCAGGAGAGAGAAGTGCAAGTTGGGGAAATGCCAGATGCTTAAACCATTAAATCTCATAAGAACTCACTCACTATCATGAGAACAGCATGGGACAAACAACCCCCATGATCCAGTCACCTCCCACTGAGTTCCTCCCTTGACATGTGATGATTATGGAGATTATAATTTAAGATGAGATTTGGGTGGGGACACAGAGCCAAACCATATCACAGACAGAGGAAACATTTTTTTTCCAGGAGAATAGTAAAAATAACAGCCAAGTCTGTGGAAGTAAATACTGAAGTCTGAATATATATGTCTTAGCATTACTAAAGTGCTGAAAATTAAAAGTCAGCAGAGAACTCTATAAATGGTGAAAATATACTTCAAAAATGAAAGCAAATAGAAACACATTCTTAAGCAAACAAAAGCAGAAAGAATTCAACAAGAGCAGACTCAACTATAGAAAAATACTAAAAAAGTTCTCTGGGCTGAAGGAAACTGATCTAAAATATAAGCAAAGAAGTACAAAAAGGAATAAGCAGAACTGAAGAAAATAAATAGAAGAGTAAATAAAAAAGCTATTGAAACATGATAAACCCTATGCTATGTATATTTTACTCAAATAAAAAAGAGCCTTGACTGTTTAAATCAATAGACCATGTTTAATAGTGTTTTTAATAAATTCAAGAGTATAATATGAAACAATAGTAGCAAAAGTGTCAGGAAAAGGTAAAGAAAATAAAAGTGTTGTGATGTTTTCCCCATAGTCTTGATGTGGTAAAAATATTAATTTAGAATAAATTGTAATAATTTAAGCATGTTTTGTTGTAATTGCTAAGTTAGCCACTAAACCAATAATATTGAGATACATAAAATAACTAGAATACATGATGTAATGAGATAGTCAAGACTATTTGATTAAAATAAGAGAAGGCAGGAAAAGAAGAGAGAAAAATTGAGGCAAAAGTAAGTAGCAATATGCTAGACTTAAACTGAACTGTATCAGTAATTACATTAAATATAAATGGATTCATCACCATACTAAACATACAAAGATTGTCTGACTGGATAAAAGCATAAAAGAAAACTCAAATATATGATGATTACTTTTAATAAAATTGTACATATAAATTGAGAGTAAATGATAAAAACCAATATGCTAGAAAAGTATCAACCAAAGTAAGAATGATATTAATGTATTAATATCAAGCAAATGATAATTTTAGTTAGAAAGTATTATTAGATAAAAAGAGAGTCATTTCATATTAATAAAAAGGCTACTTTAACAGAAAGATGTAATAATTGCAAATGTGTCTGAACAATGTTTGCTGGAGCTGGCTCATACTGACTCATAGGAGCCAATTATACACATCTTTTGCTAATACAATGTCTCCTGATGACACGTTGGTAACTTGAAATTGACCATATTGTGAGAATTTACACCATGAAACTCAGCAAATTTTACAAATCATGGTTGTTCCCTTTCCTTTTAAAAAATAGTTGGTTGTTTTACATTTACCAGCATGCCTCTTTGCATAAAACTATTAATACATCTTCAAAATATAACAGAAATAAAAGAAGTAAGCAATCCACCATCATAGTTTGAGATTTAAGCACACTGTTTCCAATATCCAATAGAAAAGAAATAGAAAAATAAGGATATACAAGATATAAGCAACATTATTAACCAAATTAAGTTTTTTATATTAATAAAACACTGTCTTCAACAATTGCAAGATGCATATTCATTCCAAGCAAATCTCTACCAATCTCAAAAAATTAAAGCCACTCTAAGTATACTCCCTGACCACTAGACATTGCTAACAGAAAATAAGTGGAAAATTCACAAAATTTTTGAAGTTAAGCAACCCTTTTTTTTTTTTTTTTTTTTTGAGACGGAGTCTCGCTCTGTCCCCCATGCTGGAGTGCCCAATCTCAGCTCACCACAACCTCCACTCCTGGGTTCACGCCATTCTCCTGCCTCAGCCATCTGAGTAGCTGGAACTACAGGTGCCCGCCACCATGCCCGGCTATTTTTTGGGTTTTTTTTTCTTGTATTTTTAGTAGAAACGGTGTTTCACCGTGTTAGCCAGGATGGTCTCAATCTCCTGACCTCGGCCTCCCAAAAGTGATCCGCCCACCTCGGCCTCCCAAAGTGCTGAGATTACAGGCGTGAGCCACCGCACTTGGCAAGCAACACTTATAAATAACTCATGAGTTAAAGAAAAATATAATATAAATGAGAATATGATTTGAAATAAACAATAATGGAAATATATGTTAAAATTTGTGGGCTGATGCTGAAGCACTGATTAGAGAGAAAAAAATATAACTCGAATGAATTAGAAATAAAAAACTGTTGGAAATCAATTATCCAAATTTCTAATTCAAGAAACTAGTAAAACATTAAATGAAATCTAAAGAAAATAGAAAACAGCAAATAATAGTGATGATCACATAAATCACCCTCCAAGTTCAAGGTGACAACTAAAGTATTTAAACTAAGGATACCCAATTCTGTTGTTACCGGGCATGGATGTGACCTATACTGGCATCAACTTTCATCCTTCATCAGCAAAATTATCCTGGTGGGGGTTAAGATATTAGAAGCTGAGTTTCAGTGCCTGAAATCTCCATCAAGCTGTTCTTGTGCATACTGCCTTTATCCTTATTCTGTATTTTCCTTCAAGCCAAGTAACCTTGGCAATGGGTAAGTCTATCGTACTGTGTAAACTTGGACTACCTCAAATTGAAACTCACTCTGGCAGGCTTGCAATTAAAATCCACTGGGGCCGGGTGCGGTGGCTCACGCCTATATTCCCAGCACTTTGGGAGGCTGAGATGGGTGGATCACCTGAGGTCAGGAGTTCGAGACTAGCCCGACAAACATGTCGAAACCCCGTCTCTACTAAAAATACAAAATTAGCCAACTGTTGTGGCACATGCCTGTAATCCCAGCTACGTGGGGGCGTGAGGCAGGAGAATCTCTTGAACCTGAGAGGCGGAGATTGCAGTAACCCAAGATCACGCCATTGCACTCCAGCCTGGGCAACAAGAGCAAAGCTCTGTCTCAAAAAAATATAATAATAATAAATAAAAAATAAAACCCACTGGAAATGAAATGGGATAAATTTGAATCCTTACTTTATTTGCACAGACACATGCACACAAATGCCAGGTAGACTAAAGAGTTAGGTTTAAACAAATTTAAAATAAATACATATATGTTTCATTCTTTTATAATTTTTTAATTATCTGCTATATATGATGATATGTCATTTTAACTTACTATTATCTTAGTGCCATCTATCTATAATTATATTTATTTTATAAATATATTTATTAAAAAGTATGAATAAATATCAAAAAAGGAAGGCTTAATGCATAAAGCAATTTGCAAACAGAACATATACACATTAAAACTTTGTTAATTAAAAATTATATTTGTGAAAAAATCATATATACAAAATGTGGAGAAAATTTAACTGAAAAATTATTCTTAACACAAACACTTCTTGCAGTAACAAAAGCACTAAACACTATCTAAAGAAAAATGTTAGAGTAGGATAGATCATTTACTTAAGAACAGGCATTAACGTGACCATTACCAATAATTAAAAGAGATAAAAATTAAAAGAAAATTATTTTTTGACCAATTTTAACACAAAAATGTAAAGGAGATGATAATCAATTTTGCTGGAAAATTAGGTAATATAAATATTATTATTAAATAAAACTGAAATATAAATGACTATTACTTCACTAAAAAGCAACTTAGCAATAAAGAATCTTAAAAGTACTCATACGTAAGTTGACAAATAATTTCAATTTTTTAAAAGTAACAAATAATAATTAAAGATTTTGTGAAATATTTAGGTACAGAGTGTTTATTCCAGCATTTTTAATAATGGATATAATTAGAATATTTATGAAAATTGTCAAATTATGCTACACCCATCTGAATTAAAAATTGTGGTTTGGGTAATATTTAATTATGTGCATAAAATTTATAATAGTAAGAAGGAAAGTCAGTATATATTTTCTGTTATAGTGAGATACATTAGGTCAGGGGCCAGAAAACTAACCTGTGGGCCAAATCCAATCGCTGCTTGTTTTGTAAATAAAATTTTAGTAGAACACAGCTATGCTCATATAGTTATATATTGTCTATGACTCCTTTTATGTTACAATAGAAGAGCTGAGTAGCGAGACATTATGGCTCACGAAGTCTAAAATATTTATTGTCTGGCTATTTCACAAAAAATTTGAGTGCCTTGGGATTCATTATTTCAGATTAATCTTATCACTTAGGACACCTTCACAATAAAACCAGGTGGCCAGCCATGGTGGCTCACACCTGTAATCCCAACATTTTGGGAGGCTGAGGTGGGAGAATCCCCTTGAGCCCAGGAGTCTGAGACCACCCTGGGCAATATAGCAAGATCCCATCTCTACAAAAAATTAAAGAAACAAATTAGTTACCCATGGTGGCACACACTTGTTGTCCCAGCTATGTGAGAGGCTGGGACAGGAGGGTCTCTTGAGCCCAGGAGTTTAAGGATGCAGTGAGCTATGATCATGTCACCGCACTCCAGCCGAGAGACAGGGTGAGACCCTGTCACAAAAGGGGAAAAAAACAGGAAAACATATGTTTTGAAATAAATACTTTCATAGAGGCATTTAGAAAGCTGACGAGACAGTAAAGAATTACCATAACATATCTTGGTATAATCAGAACCCAGAAAGGAAAACAGGCAGCCAATTTTTTTCTGCACTGTGGGCATTCACCATTTGGGGAAGACACAAGCTTGCTTTTTGATAGCCTTATTAGGCTAAAGCAACAAAATTCAAAGTTGGAAACCTAAATGAATTCACCCACAGGATAAGGGAGAACTGGAAGTAAACCACACTCTTCTTACAGGAACCCAGCTTTGAATTGCTTAGAGCACCAAGGAATTTTAAAGCACAAATTTGGCTTAAGGTAGTCTCACACTGAAAGTTCTTCTAGCCACCCAGAAAAGATAAGTTGTAACTTTAATATGAGGAAGATTTTTTTCTTAAGCACCAAATTATTATTACAAATGTCAAAGACATTATACGGGAGAAAAAGCACCTAGTTACCATAAACTTCATAAGGAACAAAATAGATATTTGATATTGGAATAAATATATACAGACTATAATCAACAATACTAATTCTGTTGTTTAAATGTAAGAGAAAAGTTTGACTAATGATATCTGAGGAAAGAAATTATAACAAAGTAGTAGCAGATTTTAAAAAGAACCAAATATAATTTCTAAAAATGAAAAAACCCATTTTAATCATCAATGGACAGCTTAATAGCAGATAACACAGTTGTAAAAAGAATTCGTGGACAGGAGGGCAGGTCAAAAGAAATAATACAGGATGCAACATGGAGACACACATGTGTGGAAAATACACAAGATGAGCTAAGAGTCAATGAGGATAGAAAAGCCAGAGCAATGTTGGAAGAGAATTTTAAAAAATGAATGGAACATACCAATTAATATATCCAAGAATTAAAAAATTCCAAGCAGTAAAAAAACACACCTATATGCATCATAAGGAATATGCAGAAAACCAAAGAGAAAATATCTTAACCTTGTTAGAGAAAAATATTAATTTAAAAGCAGTAATGGTTAGATTTACAAAGACTTCTCAATAGCAATAGCAGACGCCACCAGGTATTAATCACTTCCATTTTCAGGAAGAAATAACTATCTATATAGAATTCTATATACAGAAATAATTTTTTGAGAATAAAGTTTTGATTCATAAAATTTATTTTATTTTATTTTTTGACAAGATCTCTATTGCCCAGGCTGGAGTGCAGTGGTGTGATTTTAGCTCGCTGCGACCCTGACCCCCTGGGCTCAAGTGGTCCCCTGCCTCAGCCCCCCAAGTAGCTGTGACTACAGTCACAAACTACCTCTCTCAGCTAATTTTTGTATTTTTTGTAGAGACGAGGTTTTGCCGTTTTGCCCAGGCTGGTCTCAAACTCCTGGGCTCAAGCAATCCACTCACCTTAGCCTCCCAAAATGCTGGGATTGCAGGAGTGAGCCACCGTGCCCGGGCTGATTAATAAAATTTGAGAGAATTTGCCACTATAAATACACATTAAGGAGAGAAAAAAGATATATTTCAGAAAACTGAAACTGATCCTAAATATAAGGTCTTAGGATGAAAGAAGAAATGAAAAACAAAGAAAATGGTAAATGTTCAAGTAAATATAAATGAATACTGACTATAAAATAATAAAAATATTACCTTACATGGTTTTAAATACAAACATGTATGTGTATACACCCATATACATAAAACACATGACAATAGTAGGTAAACTGTGAGAAGGATTAATAAAATTAATGTCTTTTAAGTTCTTCACAGTGTCCAGAAAAACAGAAAGGTATTAATGAGCTGTGACAGTTTTCTTAATAAGTCATCTTGCTTAAGTCAGCATTCCCAGTTATTGAGTCAAACTAATCTAAATGTTGGTGAGAAAATATGTTGCCAGATACACTCCCAATCAGTTGACTTTAAACAAGCTGATCATTCTAGGTAATCTAGATAGGCCAGATCAAATCATTTGAAAGGTCTGAAACATAGGGCTGAGGCTCCTCTGAAAAAGAGAGGGAATTCTGTGGAAAGCAGCTTCCTTTCCTGTGAGTTCCATCCTGTCTGTAATCTTCCTTTTCTGACTACCTGCCCTGTGGATTTCAGACTTGCTTATCTCATGCTCACAATTCCTTGAGGCAATTTATTTAAAAAACAAAACAAAACAAAACAAACAAAACAAAACCTCTTTTTAAGTAGGTAGATAGGAGATTGGTATGTCAATCAATTAATTGACTGATAGATAGGTAATCTTCTACTTCTACTTAAGCTTCCCGCATTGAATCCTGAGTGATAAATTATTATTAGACTTTAGTAAGTTAAGAAGGCATATGCTATGCTCTGAATACATGCAACCTCCCCACAACCCCCAATTTATATGTTTAAACCTAATTACCAATGTGATAGTATTAGGAGGTGGGGACACTGGGAAGTGATTAGGTCGTGAAGGTGGAGCTGTCATGATTTGGGATGTGTGCCTTTATAGAAGAGGCACCACAGAGCTGCCTTGTCCCTTTCATCATTGGAGGACACAGCCAAAAGGCACTGTCTATGAACCAGAGAGCAGACCTCACCAAACACTGAATCTGCTGGTACTATCTTGCTGTTAGACTTTCTAGCATTCAGAAGTGTAAGAAATACATTCCTGTTGTTTATAAGCTAGGCAGTTAATAATATTTTGTTGTAGCAGCCCAAAGAAAAAAGTTTTAGAAGTGCCCATTAACATGGTGGAACAAATCCATATGAAAACATTTTGCAATATTTCATAAGAAAGAAAACACCATATAAAATTATATTTTACAAAATAATGTGAAAGTTTTTATGGGCACTAATTTTCCCTTGACCTTTTTGCAAATTTGTATTAGTGAACTCATATAATATGTGATTCCACATTGCACTATTTCGATGTTTATAATTTAAGTAAACATATTCTACTCCACTAGATGGTGCTAATACTCTATCATAACAACACAATCCCCGGCCCCTTCCGCACAAAAGGAAAACTGATTAATTACAAGCTGATATGTTTGTTTTTCACTTTCAAAATTTAGATCCATTTGATGATGTTCAGGTTATTGGAAAAAATAAATAAGTAAAGTAATCCATTAACACAAAAAAAGTTTAGCCCGCTCACTTCCTAGTGAGAAGTAAATGCTTTCCCTTCTGGTTATTATTATATTTCCAGGTGATACGTTTGTGCCCCTAATTCTTGATTTCCAAATATAGTTCATTGCTTTTAACAACCAGATGTAGAAAACAAGGATACATCTCTTCCACAAAATCTTCCTACCAACTTCTCACAATATTTACTCTGTGAATATGTTTACTATATATAAAGAATTATCATATTGATTACCTTTTCTCTTCAAATAGTACTTAAAATTCTGGTGCTTTTTCCATCAGTGTTAAATGGCATCTTTTGATTCTGCTTGTAAGAAAAAGATATGACCGCCCCTGTTCTATTTTCCCTTGCTCCTACTACCATCTTCAAAATCTTAGTTCAGATCATCATCTGTCACTTTGGTCATGAAACTTGCCTGCTAACTAGCCTCCAGTCCTCTACTCTCCTGTTACTTCAGTCTATTCACAGAGTGACAAGTGATTCTTGCAAATCTGGTCATGTCATTCCTGTGATTAAAATTCTTCTATGACTTCACTTTTTACTTATCCAGCATTGCTAACTCCTTTCCTTGGTTTGGGAACCCCTTATCTGGCTCTTGCCACTTTCTCGGATCTCATCATGTTAAATCTCCCATGTATTTACTGTGCAAAGTCACGCTGATTTATTTGTTTATATTTTGTTGAGCATTTCAAACTTATTTTTTCCTTAGATCCTTTACACGGGTTATTTCCTCCTCTTAGAATAATTTTACGACAGATTTCTGATGACTGGCTTTGTCTCATCTTTCAGGCCTCTACTCAAATGTTCTGTCCTCAAAGTGATCCACTCATTCTAGTCCCCAAGACCAAGCCCACCTAATGTCTCTACATACTACCATCCCCATCTCTATTTTCTCTTAGGCCCTACTTTACCTCCTTCACAAAATTTTTCACAATGCTATAACTATTTTTGTTCATTAGGTTTTCTATCTATCTCCCCACATCAAAATGTAAGCTCCCCACAATTGAAGAACAATGTTTTTCATAGTTCGTGGAAGAATTTTCATTAATGTCTAGGTCTTCTCACTTCAGATACACTTTCCTGTCTGCTTTTGTTCTAACCATTATTGTATTGAGTATTATTGAGATAGGAGATGGGACTTGGACACTGGACCAAATTGAGGATTATCCAAAACAGGTCTGAGTGGAAGCCCCTCCCTGTAAGACACACAGACCAGTGTGCTATGACAGTTTACCATTACCATGGCAACACCCAGAAGTTACAGGCCCTTTCCACAGCAATGACCCAACAACCGGAAGTTACCATCCTCCTCCTGGCAATTTCAGCATTAACTACCTCTTAATTTCCATATAATTAAAAGTGCATATAAATATGAGTGCAGAACTGCCTCTGAGCTGCTACTGTGGGCACACTGCCTATGGGTAGCCCTGCTTAGCAAGGAGAGGTGCCTCTGAGGCTGCTATACACTGCCACTTCAACAAAAATTGCTGTTTAACACCACAGGCTCACCCTTGAATTCTTTACTGGACAAAACCAAGAACCTTCCCAGGCTAAGACCCAATTTGGGGGCTTGCTGTCCTACATCATTATCAACTCATGCCATAGCAAAAGTATTTAAGGTAATGATTCACTGCACTGAGTTCTAATAATAATTAGGTATATCTTGTGACATAACTTTTATTTGCCTGAATTGACTAACAATCGAATGTTCAAGCTCAGTTGAACCACCTTCAAGTAGACAACAAACGGTTATTTTGGCCCAAGTAGTCAAACTCTCAGCATGTATGTACAACGGGCTTATTAAATAGGATGCATACAAATTGAAAGGCACAGAAACATTTTTTTGAGATGTGATTTATCTTAAAACTAAAAGAAATAGCCATCTCATTTTTCTCATTCTAGATTAATGAGTAGACTAAGCCATCATATCTAAGTATTTGAGTTTAAACAATGAATACTTCATCTTACGTTTACAAGTCATTTAATTGCCAGTTAATTTTGTTTACAAAACACTACATTGGTGAAGCTTTAATTCATTTGGCTTTATTTTACAATTTAAAATTAGTTTTAGTCTGGATGCAGTGGGTCATGCTTATAATCCCAGCACTTTGACATGCCAAGTCAAGAGGATCAATAGACCCCAGGAGTTCAAGACCAGCCTGGGCAACGTGGTGAAACCCTGTCTCTACAAAAAATTTTAAAAATTACCTGAGCAGGCCGGGCGCGGTGGCTCATGCCTGTAATCCCAGCACTTTGGGAGGCCAAGGCCGGCAGATCACCAGATCACGAGGTCAGGAGATCCAGACCATCCTGACTAACACTAACACGGTGAAACTCCGTCTCTACTACAAATACAAAAAAATAGCCGGGCTTGGTGGTGGGTGCCTGTAGTCCCAGCTACTCGGGAGGCTGAGGCAGGAGAATGGCGTGAACCCGGGAGGCGGAGCTTGCAGTGAGCCGAGATAGCGACACTGCACTCCAGCCTGGGCGACAGAGCAAGACTCCATCTCAAAAAAAAAAAAAAAAAAAAAATTACCTGAGCAAGGTGGCTGTAATCCCTGCTACTTGGGATGCTTAGGTGGGAGGACTGCTTGAGCCCAGGAGGTCGAGGCTGCAGTGAGCCATGATTGCACCAGTACGCTGCAGCCTGGGTGACAAAGTGATTCCCTGTCTCAAAAAAGTAAGAATAATACTAAACAAAATCAAGTTTTTTTTTAGCCCATGAATTAAGAGTGTGAATACGTTTAACTACTGGTAAAGAGTAGGAATGTTTTTACTATAATTTGAGGAAAATAGTTATATAATTTTGGTCAAAGCTAAAAATCAATATTACTTAATATTTTAATAATCTTAATTTACCTAATTTTTTCACTTTCAAATTTTAAGGGGGCATTATTGACATACAAACACCAAGCTAATTACTTATTATTGACATACAAACATAGAACTAATTACTTATTTTCAATGTCAATATATCTTTTAACTGTTAGTTGAAAAGTGTTTTTATTCAAATGAAATAAATCATGATAAAATTATATATTTGGGAAATCCTTAATCAAATTTGTGCTAGATTGTTTTGGTAGACTAAAGTTGGTCTCTTTGTTCAATTATTCTATTTTTCTAAAATTATTTTGTGCATAAAAAACAGTAGATATTATTTTTTAAATAGCCTACTTCTAAACTTAGTAGGTATCAGAATATATTATAAAGCAAAGTTACAAAATCAATTTGGAAAAAAATAAAGCAAATGAACAAAACAGAAATAGCAAAAATAGGTATTTTGCATTAAATTTCTTTCTTATCTTCTCACTGATCTATAGTAATACTATTTATTCAATAATCCTTTGGCTTTGGTATACACAGGGGATATATATTCCAGGACTCCCACACAGGCCAAAATCTGCACATACTTAAATTCTACATTTGGCTCTCTGGAAACCGCATGTACGAAAAGTCAGTTTTTCCTATGCTTAAGTTTTGCAACCCACCAATACTGTATTTTTGACCCAGGTTTAGTTGAAACAAATTCACATAGTAAGCAGACCCCTGAAGTTCAAGCACATATTGGTCAAGGGTCAATTCTATATGCATATATACGATATGATCTAATTAGCTTTTCAAAATAAGAAATATTCAAATTATTTTATAAATAACATGAGAATAAAGATCATTTCAGAAGTAACATATATACCTTTGTAAACAGAGTAAAGAATTGTTTAAAGAAACAAACTCTAGAGACAAAGCAGAATAGAGATTATGTCACACTTAATAGGCATTTGAGAAAGAAAAAGAAAAAAGAAAAGAAAAAAATTTAGCTAGGTGTGGGAGGCTGAGGCAGGAGGATTGCTTGAGCCCAGGTGTTGGAAGCTGCAGTGAACTATGATCGCACCACTGCACTCCAGCGTGGGCACTCCAGCCTCAGGCAACAAAGCGAGATCCTGTCTCAAAACAAACAAACAAACAAACAAACAACTTAACAGTGAAAAGAGCAAGAAGAAAATTCCAGAACCATAAAAAGCAGATAGGAGAATAGACGATAGTCACATGAAGTTGGATAGAATAACAAGTATGTCATAATTAGAGATAAAACAAGATACTATCAGAACATGGGTTGAAATTCCACAACTTTCTTGAAATGTGTATTTGAATAGCTAATTTCTAATGCCAGTTATTGTTCCAGTCACAAAAAACGAACTCAGCCACAAAGAGACAGTACAATTAGGACCCTGAAAATAGAGAAAAAAAAAAAAAAACGCAACACACATTGTACCAAGTATTACTAAGTAGTACTTGTGGAAGTTAAAGTGATGGAAAAATGAATGAGCGAAAGAACAGATGAGTAACAATGAAACTATCTGGAAGCCTTTCCATTATATCTGTAGATTATGGACAGCCTGTGGAAAAAGCGTAGTAGACAGTAGTGACTAGAAAATATAAGAGAAGACAAGGTGATAACTGTTTAGTGCACTTAAAACTCTGTTGCAAGAACCCAGGAAACTCTAACATTTGTAATTCCATTGTACATCTGACCTATGTGTCCTAAGCTTAAATTTATGTTACAGTTCAGGAGTTTCTGAAAGAATATTGCTTTTTCCTTTTCTTTCTTTCTTTCTTTCTTTTTTTTTTTTTTCTTTTTGAGATGGAATCTCCCTCTGTCGCCCAAGCTGAAGGGCAATGGCATGATCTCAGCTCACTGCAACCTCCGCCTCCCTGATTCAAGCAATTCTCCTGCCTCAGCCTCCTGAGTAGCTGAGATTACAGGCACGCGCCACCACGCCTGGCTAATTTTTGTATTTTTAGTAGAGATGGGGTTTCACCATTTTGGTCAGGCTGGTCTCGAACTCCTGACATGGTGATCCACCCACCTGGGCCTCCCAAAGTGTTGGGATTACAGGTGTGAGCCACCATGCCCGGCCTGGAAGAATAATCACTTTTCTATCTATTACATTTCCAGTTAACAAGGTTTATGAAAAACTTGGCTAAGTTAAAATGTCAGAAGAAATAAAAGTGTTCTGTCAAATGTTTTTTCTTTCCTTTTTATTGTTTCATTTTTTGATGTTCAGTTACTTTATTTCCTCTGAGCTATCTTTTTATGACTCCTTATAATTTTAAGCTAAAATGCAATACTTTTTTGTCAATTACATCATCCCCTTTCCATGTACTATGGTTTTGTGAAGAAATGGGTAAAGTACACGTTAGTTAACTGAGCACGGGATAGATTGGGTGGCAGAATCTCAAAGGCCTAGGCAGGTGGGGGATGGTGTGTGTGGGGAGGAGGAGAAGGCATAACTGGGAAGAATGAAAAGTGGCAAAAGACTGCAGAATAAACAATCGAGGATTAAGCAAATAAAAGTGGGTCAATGTAGACTGGCTCAGATCTTAGAAACCAAAGGCCACACATGAAGAACATTTACCAATCTGCTTTTGAACTTATATTTGGGAACTTACTTCTACCTAAGAATAATTTTAGTTAGCAATACTTAGATATTTCATTTTTAGTTTAAATTATATGTAGGCAAAAGAGTAGCATATGCATTCCCAGGATATGCCTAAATTTAAAATAAGCAAAGCTTGCCTTGGCAGACGTCTCAGGCTCGTGCCATTTCTGTGGGCATTTTCTCTACCCCTTCTCTTATAGCACTCACTATAGCACTTCAACCAGCAGATCTGTCCTACCTGGGAAAACCCCATCTTCCAGAATCACTTTGTTCTATTCTTATCCTCATCAACATCCATTTCTACCCTCCCCCGCCCACTGAAATTGTTTCAGGGAAGTTGTCAGATGATAATAATTCAAAGTAAATTATGAATAATACTAAATTTAACTATCCTAAAATATGTATTCAGTGTATTTGTCATTCCATGTAAATGACAGATTGGTTGAAATTATAGTAATATTAATATCAACACGTAAAGTATTTTAGGAGGAGATGAGATATTGAAGCCAATTGGGCCATCGCACAATTTAAATCACACCATATAGATAAATACACATACTACTATCTCTGAAAATATGGGGGTTTGGGGGAGCAAAGGGGAATTCTTATTTATCACACTGAAATTCAAACATACAATTTAGGATTTTAGACCACTATTCTCCTTTCTCTGACTGTAATGGAATCCATCAATCTCTGATCTATAAAGTCTTCTGGGACCTGAAATAACGTTTCTGCACTCTAAATCTCCAGGATTAAAAAACATGTCTCCCAAACAACACAGCCAGTATTTACTTGAACATGTTTCAGTAGAGTTTTAATTTATTCACTTTAATCATCTTGGAATTTCTGGGCTGTGGCCTAATTTCATATAGTACACAATTGTTAGACCCTAAATCTAAAAAATCTGCTTGGTCATAATATATTCAAAACCTTGGTCATACTATATTTCAAAAAGGTGAAATTAGGTGGTACGATTGAGAAACTGTTATTTTAAACTTTGTCCTGTAAATCTGACCCAATTCTTAGTAGCCTGCAGTGACCCCCTGAGCCAGACTGTTAAAACAAGGAGGCAATTAACGTTCCTACACAATTGGAAATGTTATTGTAGACAATATATTGCATTAGAAAGGTTCTATGTAGTACCCAATATATTAAAAAAAGAAAACAAATAGAAAGCTGAAATTACAAATTATTCCTGCTGGCTATAATTCTTTCTTAGTAATGAATAGTGTTTTTTTTGAAGAAAGTTCACTCTTAACAGAGCAGAAGTAATGCTAAAATGTTATGCTGTTGAATAAAGCAGATTGTGATAGTATTCAAACTATCTTCTCAATTTGGTATTCAGTATTCAATGTGGAAAATATAAACAGAAGCAAATATTGAAATATATGTGAGTATTTTTCATGATCAAAGCTACTCTGTTAAGTAAAAATTTTTTAGATATGGTAGATTAATAGAACTGATGGACATCTCGAACTAGTTTAGTTTCAGAGAGTATTTGGGAAACAAGGAATAAATTAGGAGTCTGATATCCACTGAAAATTCATGTAGTTTTTCTCCATTGGCTTTTGCATTACATGTGCTTTTATGAAAATTATGAGGCTGGCCTAAGCATTGCTTTAAATACAAAGTTGTGCTTTATCTTTTAGGAAATAATCAGATTTATATCATTTTCACCATAACATATATAGTGCCGATGTTCAATTCACCAGTAGAAACTGATACCACATTTAAACACACATTGATGAAAAATAAAATAAAAGTGAAACAAGTCAGCAATAATCAATTATGTAAATAAGATGTTTAAATCACTATTGTTTAATTATCACATATACTTTGATGTACTCTATTTTAATAATATTTCAAATTCAACTTTTTAATAACTTAAACTGTTTATTAAACTTGCCATTGATTCTTGATTTTAAAGATTAGAAATAAAACAAATCTCCCTTATATGACAAATGGTATCTATGTAAAACTGGAGCAAACAGTATGTAGGTATGAAACGTTAGAAACATTCCCATAAATTTAGTAAGAAAAGACAGAAATATTTACACAAAGAAACAGAAAAAGATGTCTTTTACAATAGGTAATATTGACATTGTTCTGGAACTGTTTGTAAATACAAAAAGGTTTCATTTTAAAATACTAATTATAATATTTATATGTACAAGGAAATAATTGTTTTCTTCATTTAAAAAGTGGCTACATATAAAGTTTACAAGCCAAAGAACAAGCAATAACATTAGAAAATATAACTGAAAATAATTCAACCTTTCAAAAGGTATTAAACATATTTGAATATTTTTTAAATTACCAAAGTGTATAACTATAAGAATATATCTGCTTTTATTTTCTAGATTGGAAGACTGAAACAGAGATTTGTATTATTTGCTAATATTCTTCAGTTCCTAGAGGCTATGTAATGGTCACTCAATCAAAATTTCTTTACTAAGTGAAAAGATTTTAGAAATTATGAATAATATGTAATTCATTCAGTTTAAAAATGTTTACCAAATATCTATCACATAACTGGTTACCTATCAAAAACTAGGAAAGCAAACCTCCTCCAAGAATAAGCTTTTTAATCTATCAAGAAGCAGTGATATAATTAAATTTTATTATGAATCCAGAAATTGTCTTACTGAGGTCAGAAAAAAACTCCTACATTCATATTCACTACTCCAAAAGACTGCTCTTCAAGAATATATGTTATATACAACTACAGGAAAAAAATCTCTATTGAACAACTTAACTGTTACAAATATTGTATATTCAATTGGGTTTCAAATTTATATAATATTTTTATTCTGATAATACAAGTAATACTTGTCTACAAGAATTCTAAGGTCATGACAATATCAGTTGTAAATGATAAATGAATTTTTATTTAGGAAGAGTTAAAATCATATTTGAAATAAATCTAATCATTATGATTTGATGGCTTTTATTGACTATGTATATTCACATCCTTCTTAATGCTTTCACATAATACATTTTGGTTATACTCCTAAGCAAAAAAGTAAATTACATTTTATGATAATTACAAGGGAAATGATTATTCCAGATCATAGTTTTTCAGAAATGTTTATTAAAACATTTTATTCTATTTTATATTAAATATAATTATGATGAATATTTAGATATACCATTCAAATAAGGTTCTTACATTTTTTAAACTCAACAATGTCAAAAGCCACTCAATTGTCAAGTTACAGAATACTTAAGCACATTTTCTAAATCAAATTTTTATTACTCCTGTGAAAAGCATCATTAGCAAATGTTTCATAATACAGTTTTCAGAAAAGAGTCTCTTTTAATCTTACCTTCTGCTACACAAATAGCCCATAACATAAGGCAAATAATCTTTGCTAGAAGTCTCATTTTTTGGATCTTTTAAGAGGACATTTACCAGCTAACTCTGTTCACAACGTCCAGTTCTCCTCTTCCAAGAATTGTGATTAGTGCAGGAAAGAACTTGCTGCAAAAGGAAGTTGAAACTAGATGCTCCGCCTATCAGAAACTTTTGCAAAGTAAATAAAAAATCAACCACAAGCCACAAGCCCAGAAATGCCAGAAGTTAAACCCAATTCTCACTGCACTCCCACTAAATGTTAATGCTGTGACCGGCTCTTGGACTTTTTCTTATTAAGCTAGGGAAATTCTCCGTTGGAAAATGTTCATGTTCTTGGTATGTGCAAATCAGCAGCTGGTGATATCCTCTGGATTTCATAAACCCTTCAATTATTCAAACTCTATTCGGGTCTATTGTGTATAAACCTCAGAACAGGAAATAAGAGAAACTTTAAAAGAAATCACATACAAAACTTTGGTTTAGGCAATGTTTTCACAATCAGCACCCAGACAATGTGTACAAACTTTGCCAAGAATGCAGTGCTTGATGAATTTGGGGGTCTGCTTTTCTAGCAATTTATGAAATTAGTTTTCTAAATACTTTTTGTATATGTGTATGAAGCAACTGGCTCACTCTCATTTGACGTAAATAGGTTTAATAATCCAAAAATCAACAAATTGAAATGCTGATTTTTAAAACTTTGTATTGTAGTGTAATATGTATAAGGAAAACATAAATCATATGCTGGATATTGAGAAGGTAAAGATACCTGTGAAACCACCACCAAGGTCAAAACACTGAACATTATTACATCCCAGAAAACCCCAGTACTCCTTTTCAGTCAATACGCCTCTCAACCCTCTCCCACACCCCCCACACACAGAGACCACGATTCTGATCTTCAAGAACATGGAATATATTTGTCTGGCTTTTGTACTTTGTATAATGAAAAAGAAGCAGTTTATTCTTATGTTTAGAGTTTTTCACCAAAAATTGTGTTTGGACCATTCAAACACATTGTTAGATGTAGTTACAGATAGTTCATTCTTATTGCGATTTAATACTCCACTTTTTGAATAGTTCACATTTTATTTATCTGTGTGCCTGTTAGTGAGCATTTGAGCAGATTTTAGTTTGGAGCTGGTATGAATAGTGCTGCTATGGGCCTTATATTATGAGGTTTTTGGTAAACACAATCCACATTTCTGGTAAGTGCATACTTGGTAGTGAAACACTGGGACATAATTTATGTTTAGGTGTAATGGATAAAATTAGACAATTTTCCAAATGGATTATAACACTTGACATCACTTGACATTTCTATCAGCAGTGTCCAAGTTGCTCCATACCCTCAGAGATACTTGGTAATTTTAATCCTTGTAATTTTAGCTTTTCTGGTAACACAAAGCAATAATTCTCCGTGGTTATAATATGAATTTTCCTGATGACTAATTGAAATGTGAGAGATCCCTGATTCCCCTTGAAGGACATGCAACAGGTGTGCGGCTTGCCAGTTAGGTCGCCCTGCAGCTCAAACCCCTTACGGGGAGGGGGAGCACACAGATGCACCGGTGCGGGAACCGGAGTGAGCGCTTTCGGGCTCTGGCCTCACAGCAGCATCTAGGGGTGGGTGTCTGCGATTTCCGAAGCCCAAGTGGGCGTATGTTACAGTGTGCTCCTTTAGCTTTGCCATCTGCAAATGGTTTATGTGTTAATCAGCTCAACAAACCCTCTTCCTTATCTCATGGGTAGTGGGACAGTGAAATAGCCCTCTATATCCCCAGCTGTTGCCCAGTGTCCCAAAAGAATCGGATCACACGGGGGCTCGAGGGATGAGGGCAACTTTTTATTGAGTGGTGGAGGTGGCTGTCAGCAAGATGGAGTGGGAAGGTGACCTTCGCCCAGTGTCAGGCCTCCCAGTGGCCAGACTCTTCTCCACCCGTCCCTGGCCAAACTCCCCTCGGAGTCCAGATGTCCCTCCTCTCTTTCTCTGCTGTGTCATTCTGCCATCGCAGGCCTGTTTGTCGGCTTGCCTCTCCGTCTCCTCACTTGTAGGTCTCTTCTGGAGCTTGGAGTTTGGGATTTATATGGGGGTACGACAGCGGGGCATGGCGGGCCAAAAGGCAACTTTTTGGGTGTGAAACCTGAAATGCCTGTCCTCATTTAGGGCCACAGGTCTTCAGGCTTGAGGGTGGGGCCTTTGCTTGGGGACCACCCTCTTCTACCCAGTATTTCCCTGTCTCCTGCCCTTAACATGAAGTTGAGAAACTTTCCTGTGGTAACTGGTCATTTAGATACCCTCTTTGGTAAAGGTTCTATTCAAATCCTTTGCATATTTTTTTCTTATTGAGTTGTTTGTCTTTGACTTATTGGAGTGTAGGAACTGTTTATATATAATTACTTATATATTCTAGATATGAAAATAATCTTATTAATATGTATTATAAATACCTTCTTCCAGTCTGTGGGTTTTCTTTCTATTCAGTATTACATGTCTTTTATAATAATAAAAAGAATTCCTTAATTTTAAAATAGAGCAAATTTTCAATTTTTTTCTATGACTAGTGCATTATGTGTCCTATTTAATGAAAGCTTGCCTAGTCCTAGAACACAATGCTTTTCTTCTAAAAGAATTATTTTATCTTTCACATTTAAGACCTTTAGAACAACTGTAATTGTCTTTTGTGTATAGCATAATAAAAAGCTCCAGATGCATTTTTAAAATAGAGATATCCAATTGTTATAGCATTATTCAACGAAAGTATCATTCTTTCCTCTGTACTGACATGCTTTCACCTTTGTCATAAGTCAGGTGCTGGATATGTGTGGGTCTATATCACCAAGCTCTTCTTACTGTAATAGTTTATTTTTAAAACTTTTCTAAAGTGTAAATTTCTGGGAACTTTGGCTTTCTAGTTATCTTTTAAATTGATTTCTTTTTTAATTTCATATTCTAAATAATTACACTGTTTTAAAATTTGATGAGTCTTTCTTTATGGCCCATTATAGTCAAAATTCTACCTATGTCAGTAGGTCAAGTTTGTAATTTGTTAAAATCTTTTGTATTTTTATTATGTTTTTGTCTGATTATTCCATCAGATATTGAAAGGGTGTATTACATCTCCCATTATAAATGTGGATTTGTGTATTTCCCTGTTTAATGCTGTGAATCTTTATATATTTTAGGGCTATGATGATGCTTGCATACGTATTTAGAATTGTGATATCCTTCTTTTGCATTGGTCATTTTCTCATATTAAATGGCCCACCCTAACTCTAATTTTGCTTCCAATGTGAATTTTACATTTTATTTTATTTTTATTTTTATTTTTGTAATAAAAATATAAGGAATAAGAGTTAGACTTAGTCATTTGTTCTGAGAAAAATAAGAAATAAAATAGCATGGATATATGAATAATCAAGCAAATTCGAATTCTGAACTATCATTCTGAAGTTTAATTTGATTTAACTGATAACACATATGTTGACATACTAGATCATTTAAACTTCTTCTTTATTCCTTCCTTAGTTTTATCTGTTTGAGTATGAATCCAAACATTTTACCTGGGGCTTAAATTTCCAATAGTGGTTTCTATTCTAATAGCAATATTATCACTTGGAGAGTATTCCAGAAACTTACTAAGATTAATATTATTGAGTGTTAATTATATACCAGGCACAGATCTAAGCACATTTATTCAATACTTAATGCAACACAATGAAATGGGAGACTATTACTCTTTCAAAGGTATAGATGACTGAACTGAACCACAGAACATTTTAGCAACTCCCTTAAGGTCACAAGACATTGCTGGAGCCAGGTATCAAATCCAGTGGTCTGTGTTTAAAATATGTGTTTAAAAATATAGTAAAATATTCACATATGTACTCTAGTGTATGCTTCACATTTATTTATTTTACAATTATGCATATACTGTAAAAGTATTGAAGGTACACACACACATATATATGTTTGTGGATAATTTAAAGTACATACAGGAATGATTTTGCTATACAAATCTTCACCTAATTTGCAATTGTTGAATGTAAAATGCCACTCTACTATCCAAGTAGAAATAATCCTCTTGAATTAATTTCAACAAATATCTTTCAGATGTATTATTTTTACTATTTTTTCTTTATCCTACCTTTTTTCAAAGACTGATGGCTAACGTCAATTGAGTGTTTTTGTTTCCCTTTTTTCATCAATACTTTTCAAAACTACAAAAGTCTATTATAAAGAAATTCAGAACATAAGAAAATTAGCAACATATTATGCCTTAAACTCATAAAATTATTATGTAGTATTAGATTACCATTAGAAAGACCAGATAGTAAATAGTTAACTATTAATACTAAGATTAAACATGAAATGGATCCAATTTATTTTCAATATTCATGTTGGCACATTCTCAGCAAATACATACTATGTATATTTGGACATTAAAAATTTAGAAGAGTAAGGATATAAATTTGTATTAGAGAAAAATCCATATTTAAAAAATTAGAAATAGTTAATATCTATGCTAAGTAACAAATGACTGTTATGATTAAAATTTTCGAAGGAAGTTTACAAGAAAGAGAAATTACTGAACACTGGTTTTGATCAGGGATGATTTTAAGAACACTTGGATATTACACTGTAGTTTAAGGGAAGAGTACCACTGAGACTGTGAAGAATAGGAAAGTGTGGGGACTAATCTAGAATTAATGAGAAGACTCACATTGGAGCAGTGGTTTTGCACAAGGAAATTGTGGAAGAAGTAAAAGGAGCTTTAAATGAGGAATGGTTTGAATTCCAGATCAAAAACTTGCAAATTATTTTACAGGCAATAAAGAATCTTTGATAGATCTAATTGAGGAAGAAATGTAAGTCATGCATTATTTAAGTAATGGTGCTTTGGCGGTTGTATTAAAATAGATGGAGGAAAAAGGACTCAGAGAAATGACAAATTAAATAAATTACTGAATGAATTCATAATACAACTATTACACAGCATCTCAATGTAAAGAAAAAGGGTAAAAACTAATATTTATAACAGAGCTTGATTTTTCTATGAAGCTAATGAAGTCTAAGCTTCAGGGCTCCTAATTTGAACAGACACCATCAAGGACCTGAGCTGGCCCTTAATAACGTTTCTGCATGGTCATCTATTTTTGTAAAAAATTGAAGAGAATTAATCTCTTAATTGCAAGAGAATGAACGGCTGTCTCTCTTATTCTATGCTGATTTCCCCTTCATTGCATTTCCACTGATTCAGTTGACATTACAGTTTCAGGCATTTGAAGGATGCAAGAAAAAGTTACACATAGAATGCTATTAGTTTGAGATTTATGTGGTATATTTTACAGTCTCAATTAAATATAATTTGATAACTGATGGTCCTCCAAGTGTAAGAATGGCTTCCAGGAATACTCCTACCACCCCTGTGCCAAATCAATTTGCATCATAACACAAAACTTCAGTGTCTGAAGACAGCACATATGAATATGCCCGACACCAGAAGTCTATGTGTAGTGAAGGAGAAACAAGATTAAAAAGTATAAAGACTATGATCAGCTGTGTAAAATTTTAAGTGGATGATTCCATTCTCATTGATTCTTCTCCTAGTAAAAATGAAAACTTGCTCAAGTCATTCACAATATATTGGCATCAATAACAATACCATAAAATTTACAACGCACCTTTGAAATGAAGACATTGAGGTCAAACTAGTTTTCAATGTTTCAATTTAAAGAACATTTAATATTAATTATATCATTAGAACTCTTTTAATGTCCTGAAACCTTGGAGCTTATTATGTCAGGGAAATCTGACAGGATTTTTTCCGAAATTTGATGACAATCTTAAAAATGTTTAGACATAAGTGGTGAACTTGAAATGACTTCAAATATTTCCACATAACAAGAAACAAATTTAAATCAAACATACTAAAAGAAAGACTGAATTATTTTTTCTATTTTATGTACACTGAAAATATTATAAAATGGTGTCATATGAAGGAAAAGTCAAAAAAGTATTCAACAAAAACGTAGAAATTCAAGGTAACAAAGACTTTATCACACAATGACTATACCTACTATATTTTGTGTTTCTATGATATTTCATTGTGGTTTTAATTTGCATTTCCCTAATAGTTATTGATGTTGAGTATTTTTTTCATGAACCTGCTAGTTATTTGTATGTTTTCTTTTGAGAAATGTCTGATCAGTTCCTTTGCCCATTTTTAAATTATGTTATTTGTTTTCTTGCTATTGAGTTGTTTAGAGTTCCTTATATATTTTGGACATTAACTCCTTATCAAGTGTATGGTTTACAAATGTTTTCTCCCATTCCATAGGCTTTCTCTTCATTCTGTTATTTGTTTCCATAGCTGTACAGAAGCTCTTTAGTTTGATGAAATCCCATTTGTCTATTTTCACTTTTGTTGCCTGTGCTTTCAGAGACACTAAAAAAATAAAAATAAAAATAAATTGCAATATTGTGGAGATTTTAACTCATTTCTTCTAGTAATTTTACAGTTTTTTGTCTTTAATCCATTTTGAGTTGATTTTTGTATCTAGTGTAAGATAAAGATCCAATTTAATCCTTCTGCATACAGATACCCAATTTTCCCAATACAATTTGTTGATGAGTCTGTCCTTTCTTCATTGTGTGTTCTTGGCACCTTTATTGAAAATCAATTGGCCGTAAATGCATGGGTTTATTTCTGGGCTTTCTATCTTGTTTCGTTGATAAATATGTTTGTTTCTATGCCAGCACCATGTTGTTTTGATTACAATAGTTTTATAATAAATTTTGAAATCAAGGAGTATGATGCCTCCACCTTTATTTTTTCTATTCAAAATTGTTTTGATTATTTGGGAACTTTTGTGTTTCCATATGAATTACTCTGGGCTTGTCATATATGGTGCTTATTGTGTTGAGGTACATTTCTTCTATACTTAGTCGGTTGGAATTTTTATCATGAAAAGATATTGAATTTTGTCAGATAGTTTTTCTGTATTTATTGAGATGATCATCTGGTTTTTGTCCTTCATTCTGTTATATTGGTATATCAGACGTACTGATTTGCATATGTTGCAACATCCTTGCATCCCAGAGATAAATCCCACTTGATCATGGTGGATGATTCTTTCAATGTGTTGTTGAATTCAGTTTGCTAATATATTGTTGAGGGTTTTCGTGCCTATGTGATGAGAGATACTGGCCTGTAATTTTCATTTCTTGTAGTGTCTTTGGCTGGTTTTGGTATCAAAATAATATTGACTTCATAGAATGATGTTAGAAGTACTTCTTCCACTTCAATTCTTTTAAAAAGTTTAAGAAAGATCGATATTAGTTCTTCTTAAAAGTTTGGTAGAATTTAGCTGTAAAACCATACAGCTTTTGGCTTTTCTTTGACAGGAAACTTTTTTTGATTCAATCATTTTATTTGTTATTGATCTATTCAGATTTCTATTATTTAATGATTCAGGCTTGGTAGATTGTATATGTCTAGGTTGCATGTGGATGTGTCTTGATATGTTGTATGTGTATGCATGTAGAAATTTATACATTTCTTCTAGGTTAACCAAATTATTGGTGTATGATTCTTCATAGTTGTCTCACAACTTTTTATTTCTGTGGTATCAATTGTTAGGTCTCCTCTTTCATTTATGATTTTATTTATTTCATTCTCCTTTTTAAATGTAGCTAAATATTATTATCTTTTCAAAAAATCAACTTTTTCATTGATTTTTTCTGACTATTTTATTTTTCTGCTCTGTTCTTTGTTATTTCCTTCCTTTTGCTAGGTTTGAACTTTGTTCTTCTCTCAGTTCCTTGAATTTTACATAGTTCATTTGAGATCTTTTTTTAATATAGACATTTGTTGTTATATATTTTCTATGAAGAACTTTCCACTTATAACTTTTTTCGCTGCATCCCGTGAGTTTTGCAATGTAGTTTTTTCATTTTTATCCTGTATTTTTTATTTTCATTTTGATTTCTTCTCTGACACATTGTTGAAGAGCATGGTGATTAATTCCCACATATTTGTAAATTTTTCATGATTTCTCTTGTTATTGATTTCTAGTTTCATGTTACTGTGATTGGAAAAGATTGTTATGATTTCAATTCCCTTAAACCCTAACTTATTTCATGGCCTAACGTACGATCTATCCTGGAGGATGTTCCTTACGTGTTTGAAAAGAATGTGCATTCTGTTGCTGTTGGTTAGAATCTTTGGTATATATCTGTTGGGTCTATTTGGTCTAAAGTGTAATTCAAGTCCATTTTATTTTTTATTGATTTTCTGTCTAGATGATTTGTTCATTGTTGAAAATGGGGTTTTGAAGTCCTTTGCTATGTTTATGTTTCATTCTATCTTTCCCTTCAGATTGCTTAGCCATTCTCCTGTTTGACCCAAGAATACTAGCTGGTGGCATTTGTGACTGCAGCATTTACCCCAAGATGACTTTTCATTGAAATATCTTGGTGTTACTATTATTTTTACATTGCTCTAGTATATCAACTTTGGAAACAAAAGACGTCATTCTATTTATAGCATTCTGTTTTTAGTAGTGATATTTTCGTTTACAAAATATGGTAATCCTTGATCACTGAAAATGTCAAATCCTAGAAAACGTAGCATTCCTACATGTTACGTTAACATAGTTCTCGAACAGATGTTGGCTGAAGATTCATTTGATGAATCTGATTGTTCTCAAATAGATGATTCTGATGTCCATTCTGTTTAGAAATAACTCCAAGAAACTTTCATATTTTATTTTCACATTGAAAATCAGTCATATTTGCTTCAACCTCAAAGACTTTGTTTATGTAAAATCAAGTGAATGTTGGCAGCAAGCTTTACTTTTTTTTCCTAAATGGGAAAAGAGTTAATAACTGCTTTATATATTTAGGTGCTCTGATGTTGAGTGCATATATATTTACAATTGTTATATTATCTTGATGAATTGACCACTTTATCATTACACAGTGACCTTCTTTGTTTCTTTTTACACTTTACTACTTAAAGTCTATTTTGTCTGATACAAGTGAAGCTACCTCTGCTCTCTTCTGATTTTCATTTTGCGTGGAGTATCCTTTTCTATCCCAGCAGTCTCTGTGTGTCTCTAAAGGTGAATTGAGTTTCTTGTTAACATAGTATACTTGGATCTTGTTATTGTTTTTAAAAAATATTCATCCTGCCACTCTTGATCTTTGAATTACAGAAGTTAATTCATTTACATTTAAGGTAATTATTGATAAGTAGGGACTTGCTACTGCTACTTTGTAATTTGTTTTCTGGCTTTCTATTTCTGCCTTCCTCTCTTGCTGTCTTTATTTGTGGTTTGATAATTTTCTCTGGTGGTATTCTTTTAATCCTTTCTTTTTTGTTCTTTTGCATCAACTATAGGTTTCTGCCTTGTGGTTAGTTACCATGAGGAATACATAAAACATCTTAAACATTTAAATCAATTAAACATTTTAAATCACTTCATCAGTCTCACTAGTCACATTTCAAATACTCAATAGCCACATATAGGTAATGGCTATTACAGAGCATTTTCATCATCATAGAAATTTTCATAAGATAGTGCTAAGTGATATGGTAGTCCAAATCAGGTGCCCATTATGCTCAGAAAAAGGATGGAAAGGAAATGAGTATTTTCCATATGGTGATCTTGATATATATTCAAAAGAGCAGGATATTAAACATCATGAATTATTAATAATAAAACTACTAGTTACATCTGATTGGTAAACCAATTTAATTTTTTTTTTTTAAGACAGAGTCTCGCTCTGTCACCCAGGCTGGAGTGCAGTGGTGCTATCTTGGCTCACTGCAACCTCTGCCTCCCAGTTTCCAGTGATTCTCCTGCCTCTGCCTCCCCAGTAGCTGGGATCACAGGCGCACACCACCACTTCCGGCTGATTTTTTTGTATTTTTTGGTAGAGACGGGGTTTCACTGTGTTGCCCAAGCTGGTCTCAAACTCCTGAGCTCAAGCAATCCACCTGCCTCAGCCTCCCAAATTGCTGGGATTACAGGCATGAGCCACTGCACCCGGCCAATTTATTTTTAATAATCACAAATATAAGTGTTATAATTCACATGTGAAGATTCAGTCATCAATTACTCAGTCTGTGTTTTTATTTTTTCAGTTGTCATGGTTTGGGCTTTTCTGTCTGTACCCTCACACAACCACCAGCACTTTGAAAGTATAGCTAGTACAAATTAAAGCACAACACAAATTAAAGTTACAAAAAAGAAGAGAATTGTGCAGAGTCCATTGTCCTTTCTCTAATTAATTCAAATCATGATCAGCTTGTCATTTTCTTTCACTTTTCCTGATTTGAAATCAAATTTTCCTCCCCTTACTGACTCAGACATATACTGGTCTCCTTTCTCTCCCAAAAAAGAGTTTTAAAATCCTGAAAAGTGTCCTTGTTATATTTCCCTTTTAATTGCAGGAAAAAAATAATGCCCCAATACCCTTATGTGCTTATATGCATTGCCTAAGATAAAGGTCACCTTTATGATTTATTTTAGAACATTTTTTCATTGCATGAAGAAGCCCTAACATTCAAAGTTTCCTTTCCCACTTAGTAGCTTTACTTCTTTCTAAAAGGACACTGCTAGCACAATTCAATAATTTGGACAAAAGTGAAGAATGATGACTTTAGATTTTGTTTAATTTTAGTTGTAAGGAAGTGAAAACACACATGATCCTACATTTATATTTATTGCAATTATTTTATTAGGTGCATTATTAAAGCTAGATTGCAAGCTCTTCAAATAATTTAACCATCTGAAGGTAAAGGAAAAAAAAATACCATATCCTTGGCAACTTCCTCAGTCATCTAAAATCGCATGCAAAATCTTTTAAAATCTTCAGAGAAAATTGATTTTCCTCCCTTCACTATACCAGCTGCCTCTTTTAATGTTCTCTTTCCCAGGTTCCCAGGCATTTATCCCAGGGTACAACACACAACACAACTGCAAATTTCTGTCTTTTAAATGGCATATTAGAAATCTGTGAGCAAAGTCACTTTTTTGGCCCAGCACTGGCACTGCATCAACTTTCCAAGCTCTACTGACTCAATTTTAATTGCTATGTAATGATTAATTTATATGTGTCAGGTGCTGTATTAAATGCATTATCTAATTTAATTCACTCAAAAACTTTATAATATACTTTTATCATTGCCGTTTTCTGCCTAGGGAATCTGAATTCCAGAGAGGTTAAAATGACTTGCTTAAGTTAGTAGTGAACTTGAGATTTGATCCCTGGCTGTCTGGTTCCTCAATTGAGCATGTACACAATAGTCTCGCTGCCTTTTTGACTCCAAGTGTATTTTATTCCAAAGCTTTGTTATCAATTTTGGTTTTGGACAGAGGGAACTCTTAGAGCTGATATTCTCCAGTCTCTAATGAAGATTCATAGAGACATAATTTAATACGTTGTGTAATGATCATACTTAAGTAGAGTGTATTTGCTTTCTGTAAGTTAATTTTCCAAGATATCTAACAAATTATGTACTGCTACATATCAGATAGAAGTAATCATTTCTTGGGAAAAATAAAACCAGTCTTACCTATGATGTATAATTAGTAAATGACTGAAAGTAGATGGTTAATTGTCATTTATTAGTTGTAAGTAAATAATTTATAACCCAGTTAATATAACTAATTAGATTAGCTTATACATATCATTTAAATGAAATTCAAATTCAAAATGATGCCTGAGAATTCATATATGTTTACATTTTGATAGTTATTATGCTATCTCTATTCCCCCCCCAGAAAAAATCTATTCCTTAACCCTAATTAATTTTTAAATCAACAGCAAAAAAAAAAATGTAAAAATTAATCTGGGTACATGACCAACTTTTAGTAGATTTGATAAAATATTTTATTGATATATCAGAAAACAACATAATTACTGCTAGTTCCATTGTTAAGTTTTAATTCTAATAAGAAATCCTATTTATTAATCATTAAACATTACATTACTAATAATATTCATATTTAATGTCATCACTAAATTAACAAAACAGCATTTGATTGTAAAAGAGAAACTTTTTTCCATTAGATATTCCCAGGGAATAAAGTTCCACTCACAAAGTATTCCTCAAAAGTGATTTTAAAGTAATCTTTAAGGTAATCCCAAATTCTCAATAGCACATAAAAGCATGCATTTTTTAAAAGTAATCAATAAACCAAAAAAGATGAAGTAAACTATTAATTCCCTGGGAGATTTCTTAATGGTATACAAGTGTTTATTTTTCTCTGTCAGGTGAATTATTAGAAATAAATTTGAATGCCAAGGTGATGAAGATTCCTTTTGATTACATATGAAAACCTTCTTTAAAAATTACTCACAGATAAAAATTTTCACTTCTCCATGGTTTCAGTGCCAGGGTATTATATACAAAAATGGTTAAACTGCTAAATAAAATATGCAATTCTAGGTGTCTTATTTGTAATCCTTAGTCCTGTTTCAGCAGTTGTCCAAGGTCAGGCTAATTGTAATGATCACTTTTGTAGAACACAATGGTAAGGATGACTTTTTGTTGTTGTTGTTTAAGATGGAGCCTCCCTCTGTCACCCAGGCTGGAGTGTAGTGGTGTGATCTCAGCTCCCTGGAACCTCTGCCTCCTGGGCTCAAACAATTCTCTCGTCTCAGCCTCCCGAGTAGCTGGAATTACAGGCATGCGCCACCACAGCCCTGCTAACTTTTGTATTTTCAGTAGAGACGGGGTTTCACCATGTTGACCAGGCTAGTCTCAAACTTCTGACCTCAAGTGATCCACCCACCTCGGCCTCCCAAAGTGCTGGGATTACAGGCATAAGCCACTGTGCCCAGCTGAGGGTGACTATTTTTATAATGGCATCTTAAAATGATTAAACTATTTAAATTTAAAAGGTCATTAATAGTGTGAAAAATTTCCACTGAAGTAATTTCCACTTCTACAGTGAGATTTGTAATAGATGCCTTCTTTGTTCTTAAAAATGAGTTGTATACATTAAATATGTACAGTTTTATGTGTTAATCATACATCAATAAAATGATTTGAAAAACAATGTTCAAAGTCAGTTGAAACCTATTCTTAAGGGAATAATGGTAGTGACTAGTTGTTGTAAACCCCGTACTACCAGTATCTAACTAATAGCCAACACAATATGGGCTTCAGGGCTAGTTGGAGCCAGATAGAAGCATTTCTCTGGCCTTTGTGTTATTTTAAGATTGAACTACATATTGACCTTCATAACATGGAATGAAATGGTATCCTGATTCTTTGCACATAGAACTGGCTGCAAAGAAAAGCTGAGTTAGATTACACAGCAGGGAAATAAAAGAAAGAGAAAAAGTACCTCTTACTTTCATTTGAATGTAACTGTGAAAATGGATGTATGTAATATTGGCTAAAATACGCTTAGGAAGGGAATTTCTAAAATGAGAATACATTTGCAAAGCCACAGATGCTATGAATTTTTATGTTTCAAGACATTACAAATTGTTGTCCAAGAATGTTATCCTAATTCCCAAACTCCCAATTGCACATAAAGGCAGGTATTTTTCCACAGCCTTGCAAAATTGCTTAATATAAAACTTTTACGTTACTGTTAATGTAAGTGAAAAAGCATAATATATTCTTGTTTTGATCACTTCAGACATTTTTGGAAGAATGGTTTATGACTATGATATTAATTTATTAATTACTCACATACTTCCTAGCTATTTGCTATTTGATTTGTCTCTCACTGTTTTTCTAAAACTATTATCTTGACACATCCCCTGGTCAGCTCCTTAATCATTTAGTCCTTTTCTTTTCTTTTTATTTTCTTTCTTTCTTTCTTTCTTTCTTTCTTTTTTTTTTTTTTTTTTTTTTTTTTGACACGGTTTCGCTCTTGTTGCCCAGGTTGGAGTGAGGTGGCATGATCTTGGCTCATTACAACCTCTGCCTCCCGGGTTCAAGTGATTCTCCTGCCTCAGCCTCCCGAGTAGCTAGGATTACAGGCATGCACCACCACGCCCAGCTAATTTTGTATTTTTGATAGAGACAGGGTTTCTCCATGTTGGTTAGGCTGGTCTCGAACTCCCGATCTCAGGTGATCCACCCACCTCGGCATCCCAAAGTGGTGGGATTACAAGCGTGAGCCACTGTGCCCGGCCATAGTCCTTTTCAACGTATTAGTTTCCCAGGGCTGCTATCACAAATTACCACTAACTGGGTGGTTAAAAATACATTTTATCACTTTCTGGAGGTTAGAAATATTAAGTCAAGGTGTCAGCAGGGCCACGCTACCTCCAGAGATGCCAGAGAAGAATCCTTCTAGCATAAGGTGATTGCTGTCAATTCTTGTAATTCCTCGGCTTTCAGTTGCATCACTCTAATATCTGCATTCATCATCACATAGACTTTTTCATTGCGTGTCTCTCTGCTTCTGTGTGTAAATCTCCCTCTTCTTTCTCATAAAATCACCAAATCAGTATGACCTGATGTTAACTTGATTATATCTGCAAAGACTCTATTTCCAAATAAGTCACATTCATAATTAGTGGGGGTTAGGGTAGTCAGCACATATTGGCAACCACATATATTTATGTTTGGTGGGCATTGATTGTGTGGAGAAAAGTTAAGTATAATCATCGACTTAGAGAACTTAAAGTAGAACAAAGAGGCACATATAAATATGCCAATAAGTGCAGAACTGAGTACAAAAGAAATACAGGTAATGGAAGGAGAAAGCCGTCAAGCTAGAGAAGACACTCAAACTGGATTTTGATAAAATTAGTAAGTGTTCGACAGGCCAGCTTTGTGAATTTCTGCTCTGCTATTTTTTCTCTTGGTGGGAAGGTTTTAATCATGAAGTGTATTTCTTTAATAGATATAAAATATTCATATTTTAATTTCTGTTTGTGTTAACCTTTTAATAAACTTTTTATTTTAGTATAGTTTTCAATTTATAGAACTGTTGAAAATAGAATACAGAGAATCCTGAATACCTCATATAGAACTTCCCCTATCATTAATATCTTATATTACTATGGTACATTTGTCACAACAAATGAAGCAATATTGCCACATTATAATTCATTAAAATTCATGGTTTACAATTATTTCCTTATTTTTACCAAAATCTTCGTTCTGTGCCACGATCCCATTGGGGATATCACCTATTTAGTCATCATGTCTCCTGTGGCTCATCTAGACTGACAGTTTCTTACACTTACCTTGTTTCCTTGAAAAATTTGAGGAGAACTGGTTAGGTATTTGAAATAACATCTCTCAGTTGGAGTTGGTCTGAAGTTTTCCTCATGATTAAATAAGGGTTATGGGTTTTTGGAGGAAGATCACTCACATGAAGTGTCATTTTCATTACATCCCATCAAGGGTACATGATACCAACATACATCACTGATTATGTTAACCTGAATCACTTGGCTGGAGTAGTGTTTGTCAGGTTTATACAGTGTTTATTTAACTTATTTCCCTATTTCCATACCGTGTTTATTTGGAAGAGCATTACTAAGCACACCTTATATTCAAGGGGTAGGACATTAAGCTTCACTCCTTTGAAAGGGGAATACTACATATATTCTTTGTAATTCTTTAGTGCTGGAAACTTGTTTCTTCCCTCCCATTAATTTATGCATTCAATCATTTATGTATATAAATATGGACTCATGGAT
Organism: Homo sapiens; assembly: GCF_000001405.40. Taxonomy (NCBI): domain Eukaryota; kingdom Metazoa; phylum Chordata; class Mammalia; order Primates; family Hominidae; genus Homo; species Homo sapiens. The sequence continues at coordinate 196,636,458 of NC_000001.11, read as the reverse complement.
GTTTAGTTTACATTTTGGGTTATGATCCAAAACTATATTATTTATTTTGTCTTTCAAATTATTCCAGATTAGGCCATTGGGAGACCTTTCAGATTGACTCTTGTATGCTTTTGACATGACCCCATCATTTTATTTTTTTCAGTGCTTCCTTATTTCTGACACTACAGGATAATCTAGTTTCATCTTGTATATTCCCTGCCTCAGTCCTAGAATCAGCCCTTTCTGCAAGTAACAAGCCCTTTCTGCTTGTTTCCGTCTATTGGAGGATAGTTCTAGAAACGAAGATCTGGGTGCTGAGTGGGTTTGTTGCTTTGTCGGTACTGAGGTGTTATTTCTCATAGGTCCTCTCAGCAAATAATAGAGCTAGGAAATGTACCTATGTATACTAATCTATGCATGCACATATTTATAATAATTTCCATTTGTACCTATCCATATATTAAGCTAGCATGAGTTCAGACTAGTGTCTCTGACTCTAACCCAGTGCTACAGGGTTTATTCTAGATTTCCTCCTGTTTGATGTAACCTCCCCTTCCAACAGTGAGAAGCTGGCTCCTACCATGTAACATCTATTTACTTTTGTTTAATCACAGTACACATGTATAGAATTTTGAGAATTATTCATCCACACCCACATGAGACATAACTTTGCCAGCTAGAATAGTACTTACGTACTGTTCCTTTTGCCTTCAGACTTACAGTTTCCAATAATCATCAAAGTTACTTAGATAAGCAACTTTTCCCCTCTTCTTTAAGTGAGGTGATAACATACATTTAATAGAGTTAATTTTTATAATCTGAATTCCACCCAGAGATCCATCATCTTCCTACTTGCTTATTTTTAAATTTGGATACATCAATATTTACTCTTTGTGCTATGAAGTTTTATAAATTTTTGCTGAAAGCGTAATGTCCCATATTCACCACTATAGTAACATATGGTACTGCCAGCTTATAGAGTTGATCAATTACAAATAAGAGAAATAGAATATTTTCCTTTACCTTCATTTTTTTCTTCTCCAACATTATTTTCTTTATGTAGGTCCAAGTTTCTGACCTAGATCATCTTCCTTCTGCCTGAAATAAATCTTTTAACATTTCATGCAGGTCTACTGGTGATGAATTCCTTCGTTTTTTAATTTCTCCTTCATTTTTGTAGGATAATTTTTCTGGATATAGAATTCTATGTTGATAGATCATTCTTTCAATACTTGTGGTATTTTACTCCACTCTGTTCTTGCTTTTGTAATTTCTGCTGTACTTCTTATCCTTGATTCTCTAATGGGTAAGGTGTTTTTTTCTTCTGGATTCTTTAAGATTTTCTTCTTGTTTTGTCTTTGGTTTTCTTAAATTTGAATAAAATATTAGGAGTACTTTTTCAGTATTTATTCTGGTTGGTGTTGTCTAATCTTCCTGGAACTGTGGTTTGGGTCTGTCGTTAATTTTTCAATGTTCTTGGCTGTTAGTAATTCAAATTTTCTTCTGCTCCCTTCTCTGTTTTTTCTTCTTCTAATATTCAAATTATACATAGTCACTCCAGTTGAATTTTTTCCAGAGTTCTTAAAGGTTCCTGACTGAGCTTTTTTTGTTTTTCTTTACTTTATATTTTTCTCCTTAAATTTAAGTTTGGAAAGTTTCTATTGACCTCTCTACAGGCTCAGTGATGCTTTCCTTAGCCTATTCCGGTCTACTGATGAGCTTACCTAAAGTAATCTCCGTTTCTGTTACAGTGTTTTTGGTTTCTAGCACTTCTTTTATATTCTTTCTCAAAATTTCTATTTCTGCTTACATTATCCATCTGTTCTTGCATGTTGTCTATTTTTTCCACTAGAACCCTTAACATATTAATTATAGTTATTTTTAAATATTCTGTCTGATAAGTCCAAGACTTGTGTCATATAAGTGTGGTAAGTGTGGTTCTGATATTTGTTTTCTCTCTTCAAACTGTCTTTTTTGTTTCCTTTTGGTGTACCTTGTAATTTTTTGTCAAACACCAAACATGTTATATCAGATCATAGGAACTGAGGTAAATAGAGTTCTACTGTGAAGATTTATGTTCTGATTAGAAACTGAATTTTATTTAATGCTTGCTGCAGCTATGGATATCAAAGAATTCATATTCCTCTAGTGTCCTTGACTTTCCCTCCTTGACTTTGGGCATTCCTAAGTATTTTTTTCTCAAGAGTCTGTGTCTTGCAGTTCTTTCATCTGTAATCAACAAGAGCTCTGTTGATTTGATGGTAAGGTGTTAGGGGAGGGGGTGTTTTGTAATCATTCAATTAAATCTAATTGTGGGGTGGGGGGCTGTATATTTGGCCTGTGATCTTCACAAGTGTTTTTTCTCATATTTTTTTTGTTTTGTTTTGTTTTTAATTATTCTTCCCAAGGTGAGACAGAAAGAGTAGAAGAGGCTGGAGTGATAAGAATACCCTTCTCCATGGCTCTGGGACAATGCTCTGTTAAGTTTTCTCCCTGGAGAGTTGGGATTTGTTATGGGAAAGGTTCTTGGCATATTTCACAAGGATTACTCTTCCAATTCCTCATGCCAGAAGAAGGTGTTTCTTGGTTCTTCATTTTGAGAACCTGGTGCTATTTCTGGAGGTAAAGCATACAAAAGTGTGTGTATACTAGGGGGTGTGGGGTCCTGTTAAGTCTGTGGACCCTGGAGTTTCTCATTCTCATTCTATTCCACACTTAGTCTCTAGAAATTTGTCAAAATTATCATTTAATTCTTATTAGTTTATGGCTTCAGCTACTTTTGCTTGAAATAAGCAGACCTGGGCTGTGACTCTCTGAATTTACTTCTCCAGATTTCAGGGTGGTGGTTTGCCTGCAAAATCAATTCTTTGTTGGGCTCAAGAAAAGTCACTGATTTCTAATTTATCCATCTTTTCCTTGTTGTAAGAATAGGAGTGCCTGCTTCTTAGATTTTGACATATGAGAGCTGAAAGTCCTTTATATTATTGACATGAATGTCTCAGTTGCTCAAATGCATGGGTATCTCTATTGGGTTATAGTCATCATGATCTTTGTCTTTGGCATCTAAAAAAGCTAGAGGAAGGCATGACAGAATGGTCCAAACCTAATATGCTTGCCTAGCTTGCACAATTGAAGCAATGTTTCAGACCAGGAGAAGAAATAGTGTTTGGTCTCCTCACAGAAGAGTTAATATAAGTAGGGGCTCTATCCCAGGTTACTTCCAAGTTTAACAGTCCTGACAAGACAGTATAAGCCACTGAAGACTACAGAGGCTTAGATAAGAAAGGGTCATGTTCTCAAACTGACATAGAAATGACAAAATGTGGCCCTGGTATGTTGTCTTAAACATTGCAAGTGCTTTTTAAAAATAACCCTCTAAAGGAAAACCAAGTCATGCTAATATGCTAATGACAAATCATCAGTGAGTTTATTGACAAATCATCAATAAATTCTAGGACAATATTGTCAAATTTATTGGCAAATCATCAATAAATTCTAGAACAATATAAACTCTTGATGCATGTTCAGATTCTGTTACAATGATGATTTTTGATAATGGCTTCTACTGAGAAAACTGCCTATGTATCACATTGCATACCATCCTAGCACAACTGACAAAAACAGGCTGACTTTGAATATAGCCAAAATCCAAGGCATCATCCAAGGTACCTTGTTGGGAACTATTTGGACCATAATTCAAAGAAATTGTAAAGATGAGCTGTTGATTCATCAGCCATTAAGTACAAAAAAGGAGCCTCAACACTTGACTGATTGTTTTGGATATTGCAGATAGCACATACCACAATTAAAAATTGTACTACAGCCTCTAGACTAATCAAACAGACTACCAGCTTAATATCTACAGCTCATGGCTTTGAAATCAAGCCAAATATTAGTAACTCAAGGCCTGAAGCTCATATCTCCTTCAGACTCCATGACATTACAAATGTTTCTAGCCACAGGGTTGATTGAAACCTATGGCAAAAGACCATGAGTACTCCTCAGCCTCTAGGATTCATACTCAAGGACTTTCTCCTGCTACAGAGAAATGCTCCTACCATTTCTCTTACAGATTTAGATTATCGCACCTCAAAAAATGTCGTTACTCCTTAGCAGAGCCCCCAAATAGAAGCTAGAACTGGTCCTTGAGACCTTAGCCAGGCTACCAATTCCACCTTTACACAAAGATATCATGGCTGTCTATAAAATAGTCTGCATACAGAGAAAACAAAATCAGTGCAAAGAAGCAGCCTTCCAACATAATAATAGATTGCCAATAATTTATGTCGTTGATTGCTCTTCGGAATGAGTTGCACATCAAATGGTGTTCCTAGACATCCCAATATTAACAAATTTACCTTTACACAGACTTCTGGGCCAACACTAATAGCCTGAAAATATACGTACTCAGGACTGTGGTTGTGTGATAGCATAGGAAACACCTGGCCCACTAGGAATGCATGAGTCTTGGAGTGGGGAATGATAAAATTTTGAGAAGGAACAGTATCCCTCCCTTCTTTTAATAACAGTATTGTTAAATATATGTGCCATCTCTCTTTTCTTTTTTTTTGTGCCTACCATGACCTCTGAAGATATATAGAATTTTTTAGATGCTTTTTTAAACTTCAATATGTGAAAGGAAAGATTATATTGTTCAACGTAAGGATAATTGAGCAGACATGAACTTGGACATTGACTTTGCCTCAAGTGGTTTTACACACCCCCGCTTCTGCCCCCATGGACTGCTTATGAAAATAATATGGTGACTTGTTTCCCTGTGAAACTCACCATCCTGGAGAAAGAACATTCAGTCTGTCTCAGTCCCAAGAGGGAATGTAAACTTTGATTGGTTGGGTGTAAACTACCCAACTCTGAGAGATGGATGGGAGGGTGAGAACTCATAAATAATTTTGTCTTTTGCTATTACACATATGTAAAAATAACCTGAAATACTCTTTTACAAATCTTTTGGGCAATGTCTTGTGATATAAATCCTGTACAAATTTGGATATGTTACATTCCACTGGATCCAGCTTGTGGTTTCTCACTGATGCTCCATTCTCAGAAAATACTGTGTAACCCTCTCTACTCCCAGACATACTGTGAAACCCACTATGAGTTTGTGTCAATCAGAGCTAAATTACTTACACTTAATGAGTGCCCCCAGGGGATGAGAGAAAATTATGAATGGTTTGGAGGCTCATTTCCTTCTCTCTCTTTTTTTTTTTTTTTTTTTTTTTTTTTTTTTGGTAGTATAGCAAGGATCTGGCCCAGCTTGAGCCAATCTGGGGAGAAACAAGGTCTTTGGCTGACATCAGCATTCTTGTCATTCAAAGTCTTTCCAAGTGCACTTACTTTGCAGACCTTGGCTGTAAGTATGCCTAGTCCCTGGTATTGCTCCTGAGATTCCTTGAAACATTTTTTATTAATTAAATTATGCACTTCTATATTCATCCTAAGCTAACTTAAATATTTGTAACAAGAAGATAGGACATATTCTCTTTTTTTGTGATTCTCATTTCCACATCCATCCTGTACAGGTAGGCTTCTGCCTGATGGAATATTGGTAATGGTCCACATAGACATTCAATGTTTTGCCTGTACTGTGAAATGAGTGTTCAGGGTATTGCTTGGAATCAGGTTTTAAGTCTTACCTGAAGACCGAATGTCTTTAGTAGTTGTATGACTCTTCAGATTTTCTATTTCTCTTTTAATCAGTTTTCTCAACTTCTAATTTTTCTAGAAATTTGCCTATCTCATATGCATTTTCAAATATATTGGCATTAATTTGTTCATAATTGTCTCATTGTTTTAATCTTAATATTATTTAATTCTGTCTGTTCTCTTTTTAGTTCTCCTTAATCTTAATCTTATCTGAGGTTTACCTATTTTATTAGTAATTTCAAAAAAATCAATTCTTGGATTCGTTAGTTAACTAGGTTTTTCAATTTTATTATTTTTTTCTTTATTATTTCCCTCCCTCCACTCTTGTTGGATTTATATCATTGTTATATTTTTAATTCCATGAGATAGCTGTTTAGCTCATTGATTTTAACACTATTTTTTTCTAATGTAAGAATTTTAGGCTATCCATTTATCTCTATATGTTCTTTTAATTTAACACTCTATTATGATACATAGTATTTAAGTTATTCTCATTTTCCAAATTTTGCCTAATTTCCTTAGTGCTTTTTCCTGTGATTCACGAGTTGTATGCTTTTTCTTGTATTTACAAGTATAGTTTTATTCTAGTCATATTTTGTTATTATTCCTTAATTGTGTCATCATCTCATGAAGTTACTGTGTTAGCAACTATTTGAAAATTTTAAAAACTAACTTGATGACTTGGCACACTATCACTTTTCATAAATATTCTATATGTGCATAAAAATGCATATTCTTGAATTGTTATGGTACACTATTTGATATATATTATTACTTTAGGTTTAGTAATGGTGTTGATAAAATTCTCTAAATTGTTTCTGTTTTATAAAAATTTATTTATTCTACTAACCACTAAGAGAGGTATGATAAAATAACACAGAATGTTGATAGATTTGTCAATATCTCTTTGTAGATGTGTGAATTATTTCACTCTCTTTTCTCCCTCCTCTTTTTCTTTGTCTCTCTCTCCCCTCCTTTCTTCTTTCTCCCCTCTCCTGTCTCCTATGTTCTTAGATAGATAAAATTGTAAAACTGTTACAGATTGAGAAGGGAACATTTTACCATTATGCACTGATCCTCTTTAATTTAATAACATTTTGTAATCTAGTGGATTTTTTTAGTTTAATTTGACAATTTTATCTTTTCACTGCAGAGTTTAGCCCAATTAGTGCAATTGTGATTTTCAATTGTTTTAATCATTTTCCTGTCATCTTACAATTATTTCCTCTTTTACACTTTTTACTTTTCTCCTTTAATGACTTTTTTTTTATCGTTCCTATTCCATTTTTCATTTTTATTTTAATTGTTTAAATCATTATCTTAAAATGCACTTAATTGTATAAAATAAATCCATATTTCAATGACCCTTCAAACAATAAGAAATTATAATACTTGTCTGTTTATGACTTTCCCAATTTACATGATCTTATTTCTTCGTATCTTAATCCTGCCCTTTCTTTTAACACCACTAACTAAAAATTATGATTATTAATTTTTAAGGAAATAATATTTACTTAAATTTACCTCAAAATTGTCTCTTTGACTATCCCTCTGTTGTCATTTATGAAAGCACAACTTCTAGAAGCTTCTTTCTTTCTTTTCTCTTTCTTTTTTTTTTTATATGGGTTTCTTGCTCTGTCACCCAGGCTGGCATGCAGTGGCATGATAATGGCTGACTACAATCTCAAATTCTTGGGTTCAGGGTGTTGGAACTGTTTGTTCCCCAGTGCTGCAAAGAAATAGCATTCGAACATAAACTTAATTCTCTCAGCAAGGCAGTTTTTACTTTCTGCAGAAAGGGTGCTCTCTGCAGATATACAAGGGGATCCTCTTGCCTCAGCCTCCCTAGTAGCTGGAACTTCAGGCATTCATCATCACACTTGGCTAATTTTTTCTTATTTTTTGTAGATGCGGCATCTCATCATGTTACTCAGGCTAGTCTTGAATTCCTGGCCTCAAGCGATCTTCCTTCTTCATCCTCCCAAAGTGCTGAGATTAAAGGCATGAGCCGCCACACCCTGCTAAAAGCTTCTTTAACAAAGTCTGTGTTTAATAATTATTAGCTTTTTTATACAAAATTTTTCTTCAAAGAGAGTTTTCCTGAGTACTCCATTGGAAGCTGATTTTTATTTTCTCTTGACAATGTGAAGAGACTATTTCACTATCTCATAGCTTCCATCTTGGCTTAAAAGGCTTCTTACAGTGTAGCAGTCTTTGTTTTGTTGGTGAGCTTTCTTTTTTCTCTGCTTCCTTTAGGATCTTCTTCTTGTCTTTAGTGTTCCTCATTTTTACTAATGTATGCCTAGGTATGCATTTCTGTTTACTTGTTTACAACCCTTCTGTACTCATTGCTTCCTATCTATTTTTTATTTGTTCTGAAAAATCCTCAGACATGATCTCCTCAAATGTTTTCTCTTTTCTTTTATATATTCTTTTTCTGGGACTCAGAGGTATACGATACCCTCGCTTATAGCCTCTGTTTCTCTTTCATGTGATTTTGTCTGTTTTATATTTGGGGCTATGTCTTCAGATTTATATATTTCTTTTATATTCTGTGCCTGATAATTTTACTATCTAATGTGTGTGTCATTGTAAATTTTTAGGTCTCATTTTTTCTGACTCCCACTCTTGAAGACAAGGTTCTCTGTGTGTTCAGTGATCTGTGTTTGTCAATTCACATTTTCTTCCTATGTGGGAACATATGAACATATGAGGGCCTATTATTTTTCATAAGAAAGAGGAAATTTTCATTTGGTTCTGCCAGGTTCCAGAAGTCAGCAGTGAGCCATGCAACATTTTAGATAGCTCCAAGCATCCCACTAACTAAAGTGGAAGTAATAAAAACACTCAGAATCTCAGTGGCTTAAAATGAGTTTTTATTTGTTTTTATATGTAAAAACACAAATGCATAAAATATAATAATATACAAAATATTGCATTTTGTGTGTATAATATACAACATATTGTGTTTGTATGTACAATATACAAAAATACAAATAATTTTAAACAGATTTTGGTTTAGACATATTTTTATAGAACACTCTTTAATATTTGTTTATTCTATTTCTCACTCATGCTGCTTGTTTTTAAGGGCCCCCCATGGACTGACAGTACATGTTTTTCTCACCCTGAGATCAATATGAGATCTCAGTCTGAGATCTAGGCTATCTGAACGCTATCAGTCACGAAGAGAAAGGAAGAAATCTGGTAAATTGTACACTGTTTCTTAAAGCTTCTGATTAGAGATCATATAAATCAATACAACTCTCATTTAATTGTCCTAAGAGGGTTCCATGGGTGTATTTAGTATCAAAACTATGAAGTACAGTCTTACTGTTAGTCTCAAATACTCTCATTTCATTGTTTCCTATTTTTGTTAGGTTTAACATTTATTCTGAGTTTCCAACCTTACATTCAATTTCATACTTAATTTTTCAATTTTCTTCAAATCTTAGTTTTGTTTCTAAGTGGATTTATTTTTTGCCGCGAATCTTTCCAAATGTGGCTCTTCTGTTATTGAGATCTTAATTTTGATTCATCTTTTTTCTCCCTGTATTTCATCATCAAATTTTTAGGATAAGCTGTTGTTGGACTCTATTCCTTGATTTCCTGCACATTCATAAATTTATTTCTTTTATACTAAAATGTCAACTTGACTAAATATAAAAAGTATTGAGTCACACTTCTTTTTTCTAAGGACTTTATAAATATTATTGCACTCATTTTTAGTCTGTGATTACGTGCAAGAGTCATTCAGATTTTTCTCCTTTCTGTGACTTTCTCTGAATACCTATAGGGTACTTTTTACTTTGTAACCAATTTTAATTTAATTTCATTTACATTGTTAAAATCACAAAATAAGATATACTGTTTTACCAAGTCAGGTAACACCGAGATATAGAAAAGAAAATATCAGTAGTATTTATATACCCCCTCCTTAAGCTAGTTTTTCCCCTTTTTAAATATAAATATTTATTGCTTACAACACAGTTAGAGAAAATGTGGAAATCGTATGTCTAGGATGAATTACTATTTTAAATGTAAATACAACCATGTAAGTAACATGCAGATTAAGAAACACTACAAGAGTAGTAGCATTCCAGAAGTTCCTGCATGCCCCCTTCCATTAGCTTGAGTAACCGTTAACTTGACTACTAACAGCTAAAATAGTTTTGCTTATCTTTTTTTTGAATAAAAAAACAAGAAGTTTTTTGCAAAATTTAAATACACATAGTCAGAAATATAAATGGGATATAATATTGTTTATATTTTGTATTAATGAAAGCATTGTATACAGATAGTGTAGCATCACACAAAAAGGTATGTGTATATTCTTAATAATAATATTTGAATTAAATTTTGTGAGCTATGTGAAGGGAGGCTAAATTTTTATATCTGCAGGTATCAACGGTTGTACTTATGTGAAATCGTGGGCATTGAGAAAGATTTGGAGAAACCAGAAATTTTGTATATTGCTAATGAAAACGAACATTGGTACAATTACTTTAAAGAACTCTGTAGCGGAATCTACCAAATTTGAAAATATCCACATGTTGCAGTCTGTCAGTTCTATTCCTAGGTATATACTTAAAAAATTTATAGACATGTTCACCGACAGACATGATATGTATTAAAATTCCAATATCTCTTACGATGGAATTGGTGCCTTTCTAAGAAGAGATCCAAAAGAGTCTTCTTTCTTTCAATCTCTCTCTCTCCCCCTTTCTCTTTCTCTCTCTCTCTCACTCTTTCCCCACCACATGAGGATATTACAAGAGAGCAGCCATCTGTGAACCTAAAAGAAGGCACTCACCAAAACCCAGACCATTCTGACATCTTGATCTTAGACTTCAAACCTTCAGAACTGTGAGAATTAAATGTTTGTTATTTAAGCCACACAATTTTTGGTATTCTATTTTAGCAGCCCAAATTGTCAAGGAAAATAATTACCTCAAACTACAATGCATTATTACCACTCACCCACAAAGAAAAAAAAAAAGCTAAAATGAAAAAAATCACATCATAAGGGCTCCAGCCCCAGGCCCATGACCTAATTACCTCCCAAAGGCCCCGTGTGCTAAAGTAATTCCATTGCAGGGTAGGCTTTCAACATGAATTTCGTGGGACACAATCATACAGTCCATAGCACTTATTTAACAGTTTTATATTCTTCTACAGCTTTTCTTCTATGTTCATATATAAAGATATACAGATGATTTTTTTCTACTTTATCTTCATTTGTTATTTAACATTTAATCATGCAAATAATTATTTATAACATGTATAAGGACTTACTGTAAAATAAACCTACCTCTGCTTAAGAAATGGAATGTTATCTTTGCAGAATTCTTGATCTATCTTTGAAATTCAATATTTTCAAAAGAATTGTTTTTTGCTTTTATTTAACCATCATTTTAAATTTATTATTAATTTTTCATTAATTCGGCTCCAGAAGCAGTGAGTTGAGATAATCATACTCTTTAGTTCAAAAGCACCTTAGTTGTTTCATTTTATTTTCATATCCTCTCTTATCGCCACTCCCTCTCTGATTTTTCTTTCCTCCTACTAACTGCCAAACACATTAAAATATTTGATGCATAAACATTTGTGTGCATGTTCTTCCAAAACATATGTTTCACTTTTTCATAGAAATTATTTTTCTTACACATCTTATACTAGGTCTTAAATTTTTTATTCTGTATTATATTTTAAATACCTATCGTGTTTATATATATATATTGCTGCATAGTTTTCATAATGTACACCAATCACAGATGACTTTTCTATCCCCTCAGTGACAGTCACTTTAACTGCTCCAACTTCTTTCTATCCCAACAATAATGCAATGCATCCCTTTGTACATGTGTCTTTATGGGTGATTGTGAAGACATCTCGGGGTATAGCTTTTGAGCTGTATTCCTTTTCCAAAAAGTTTATGTATCCTAAATACGATTTTATACCAACTAATTGCTCTCTGGAATGTCTACATCAGTCTATATTACAATACAGTATACAAAGGCTCTTATATCCTTATATCTCACTATTGTTTTAAAATTTGTATATCTCTAGTTACTAATCTAGGTAAACATTTCTTCTTAAACTTCAGATGGTTATTAGCTTTTATTTCTTTTCTGTAAAATTCCTCTTCATATCCTTTTCTATGAGAAGCCATACTTTTAAATTATTGATATAATTGATATGCATACATTTCTTATATATTTCTTACTTATTCTCAACTAACCCCTAATTGATTTTATATATTGTAAAAGTCAGATTTTCCCAATCTGTCATTGGTTTGGTTTGTTAACTTTAACAGTTGTTCTTTTGTTCAGAAAAGGCATTGATTTTGTAAGTTTATTTTGTATCCAGCAATCTTTATGCACTCTATGCACTCTTTTTTTTTTTTTTCTGTGACCAAGTCTCGCCCTATCACCAGGCTGGAGTGCAGTGACGAGATCTCCGCTAACTGCAACCTCTGCCTCCTGGGTTCAGGCGATTCTTCTGCCTTAGCCTCCTGAGTAGCTGGGATTGCAGGTGTGCACCACCATGCCCAGCTATTTTTTGTATTTTTAGTAGACACGGGGTTTCACCATGTTGGCCAGGATGGTCACTATCTCTTGACCTCGTGATCCGCCCGCCTCGGCCTCCCAAAGTGCTGGGATTACCAGCGTGAGCCACTACACCTGGCCTTCATGCGCTCTTTTATTATTGTTAATAGTTTGTCAATGAATTCAGCTCCTCCAGTGTTTTTCTTAGTTTTATTGTTCTAGATTGTTTTCTTAGAATACAATATGCTGTCTTAACCTATAAATAAAGGATTCTCTTCAGAAAAAAACAGTAAATTTTTGAATTTTTAAAATATATTTTCTATTATCATATATTGATTACATAATTGTTTTTTCCTCATACTCAGTAACAGCAATTATGCGTATATTGTATTTGTCTTTTATATCTATAATTAGATCTCTAATCTGCTTTATTTATCATTTTTAAGAATTCCATGTTGATTCTCTCAAGTTTTTCTTTCATGTCCTAAAATATAGAACAGGGATAAATGTGTGTGTGTGTGTGAGTGTGTCCATGGTGGGGGTTTATGTATGTGTATATGCACACAATGCTGCTAATGTTGCTTTTATTTCTGTATTTGTTTTGTTTCTCTCTTTTATCTTTTTCTGAGCTCTGTGAACTTACTTTTCATTTCTGGTCTTATAATTGGTTTATGTTTTCTTTAAGTCTTTTGAACTCAAGAAGATTTGATTAGAAACTATATTTTGGGTTTTGGTAATTGTTCTAGTGGTATTTTTAACCCTCTTTTATTTCTTATATTGCTTTTTTCTTACTTATTTAATTTTTAATCTACGAGTATGTCATCCATGCTTGTTTCTTTCTGATTCTTACTTATTTTGAATGGGATGCACATATCTAGTTTAAATATCTGCTGAAATAAAATTAAAGGTGAGAGATGTGAGCTAAAGCAGTGAACACTTAGGACATATCCTCATCATCTTTGTTTTGTCATCTCCTTGGTAATAATCTCCACTCTTTATTTACCTTTCTCATGTCTGCTGAGCAGAAAATCTTTGGAGTTTTCATTTCCACAGTAAAGTCCTATGCTCCAGGTGTCTGTGACATTTTTAGAATCTATTAATTTATTTTCTGCTGGCTTTGATTAGCTGTCACCAAGGTGATTGGGGTGTATGTACTCTCATCTTGACTGATTTCTGAAAAGATGGCATATATATGTGGCTTCTTATTCAGCCTTTCTACACTCCTCAATCTTGCTTTATAAACACTGTATTGTATTCACATCTTCCATGTAAGATATCTTTGATCCTTTCAGAGCTGTGCTATATATTTTGAAGAACCTCTGCACTATTTAAAATATCTGTAAGTGTTTGCACTTACTCTTGACACTTTTTCCCATTTTGGTCCCAATAAATTTTTTCTTTTATTTGGAGTTTGTGATTTAAAATGTGGTTGTCTCCTGGTCCCAATGATGACACAGCAGTCCATATTTCTTTTATACTTGGTGGTTGTTTCAGTTGGCAATACAGAAGGAGATGAATAAAATTGCAAAAGTGAAGAATGCTCAATTCATGCAGTTAAAAATGATGTAAAAGTAATATATTAAAATTAGGTAAAATATTGGGTAAAATTTTTTTTCTTTGTTCAAAACAGAGTCTCACCCTGTTGCTCAGCCTGGAGTGCAGTGGTGTGATCTCAGTTCACTGCAACCTCTGACTCCTGGGTTCAAGCCATTCTCCTACCTCAGCCCCCTAGTAGCTGAGATTACAGGCATGCGACACCACATTGGCTAATTTTTGTATTTCTAGCAGAGACAAGTTTTCACCATGTTGGCCAGGATGGTCTCAAACTCCTGACCTCAAGCGATCCACCAACTTCGGCCTCCCAAAGTGCTGGGATTACAGGCATGAGCCACCGTTCCAGCCTGGTTAAAATATTTTTAATTGCTTATCTTTGAAAGTCTGCTATTATTGTGAAATTGATTTTTCTATGGGATCAGATGGACTGATGCTTTGTGGTGGGTGTGTAATCACTGCAGAAGAAAATTTGGGAACTGAACCTGGAATGTTAGTCCATGCCAATTATTTGAAAATTAGCATCCAAAAAGCAATAAAATTTGTTGAGAAAAATTGAAAGTTATTACACTACCTAGTTTTACTAGGAAAAGATTCTGGCATTGGGCCAATGATGACTGATAATTATTCATAGCACTATTGAAGAGATTGATGTATTTTACTAGGAATTTTTCAGGTGTGAGTGATAGAAATTCAGCTCTCTTAAGCAAAAAGATAACTTATTGATTCCTATGACTGGGTACTCTAGGAGTGGTGCTTGCTTTAGTCATAGCCAGATCCAGAAGATTAAAAATAAATCTTGTGTTGCTGCAAAGTTTAGGTATTTTCGGACCATTCACAATATGGACAGACATAGCCCCTAGTTAGAAATCTAGCAGAACAAGAATTTTTGTCTCCTGATACTCATACATGAAATATTCCTTGTCACCATTGCCCATACTCTTTGAACCACATTAGATTATATGCCCATGCAAGTATATAGAAAGGGGTAGTAGAATGCCACCATGATCTAATTAAAAACATAGGACTTTTATATATAGGAACAGGATATTGGTAGATGAAAATTTATTAATAAGTCCAATGTAATTAATTGGGACAAATATTATAATATCCTGATTGCAGTGTGATCTCAGAATAGGCTTTACATTTCTATTTTGAGTACAGTATATGCAGAGACTCTGAAGTCTATTCTACTTTGTTTTGTTCTGAAAAAAACTGGACAAAGACAAACTAGACTATTTTAGCAATCTTTATTCTTTAGTTGCAGATTGGAAAACCAAAGACTTGGGGTATCTGTTCTGGTAGCTCTAGGTTTTGTTGGGAATCCTAGATTTAAAGATATTCTCTTATTTCTGTTGGAAGTGAATAAGCTTCAGAGCTTCTGACAGCTATCTTGAAATCACAGGAAGGGATGTAGAAGGAATGGCAATTGCATACAGAAGAACTAAGTCCTTTGTGGCATCTGTAGGTCACCATATTAAGCTTTTGCTAAAGCTGACCTATGTCTGAATTTCCCCATATGTGAGATAATAAATTTATTTAATTTTTAAAATGACATTGTAGATCATATATCTGCTACTTATAATTCAGAGCATCCTAAGGGATATACTGGGACATTTTGGTCCTTGGCCCTTATGAATAGTGGCAAAACCTCCTTGTTTGAGAATTTACAATCTGCTAATTTGGATAAGTCATATTGACCTGGATGTTCTTTGATGTTCTTCTTCTTATGACTCCTCTTGCTCTAACTAACCGATAGAATCTTCTCCTTATTTTGGGCATCCCCACTTCACATTTGACTTGACTTCTTAACTTGGCTCTTCTTTCACAGTTCAGTTTCTGCACTATCTCTACTAAACAAAAAGATACCTTTTTTCCTTTTGGGTTATGATTTGGGCATTTATATTTTCTCCCCTATTTGATGAATTGCTGCTTATTAGTTCACACATGGCTTTAGCATGAATAACCTGGCTTCTAGATTACTCTTTCTAATTATGATTGAGCTTCACCTATGCACTTGGAATCTGTCCTTCACCTGTGGTTGGCTTTATTAGGAACTTATCCTTAGCAATAGTTTTAGCAATGAAGGGAAATGAGAACAAAAAATAGGTGGGGCATTTAAAAACAAAGCTCTTTGATTTCCTATATTCACAATCTTAGCCTCATTTGACTCATGTTCTAGTTTAATTAAACTATAAAGAAAATATTTTTGAAGAGTTGCCTGAATAAACGATAAGCCATCAAAAAATCATGGCCTAGGATAATTTGATAGTCAACTCCTAGGAAAAGAGCCTATTCCTGATTCAGGAAATTAGTTGAAAACTCATTTTGGCTGTCAGGTCATTAACATCTAATGGCATTCAGTATTTTTGTACCACACTGCGTAACCTGGGGATTTTCCCAGGGCTTAAGTACAAGTGAGCTTGTAGGCTTGCAGGCAAAAAGAAAGGAAATAGAAAGTGTAAAGCACAGATTAGAGTTGTTTTTTATTTCTGCTTCTTAATCTGGGTGGATGCCTTGTCAAAAGTGTTAATAGTCCTAATATTCTGAAATATCATATCTTCTCTTTCTGCATATTAATTGGTATTTTAATATACTTTGCATTGATATTTGAGTGGGAGGTGGTGAATTTTTCTCTCAATTATTGATTTGGTTATGACATTTCCAGATTGCTTTTTTGCCATATCCTTATTTTTTGCAACCGTAAAGCTTGCGTGGACCCAGTGTAAAAATTGCATTACTCATTTAGCTCTGTAGCACATGTTCAGCTTGTTGCATCTGAACTCAATATGGTGCATATATTTTTTTGCTATGCATGTGAATGTAATTCAAGATGCTTGTTTTAATTTTAAATGCCTACATGCTCTGGCTTCTAACTACAGAGTATTTAAGGTTTTCTGATTATCCATATTTATTATTTCCAGGGGAGTCCAGAAGAATCACTGAACAGCCAGATTTTTTTTCTGTTTAACTTTAGTGCATTTATGTTGTTTCAGTCGCTCTGAGGGTACATACTTTAGTTTATCTTTTTGGATATAATCAAAACTGTTCAACCTGAGGAGTAAAACTTGAAAAGCATAATTAAATTCATTAGTTGCTAAACTTAGAAGAAGAGTTTATATTAAGAAAAATAATTCTAAAAATGTTGATACCTATATTTTGAAAAACACATATAATAGCAATAGCAGACTATGTGGTGAGCACCGTAATAAATTATTTATATGTATTAATGTATTTTATTCCCCCAAATAAGCACTCTACTCCATTTAGCAGATGGGGAAAATGAAGCACAGTGAGTAAATCGTCCAAGGTCAAGCAGCTGGTAAATGCCAGTTTCAGGCTTTAAATCCAAATAGCCCAGATTCATAAGTTGTATATTGCCAAACAATATTACTTCTCAGGTAGTTGATTAAAGTGAGGCAGTGGGGAAGAGTGGACTGGAGAGGCCATAAGCCCAGATGTGGAGGAAGGTAAAGGGTAAGGGGTAGGCTTTAGACTAAGCTATGCCGATTCTGGAATTCACAGCCCAAATGATGGAACTGCTGAAGAAGCTTTTCTAAGATTTTATGTGTGGGTGTGTTTGTATGTGTAAAAGATAGGATACAATTTTTGTACTCTTCAGGCTGGAGTGATCTGGGGGTGCAAAGGTAGCATTTACATTGAGAAAGAGATGCATGCTGACTCACTACTCTCAAATAATAAATACGCATGTTGAATAAACTAGTCCAATCTCAGATAGCTAACAATATGTAAAATCACTAATAATATATAATCTTTTACATATAAACCTATTCAATTATATACCTATAGCATCTCATGTTCTATAATTTTGTTCTTTTCTTGAGCACTGAATAGAGAATGTTCAAATGCATCTAAACAGTTGCTGCTTATGGCCTTACCTACTGACTTCCTCCCTTTTCTCAATCTGTAAGTATGTGCATTCGATGTCTTGACAATAGTATCACTATTTGTGTTTTTCTGTTTCATTCTTATATTTCGACAATAAAAAATTTACAGTAAACACTCGCATATTTAATTTGTACACTGAAACTGCACAAATCAAAGTGTTAATGGAAACATAGCTACCATTTAACACTTGGAAGTTGTGAGTTACCTAAAAATAAATAAGAATACAAATTTGGTATAAGATGACAATATTATTAATATTTACAACATATCTTTGTGGGAAAAGAAAATATATGAATATTAAACCACTTATGTGTTTATATATAGCACACCAACACTCTTGATGTATGTAATACTCTTCTGTACTAAAAAGTATGAGTTTCCTAATTTCCCGCCAATAGGCAACATTTTTTTCTTTGACTTATTGTCACGTGCTGTGTCTGAACTATCATAGCATTTGCAATGAAAACTACTGTTAGCTTGTAGCTAAGGAGTATTGCATAATAATCAGGAAAATTTAATTTTCATATTAATTATAGTAAAATATCCACTAAGTGATTTACTTTGGCTTTTTTGGTCTTTGTTTAATCATCTTCAAAATGAAGAAAATATCTACCTTACAAGTATAAAATATTTTCAAATTATGATAGATTTTAAACTAATGAATCTGAAGTCATGTTTAATATTGGAATGAATAGATAGTAACTGTATATTTATAAGTTGTTGATATATTTTAGACATAATTCAGCAATAACGTTTAAAGTTTTCCTCTTTGTCAATTAAACTTCTCAATACAAATAATTAATAAAAATAAAAGACAATATTTCACGTCAGTAAAACTTTCAATTAATAAGATATACCAAGTATGTTTCTTCTTCTTTACAAGCATTATCCTACTTCTCAAATCAAACCCTGTATGGGAGAGGACCTAACAGACCTCAATATAAGGCTCTGACAGTGTTTTAAAAATTTGCATACCTTAGTTAAGTATGTCACATGCACGCACATGCAGATACACACATTTAAAAACAGTGTCTACATGTGCAATACAATTTTCCCAGATTGGAATTTTAAAATTTACGTGATTAACTTTTTTTTGAGACAAGGTCTGGCTTCATAGCCCAGGCTGGAGTGCAGGAGCGCTACCTTGGCTCACTGCAATCCCCTCCTTCCAGGCTCAAACCATCCTCCCACCTCAGCCTCCCGAGTAGCTGGGACTACAGGTGAGCACCCACATGCCCAGGTAATTTTTTTTTTTTTTTTTTTTGTGGACATGGGGTTACCATGACCACCTCCTCAGGTTTGGTTAATTTGCTAGGATAGCTCACAGTACTCAGGGAAACAGTTTACTTGTGTTTACTGGTCTACTGAAAAGAAATTACAAAGATACAGATGAACAACGGAAGAGATGCATAGGGCAAGGTACATGAGAAGGGGCATGAAGCTTCCACGCCCTCCCTGGCATGCCACCTTCCAGGCATGTCCATGTTTTTAGCAATCCAGAAGCTCTACAAAACCTGTCCTCTGGGGTTTTTATGAAGGTTTCATTACATAGGCATGATTGATTACATTACTGACCATTGGTGATCAAGTCAATCTTCAGTCTTGCTCCTCTCCCTGGAGGTTGGAGATTGGGAAAAAAGTTCCAACTGTCTAATCCTGGCTTGATCTTTCCGGTGACCAGCCCTCATCCTGAAACTATCTAAGGGTCCCAGCCACCAGTAATTAGCATACAAAGGACACATTTCTTACTTCAGACATTTCAAGAGTTTTAGGAGCTGTATGTCAGGAACCAGGGACTGAAACTACATATATATTTCTTATATATCACAATATGAATGAAGGTAATTGAGACTGGAGTAAAGTAGATGAATAAGATAGTGATAAAGCAATTTTATAATTTTATTTTATAATTTGTATTACCTATTGGTAAGCACCAACATCTGCTAGTTATTAAATAAAAAGCTTCTTTCTTAGGTATATTGAGAAGAACATGCACTTTGGAGTTAGAAAATTATTTAAATCTTGGCTTAGCATCTTCTAGCTGGGTGGTATTTTCTGAGCCTAAATTCTCTCATCTTTCAAATTAGGACAACGTTATTTATTTTTCAGAGTTGTTGTAAAGCTCCTGTAATACTACCTGGCACATAATGGTTATTCACACTGTAGCTACTAATGTTTTATCAATATTATTAGCAACGTTATGTTTTCAACCTTTAATAGTAACAAAGGTCTGACTTAGTTCATTCGCATTCCCTTAGTATCTATGGGGAATTGGTTTCAGGAGCCCATGCAGATACCAACATTTAACTCAATTCTGACATTGTCTACTGAGAGATAGTCTCCTATCCTCCAATTTCAAATCCAAAATGAGTGAATTTTCAAGCGACTTATATAAAATAGCATGGTGTTTGCATGGGACCTATGCACAATCTTCTGTGCACTTACATCTCTAGATTACTTATAATCTAGATTATAAGTAATACAATGTAAATGCTATAGAAATAATTGATATCCTGTGTTTTTATTTATATTGCTTTTTATTTTCATTTTATTATTTTTAGAATATTTTTGATCGATGGTAGATTGAATCCTCAGATGAGGAATCCATGGATGTGCAACTCATGGATATGAAAGACCAGCTGTATTTAATTTCTCATTCATTCATTAGACAGTTATTGATCATCCACTGATTGCCAGGTACTTTAGTAGCCTTTTCTAAGTAGGTACAGATATGCCAATAGTCAAGCTGAAGGATAGTCATGAAGAGAGGTACACCCTTCAATCTATCCGTGGCAGAATTTGGGACACTAGCAACATAAATATGGGAATATTCAATATTAAAAAAAAATCTGGAGTTTTCCAAACCTGATGGAGACTTTTTTCTCACAAAGAAAATGTTTTGTAAGTAGAAGAATAATGAGGATGTGATTTCTTGATTGTCGTAGGAGAACATACTTCAATGTTACTGAATCACATTTGCCACTAAATAATTCCTTCTTTGGTTCTATGTTCTCTATCCCCCCAAAATTCAGTCAATGTGAAGGAGATTTAAAAACAGATAAATGAAGGTGTTATGTGTTATCATTAAGAGTAGTGTTGAACAGCATGTATCTTTAGAGAGATGTATGAGAAGAGGGAAAGAAATACCAGGAAGATCAGAGGATATTACTATGAACACAATAAAACATTAACTGTCTCCTTACAGATTTTCATCATAAGGTTTGCATACACATTTAACCTTGGCCACAAGTTGTATTTTTAGAATGGCTGACAAAAAAAAAATACTAGAAGTGTTGGATAAATTATATTATGTATTGGAATATCTTTATACATAAATCTCTAAATGGCTTTTCTTTGTATTATTTACCTGTGCTAATTGGGTAAAATTTGTGAATTAAATGTGATATACTGCCTTTTTTATTTTATCTCTACTCCTTCCTCTTTTCAGTGTTGCTGAAATAAAATGATTCTGCTCATGTAGCTGGACATGCTTAGAATATAGGACACGTTTTGTTACATTTTTATTTCTGTAGATAGAATCTATTTTAGCTTGAATCAAGGGTCACAGAATAAAACTAATCAAGAAAATAGAGGAACACGTGTCTCTCTGCTCTGGTGGGAGAAGTTGAATTCCCGTCGGTTTTGCTCCCACCTCTCCATTCATCCTTCTCCCTAGTGGTCTTTGGGCTCAGTCTCTACCCACCTCTTCTTTCATAGTGTAAGAACCAGGTGCATTTATCCTTCCTCAATTTCAACAGCCACCTACATGTTGAGCGTTCCCAGTTTTGTATCTCTGGAAAAATATTTGCTCTTGATATTCAGACCCATATATTCAAACCCTCGGGAATTCTCCATTTGACCTTTTGCAAATGGTTCAAAGCAAAATCATTTTCTCACTCAAACCTACTTCTGTATTTCCCTCTCATCCAACAGTAATACCCTCCACCTACTTACTAATCCCAGAAGCCTAGGAATTATCATTGATTCTTCACTCTCCATTAAGTTTTACAATCTCTCCATTACTATCCCATCAATTCTGTCATTTTAATTTCTTATAAATCTGTTGTTTGATTTCATGTGCATTGTCACCACTGCCTCATTTCAGACAATTGACATATCTCTACTAAAATACTGTATAGCTCATAAATGGTCTCCTTTCTTACATTCTTGTCCCACCAATCACTTACCTACACTGCTACCACAGTGATCTTTCCAAAGCATGAATTGGGCTTTGCCACTTACCTGCTTAAAATCCTTAAAAGATTCATCATTGTCCTCAAAATAAAACCCAACCTTGTTGGCATAGTACACAAGGCTCTTCTGATATGGTTGTTAATAAATGAAGGTGCCAATCTTGCCTTTTTTTCACCCTCCTTCTTTGACTCCTTCTCACCCAAACTCATGCCCCTGCTCAAAGTCTATGAAGCTTTTGCATTTGCTGGATCCACCCATGCTTTCTCATTGCTGTCATTTGTGCCTGTATACTTTACTTGCTGCTACTTTTGCCTCCACCTTACTCACCCAATTTTTTATTCTTCAGTATAGATATCAGCCTCTACAGACAGCCTTCCCTGATTTTCCAAAACTGGAATCATGTGTCATTATGTGCTCATTAGCAGCACAGCGGCCTGTACTAATCACTATTGAGGCTTATTATATTCTAGTTTATCTGCTGGATTCTCTGTCTCTCAGCACTTACTTACCCTCACTCATTAGACTACAAAAAGTTCAATTCATAGTAACCACTTAATACATTTTTATTGATAAAAAATAGTAGATTGGTATAAAAGAGACTTGGCATAAAACAAAAACAAAAACACAACAAATAAACCAACAAAAAGAAACCCATAGTAGAACATACAACCACCTTCATAGAGATATTATGTAGCTTAATGATGCTGTTTGAAGGTATGTGGATTATCGCATCTTCTGCCTACAAAGATGAAGTATCTATAAGTGGGTAGCCTAATATATAGTAAGTTTCTTATCTTTTTAAATTTTATTTTCAAATAGTAGTTACAGGGCTATGTAGACATAATCATTGACAACTTTAGGAATTTTATCATAAAAATGACATATGTGATAGACACATATTTTGAGTTTTGGGTAAAAATCCCCATCATATTCTATGAATGCAACTGTGTTCATTACACATTTATGAGCTCATCACAACTTAATTATCAATAAGGTGTTAAAATTGTTAATTAAATTATTCTTCACCCTTGGGAATGAATCTTTTCTTTTTGTGTTAAAACATCAGTATAATCAATCAGTGTATTGGAAACCAGAGATTTTTAAAACACGAATGTTTTTATTAAAAAAGAAGGAGAAATGAGAAGGTATCACATATGTTTTCTAGAAAATAAAAAGAATAAAATTTCTAAAACCAGGAAGCCATTCTCCTTAATCTTCATTTTTTAAATACTTACTCTACCCCATTGGCATAATCATTCAGGACATTTTACAAAGTTCTTTTTTCTTAGTGTGGGGCAATCTCCTCTGTTGCTCTAACTTACACTAGATGTTGATTAGAAGATTTAAGAACATCAGTGAGTAAGATACAAAATTGCAATGTTCAGAACTAAGTTTAAAATTGTTTCCAAAAAGCAAATCTCAAGTCATAGTAGAATAAAACATAGAGAAAGGAAAGGCTCTATGAGGTAGGCAATTAAAAGAGCACAGTGAAAAAGGGAAACAAAGGTAAAAAGAGTGAAAGAGGAAAATACATTTTAACAGCAGGAAATGACATGACATGACAAGAAAAAAACGAATGAAAGAGTAGAAAGACAGATGGGAGAAACAGAAGTCAAAATTAACGACAAAAAAGAAAAAGTACACCTACAGAAGACTGAAAAAAAAATACAAGGAGCAAAATGATCTTCCAATTATAAATGTGTTTCAATGCCCAAATATTGCTATATTTTAAAAAATGCCAGAATAGCTGTATTAGTCTGTTTTCATGCTGTTGATAAAGACATACCTGAGACTGGGAAGAAAAAGAGGTTTAACTGGGCTTACATTCCACATGGCTGGGGAGACCTCAGAATCATGGAGGGAGGTGAAAGACACTTACATGGCACTTACATGGCACTTACATGACAGTGGCAAGAGAAAATGAGGAGGATGCAAAAGGGGAAACCCCTGATAAAACCATCAGATCTCATGAGACTTATTTGCTACCATGAGAACAGTATGGGGGAAACTGCCCCCAGGATTTAAATTATCTCTTACTAAGTCCCTCTCACAACACATGGGAATTATAGGAGTACAATTCAAGATGAGATTTGGGTGGGGACACGGAGCCAAACCATATCATTCCACCCCTGGCCCCTCCAAATCTTATGTCCTCACATTTCAAAACCAATCATGCTTTCCCAACAGTCCCCCGAAGTCTTAACTCATTTCAGCATTAACCCAAAAGCCCACAGTCCAAGGTCTCATCTGAGACAAAGCAAGTCCCTTCCACCTATGAGCCTGTAAAATCAAAAGCAAGCTAGTTACTTCCTAGATACAATGGGGTACATGTATTGGGTAAATACACCCGTTTCTAAATGGGAGAAAGCTGCCAAGGTTTGGGGTTTGCACCCTCTGAAACAATCAGCTGAGCTGTACGTTGGCCCCTTTTGGCAATGGCTGGAGCAGCTGGGATGCAGGGCACCAAGTCCCTAGGCTGCATACAGAATGGGGACCCTAGGCCTGGCCTATGAAACCATTTTTCCCTCCCAGGTTTCCAGGTCTGTGATGGGCAGGGCTGCCATGGAGACCTATGACATGTCCTGGAGACATTTTTCCCTTTGTCTTGGGGATTAACATTTGACTCCTTGTTACTTATGCAAATTCCTGCAGCCAGCTTGAACTTTTCCTCAAAAAACGGGTTTTTCTTTTCTACTGCATTGTCAGGCTGCAAATTTTCTGAACTTTTATACTCTGTTTCCTTTTTAAAATTGAATGCCTTTAACAGCACCCAAGTCACCTTTCAAATGCTTTGCTACTTAGAAATTTCTTCTGCCAGATACCCTAAAATCATCTCTCTCAAATTCATAGTTCCACAAATCTCTAGGGCGGGGCAAAATGCCGCCAGTCTTTTTGCTAAAACATAACAAGAGTCACCTTTACTCCAGTTCCCAACAAGTTCCTCATCTCCATCTGAGACCACCTCAGCTTGGACTTGATTGTTCATGTCATTATCAGCAATTCTGTCAAAGCCATTTAACAAGTCTCTAGGAGATTCCAAACTTTTCCACATTTTCCTCTCTTTTTCTGAGCTCTCCAAAGTGTTCCAATCTCTGACTGATACCCAGTTCCAAAGTCGCTTCCATATTTTTGGGTATCTTTTCAGCAATGCCCACTCTACTGGTACCAATTTACTGTATTTGTCTATTTTCACGCTGCTGATAAAGACATGCCCGAGACTGGGAAGAAAAAGAGGTTTAACTGGACTTACAGTTGTTCCACATGGCTGAGGAGGCCTCAGAATCATGATGAGAGGCTAAAGGTCCTTCTTACATGGCGGTGGCAAGAGAAAATGAGGAGCATGCAAAAGCGGCAACCCTTGATAAAACTATCAGATCCCACGAGACTTATTCACTATCATGAGAACAGTACGGCGTATATTACTGCCTTGATTCAAATTGTCTCCCACCGGGTCCCTCCTGCAACCCATGGGAATTATAGGAGTACAATTCAAGATGAGATTTGGGTGGGAACACAGAGCCAAACCATATCAATAGCATTTCCTATAATACATTATTCTTCTAATTTTCTTAAGTTTATAGTAAAAAAAATTCACTTGGACAATTTCAAGACACACCAGAGAATCAAAATATCATCAATGTGGTAGTTTCCAATTGGTTGCCCTGAGCACATTACTTTGTATAGTTTGTATCCATAATGGCACACAGTATTAGCTGAGTAGGTTTTTTCTTATTTATTTATTTTTAATGTACTATTTGTTCTCTCCTAAACTTTTATCTGAGTATTTGGAAGCCAAATGACTAAGATTTTCACAAAAGGTAAAATAGAGGCACATAGCTTTCTTTTAAGTAAAATGTTACTTTACCCTCTAACCTCCAGCATCCCAGGACTAACAATCGATTGCTATTTTTTTTCTTTTTTCAGTGTCTTGATTTTTAGTCTGTTAATGATATGTAAATATTTCAGATTTTCTGTCATCCAAATAATACAGTTAGACTGTAACTATAAATATTAACTTGGAACATTACAAATAAAATTAATAGAATCATTTTAATAGGAGATGATAAGGTCTAAAATATAAACCAGATCTCTCTCTCTATCTCTATCTGTATAAACTAATAATGTAGCAATATTACTTTCTTATTTAGCAAAGTAATTACAAAAGTTCGTGCTAAATTATGATTTCATAAACAAACACATACCACAGGAGTGCAAGCATGGATGGAAAAAAACATGCTTAATTTCCTAGATTTAATAGCTTTTAATGCAACTCCACACCTATTTGTTGAAATGTGGCTATTTTGAAGGTCCCGTGCTAGAGGCAGCTAAGCCACAGGGAGAGGGGAAGAGTTGAAAGAAAAACGCACAGATAATCGTATAGCGGGTCAGGTTATAGTAAGCATTCCAGGCAAAATACTCACATGGGTTATGAAGGGTTCAAACAAAGGGGTTCAAAGGAAGAAGACATCATAAGAAGCTGGAAAAACCAAGAAATCTAATGGAGGATATGTAATTTGAGATGGGTCTGGAAGGATGAGTAGGATTTTGAAGACAGAGACAAACAGTATGACTTTTATTTCAACTGCTATTCTTCAGGTTTCAGTAGTCATTGTATTTCATTTGATGTTACAAGTTTTGGTAATTTCTTCCTTCATTTCTAGCTTCTTAAATAAACCCTCTGCTACATGACCTCTACTGAGCATTAATCATGCCAAATTAATCACTATTTTCTGGATAAGCCAAATATTCTAAAAAATCCCTATGCCTCTACTCATACTATTCTCTCTGCTTGCTTCACCTTTGCTCTTTTCCCTAAAGTAGGCTGCGAACGAATATAGAAGGCTTGGTTCATTTTCAATGTCTTCCTTGACCCCCACCTCGAAGAAGTATGTGTACCTCACAGGTATTTCCAAATCCCTCTGTATGTTCTTTGATTATTGTCTCTCACATCGTATCCATTTATCAAGGAACAAGCTTGTTCCTCCACACAGAGCGGTTCTTAAGTAAGGGCAGGAGAAGCCATATGGTTATCCTCCGGCCCAGGCTGTCAGGTGGTTGGTATTCGGTCTGTATATACTCTGATGCAATCAGTTTTTGAAGGAAAGAACGGTAAGCGCAAATAGAACCATAGCTTGTGTAGCAGGGTTCATGTAAGCAGTGGTTCTTACTGAAAAACAGACCCTGTTCTCTCGGGCTCACTTCTTCCTCCGTGTGAACCACTAATAGGAGGGGACCGAAGGCTGAGGCCAGGCCACCTGGAAGCCCACAACGCTGCTAGTAGCAGCGACAGCAGTAACAGCAACTCACCACTGTAAAATCCTCAGTGCGTTTCCATGTGCTTTCCCTGTCATCTAAATGCTTCTCTTCAGCGGCCTAAGGTGGCCCTTCTTTTTCCCCGAGTTCAGGGAAACACCTCCCTTCTTTCAGAATGTGAGAAAAAAATGGGATTTTCCTGGGGCTGAGAGTGGGGATTCCCTTTCCAGAAACGTGCAATTTTTTCATCCCGCCCACCTGGACTGAAGGCAATCAAAGCGAGGGAGCTCGTGGCATAGTGGAACACTCCAAGCACCCTGGCCCCCCTCCTCCCAGAGAAGGGTCTGGAGCCCCGCAATCCGCTAATTAGCTCGCCCCCATTGGTTGTCCCCAAGGCACCCCCGTGCCGTCACTGTGCTATGCTAATGAGGGGGAGTCTCATTGGCTGGGCCTCCAGCTCCATCTCCACAGGGAGATTGCGGGGAGAGCCGGGTTGGCCGCGTCTGGGGCCGAAACCCACCGCCCCCGATTCCCGCCAGCTCAGGGCTGTGCCGGATGCAAGCCCGCCCGAGGGAACAGTAGCCGGGAGGCTGCCCTCTGGGAGGATCTGGCAACTGCCTTTAAGGAAAGTGCTTCACCATCAAGCGGCGCTCACTCCCACCCCTCTCCCCTCTTTCTAGGCACCGCGCGTCTTTTTCGGCGAAGTAACTTTTTATACCCGCCTCCCCCTAGTCCTGGGGACCAGAGGCGGTGCCGAGCCTGGGGGCGGTTCCTTGGCAGCGTTGATTCTTGTCAGAGCCAGACTTTTGCTCCTGGGTTGGGTTTGCATCATCCCCATTACACCCTCGGGAAAGAGGAGCCAGCCCCCTTTCAAGCCTTAGCTTCCGGCTCCAAGCGGACCCCCTCCCCCTCCCTGTCCCCTTCCCCTTCTCCCATCCCTCTCTCGGCCACAGCGTCTTGTTAGTCCTCTCCCTGTACTCCGCAATATTTTCTTTCTTTCTCCCTCCTCTCCTCCATTTGTTGTTTGATGTTTCCCACTCTTTGAGGAAGGATGGTTGATTTGGAGAGCGAAGTGCCCCCTCTGCCTCCCAGGTACAGGTTTCGAGATTTGCTGCTAGGGGACCAAGGATGGCAAAACGACGACAGGTGAGTGGTGTGGTGGAGGATTGTTCTGTAAATATTGCTGAAAAAGAGACGGAAATGGGAGGGCCGAAGTGGGGAAAGGAGGGAGAAAAGGAAAACGGAGCCAGAGAGGGAGACTAGGCTGGGGGAGGGAGTAAAAGAGACTCTGATTTGTCTCTCCATTTTGACTCTATATAACTGTTGCTATAGATAAGGAACTCTTTTTCTTTACACTTTTCTTATTCTTGCAAGGTATTTATTGCATTCATTTGGTGCTTATTCTTTTGTCTATCTGTGCTTTTCTAGGATGTGTATAAGGCTGGTATCAGAGGTACAATACACCCAAATGGTATGCAATATCATTTCCAGAAAATTTGCATTTTTTCCTTAGGTGTGGTTAATCAAACTCAAAATTGCATGCAAGTTGTTTGAAAAAGCACATTAGAAACTTAAAATCTCCTGAGTCTATTTACCTCCTCCTTGTCTGTGTTGTCTTGAGTAGGTATCTACTTGGCACTGGAAATTTTATGCTGTTTAAACATTTTGGAGTTTTAAGTAGACAATTGGTTTAAATATGTAACAGGTAGTTAGTGAAAATGACAACCTTTTTAATACAATATACTCACTTTGAACAGGTGACTCTGACCATTATGAATAATGATGTTTGTATAACATGATACAACCTTTTCATAACTAGTATATTTTTTTAACTGAAACAGAATATATGTCTCAAAATTAAAATTAAGTTTCAAAACTAGAATATTTATTGTTAGCAAAATATTGTTCATGTGTTTTATTTATAGCATTACTGCTTTGCACAAACTTCTGAAATTCCTCTGTCTATTTCTGTCTCAAGCACATTTTGTATTTCAGCGAATTTAGTATTTTCTGGAATAGTCATCCCATATATCACATGCCACATTTCTTTGTTTTAAAATAATACATGTATACTAACTAGGTTCTCAACTCAATTGAAATGTTTCATTGAAGTTTAGTTTAGTATTGATGTGCTATTTTAGTTATATAAAAGATCCATTATTGGTCCAATCCAAAATCCCCTCCTCATTCACCACTGACCAATACACTCTATTTCTTTTCTTCACCTTTTCAGCTCCCAATACCAACTCCTGTCTCTACACACTGAGGATTTTATCTTGAGCATCAATTATGGGCATCTTGTTTGGTCTCATATTAGTAATTTGAAAGGAGATGGATGTTTTGTAGAGGATATTTTGGTTCAATCTCTTTTTTAGGCAAAACCACACATATTGGCTAAAAATTTAAAGAAGTAATACCAATTTCTCAGTATTCTTGTAAAGTGTTTGGGTAAACTGAAGATAAAGAAAATAATTTTTAAGTGAATTTGTAATACAAATTGACATTTAGATAAACTGCATTAGCCTGGTTAAATGGCTTAGTAAGTGTAGCATGGTGTTCCTAGTGACTGAATGTATATTTAGTTCAGGACCTCAGGATCATTATATAGAATAGAAATCCTCTTTGTAGAAAGTGTGAGATAGATTAAACACATAAAGCACATACTTTGGTTATAGTGATGGTATTGTTGTTTGTTTGTTTTAAATATCATATCCAATATGTTAATTTTCATGTGGTTGCCCTCATTTTTCTAAGGATGCTGCAGAAATATTTTAGTAATTAAGAATTTTGGTTAGTTGAACACTGCCTAAATGGATCAGTGCCATATTAAAAAAGTTTTGCAGAATGGTTAAAATTTTATGTTCTATTAAAAGGTTATGCTAGCCCAACTTTAACTTAAAAAGCAGGCCACATTTACTACTAAAATAAGTTATTAAATATTTAAAACAATCATTCAACCATTTTTAAGGATTTGGCTACTTTTGTGGCTTCATGGAAAACTATTCTTTGGTTTTGGTTCCATTTGTTGTTAATCTTTGAAGGCAAGATACTTGGAATCAGAGAAACCCAGATTCAGTCCTTGGCTGTTTCCTTCACTAGCTGAGTGGCCTTGGGAAAGTCATTCAGCCATTATGAGATTCAGCAATATTATTTTTTATAATGGGAATTATACTGTCTACCTTATAAAACTGTGACAAGAGGAAGGATGGAGAGGCGCAGAACTAACATTTAGTTGGAAATAAGTACTCCCAAGTTCTTTTAACTGTGCGGTATGTTCTTTCTTAGTTAATCCTCAGACAAACTCTGAATAGCAGGCAATTATGTTAGGCACAAGGAAACTGAAATTTTGGTAAATTAAATACGTGTCTTGGATATTATATCTTATCAGTGTAAAGATAACTCTTCAGTTCAGTTTATTATTATTCAAATCCCTCAAGAAATTCTTAAGTTCTTTTCACTTAATTTATTTGAACTTATAAGAATAATTTACAGCACCTAGCATAGTTTAGGTGCTCATTAAATATTAGTTCCCTTCTTCACTTCTGATTTGCCCTTTGCAATCCTTTTTTTCTCCCTTTTCAGACTCCTAAGCTAATATGTGGTAGGTAAAGTCATCTTCCTTGTCTATAATATGGTGACAAATTCCTCTTTGCAATTACGCCTGGATAGCAATCTCATTCTACTCAGTTATCTTCTTGGACTCAATTCTTATAGAGTTGAGGAGGAAGCCCTCTTTCATGTAGGAGTAGGTAGATCATTTCCAACAACAGATACATTTAGTGCTCTGCCCATATTCTCAAAGCAACTTTCTTTGAACACCTCCTGCATGAGGTTTTCTCCCCACCACCAACCTCAGGTGCATCCAAGTCCTGCTTGGAGAACAAGCTGGAGTGTCACTGAGTAAATAGGCTGTTTCTGAATCAATACTTTTGCTTCCTTGCTCCTTAGCTTGGAGAATTCTGAAGCATGTTCTACACTGTGTCCAAAGGGACTGAGCTCCACTTGCCCGCAGTGATAACTGGCTTAATACTGAAAGCTTTATTGGCTTCTGTCTCTCTTCTCCCCTACTGGTATTTTATCTGTGATCAATTCCCAAATGAACTGCTTTTGCTGCAATCCTATCTCAAGCTTACCTTCTGGGAGAATCTGCATCAAGATAGCTGTTTTCTGGATGTAGAGAGCCACATCCTTGTAATGATGGGGGAATTGTGTTCCAAATGTAGGAGTATAAACACTTTCTACCTTGTTCCTCACTGTAAGAATTTCAAACTCCATCTTAGGTCATAGTTGACTGGCACATGAAAATGAATGAAGCATATGATAGATGCTCAAATGGGTGTTGTTAAAGACATAATATTGATGGGCCTATTAGGTGTAGGAAATGTGTATTCCATACCATAGATTTTCTGTGAATCAACTTTGGATAAGTAGGTCATCTAAATTTATATTGTGCCACCTTTTGTGTAGGTAAAAACACATACACATACACTGGCATAATGTACATGTAATGTATATAGTGTATATGTAACAGATATGCATTGCTTTTGTAATATATGTATTATAAAATATTGTATATTGTATGCTAAAATTGTATATTATGTAATGCATCATATATTACAAATATGTGATTAATAATATATATTATAATATATGTAATGAATAGATATGTCTTTGTATTATCTTTACGCCATCCTTAGATAATTGCTTCTCTCTCATTTGCACTCTGATATCCTTTTCTGAGTAGGACATATGGGAATAGGGTTAGACACAGCAGTGCAGAGAATTTAGCACATGGATAACACTACTTCTGTGAGGCCATGAAATAAATTTGAGTTGCTAAATGAGAATATTGCTTATGTGTAGGGATGTCTTTTGTATATATGATGCACACTTACTTGTTTGACATCCTGAGCAAAAAACAAAAATCTAATTCAAGTGGTTTGTATGATATGTCTTTAATGGCCATTCATTCATTCAGCTAATATTTGAATGTTTGCTATGTCTCAGGGCCCCATTAAGTTAGGTTTTGGGACAAATACGGAAAAGAATATGAAATAGCGCTCAGTCTGGAGGGGGTCACAGATATGATAAGAGGTTAATTCACCTCAGAATATTGACAGTATTGTTTATGTTATGATGATGTCCTTATAGAATTTCCATTTTAATACTGTCAAGAAGATTCTGCACCATTTGTAGAAAGGATATTCAGCATTTGCTTGAAAATAAAGTAGTTGAAATCACATATTAGAGATAGCTCAAGGCATTCAACATTCAATATTCAACTTCTGGCACCAAGCCATCTTCCTGCCTTGGACTCCCAAAGTGCTGGGATTATAGGTGGGAGCCACTGCTCCAAGCCTGTTTTCTGTTTTAATATTTCTATGATTCACAAAGCAGTAAAGATTTAGAGTATTCTCCTGCAGTTAAACACTGATAAGTTACAGGTTTTAAAAGTCATCAGCCAGTTATACAAGTCTTCTCCTGTTTCATCATGATTTAGTAATTTTAAACTTTGGAACACAACACACTTAATGTGAATAAATTGTCACAATTCCAACTACTGTTAATGGAAAATCCTCAGTTGTAGCCATAGAAGAGAAGGTCATTTATTTAAGACCATTCTAGTTTTCAAAAATCAGGTCACTTGTTTCAAATCCAATAATCATGCATACCTTTTGTATTTTATAGGTGGCCTTTAGAAGTAATTCAAGGAAGTCAACTAATGCATTGTAGTTGTTAAAACATTAAAGGATTTGAACATAGTACAAGTCAATCCATTAACAGTTTAAGAGGTATTTACAAAAATAGAAAAATATTTCCACAGCATTTGGAATATGTGTAATTTTAGATATACACTGCAAAATATATTGCTTTACATAATCAAATTCAATTGTGAGAATGGGTTTTGTATTGACATATTAAACATTTTATAAATTACTAACTTTATCTCCATTATAAATTATATATTGTTTTGAAAAACAGCCATTTATTATAAAATATTTATTCTAAATTTTAAGTTCAGGTTAGTAAAGACAATTTTAAATTTTTGAGCGCCATTAAAATGAATGACACATTATTTTTACTCTTTAATCGATAGTGGCATCAACTATGCATATACAATATCTACAAAAATGATTTAAGCATTTACTTTAGAAAGAGAGTTTAGACAATCCTGTGTTTCTTATCAATATCGACTTTATTAAGAAAAATATCCACAAATAAGGCAATAGAAAATTAGAAACTTAAACAGATAATGGTATAAAAAATAGACTTTGGGCCGGGCGCGGTGGCTCACGCCTGTAATCCCAGCACTTTGGGAGGCCGAGGCGGGTGGATCATGAGGTCAGGAGATCGAGACCATCCTGGCTAACAAGGTGAAACCCCGTCTCTACTAAAAATACAAAAAATTAGCCGGGCGCGGTGGCGGGCGCCTGTAGTCCCAGCTACTCGGGAGGCTGAGGCAGGAGAATGGCGTGAACCTGGGAGGCGGAGCTTGCAGTGAGCCGAGATTGCGCCACTGCAGTCCGCAGTCCGGCCTGGGCGACAGAGCGAGACTCCGTCTCAAAAAAAAAAAAAAAAAAAAAAAAAAATAGACTTTGAATATATATAGTGTAATACATAAAATGCAGAGAAAAATGTATTATTTAATAATTATTGTTTTTCAATCACTACTAAGAATTCAGACATCAATATTTTATATAAAACACACAAGGTTCTTTTCTTTTAACCAATTCTTATAAATAAAATTGAAATGTGACTTTTCAAATTACTGATACTTTATTTTTAAAGTTTGATTTAATTTAACAGCTATCATATAGCCACTTTCTGCATTTGGTTATGTATTAGTAGTACTTCTGTGAGTGACTTAATCATTTCCCTGGGGCTCCACTGAATACTGTCACATTCGGTATTATGTTCCAATATATGAATTTCATGGGGACACCAACATTGAGATCACAGCAATTGATCCTTTTGTCATTGATGGTTCATCTGTTTTTATTAATTTATGTATTGCCTATGTCATATTATTTATTATGCACCATGCTTGTCTAAGTTGTCTTTAGAAAATAAAGCAAAAAGCAATATTTTTTACAGTAAAACGGTAACCAGTTGCTTTATATACTTACAATTTGAAATTAAGTTCACTTGGCCTTTTTCTGAGCAATATTTAATGTTTAGCGGTATCCTTCATTGAGATGTCTTTTTCTGAGTTTTAAATTTGGAATTAAAATTTTCTCTGCAAAAGCAATCAAAACAATAAATAATTATCCAGAAAGACAATTATTTTTAATCTTTCACAATCCTTGATTGGATATGGGATTTTTTTTAATGGGTCATAGAAAAAAATCCTTTTCACAGAATCTTAATCATTAGCAATTGAATTGTAATTTAAGTAACAGACGTCTATCTAAACATTGTGAGATAGTAAATAGGATAAACTGTATCCATACTGGTAACAATATGTTATAATCATCTGCTCAACTTCTTTTTGAAATTAGGATGGATATGAATGTCAGACATATTACCAAAGAAATAAGACTTTTAGATAAAATATTTAGGAATAAAAATGCAGTATGGGGCAATTTATCTTTTACATTGTTTTGTAATTTTATGTGGCAATTCTAAAAAAAGGAAGTAGGCTAACATACAGGGTCAGAGAATTGGTAAGATGGCTATAAAATTGGTGAAACACCATCATAATAAGTGGTTTAAAATAATCACCGTATCAGTAGAGCCAATTCTGTTTTTGCTAAATAACATCTCCCTACAGAAACTTCTGACAGTTGTGGATATATTGGTCTTTATCATTTCAAAATTTAAATGATAGCCTGCAGAAACCCTTAATAGCATTGACATCGTTCTTTCACAGACATTAAACACCCTACTAATTATCAAGAAGCACACTAAGCTCTAGGGATAAAATTGTGAGCAAAATAGACCTAGTTCAGATGTAAATGATTTTACAGTAGTGGAAACCGATATTAGATTTAAAAATACATATGCGAACTTAATTACAGTTGTGCTAGGCTATAAAGGAGAATGGCACAATGTTATGAGAGAGCATGATTGAAGATGAGCCTAGTCTGGCAGATGAAATAGTGGTCTGGGGAAAGTTTTCAAAGAAATCTGTGTTGAGATCGAGGTGTAAGGATGAGAAGATGCTGGTAGATTAAATGGGAAAAGAATATTTCAGGCTAAGGAGCAGCTTGCCTAAAAGGCCAGTGCTGGGAGAGAGCAAGGCATTTTCAAGGAACTGAGGAGAGTCAGGAGGCATTTGGAAGTATGGGTCTGGAGTTCAAGAGACCAAACTAGGCTTTACATGTGGCTTGTTACTGAAGCTATCCATAGCTATGGAGAAAATCACTTATAGAAGAGAAGGATGGGCCTGGAGCACTGACACAATTTCATACACAGTACAAAGTCAAAACTGGTTGGGTGAGGTTGTAGATGGTAGGATACAAGTGAAGGTGGGGGACTTTAAGTCCCTTCTCATCTTGAGATTTCTGCCTATGTAGAGTAGAGATGGATAAGCAAGGCCAGAAACTTCTTTAGAAGTAGAAGTGCTGGTGGTGTGTGAAATTTTAAAGGTATCAGCAAATGACCAAATTTTATGAATAAACAAATTGTCAATATTGAGCATAGATACTGTTTTACTCTTGCAATTAAATAAAATATAGAACACTGTTAATCTGTCATTCAGTGTGATCCATATCAAGTATGGATATCTAATATAAATGTATTTCTATTGTTGTGCTCCATAACATAGAAACCAAGAAATTCACCACACATCATAACCATGTTTTACTTCGTCAACCAAACTACATCATTAGTTTTTGTTGCCTAAAACAATCACTGATAGTGACAACTTTTCTGATATTATGTGTTTTGTCACTGTAGTTTTCTTAATTAAACGCTCATGTAATAAAAACAAAAACTTTGTGCTCTTAGGAGCTGTGGTTCCTTTGCATGCCTTGCAGCCAACCACCTCCATCTCTCCAGCTTACAGCTTTGTTTATGTGTATTTGGCTTCACAATTTGTCCCAGAAAATTCGGTATTGGCGGACCCTAAGACACAGGGATATTTCATTGCATACCTCTCATGTAGAAGAGTGATCACGTACATGCTTGCAGCAGATGAATAGAAAACTAGGCTCCATGGAGGCCAGAAAACACCGTGAAATGATGTTGGATTCTCTGTAGCTGGTCATATAAAAGCAGAGGAGTGAATTAGAAATTTCTGACCCTGACTCCTTAATAACTAGGTACAACTAGAACAAGCTGACTCATACATAAAGTCTTACATGTAGTATAATTTCAGATTAAGGAGGAACCATTGCATATACATGAAAAAATAAATCATTAACGTAAATGAAATAAATTAGTTCAGTGATATTAGACTTATTTGTCTCTCTTGACTGGGAAGTGGAGATGGCTTTGGAGTTTGGAGGTAAAGAGTTGAGAACCTGGAAAGCCCTAGTTGCCTGAAAGAAAGAAAAATATGCTCTTGGATGTGAGGCAGAAGATAATCAGCAAAAGAGGGAGACTAAGGACAGTGAGATTTCTCTCCACAATTTTGCCTTAGATTGAACGTATTTATCTTAGTCTTTTCTGAGAAATAGAAGCAGTGAAGGAAAACAGAAACAGAACCCAATTGTCAAGCATGGCTGATGTGTAGGGGACAATCGCCTGGCAGCACATCTCCAACTCTTTGACCTCTTTCCTCTTTAGAGTCTTAGCTGTACCTCTCTTCCAATCAGTGCTTTAGTAGTCTTAGCACTACTGCAATTATGCCACGGCTTTAAAGGGTGAGAATCATATCCCTCTGTGTACACATTCCTTGAATTCAGAGTTGTATTACTTCCAATTTTCACAGTATGTAAATATGGGTAAGAAATGGACTTTGCATATAAAGCCAGAAAACAGTAAATCTAAGAAACAGTGAACTGGTTGTTCCTGGCTTTCTTGCACTGGACTTACACAGAATCATAATGATGAATTGTTATTACAAGGGCACACTTAGCCATCTTGTAAATCACTGTGTGAATAGGGATAAAAGTGGATTAACACATTTCAACCTCATTTAACTCCCTGTGGGAAAACTTGTAGATTGTCCACATATTATAAACAACTAGTTGTTAACAACAGGGTCCAGATGTCTAGTTTAATAATGGACAGCCTGCTGTCTCAAGTCTGTCAAAAACTGAAATACTACTCTGTCCCCTAGGGATCAGATAGGGTGATCAGCAAGCTGCACAGGTTCCATTAAGGAGTGATGGTAATGACTTCTGTCACTGCCACACCATGTGGTGATTACATTGGCAAATTATAGATGGAAGCTGTCAGTATTTTGTTTCCATTTCTTACCTTTCTCTGCTCAAAAGAGTTTATGTGCTATTTCATCCATTTCCAATAAAAATGCAGAAGATAAGGTGAAAATGTATGATAATATTGAATATAGTATTTATCACAGCATCAGAGAACATTTACCAACTACTTAGCATGTGTCAAACATTTTTCTAAGCATGTTACATGTATTACGTATTACTTTATTTAATCTTTATACCAATTCTGAGAAATTCTGTTATTTTTCCCATTTTACAAATGAATCAACCAAGGTACAGAAATATATCACTTGTTCAAAGTCACATGACCTGTAAGAGGTAACTAGAATCTAATTATTATGCCTATTCACTATGTTTACAACATACACAAATGTGATTTAATGCTATTTAAATAATAGGAAGAACAAAATTCAAACAAATTTAAAGGCTTTTGAAGTCAGAAAAGTCATACAGCTCTTGCATCCCCATAGGCCAGTGTTATAGTGACTTGATTAAAATAAGTGTTAAGGAATTTTTGAAGTTGGTCATACTTTCTGAAAGAAAAACCTCTTTTGCCTCTAGATGTAGAGCATGGTTCTTTTGATAGTCTGGAGAAAGTAGAATGACATGGAAAATCAGCAAAACAAACTAAGGCAATGGTTTTATTTGTGTGTGTATGGGGGTATAGATTATTATTGATTGATTGACTGAAATAGGGTAAAGGTAGTTAGTATCCCAGAAACAAAATGAAAACAGTATCCCAGGAACAAAATAAAAACAGCACAATGGATAATATGAAAAAGCAAGTGAATAATAAATGAATCATGAGCATATATCAATCAAAAAGACATCATGTAAGATCAAATAGTTAACTTACTAAGACGTTTTAAAATGTCCATTTTGAATGCTTTGGACAGGGTCATCCATTTATTTGCTACTTTAGTTAATCCACAATTATTACTATTTTTTATAGCTATGTGTTTTATTTTTTAATATTTTTCTCAGTAAGACTTTAAGATTTCCTATTTATGCTTCTATCTCCTGAAGTATTTGTACTAGAGTGAAATTGATTTTTTTCTCAACACTGTACTGGGATAATGAAAACACTATGCAGGGATGTTATGAAATTTACATATCATAAAGTGAAGTTACTTGATTTAGGGCTTAACACTTACACCTACTTATTAGTATGTTTTGCCTATTCTAAAGATTTGCAGTGGTTCACAGAAATTCATGCAATAGCATAGAGTAAACAGAAAGTACAACAGAATGAAAAGATAATAAGGAAAAAACCAAGTTAGGAGTATGTAGGTACATAGTATGACTTCCACAAATTTGTATGTATTTACTGGAGATGGGTTGCGAGGTTAGCCAGAGCAAAGATAAGGGCATGATCAGTTGCATAAGATGAGAAATGAACTGGTAGTTCAGAAGAAACACAGCTTTCCTTGGGGCTCAAATTTAAAGAAAATTTATCCTGTGGATCTTTGATTAGTGTACAGTATTCTTATCCACTCTCCTATCATAAAATAGCAAGTTTCATAAGACTCATAACATTCTCACTCCCTGGTGCTGATATAACTATAGAGAATTGTTCTCTTAAAGTAGATCTACAGGACACACCCAGTACTGTATTTCAGGTATATCCCATAGGAAAAAAAAAAAAAGTACGTGAGGTTACAGATTGATTATATTATTGATATATTATATTGTGTACAGTGTACACTGCTCAGTCTTTCATGTAATCTTCCTTAAAAACCTTTTTTTTTTAGTGTAGGTGGCTTTGATTAATAATAAAGGATGCGAAGAGATTGAAGTTACATTCTTTGTTGAGAACCTGATATGTAAATGTAGTCAATAGATACTATAATAGAATGGCTGTCCTTTGATGGAGAACATACTAGGATTCTAACCAAAACACAAACCTGAATTATGTTTACTCTCTCCTCTTCACCTATATTGGACTAACTAATTTATTTTCTTTTTCCACAAGTGCCCAAAGTAAATATACAATTTAATGTTCTATTAAGACTTTGTAAGGGCTGGGTGGGTGGCTCATGTCTATAATCCCAGCACTCTGGGAAGCCAAGGCAGGCAGATTGCTTGAGCCCAGGTTCTAGATCAGCCTGGGAAAAATGGCAAAACTCCATCACTACAAAAAGTACAAAAAATTAGCCAGGTGTGTTGGTGTGTGCTGTAATCCTAGCTACTCGGGAGGCTGAGGTAGGAGGATCGCTTCAGCTTGGGAGGTCGAGGCTGCGGTGAAACGTGATCACATGATTGCATGCCAGCACGAGACCCTGTCTCAAACAAACAAAATAAATAATTGAAAAATAAAGACTTTGTAAGAATCCTGAATTTGGTTATTAATATAGCCATATACAGCCAGCCTTCTCATATCCATGGGTTTTGCTTCTGTGGATTTAACCAATCATGGAGGGAAATTATTTTTAAAAAACAAATAATCCCATCAAAAAGTGGGCAAAGGACATGAATAGACAAGTCTCAAAACAAGATGCACAAATAGCCAGCAAACATGAAAAAATGCTTAACATCACTAATTATCAGGGAAATGCAAATTAAAACCACAATGTGATACCACCTCACTCCCACAAGAATGGCCATGATTATGAAGTCAAAAAACAATAAATGTTGGCTTGGATGTGGTGAAAAGGGAACACATTTACATTGCTGGTGGGAATGTAAATTAGTACAACCACTGTGGAAAACAGTGTGGAGATTCCTTGAAAAACTAAAAGTTGTACTACCATTTGATCTAGCAATCCCATACTGGGTACCTACTCAAAGGAAAAGAAGTCACTATGTGTGTGAAAATGACACATGCACATGCATATTTATAGCAGCATTACTTGTAATTGCAAATATATGGAACTGACCTAAGTGCCCATCAACCAACAACTGGATAAAGAAAATGTGATATATATATATATATATATATATATATATATATATATATATATACACATCATGGAATACAACTCAGCCATAACAAGGAACAAAATAATGTCTTTTGGAGCAACTTGGATGGAGCTGGAGGCCATTATTCTAAGTGAAGTAACTCAGGAATGGAAAACCAAACATCATGTGTTCTCACTTGTAAGTGGAAGCTAATCTATGAGGATGCAAAGGCCTACGAGTGATATAATGGACTTTGGAGACTTGTGGGGAAGGTCGGGAGGAAGGGTGAGGGTTAAAAGACTATATATTGTGTACAGTGTGCACTGCTCAGGTGATGGGTGTACTAAAGTCTCAGAAATCACCACTAAAACACTTATCCACATAACCAAAAACCACCTGTGCCCCAAAAACTATTGAAATAAAAATAAAAATTAAAAGCCTACTACAAAAAATAAAAATGAAAACCCAGTACAGTATTACAATTATTTACGTAGCATTTACATTGTACTAGTTATTATAAGTAATCTAGATTTATACTTGATGGGAGGGTATGATTAAGTTATGTGCAAACGTTATGTCATTTATATCAGAGACTTGAGCATTTGTGGATTTTAGTATCCCCAGGGGTCCTGGAACCAGCCCCCTCTAGATACCAAGGGATGACTGTTTATATGCACATAGATAGAGATATATATAAAGCACATGACTATTGTAGCCAACTTCTGGTTGCTAAGTAATTCATATCATATGAATAACCTCAAGCTAGTGCACAGCTTTTTAATTTGTCTATCACCATTATTATCACTATAATTATTTCAATTATAGTGAATTAATATCATTAATTCATTAATATCAATTAATTCATTAATATCAATATAATTATTTCAATTCTCCATTTCAAAAACTTACAGTAGATTTGTACTATTTTTTTCAAATTCCCTCCTCAATTAGGTATTGAGCTCCACCTATTCTTTCTTGGTACAGTTTCATCCTATCTTATTTAAATTACTACAGCACTTGCCAGCATAGCTCATTATTCCAGGTCTGTTTTATGCACCCTATCTCCAATAATCTTCAATGCTTAACTCGAGCCTCAGTCAACCTATGCATTTTCATCATAGTCTTCTTAAACATGATTTTACCATATCATATTCCCATTTAAAAACCTATGGTATGCCGTTAATG
Organism: Homo sapiens; assembly: GCF_000001405.40. Taxonomy (NCBI): domain Eukaryota; kingdom Metazoa; phylum Chordata; class Mammalia; order Primates; family Hominidae; genus Homo; species Homo sapiens. The sequence goes on along the minus strand of NC_000001.11, from coordinate 196,594,934 downwards.
CTATTATTTGAAATATAAACTGCTGACTCAACATTCAAAGCTCTTTATTAATTGGCTTTTCTTCCTAAAATGCTTTTTGAAATTTGATCTGTGTATTTATTCACAGAAATCATCCCTCTTTTCACAAGCTGATGTCTGCTTTAGTGCCTTTGCTTGTGTCATACCATGATCTGAGGCTGTCTGGTATCATGTCACCCCCTTTTTCATTACCAGACTCTAAATTGGATGCAGTGCCAGAGTTATTAATGACATTTTGAAATCACTCTGATTACTCCATATATTCTACATGCCATTATTTTGTTTTATAATTATGCTTATATTTTTGAAGGTATAACATAACTTTCTAGAGGTAAAGCCATGTCTTTAATTCGTTTTGGATCCTCCTACATTATTTAACGCAAGTAGTCCATACAAAGGCTCCAAGAATTTTAGTCCTGTAGTATAAAGAAGATATTACCAAAAGAAAAAGAAATATGTCACAGCTATGAATATATAGGCCACCACATATATATGTGTACATTATTATAATAAAAATGAGTCATTTGAATTAAAATTCTGATCCCCCTTAGAAACAAAATAGTTTTTAATGTTCATTCTAAGCCTAGGCATTGTAGTTTAAGGTATTTGACTTGAAAATGTCTTTTCTACATCTAATTTAATATTCACAAGGAGCTTTTCTGTGGAAATAGCAAAGCAGAATGTGCTTCAGTCCATAATTCATACTGTGACAGTTCAAATGACTGTTAAAGTGAATTCTGAAATTTACACAGGGAACTGCTCAGTGAAAACCATCAATCTGCTTGACAGCCAGCAGTGCCATTGTCCAAGGGACATGTGGAGGTGTTGTAAATGATCAACTCCATCTCATACTCACATAGGTAGTGGTAGTTATACAGAATTGAGATGAATGGTATTGAATTCTTGTGTGTGTGTATGTGTGTGTGTGTGTTGGTCTTCTGTAAAAATCTTTTTCTTTTCCTTATTGAGAAACAGTGCTTATAATAGTTTAGGGTCTGTTTAGTTTTGCAGTGTTAGTATGAATAAAGAATGATTTTCTTGAAGAATAAAAAGTATGTGAAATACATCTGTGACCATTATCTAAACAACGTGTTCTAAGTATTCGAATAGAAGGTACGCTATTCAAAAATATGTACATTCCTATTATTAAATGTGTAGAAAGTCATATCTTTTGTAGGGTTTCTTTTTTGTTACATGGAGTGACCAGTTTTTTAAATTTTTAATTTTTGTGGGTACATGGTAGGTGTATATATTTTTGGGGTACATGAGATGTTTGGATACAGGCATGCAACGTGTAATAATCACATCATGGAAAATGGGATATCCATCCCCCCAAGCATTTATCCTTTCTGTTACAAAAAATCCGATTATACTCTTTTAGTTATTTTCGAAACCAATCCCACTACTGGGTATCTACCCAGAGGAAGAGAAGTCATTATACAAAAAGATACTTGCACATGCATGTTCATAGCAGCACAATTCACAATTGAAAAAATTTGGAATCAGCCCAAATGCCCTTCAATCAATGAGTGGATAAAGAAAAAAATAAAAAAATACATATATACACATATATATGTGTGTGTGTGTGTGTGTGTGTGTGTGTGTATATATATATATATATTATATATATGATGGAATACTACTCAGCCATAAAAAGGAATGAATTAATGGCATTTGCAGCAACCTGGATGGAATTAGAGAATATTATTCTAAGTGAAGTAACTCAGGAATGGAAAACGAAACATCATATGTTCTCACTCATAAGTGGAAGCTAAGCTATGAGGATGCAAAGGCATAAGAATGATAGATGGACTTTGGGGACTCGGCAGGAAAGGGTGGGAGGGGGTAAGGGATAAAAGACTACAAATTGTGTTCAGTGTATACTACTTGGGTGATGGGTGCACCAAAATCTTACAAATCACCACTAAAGAACTTCCTCATGTAACCAAATACTACCTGTTCCCCCCACATTTTATGGAAATAAAAAATTATTTTATTAAATTAATTTATTAAATTTTCTTAAAAATAATTTTTATTAAATTTAATAGAAATTATTTTTTATTTTATAGAAATAAAAAATTAAAATACATAAAAGTAAAAGTACATTTAAATTATTATTGACTATAGACTCCCTCTTGTGTTATCAAATACTAGGTCTTATTCATTCTTTCTGACTATATATATATATGTATATATATATTTATATATGTGTATATACATACATATATAATCAGATACATATATGTATGTCTATAGACATATATATGTATTTCTAACTATATATATGGTTAGGAAGCATTTGATAGCACATATATTAATATATAACTTTCTAACTATATAAAACTATAACTATATAAATACATTTATATATTTATATATAGTTAGAAAGTTATATATTAATATATTTATATATAGTTAGAAAGTTATATATTAATATATGTGCTATAAATATAAATATATAAATATACAGTTAGAATGAATAAGATTATATATATATATCTTTTTTATCTTTGGTACCCATTAACCATCCCCACCTCCTCTCCCAACACCCCCACACTATCCTCCCAGCCTCTATTAAACATTCTTCTACTTTCTGTCTCCATGACTTCAGTTGTTTTGATTTTTAGATCCCACAAATAAGTGAAAAGATGTCATTTCTGACTTATTTTATTTAACATAATGACCTCCAGTTCCATCCATGTTATTGCAAATGACAGAATCTCATTTTTTTTTATGGCTGAATAGTACACCATTGTGTATATGTACCACATTTTCTTTATCCATTCATCGGTTGATGGAAATGGGTTGCTTCCAAATCTTGTGCCGCAACAAACATAGGTGTGAAGAGCACTTTTGATTTACTTCCCTCTTCTTTGTAGTGCCAGAAAGAAGCTTGTAATACATCTCTTTACACTTGAAGCTTTACTACCACATGGAAGATAGGAAAGAAATTCTAGTACTTACAGAAACATATAATTAAATGCATGCCTATAAACACTAATTAAAATTTTTATTATCGAGTTGCTCTGACTTACTGATTCCATTTTTCCTACAACATATTTCATGTAATATCTCATTCTAGTAAACTTTTATAATGAAGCCAGGGTCAGCTCCTCTGTGCATCCCAAATTATGTTCAAATTTAACTTAATCTTGCTACCTTATGATGTGGGATAATGCATAAGAAGTACTTGAAGGATATCATCCCACACTTACAGTATCCTTGACCCTTATATTGTGCTGGAGAGATAAGACATACAAATTAACTATTATATAAGTTAGAATTTGGTACAAAGGATTGTACTATGAGAGCATTGGAGATTTGCATTCTTGGAATATTGTAGGTCAGTCCACATTGCCCTGTAGTATGTTGATTAATGAGTCTTCAGAATGCAAAACTTCTTTTAACAAAGCCATCATTTCATCATATAGGTGTTGAGGAAGTCTTGGTATTTTTGGTGCGGGGGTGGTATATGACAAGTGTGTTAGTCTGTTTGCATTGCTCTAAAGGAATACCTCAGGCTGGGTGATTTATAAAGAGATTAATTTTGGCTCACAGTTCTTCAGGCTGTGCAAGCATGGTACCAGCATCCTTTTTCTGGGGAGGGCCTCAGGAAGCTTCCACTTATTGTGGAAGTTGTAAGAGGGGAGCTCGAATGTCTCATGGCAAGAGAGGGAGCAAGAGAGAAAGGAGGTGCCAGGCTTCTTTAAACAACCAACTCTCTTGTGAACTCAGAGTGAGAACTCACTCATTGCAGTGAGGACTGCATCACATCATTCATGAAGGATCCGCCCTCATGACCCAAACACCTCCCATTAGCCCCACCTCCAACATTGGGGATCATTCTCTATCTCTCTTTTTTTGTGTGTTTGTGTGATTCTCATGCCTCAGCCTCTCGAGTAGCTGGGAGTACAGGTGCATGCCACTATACCTGGCTAATTTTTGTATCTTTTTGTAGAGACAGGGTTTCACCATGTTGCCCAGGCAGGTCTTGAACTCCTGGCCTCAAGTGATCCACCCACCTCCTCCTCCCAAAGTACTGGGATTACAGGCATGAGCCACTGCACTCGGCCTGAGATCTCTTTTCAACATGGGATTTGGAGGTGGTGTAACATCTCAACCATATCAGTAAGGAAGAGAATACACCTATAAAATGTGGTTGAGGTGAACTCGATTTTACTGCCAAGTAACGTGAAAATATCAATTTAGAAACAGGAGCTTTGTTTTACTTAAAATTTTAAAGTAGATCAACCTTTAGGATTTTGTGAGTGATGGAGCCCTTGCCCACCCCAACCTCCTCACCAAAAAGTCATTTTCACCTGGAGGAGCATGTCCTACATTATCTGGAAGGGCAGTGAAGAAAGGAATGAGGCTAGTGCCAGGGTCTGGGAGGAAGCAGGAAAGCAAGGCTCTGGAGGAGGAGTGCGGGCTTGGGGCTGTCACCTGAAACCCGTCCTCCATTGCAGTGACCATTACACTATTTCTCTTTCTTATAACAAGCCATCTCATAATTAGAATCTGTCCTGCTTGTTAACAAATATTATCTGTCAGTAGCTGGCATCTGCTGATCACCTGTGGCAGATGTGGGATTTCTATACAGTTCTTTTTACCCTCAGCCTTTTGTATTTTTGCTCATTTGGCATATTTTAAATGCCTTGTGTGAAGAACAGCTATACTCGGTCAAAAGTGTGGGAAAAGTAAAGATTGGCAAGTAGCAGTATACTTGGCTTTATTCCTTTCAATGTCTGCTTTAACATTTTGGTGATTTCCCAAAGACTAGAGGGTCACAGTGTGTTTACTTTGCATTTTTTTTATTTGTATAAATTTAAGGGATACAAGTGCAGTTTTGTTACGGGGATACACTACGTAGTGGTAAAGTTGTGGCTTTTAGTGTAGCTAAAACCTGTATAATGTATATTGTACTCTACACACTATTTTTAAAACAACAATGGCTACAAAAATGTGTTCTCTGGTGTTGGAATGAAAAAAGCAAGAGGAAAGTCAGAGTCACTTTGTTTAAAAAGTAGCATTTAGAAGGTTTAGGAGTACACTGTAGGTAATGCTTAGTAAAAATTGATTTAGAAATCTGTATGCATAAATTAAAAAACTCTTTTAATGAAATGGGATGAGTATGATAGACTGTAGGTTCAAAAACTGGCTGAATGAAAGGGACGATTCAGTATATTCAAAACACCTACAGAGAGCCAAGAATATCAAGAATGTGGAACAGTAGTCACATATAATCAGAGTTAATGAATAAATGTCACAAATACACATACTCATGTTGTATACTTTTATAAGAAAGGGAGAAATTCATTAGATTGATTATGAAGGGGCTGGCCTCAGAGGGATTGGTTTTTGGTTTGGTAAACTCCCCAAAGAGAGACGGTTTCAGAATGGAAACATGAGGAAAAATGTTATGCTTAAACTTAGAAAATTTATTTGCTAATAAACTATTCAAATAATTTTATTATTTTATCTTAAAAATATATTTTTGACATTTAATGCCAACACCTCTAGACTACAAATACTACGTTAAATTCTTTCAAGAACATTAAAAAATGTAAAGTTGGTACATTTTAATGTATAGAATTTTTAAAAGAAGAACATGTAAAATACTTTGACTATTCACGTGTGCACACACACACACACTTTTTTTTATATATATAGTGACTTTAAGGATTATGTTTACACAAGTGGAGTTATACAATAGAAGATATTGTTGTACAAACTGATGTTTTCACTTAACATATTGTTACGTAAACCTACTTAAATCCATTGTTTTGTGACATGTATTTCTAAGTAGATTCCAAAACAAGATTACTTTTGATAGTATAATATTCTATAATATGAATATATCGTGTTTATTTAATTAGGTGTTGTTAGATATTTAGGTTGCTTTGATGTTGATATTTTACATTCTTGTCTTTAAATACTTATAGGCTTTTTGGGGGATTCACTGATGATTTTATTAAAATAAATTCTTCATTTACTAAATAAATTCTTTCATTTACTAAAATAAATGAAATTACCCTGTTGAGGAATAAGAGTATGAGTATTTATATTTCATGGTGTTTAATGCATACTTCCATATCATACCCTAGAAATAAGATTTCGTTCCTATACACAGTTAGTAGTCTATGTATTATTGTTCCTTGGTAAAAATTAATTGCTGCCCATAACTATACAACTTCTATAAATCATTGTAAAATATAAGTTTCTAACATGACTGATTAGAAAACACTATGTTAATCCTTTTTACTTTCTGGGTATACTATTGTAACATTGTAGATTTGTGTCATTGGGAAAACAAAGGCAAACAAGGACATTTACACAGCTTATGTATTAAGAATAACAATAAAAGTGACTGCTTTTTAAAAATCTCAACAGAATGTTTGCAATAAGACAGTACAGTTTTTGTTTTGCTAATAAAATCTTTGTTTTGCTATGTGTTAGTAAGGAAAGTAAAGGAAACAGATTAATAAATCACACTTTGACATTGCCTTCTTGGAGAAGCTAATGATAAAAATAGATAATATTCATGTTTTCATTATTTTAAGTAAATCATCACATTTGTTGTGTACTGCACCTGGGGCATTAGGGCAACAGCTTTTGCTTTAAATGTTTGTTTTCCTGTTTTTTTTTCCCATCTATTTAATTCACATTCAGTGCTACAGAATATCACTTTTCAGTCAGATATTACAAGTCAAATGTTTATGTACTGCCAATGCTACTAATACCATGTTCAAATAACCTGCAGAAGTTGAACTGCAAGATTTAAGATATTCAAAAGCCACTCCGTCTTGAAATAGCAGTTCAGGTTAACAATAAAAGAGAATTTGCCCCTTTCTTTGCCTCAGCTGATAGAAAAGGTTTTTCAAAGTATTGATTATGATTATTGTAATTTTTCCACACTATCTTATCAAGGCAAGAACCAGGCAGGCATTGAGCCAGCAAGTGCTACCATTTTTGAAAAGATGAATGAATTTTTCTCTCAAATTAATTAGATATTTGGGAGCAGTGGAGCATGTCAGTATATAAGCAGGATAATTTGAACTGTCTTAATTTTGCAGTGGACTTTTATTTTACTTTTCATCATGTTACCCCTACCCATGCCATTGCGTAGTCAATTTAATTCTAAAAGCAAATATCAAAGAGTTTGGGTTACATACTCTATGGGTTATTTTTGATACTTCTTTTCATTAAAACAGAAGATTTAAGTTTAAATGGAAAGTAATTTTTTTTCTATTGAGTACTTACATAAAAATATGTCTATAGATTATTGTAATCAAAGCCTACAAAGCTAAATCTTATAGCCTTATATCTAAATCAGGACTCTGAAATTAAGACATGATACACAGCTATCTGAATAATTATATGGAATGTTAATAAATGATAATATCTTGTGAATTCTGGTATGATTATTATGGTAGCAATTAAATAATATAAGGTAAAAGTCATATGCTTCTTTAATGTCACTATATTAGAGCTGTTGAGGGTATAAAATCTTAACCAACTCTTTCTGATGAGTTTGGTCCCTCTTCCAGCGTTTAGTAACTGTATGGTCTTGGGCAATTATGTAATCTCTCTAGTTGTCAGTGCTCTCATCTGCAAAATGAAGATAATAATTTTACTGCTGTTGGTAGGTAATAGATAATTTATGAAAATTCCTTAGCTCAGTGCTAGGTAATAATTACTGCTAAATGATACCTTCTTAGTCTTTAGAAGTCATCAATATGTTGTTATTCGATTTTTTAGGATTTGGAAAAAATATTTTTGAAAACACATTAAGTGTATAAAGTGTCAGTTCTTGTTAAAATTTTATTCAAATTTTTTCCATGATTCGAATATTTTCTATATTTCAGTAAGTTGCTTTGAGGAAAGTAGAATCATCACAGCAGAAGTTTATTGCTCTTCATGTTTCATAAACTCAGTCCATTTGAATGATATTATGCTAATTGAGTTTTAGAGAGTCAAGCTTCACGTCAAATATTTTTTCTCTCATACTTGTGGAAAGCAAGAGTTCTGTTCTCCTATTAGCACTTATTAAATATTGTGATTATTATTCAATGTGGACACATTTTATCAATAAAATAAGAGCTCAGGGGAGGAACACGAAGAATATATAGTTTGTAATGGTAAGATATGGTGGAAGAGATTGTAAATTGTACTACTTACAGTTGTTGTTGTTGTTTTTTTTAATCCTCTTGATTTTAATGTTAGTAGCCTCTAAATTATTTGCCTCTGACTATTTCTTTCTACTTGTCTTCCTGAAAACTCATGTTTCATAGTAGAAAATGTGGTTTGATATTGGGTTTTCCAATAGCAGAGTAAGAAAGTGACTCAATGATAAATCAGGTACTCTTATTAATGATAACAGAAACGAATAATAATACAGGTAAGAATTCTTATTATTCTAGCAGCAGGAGATGTCTAGATTATCAATTGACTAGTGTCAAACAAATTTTCCCCAAAATGATTGAATTCTTAATAATATTACTGATAGTTTTAAAACTTTAAATCAAGAGTTTAAAAACCCCATGAGATTTTTAAATAAAACAACAAAATGGGGAATTTAGCAGCAAGAAAAGAAGTGAAGGGCTTGATTAATCTGCTAATTATATGCATATTAATTAATTAATTTCCTTATTTTGAAACAGAGTCTCACTCTATTACCCAGGTTGGAGTGTAGCAGCAGAATCTCAGCTCAATGCAATCTGTGCCACTGGGGCTGAAGTGATCCTCCTGTCTCAGCCTCCCAAGTAGCTGGGACCACAGGCACTTGCCACTACGCCTGGATAATTTTTTGTATTTTTTTAAATAGAGATGGGGTTTTGCCATGTTGCGCAGGCTGGTCTCAAACTCCTGAGTTCAAGGAGCTCAAGATATCTGCCACTTTGGCCTCCCAAAGTTCTGGGATTATAGACATGAGTCATCATGCTTGGCCTGCTAATTATATAATTAAGAGTTCAATAGAGTTGAGATTTATGTGCATTTAATAAAAAAAGTTTCATTTATGTTTATTGCCTCTATAAAATGTAACTGATGGGCTATAAAAACTAAAGTACTTGAAAGTATGAGTGTATCTAAAGTTTTAAATCCTGTACTTCTAGATGAGCTATTCCATTTTCAGTCTATGAATTGCTAAGACTATGTCCAAGGAATTACACTGACAAACCTAATGGATGAGTGAGTGAATGTCCTTTTCTTTTTTGATTACAAGAAAAAAATACTCTAAAATAATCCCATTCTCTTTCTTGCTCTGTTATTTGTGAGTCATCAAATTCGTTTTGTGATCTCTATAATGTTTTTTTTTAATTAGTTAGCTTCCTCTTGGCTGTAATAAATAGCTCAGTTATTTCCACTAAATTGACCCATCCATTCCATTTATTTGGGCAATTGAATTATCGACTGAGTGGAATGACAAAGAGAATTCATTAGTATTAATTGTTTAGATAAATATGTGTGGTCCAATAATCAAAATATAAATTAAATATATGTGTAGAAAACCTTTAGAGGAAACGTTTCTTTTCCTCTCTTCACAGTTTATTTACTCACTACCAGTTACTTGATGTGTAAGTCAAGTCCCATCCTCTCTTTGAAGAGATAATTTGTGTAAAGTGTTTGACACAGAACAGGATTGCATAGTATCTTAAGGTTATAGCTAGTTTTTAATTTTCTGATCTTCCTTTTGCCTCTTCCTCACTACTGAGCTTTCTTCCTAGTCTCAGTTTTTGCGCTTATTATTTCATTTTTATAACTACTCCCTTGAGTTGTCATTTTTTAAATATCTGCAGTTTCTCCAACTAGACTCCAAGTCTCTTCTACATCGTATTGTACTCATACTTGAAAATAATAAATGCTTGGCAAATACTGAATGATAAGCCTCTTCTGCCTGTGAATGGTCCTTGTTCTGAGCAGAACACATGTGTGCTGACTCTTTTTCATGGGACCCACGCCTACTGGAAGCACCCTCTCCATTCGGAGTTCATCTTTGCAAACCCCACCCCCAAACAAACAAACAAAATGTTTTGTTTGGAACCCTGGGCAAAGTCTCCTGAATATTAGACTGGGTGATAAATCATGAATCATATTTGTACTTGGGTAAAATTTAACCCAAATTCCATTTGGAATCTTCAAGCTAATTAACTTCCTCCTGAGTCCCAAGGTTCTTTTTCTAGCAAAGCTTATATATTTACTATTAAAATAAAATCTGATATAAAAGTTGACAGGAATTTTCTCTTGACAACATTATTTCTAGTTACTACAATGTTTGACAATATACTTTTCTGAAAATATGTTCATTCATCTGTACTCTTTCTGTCTCATCCTCATACTCTGTTGATTTAATGGTCCAGGCATGCCCCTCTCTGCTAATCTTTTCTTCTAAGCCTCTTGGAATACGTGCACCCTTACAAATAAATTTTCCAGCACCTTCAGTTTTTTCAAGGAGAGTTCATCCATTTGTTAATTTGAATAGGAAACAAACTGTAACATTAGAATCTTTTTAATAAAAGCTGCTCATTTTCATACTGCTCCCCATATATCACAGGTTTGGAAATGTGTTACCCCTCTTCTTACAAATTATACACCATTACATTTCCCCTTATTTGAGGCGTATGTTATTTATTACAGCCTTTGCTTTTTTCTTGTCACTGTGTTTTGTCAACCTTTGGTGATTCCTCCACAATTATGGAGGGTTTGGGCGGGAGCTTCTATTCTTTTTATTTTATTTTATTTTATTTTATCTTAATTCCAGATGCTAGTATCATTGTTTTCGCATTCTTTGCCCAGGTAATACCCTGTTCCAGACCCTGCCTTTATAGTTCCTTTAGTTTGGTGACTTTTATATCCAATTCTGCCTGGCACCCTCTTGTTAGGCTGGACCTGAGTATGACCAAGATTGCTCTACTTCTGGAAACTTACGTGGCAACATCCCACCATGTAACTCTAACTTGTCCTTTCAGTGTTCACACTTCCTTACTAACACCAAACTGATTCATTTTTACATATCATCAAGACCTTCAGTACCCTATATATTTCCATGCTTTCCACCCATTTTTAACCTGAACTTTTCTTTCCTGGCTCTTATTTACTCTTCTATCTTGTGCATTCTTTCTTCTGCCCTATGGCTCTACTTACGTTTCTCTTAAAATTTCTGATGATCTTTTTCATGCCAGGTCCAATGAACAATTTTTTTTTTCTGATTCTCCTCCTCTTTCTTGAAACTTCCTTCTCTTGATTTCTATGATATCATTCTTCTTTGTTTTATGTCCTACTCATCTTATCCTAGTTCTCCTTTACAGTCTTCCCTTCTTTTATTTAGCACTAAAAATTATGTTTTATCAAGGATTCTTCCTTGGTTCTTTGCTCTTTTCATTTCTAGTTTGCTTTGTTTAAACTTCAATAAATGTAATTATATGTTGATGATTTCCAAATCATGATATTTGTCTTACTTCTCTGTGCAGAGCTCTAAAACTATATAGACTGCTTTCCACTGGGTGTCTTTTCATGTTCAGCAGACATTTCAATCCACAGTGTCCAAAATTAATTTTGTCATCTCTTTGAAACTATTTACCCTCTGGTATTTTTTGTGTTTAAATATGGTACCAACATGCAACCAGCCACCCAAGGCTGGATTATTAAATTCTTTTTAAAGCTTGGTTCACTACAGATCTCATTGATTCAATTCATAGATGGCTCAAATTGTTGTCCTCATGAGTCCATTTTAATTATTACGCTTCTAATTAATGTGCCTGCCTTTCTCATCTGAACTCTTGAGAGGTGTTTTAATTTTTCTGCCTCAGGTCTTCCTTCTGGCTGCCATTGGACAATTCCTCTCTCTGGAATGAATAACAACCTCTGAAGACATCCCACTCCACCTCTACATGTCACATGATATTCACCTATTTTTTGACCAGTTATCACTTACATAATCTTTATCTCAGCATTTTAGGAAGGCTTTTTCGCTATGCAAATCTCTGTATTTTATAATCCTGTATAATTATATTTTATAATCCTGTATAATTATATTTTATAATCCTATGCAATCTGTATTATCTTCTGTATTTTATGCTTTTCAAACCTTTATTGTACTCTATTTGTTCTACTTTATTTAGTTTGGACAAGCTGAAGCAGGTGACATGGTTCATCTGTATCCTTGCCTGATGCATCACTGAAATGTAAATGAATTGGTGGTGAGAGAATAATTCAAAGGACTCAGTGTTTGAACCAAGCCTAGTCAATGCTGTCAATGCTGCTGTATCTTGGGTGTTTGTGGAGGCACTAAGGTAGTGGCCAGGACTGAAGAAATTGGGAACTTGACCTTATAAGGCAGCTACAAAACTTGCCCTCTATCATTCTAACCAACCCTTCCAAACTTCTAAAAATCTCAGCTCCACTTCTGCAAGTTTATCTTCCCTGCTTGCATAAAATTGCAGTGCCTAATTTGAACACCTTCGGTATTCATCAAAAATACCAAAGGTGCTCAAATTAGACATTGCATTTTTTGCGCATGTCAAGTTGAAATCTATTCATGGATCTTTAGCTCCTTAAGAGAACATGCATATAACATTACTTTTTACTAGCATTCTTCCAAGTACTTTACATGCCCAACGAGAAAGCATAATATTATCCCCATTGTACAGCTGAAGAAACAGGCATAGAGAAGTTAAGTAATCCGTTGGTGATTACAAAGCTAGAAAATGGCAGAGCCAGGAACTTGAACCCTGTTTTTCTTGGCCATTAGGCTTGCTGGAAGGGGATACTAAGATGTAGGAAGGGAAGGTGGAGATGAGGGTCTTTGTTGATTTTCCTAAAAAAGTTGGCGTTGTACTGGCATATGGAGAGAAGTTGATAAGTAAATATTAAATACATACATGTTGGTTTTGAAATATATGATAAGACTTTTTAAAGTCTACCTGAAGAACTGGCAGTATTATTGGTTCTCCCACAGAATTTTCTTATGAAAGACATAATTTTCCTGAAATGTGAACATAGAGGCATTTGTGATGCCTATTATCCAGCTGTCATCTGTCTATTCATGTTGTACACATCTACTATAATTTAAATAGGAGAACAACAAAATGAAAGACTTAGTTTTCAAAACATAAGTAATGGAAGAAAGTGAATTTGATATATTTTTATGACAGCTTTTAGTAAATACTTTTAAAATGAACTGAAGTTAATTTATGCTTGAGTGGGATTTCTTTCTCTTTTTGGAAAGTTTTTATAAATAAATGAAAGAAAATATGTTCTTACTAATAACAGTTTCCCCTCCATCTTTCCCCCATCTCCTTAGGATACTTGTGGAATGTCTCTAGAGTGAGTCGGCCACTGAGAGGACTTTGTATTGTGTTAACTTCATTATATTGAAATTTTGGAATAGCCTCAGGGAATAAGGGACAGAAAAAAATGGGGCAATATTCACCCGGTGGCATTCATTTTCAGTAAAGAGCAAGTAAAACCCTTTATTAAATTTAATGTTTTATTTTTGCTTAGTTTGGAATATACATGTGTATTTCACATATATAAAAATAGAACTTTTTTTACTAAACTGGTCCAGATCTAGATATTTATAGGCATATGGAATTTGGAGGTTACAAAATTAACTTCTAAGAATAAATATTTCCTACTCCTCAAGTATCATGTAAGAATAATTTTTCTATGACAATAAAAAAAGCGAAACACTACAATCTGACCCATATTTTCTTGCCACAGATTAGCATTTATGTGATCTTATTCTAAGCCTATGTGGTACAGAAAGGTAAAAATGCTAAAAGAATGACTATATCACATATATACTAATATTTCAATGTTTAATTTTCTGAAAAAAAAACTGTACGTTTTGTAAATAGCTGTAGCAGCTATAGTCAAGATGATTTCTTGAGAAGAAATTACCTGTTCTTTAAAAAATGTTCTTGCCAAAATAATGATTGTACATAGCTCAAAAATCAGCTATTATTAGAAGGCTTACAAGAAAACAAGAACAAGTAAAACAACAATAACAAAAACCATCTGGCCCCTGCCTTCACCTTGTCAGCTTTTCCATGATGTACTTTTCAGAAAGAAACACTTTGAAGCCTTTTGAGTGTTTTTCCCTGCTTTTATTCTCTATAGTCAGTTTCACAGTTTCTCAATTTGAGGGAGTATTCATTGACTTCCTACTATGAAATATAAGGATTTAGCAGTCTAACTATACCATCACAACACACATCTCACTCCCCATTCTTCCAATACAGTAATTATTTTTGTTTAGAGCAATACCATGTATGCATATTATATGACTATTTCAGTTTTGCTCAGAACTGAGTAATGAGTATTATGATTATCATTTTCTTATTCAACTGTCTTTGTTTCTAAGTATATACACATTTTCATTTTGTTGTCTGCTAAGTTTTCTAGTTACCTATTGATAGTGTTTCACCAAGCACTGTGGTAGAACTATAAAGCCTTTCTCAGGGTAATCAAACACATCAGACAGTGTACCTGTGGGGAAGGTCCAGGTTATGCTGTGGAAAGAAACACTCTCAGATCCTCCGTGGTTCTCTTCTGTGGAGTTACTCAGGAACTCCCTCCCCTCCCACTGAACCATCTTCAAGCTTCATTCTGTACCCACATTTCTGTGGGATTGTTTATCACTTTTTTCTCTGTTGAGCTGGGGCTTCCATTCTATTATTTCTTCCATTTAGTATTTCTGGAGCTGGGACTTCCATTCATAATAAATCCATTATCTTAGGAATGCTCTTCACTTTCTTTACTTGAGTGTCCTATTTGCTGGATTTGTTTATTCTTTTGTATTGGTGAAGCACATTTTCCAGAAGCTTCCCTAGAAATGGTTTCAGGAGGAAAAGTTTTGAGCTTGTGCATGTCTGAAAATCTTTTTATTCTACCTTTCCACATGAATGGAAACATTTCTAGGTTGGAAAATTATTTTCTGTCAGAATGTGGAAGCCATTTTTCCATTCTTTTATCTTTCCATGTTTCTATTGAGAGGACCATGAACATTCGAATGAGACTTGCTTCCAGCCAATGAAAGCTGTATCACCAATGAAAGCTGTATCACCACTTTTCTGATATTTCATGATGCTGTACTTTAGTGTAGGTCTTTTTAAAAATTTAACTGGGAGGAGTGTGGTGGCTCATGCTCATAATCGCCGCACTTTTGGAGGGAGAGGTGGGTGGATCACATGAGGTCAGGAGTTCCAGACCAGCCTGGCCAACATGTTGAAACCCCTTCTCTACTATAAATACAAAAATTAGCCAGGTGTGGTGGCACATGCTTGTAATCTCAGCTATGGGGAGGCTGAGGCAGGAGAATCACTTGAACCCGGGAGGAGGAGGTTGCAGTGAGCCGAGATCGTGTCATTACACTCCAACCTGGGTGACAAAGTGAGACTGCATCTCAAAAAAAAAGAATTTCTACTTTTTTTTTCACTTTTATTTTAGGTTTAGGGGTACATGTGCATGTTTGTCACATAGGTAAACTTGTGTCATGGGAGTTTGCCATACAGATTATTTCATCACGCAGGTACTAAGCCTAGTACTCAATGGTTATTTTTTCTGATCCTGTCTCTCCCCCGACCCTCCATCCTCAAGTAGGCCCCAGGGTTTATTGTTCCCTTCTTTGTGTCCATCTGTTGTCATCATTTAGCTCCCACTTTTATGTGAGGACATGCTGTATTTGGTTTTCTGTCCCTGCGTTATTTTGCTAAGCATAGTGTATACAAAATGGGGGAAAAAGGAAAATAATCTATATGACATGGATAACATGTCATTGTACCTTTGTCCAAACCCATACGTTGTGCAGTACCACGAGTGAACCCTAATGTAAACTATGGGCTTTGGGTGATTGTGATGTGTCAAGGTAGGCTCATCCGTCATAACAACTGTACCTTCGTGGAGAGGGATACTGATAATGAGGGAAACTACACTTGTGTAGAGCTAGGGATTATATGAAAAATCTCTGTACTTTCCTCTCCATTTTGCTGTGAACATAAAAGTGGTCTAAAAAATAAAGTCTTTATAATAAACTCTAAAAAATGTTAATTGAATGCTATTTCATTTCACTCTAATACAAAAAAATAATTGGAAGCTCTTTATGAATCGACAGGATTTGCTGCCTGAGGATTTTACTGTGGGTGACATGGGGGGTAGCTGATTATTTCCTTGTTACTCCCTCTCCTCCCATCCAAATCCCGAATGCCAATATTTTTAGTCTCTTTGGTCAGTCCCTCTAGATTTGAATTCTCTAATGTTCTATCTTCTAGAGGCTTAATTGTAAAAGAATTCTTCATACGTTAAGTTGCAATGTGTGGACTTTAACATAGCCCCTGCAGTAGGTAGACTTTAACATAAGCGGAAGTGCCAACTCCCCTTCCTAATTTCTTTCCTTCCTGGCCCACTCTGATCTACAGCTAGTCTGTTTCATCCTCCAGTGCTCTGTGAGGTCAGGGAGTGATATTTGCATAATTCTGTGTGGTGAAGAAGGAGGTGTTGGTTCTAAGAGACTTTGCAGCCATTCTATTTTTTGCACCAATCCTTTCTCCGCGTTCAAGGCTCCCAGTTCCCTGAGTGACTTGTCTTTCCAGGTACTGAGGTGCTTCTTGTTGTCTTTCTGTGCTATCTAACATCCTGTCCGTTCTGGATCGGTTACAACTGATTGTTTTTTTTCCTAACTATGGAGTGTGGTAAGACTGCAGGTTTGGGATTGTTTTTTTTCCTAACTATGGAGTGTGGTAAGACTGCAGGTTTCCTAATTTTGATTCCAAATGAAAATACTTAAAAAATATCAATAGCACTTTTCTTTGAGCACTGTACTATATCAATGAGCTACTACAGCAGAAAGTATAGCATTAAGTAAAATCCCATAATGTGCTAAAAGCAGTGCAGATTTCATTTCTCATTGCCTGGTTTTCCTAATAAAAAAAAAATTACACGTTTTAAAATAACATGCATGAGAAACAGAGAAAGAGTTTAAAATGTTAGTGTATTATATTTTTTTGCTTCTTTGCATTTCTAATAATTTTTATTGGGTTGAGAGTATTATGAATTCTACTTTTTTGTCAGATATTTTGGATTTCCATAAATATTCTTGAGCTTTGTTTTAGAATATTTGGAGACAGTTTGATCCTTTTAGGTCTTGCTTTTAAGTTAGGCAGTACCAGAGCAATGCTCAGTCTAGGACTTATTCCCCATCACTGAGGCAAGACCCTTGTGAGGACTCTAACCAGTGCTCTCGGAATCTTGAGGTTTTCTAGGTTAGTTCAAGCACAATTCCTGGATTTGTGTTAGGGCCAGGCACCATTGCCATTGGTTCTTTCCTCAGCCTTGAATAGTTTCCTAACATACATATGTTAATCAAGGGTCAGCTGAGTGCTTAAGGGAGAATATCTACTGATCTCTGGAATCTATTATCTGTGCCGCTTTCTTCTCCCTAATTCTGTGTTGTGTGAATGCTTGCTGTTTTTGTCTTTTCAGACACTCATCTCTGTGCCTTCTCCATTCAGTCTGTCAGGCTTCATCTGTTTTTCCTGACTGTGGGAAATTTTCTCAAAACAGTAAGAATAAACTGAGGCAGTTGTAGGTTCACCTCATTTGTTTCTCGTTTCTCAGGAATTGCCATCCTTTGTTGTCTCATGTTCATCACCTTAAAATATTTTTGTGTGTGCGTATGTTGTCATTTTTGTTGTTGTTGTTGTTTTGGGAGTGGAGTAGGATGGGGTAGTAAATCTGGTACCTATTACTCTATCATTGCCAGCAGCAGAAGCTATAGGATAGATGTTGGCTTTTAACTGATTATATTGTACATTCTTACAGAATACCATATTTTCATAAACAGTTAATAAAGTAATAGTAATCTGTTGGCATAATTAAAAAGAAAACAAAATTTCTTTGAAATTTTATTTTCTATTCAATGTATCATCACAAGCTCTTACTTGGGAATTGTTTATGCAAATATGGAAAAATCGATCACTTTTCCAAGAAAATGTTTTGCTGGGAAAGAGGAATTTAACTAACTTAATTGAATTCATCACTTAAATAAGTATAGGCAAGATAGAAGAGGAAATATTAATATCACTGATTGGATTGATTGTTCTATGAATGCACATTTAGTGGTCTTTAAAAATGAACTTCAAAACCAACACTGCCTAGTGACATAGAAAGCTTTAATTAACTGCATACTATAAACATACATATTTAAATACAGCCAGAGATACTATTATTTCAAAAGAATAAGTTTGTACAGATGAGAAGAAATGATACTAGATATTGAGGAACATATTGGCAGTATTTTCCATATTTTCCATTTACTTTATAATTATGAAATACATATGTTTATTCATACTTTAGTTAAGAGAACTTACAGCTGTTTTTAGAAATCACACACTAAGAATAATGTGCAAAATTTTTATATAATTTATGTAGGACAGTATCTACTTTACTCTGAAGTATGCTATGGTATTCCCAACAAGTTTGGCGTGGAATGTTTTTCTAGCTACTTTAGGTCCTTCAGGAGACAGTAGATTCAAATAGAAAAACATCTATTCAAATTCTAGTGACAATACTGCTTGTCTTTTTGGATAATTAGTTTAATTTCTCTGGATCTCAGTTTTCTCTTTATACAATGGTAGTAATGGAACAAAAAAACTGGCTTTTGTTTCTGATATATCTGTGTTTATATTACTCTTTTTATGTTTACTAGCCTTGAGTTAATTAATCTTGGGAGCTTTAATTCCTACCATTGTAAAATGAGTATAATCATACCTATTTAGCATCGATGTTAGGATTCTTTAAGGATATATATATACACACACACACACACACATATATATATATATATATAAAACCTAACACACTGCCTAGTATTTTATAAATAGTCATTAGATTAGTCATTAGATGTTAGTTATGATCTCTTCTTCAATTTTTTTTTTTTTTTTTTAGACAGGGTCTCACTCTGTTGCCTGGGCTGGAGTGCAGTGGCATGACCATGGCTCACTGCAACCTCTGCCTCCCAGGTTAAAGCAATTCTTGTGTCTCAGCCTCCCAAGTAGCTGGGATTACAGGCATGCGCCTCCACACCCAGCTTATTTTTGTATTTTTAGTAGAGACCGGGTTTCACCATGTTGGCCAGGCTGGTCTGGAATTCCTGACCTCAGGTGATCCGCCAGCCTTAGCCTCCCAAGTACAGGTGTGAACCACTGCATTCCGCCCTCTTCCTCAATTTAAACTGAGAAGACAGTTCGAGCTAATGATTCTTAGATTTTATGTATATATAAATATATCAAATCTATATATTATTTATTATATCTATATTTATATTATTGTAAATATATGTTAGATCTCTCATATGTCCAAGTAATCTGTTGGTTTGCACGATGAATGTCTACATTACAAAAGTCAGCTGAACTGACAAACCTCTTATAATTGGAACAATGGTTGAAATGTTTTCCCATTAGACGTTAGGTGGGTTCACAGCTCTGCTAGAGTCAAGGGACATAGTTTAGCGCTATGGACATTTTACTTATGACTCATTCAACATAAAACTGTAGTATGTCATTATGTCCATTTTCTCAAAAGAGAAATGTTAAATGTAATGAAAAAAATAATATAGATACCATTGAATTATTCAAATGAATGATGCTAGATACAAAGAATTCCAAATTTAAAAGGGGGTAGTTAAGAGAGTGTTCAATAATTGTGTATAGAGATCAGTCAGTCATTGTTAGGGAGTTAAAACAATGCAGATCATAGATCTTGAAAATTTCACCTTGTATGATTAATTAATTCATACCATTCACCCCATTACTTTCTTTGGGAAAATGGCAAACTTTCACTTCTAAAACTCTCCCTTTATACTTTCTTTATACTTTTATAATTTTGAAAAAATTGCTTAATTATAGACACCATGAAATTTAGTATATAAATTACTAAATAATATACTCAATTAATTATGAGTCTTTCTGGAATCTTTGAACTGAAGGCACCATGTTACTTGTTGAAAACAGGGAGAAATATCTGGGAAAGACAGAGAGAGAGACTCAAAACTCTGCTTTATCTTGTATTAGTTTTTAAGAAAAAAGAAAAAACCCTTCTTATGTATGTTTTAAGATTGTAATATTCAATCATAATAGAATAATGCAAGTAAAATTGTACATAAATCATATATATAATTTATCTATAATAGCTCCAAAGTTTTAGATTCTCAACAATTTTAAACATAAATGTATCTCTTTAAATCATAAAATATTTTTGATCTCTGTAAACAAGTTGTGTTATTATTGAAAAGGCCTCATCAAGAAATTATTTCCCTTAGAAAAACAATTCGAAATTTGGAATATTTAACGTATTCTGCTTGAGGTTTGTAATGAACAGGAATTTTGTTGTAAAGTGTAAAAAGTAATGAAATGCATGAGAGCAAACCTGGATTCCAAGTTTTTTAGTCTTCCCTTGCTACCTACTTCCTGGTTAGTTGTTTAACAGCTATGACTCTAAGTGATTCCTTTCTAAAATGAGACAGAACTTTCACTCTCTTTCACTCTCTTGTAGGATTGCTGTGATAGTCACACTAGATAGTGTATCTGAAAATGATTAGTAAAACACTTTAAAAATGTATGGATTATTTGGTATGAAGATAGACTCTTAAGTTGATTAACATACAATAAGACACAAAATTTCATTCGTTGGTTTTTATTACCAGGAAGCTTTTCATATTTACTCTTATTTATGCTTCATAAGAGCCTACCCAAAAATTAGATATTATTTTCTCCTTTCTCCAGAATAAATAATATTATTAATAATTGATTCTCAGAAAAAGTAAATGATTTAATTAAGACCATGTAACTATGATGAAGTTGAGATTCAGACCTTGGTCCACTATACTGTATTGTTCCTTTATCATCCGGTTTTGTATACTTAGATGATTTTTCCATATCCTTGAAATCTCTCTCATTCTCTCTCTCTCTCTCCCCCTTCAAGAAACTAAGTATCTGACACTATTATAAGTTAATTAATGCTATTAACTTATTTGCAGTCCTCTAAGTGACTGAGAAAGTAAACAAGAGTAACATACCAAGATAAAGTTAAAAAAACATAAAATAACTGCCATGTGGAAAAAACATTTTATATCTCTTCCATTAAGCATATTGTGAAAAATAAAATTATTCAATCTCATGAACATTTCAGCCAGTTTTCTGAGGTAGCTCATTCAGCTCCCTTCCTTCCCTCCTCTTTCTCTCTCCCTCCTCTTCCTCCTTCCGTCTCTTTCTTCCTCCTTTCTCTTCTTTCATATTTTATTTATTAGTTATTTAGTGTTTGAAACACTTTGAAGGATATTGGAAAAACAGCTTAAAGAAAATATGAAGATCATGTAACAAATCTTCAATCTAACTGAGTTCTACAGAGTAGCTCATCAAAGTTGTTAAGATCATTTTCTCCTGGCGTGATTAGAAATCAAGACTTCCCATCATGAACTTTAAAAAAAAACATGATTCAGCAATTAAATGTAGTGCTGGATAAATAAGCATATCAAAAGAACAGTGTCTGCAAATTCCCATCACAGAAGGTGCACTTGATTTTAGATCAAGAAAGCCATGAAGTGAATAAACACACACACACACAAATATCTTTATGAGTTATATTTGTGCTTTCACAGAATTTTAAACGTGTCTCTCACAATTCTCTCTTTTTTAGTATGCTTTTATTTTATCCTTAAATCTTAAAAATAGCCATAACTCTCATATTTTTCTGTGTAGATTGTTAAGACCATTCTTTGAAGTTAAATATAATACACTAAATTTCTGTGAAGGATAAGCAGATGTTTTCTGTCTCTCTCATTAGGAAAGACATGGCCAAGTATCTGTTGTGTGCCAATTCAAAACCATCCAAATTTTTTAAAATCCCGAAGAGACAAGGCCTGCCTTGGTTAACAATAGCTTATTTTATCCTAGCATCTATTTAAACCTGAGACACTAGAGTCCCTTTCTATTTTCTTCTCCATGTATATGGAGTAGAACTCATTAAAGTTTTCTGAGAAGCAGGTAAGTGTCATCATGCATCAAGAAACAACTGGAAATTATATGTTAGACATTCTTACTCCATAAAAGCTTTTGCAGCAACTCTTCTGTTGTTGGTTCCTATGCGTTAATTCATTCTACAAAGTTCCTCAGTAAATGTTCTCCTCTTCATCAGATTTTATTGAAAGTCTACATTAACCTACTATCTAAATGCATCATAGTACTCAATAAAATATAGCAACTTTTCAATAATAGTATCCATCACCCTTAGAAAGCCTTTGCATTCCATGATAATGATGACCTACAAGTAATCCCACCCAAAGTGGTGATAGTGAATAGGAATTGCTGACAAAATGGCAAAACGTATGCAGTTCTCTCTTTTGAATACTTTTTCCTTAGCCTTCTCTGATTCACTTCATTGCACTCTCTCTCTCTTTATCTCCTAGAAAGCCAAGATTAAGACATCTAAGTTTCCTTTTTGTGTGTTGTTATCAAAGTCTGCCTTCTTTCCTAGATGCTGAGCGAGATCCTCACTCACTACTTACAGTGACTAGGTCATCACACCAACATCTACTACTACCCAAGTTTAGGCTACTACTCTTGAGCTGGAGGATCTTATGCCAGGTGGAGATTTCCCTATACTGAGAGAAGTTCCAGGTCTCTAGTGGATCTTCATATTGAATCCAAAACTTGAACTGGCAAGGTTTAATTTTGGTGAGAAGGTTGGATGAATTCTCAGAATATGTCACTACCTTACTCTCTTATTTTATAGCCAAGGTTTGCTACCATTTGGAAGAGATGAAATGGTGAACAGCATGTGCTCATGAGCATTTCTCAGTAGAATCTGAGCCTTATGTGAGACAAGAGGACAAAGGTGTACATAGAACCATTTCTTTCATGGTATTGAGAGGTTGCCTTTCAGGTCCTGCTTCTTACTTTTAAAACCTCCTTTAAGCAGATTTTAACACCTGCACAATCAAGGTCATATTTTCAGAATGGAAGCACATTACCAAATATATATACCATTTCTACTGCTGAAATAAAACAACTGATATTTCTGTTTCATGAAATCTCAAGAACTCACATCACTTCTCCATGAACACACCTCATTCTCTACTGAGCTGACCCTTTCTGTGGAAGAATTTCTGCATGTCTAGGGGAATAATGAATCTGCTGGATCTCTGGAAACATAGATCTCAGAAGCCCTATATCTTCCCCTGAATTTGTACCATTTGGACTCTAGTTTGATATGCATTAGGGCATGATTGATCTGTTGATCACAATTACCTTGTTTATAGACAAGTGTTCCACAATAGAGGTAAACTAATCAATATGGTTAATGACCAGGAATCCAGATGTCTTTTAAGAACAATTTTGACTTGTATTGACAAACTAACTTAACTTCAGTCCCTTGGAGATCAAAAATTGCACATGAAAGGGCTTCTTATATTCATTCTCACATTTCTTTCAGCTCTCTGTTTCAGTTGGATTTCAATGCTATTATATTCTGGGATGTTTTCTGAAGATAGCCTTACCTCTCTCATTCTTTCTCCTTTAGAATATCTTGGGCACAGAAAAGTTTGGGGAATTTTTCAGTTCTTGTCTCATGCTGCCTAAATTCTTCCAACAGATACTGTAAATGGACCCCTAAGCATTTTTTTCTAATTGAACTTATTCCTCTATTTTCTGTTTAATGCTAATATGCCATCCATATCTTTGCAAAAATATCTATTCTTAAAACATCTATTATTTCAACAAATATGTGTTGAGCATGTCTCAGGTACTATGAGATACTATTTAATGTGTTGAAGTCATACAAAATAAGTAAAGATTTCTGCCTTTATGGGGCTTACTTCTTAGTGGGGAGGGGAAGATGAACTAATATAGGTAGTCTGCCATATGGGACATATTAGAACAGTGTGGTAGGAGTAGGCCAGGAGAGTGAGCTGTCTGTTCATGTAACTTACTTGTGCCTTAATGGCACTTATGTTAGAGGAAATAAAGACTTGATTTTTTAGTGGAATAGGTCAGATGCAGCTAGTTAGTTATGGGCAACTGTTTTTTAATTGTTTATTAAGATGAACTCTCTGTGTTCTGTGGTCAGACCTTTAATCTTCATCAAGATCCAGTAGCAAGTAAGAATCTATCTAGCTGTTTCTGAAAAGGACAGTAGTTACTCACCTAAGAAGTGAGAATCCTAGGCATCCCCATTATGTTCTTTTTATGAAGGCTTGTATATTCTGTATAGCACCCTAATCTGCTGTAGACTCTTTGAGTATCATTGCATCTGCCAGTTTATAACATGTATAAAGTATTTCTTGTTTAGAGAATCCTACTTTGAGTAGGATTAGAGTAGGATTCTCTACTCATAGTTTCAAGCTTTTCAGTTTACTTGGTATTGTGTCAGAGTATAACACCAATATGTGATATGAAAGTGTTGGGATGAGGTTCCCACAAGTATGTCTAACTCTCTTCCTTTGCACATTTTCAGATTCTTTTCTTTATATTGTGATACAGTTTTTTCCAATTGTTTTAAAGTCAGGTTTACTCAGGCAAAATTAAAATTATGTAATCAAATGCACTGTGAAAATCTACCAACACATAATTTAAAAAAATTAAACAATAAGAATATCAAATTCCAACAATTCCTCAAATTGGGATTATTTCATACTTACTGCATTTCACCCAAAAAGCAGGTTATTCTTGCTGTTGTTACTGTTTTTGGTTGCTTTTAGTGGAATGAAGTGTTGTCTCAAATGTCCTTGCCTATCATTACACAAAGCCTCCATACTCAAAGGCCTTTAATTTTTTTTTTTTTTTTTTTTTTTTTTTTTTTACTCTAGCTCAAGCTTCCTGGACTCAGGAGGCTTTTTGTTGGTTAGAACTTCTTAGCATAGCAGAAGTTTCCTGTAGCCCTTGAGTGACTTTGGTTAACTTGGTTGAAAATTTCCCCCAATCTCTACACCTTTCTTCACCCCTAGAAGTTGTTTATCTACCTCATAATCAAAACAAAAGCATGCCTTTATTTTTAATAGAAATTTCTAGCAGCATATGTAATCTTAGTCTTTTAGCTTTCTTTCCAATCTGGCCAATTTGGGCGAACATAAACCCCAGTTGCTTAGGTATGAATAGGGACTTGCAGTATGAGGGCTGCCATTCTCTTCCTTCAGCCCTGCCTTTCCTGTTATCCTTTTGAATTAATTTCATTAACAAAATGAATTCAGAGGGTTTTTTTTAGCTCTCTCCAGAAGTCTGAACTCCCTCAGCACTGTTTTGCCATAAATAGCTATAGCAGTAAGTTGTTCCAAATGATCCTGAAGAAATCTATAAAATTTAACTGGTACATATCAAATAGAGACTGAAACAAATGAAATGATAGCTTTATCCTAATGTTGTGACCAAATATCAGATAAATTCACAGCTTTATTTCAATCCCAATAAAAGTTAAATATTTTTTATTGAAAATCAACATAACACTATCAAATTAATCTGAAACATAAATGTTGAGAATATGAGGTCATTTTTAAAAATAGGAACAGACACTGCCAAATATTAAGGCATATTTTAAAAAGACAATGTGTTTTTTAAAAAATATTTTATTCAAAGTAAATTTAGAAATTATTAAAACAATATGATCCTGAAATGATAGGAAGTTAACTTGCAGTTAGAACTTGCAGTTAGAAGTAATCAATTAACTTGAAAGAAATAAATTAAAAAATATAACAACATAAAAATCAAATTAACTTAAAATTTTTCAACAGATTAAGAGGCTAAATTAAAATAAAATCTTAGAAAAAGTAGGAGAAAGTAGAAATTGATATTTAAGATATCAAGAAAAGGATGGAAATCCTTTAGGAATAAATTTGTAATAGCAATGATTCACACTCACAGCAATGATGAGTGACTCCTGCCTCATCCATTGTCCTGGATTATTGCTTCTTTAAAGGAACAGAAAGTTATCACAAGAGAGCACATCAATAGATTTTACCGTACAGAGTTCTTTGAACCAACAGCTATGAATTTTTTCTCTGTGTGCCAAGCATAGTGTCTTTCTGGCATGCATTCAACCAGTATTTACTATTTGCTTCAATTATGTTGGAACCTGGAGAGAAAAAAAAAAAAAGCTCATTATTAACATAAACCAGGGGTCCCCAGCCTCAGGACCACTGACCAATACTGGTCTGTGGCCTGTTAGGAACAGCGCCACACAGCAGGAGGTGAGTTGCCAGAAAAAGAGCATTACCACCTGAGCTCCGCCTCCTGTCAGATCTGTGGTGGCGTGTTTTTCTTTTCTTTTTTTTTTTTTTTGAGACGGAGTCTAGCCCTGTCGCCCAGGCTGGAGTGCAGTGGCGCGATCTCTGCTCACTGCAAGCTCCGCTTCCCGGGTTCACTCCATTTTCCTGCCTCAGGCTTCCGTGTAGCTGGGACTATAGGCGCCGGCCACCACACCCGGCTAATTTTTTGTATTTTGTTTAGTAGAGACGGGGTTTCACCGTGTTAGCCAGGATGGGCTCGATCTCCTTATCTCGTGATCCGCCCGCCTCGGCCTCCCAAAGTGCTGGGATTACAGATGTGAGCCACCGTCCTGGCCATGTGGCATTAGATTTTTATAGAAGGGCGAACCCTATGTGAACTGCACATACAAGGGATCTAGGTTGCGAGCTCCTTATGAGAATCTGATGCCTGATGATCTGGGGTGGAACAGTTTCATCCCGAAACCATCTCTACCACCATTTGTCTTTCATGAAACTAGTCTCTGGTGCCAAAAAGGTTGGGGACCGTTGACATAAATAACACACTTTAATGTGTGGTAAATGCAGATGGAGATTTACTGGGTATTAAGAGAGAGCAGACAAAAGATACTTAACCCAGTTGAGATCAAGTCTTAGGATTTTTTGGTTTTGTTTCATTGCTTCCTTAGAGGTGATGACTTCTATGCTGCAATATTAGAGCTGCTAAGAATTGTGAAAAAGACCCCAAGCACATAAATTGAAACCTAATGCTAAAGGCAGAGTGTTATCCTGAAGGCAATCAAAGTATTGGATAAAGAAAGGTTCCAGTACTGAGGGATAGTTAGAGATGTAAATGCTGTTCAGCAATTCTGCTGCTGTTTTCCATATCCTATTTCCTACATAAGCCCTTTTGAAATGCTCTCTTCTCTCCTCAGCCGTCCTTCACCACCTTTATCTCTTTCTCCACAGAACATCTAACTTTTCACTTCAGGGATGTGACAGAAGCCATCACACAGAAGAACTCCCTTAAGTTCTTGTAACAACATCTAAATGAACATAGTCCCATGTGAATTGCTCATGACAAAAGTAAGAGCTATTCTTCCAGATAATGAATAATATGCCTTCTCTGGACCTCATCTTTTGTACTTCCTGATGGATCCCAACCATCAGTTATCCATCCTGTTTCTAAAAATTATGAAAGAAAAAATAGAAGATCCGAGATTTATGCTGACAACAGCACTTGCTATTCAACCTTATCATGCAGGGACTTAAATGCAATGTGATCAGAAGGTTAGACTTCAGGGAGGAGTGGACATTTGATCTTTGCCCTTGACAGATAAGGAGATTTTGATGAGGTTACACTGAGAAGAAAGCATAGTGGTCTAGTAGATGGAAGAGGGCATAGGAAAGAGAGTTGTGTTCAAGAAATGCTACATAGTCTAGTGTAGATTATTTAAAACATTAACGTTCAAGTAGAGGAGGAGTGAGAGATATGGCTGAAATATAGAGTGAACTGTTCTATAATGGACCATGGTAATTAAGGAATTCATATTTAATTTTGTAATTAATATGCATCAAGTAAAGTTTTTGATTAAGAACTATATAGATAATAACTTTCAACTGATGTCATATGATTCTTGCATTTATTTGTGTATTTATTGATGCATTTTAGTACATATTTGAGTTTATAGATCTTGTTTGTATTTGTTGATTGATTTTGCAAGGTATTATATGAAACATTTGAAGTATATAATGAAAACCTAGCAAGATTTTTATCTTGGCTTAAAAAACAATCTTGTAATAGAATAAAGTACTAAATCTAATAATTTATTTATATGCCTTCTATACTTTTCTCCTGGAAGGTACCCATATTAACTTGACATCTTTATAAGGCATTCATTTGCCACATTTTGCTATGGTGATATACAAAATTTCCTTCTTATTTCTGAAGCAATGTCCTTTAAATAACTTTGTTACTTGGTACTAGCATGGTAAAACTATAAAAACAGTTTATTCATTGTGAAACTATGGGTAAACTTCCATTTAGTTTTCATAAAATTTTCCTTTTTGTCCATTCTCTCTCCCACCACCTTAATCTACCTTTTACTACTTCACACCTGACGTATGGAGAGGGCCTCCCAAGATGTTACTTTCCTTTTCCAACCCATTTGATTAATCTTGCACACAATTGCCATGTTCCTACTCATAAACATATCTTTGAATATGTCATTTCTTATTGAAACAATTTTTATTGTGTATCCCCATTCCTTCTTCATGACTGAAAAGACACAATCTAAACTTTGCAACTTAACATTCAAAAACCACCAATTATGACACCAAATTGCCTATGTAATCACTCAAACTGCTTTATTCAGGTCACTGTGCCCTTTGCTGCTTTGTTACTTTTTATAAGCAAATTTCCTGCCAGGAAGGTCATTTTTTCATTGTTTGAATCTGATAAAATTTGACCCAGAAATAGTCTCACTCTCCTTGGCAATAAAGGATCTTTAGTGATCTCCTGTCTCAAGTAGTCTTTTCCTTCACTGTCTGCTTATTTCTTTTTTACAAATTCATTTTTAAAATTGACAAATAAAAATTGTATATATTTATCGTTTACAATATGTATACATTATAGAATTGCTAAATACAGCTAATTAGCATATATAATCTCATCTCAGATACTTATTTTTATAGTGAGAAAGCTTAAAATCTACTCTCAGTGATTTTCAAGAATATAATACATTGTTATTAACTACAATTACTGTGTTGTACATTAAATCTCTTGAACTTATTCCTCATATCTAATATAAATTTTGTATCATTTAACCAACATCTCTCCAGCCTCCTCCCCACCCACATCCTCTAGTAACCACTATTCTATTCTCTACTTCCATGGGTTTAACTTTTGTAGATTCCACTTATAATAAATGAGATCATGCAATATTTGTCTTTCTGTGTTTGGCTTATTTCACTTAACATCATGTCCTCTAGGTTCATGCATGTTGTCCCAAATTATAGTATTTCATTTTTTAAGTGATGATAATATATACAACATATATACATATATATATATATATATGTATAATGATTTGTATATATACAACATTTTAAAAAGTTTTCATCCATTGGTGGACACCTAGGTGGATTCCATATCTTGGCTATTGTGAATAATGCTACATGAACATAGTAGTGCAGGTATTTTTTCAACACGTTATTTTATTTTCCTTTGGATGTATACCCAGCAATGGGATGACACGGCAGTTCTATTTTTTTATTTTTTTGAAGTATCTCTAGATAGTTTTCCATAATGGCTCTACTAATTCACACTTCCACCAACAGTATGCAGATATTCCCCTTTCTCCACATTCTAGCCAACACTTATCTTTTGTCTTTTTGCTAATAACCATTCTAATCTGCATGAGGTGATATCTCATTGTGGTTTTAATTTGCATTTCTCTAATGATTAGTGATGTTGAGGATTTTTTCATATATCTATTGGCCATTTATATGTTTTTCTTTGAGAAACCCATTTGTAAATTGCTTTTTTTTTTTGCTATTGATTTGTTTTTTTTTCTATTTATTTTGTATGTTAATCCTTTATCAGATATATGGTTTGCAAATATTTTCTCCTATTCTGTAGATTGTCTTTTACTTTCACTCTGTTGATTGTTTTCCTGGGATGTTTTATGTAACCCTATTTGATTATTTTTTGGTTTTGTTGCCTATGCATAAGGGGTGATATCCAAAAAATTATTGCCCAAACAAAGGCCATGGAGCTTTTCTCCTATGTTTTCATCTATTACTTTTACAGTTTCAGGTCTGTATTTAGGTCTTTAGTTAATCTGTGTTGAATTTTGTGTATAAGAATTCAATTCACTGTTCTGCAAGTTGTCCCAACACCATTTATTGAAGAGATTGTCCTTTCTCCATTGTGTGTCCTTGTCTTCTTTGCTGAAAATCAATTGACTTTTAAAGTATCTATTTATTTCTAGGCTGTCTATTCTGTTCCATTGATCTTTGTATCTGTTTTTATACCAGTACTATGCTGTTTTGATTACTATAGCTTTGTGGTATATTTGAAGCCAGATAGTGTGGTTCCTTTGACTTTTTTTCTTTTTGCTGAAGATTGAGTTGACTTTTTGTGGTCTTTTGTGGCTTCATTCAAATTTTGGAATTGATTTTTCCATTTCTGTGAATAATGTCATTAGAATTTTAATATGGATATCAATGAATCTGTAGATCACTGGGTAGTGTGGACATTTTAGCAATATTAATTATTATATTCCATGAACATGCAATATTTTTCTGTTTATTTGTTTCTTCAATTTCTTTCATCAGTGTTTTGTAATTTGCAAGATACAGGTCTTTTACTTCCTTGGTTAATTTTTTTCCTAAGTATTTTTATAGCTATTATAAACAGGATTAAGAATTTTTTTTCAGATAGTTTCTTGTTAGTGTGTAGAAATCCTACTAATTTTAGTATGTGATTTTGTATCCTGCAACTCCACTGAAGTCCTTTATTAGTTCTGAGTTCTTTCAGAAGTTTTTTGGTGGGGTCTTTTGTATTTTCTATATATAAGATCATGTTCTCTGCAAACATAGTCAGTTTAACTTCTTTCTTTCTAATATGGATGACTTTAATTCTTTTTCTTGCCTAATTGCTTTGGCTAGAACTTACAGTACTATGCTGAATTTAAGTGGCAAGAATGGTCATTGCTTTTTTGTTCCTGATTTGAGACAAGAAACTTTCAACTTTGCCTCATTGAGCATGATGTGTGATGTGGGCTTGTAATAGATGGCCTTTATTGTGTTAAGGTTTATTCTACATGTACTTTCTTGATACTTTTATTATGAAAGGATGTTGAATTCTTTCAAATTTTTTTCTGTATGTATTGAGGTAATCATATGATTTTGTCTTTCATTTTGTTGATGTGATGTATCACAGTTTTTGATTTGCATATGTTGAATAATTGTTGCGTTAAATGGATAAATACCGCTTGGTTATGGTAAATGGTCTTATCAATGTGCTATTGAATTTGGCTTGCTAGTATTTTGTTGAGGATTTATATTAACCATACATATTATGCTAAAATTTTCTTTTCTTGTAGTTTCTTTGTCTATTTTTGGTATGAAGGTAATGTTGGTTTCATAAGATGAGTTTAGAAGTATTTGCTCTTCTGTTTTTTGGAAGTTTGAAAAGTTTTTTTTTTTTTCTTTTTTCTTTTTTTTTTTTGTTATTGGGGATAAAATGATAACGATGAATACCACTTCTTTGAAATGACAGACTGCATTTCCAGGTGGCAACCCAAACAGATGGTTTTAATAACACAGTCACTCCCCAACATCTCATGAAAATTATACCAAAGCAGTCACGGTATTTCTTCATTACTAGTGATTGGAAAAGGAATGGGAGAAAAGTGTTGGAACAAAAATTCTAACCCCTAAAAGAGAATAACCAAAACAACAAAAAAATACTCTGTCTTTCTTTCGTATTTCTAAGGCCTGATTTCCTCTCCTGGCAACTGGCAAGGCTAGTGATTAGGACCTAGAGTAAGGTTCCTACATTTTTGGCAATTTTGGGGAAAGACTGAAGGTTGAAGGCGTAGAGTAATTACTATTCTTACATGTAGTGCTCAAGTCCTGGATGTTAGAAACCTCAAATTTTGGGACAGCCTCTAAATAATAAAGTATTTACTCCTTTATGTTAATTTTCTACACAGAAGGTCAATGGACAACTAGGATGAGTTTAAAGCAAAGATTCTGCACTATATTTAGATGGTAGAGTTTAGCTAAATTGAAAAGAAAATATCTGGTGTGAAAGAAAATAGTATTTTATTGGGTATTCAGGTATTTCGTTTGGTTTCCTTGTTTACTTTTGTCAATAGCGGACATTGATTGTTAAAGACATTGAGCTAAAATAGAATTGCCTTGGGAGTAATTAGCAATTCAGGAAAAAAAAAAAAGAGAAGAAAGAAATCAGAACCTTACTGTAGTAATCAATTCAAAATCAACGATATCATGACCAATTTATTATTTTTGTTTTTTTCCCCCAGTTCCCTCAAATTCAGTATTCAAATTTCTCAAACCTAGCACATGACTCTCCCCCATATTTGCTGCTCCTTTCATGTCCAAATTTCTTGGAATACTATCTACCATGTTATTGTAAACTAAAAAATAAAATTCTAAGTCCTCCAATCATCTGAATGGACCCCTCCTCTTGGCCAAGAGCATTTCAAAGTTAGCCTGCAAAACTAGTTCAGGCCATGATGGTAAGGAGGTGGACAGACATGCCTCAACATACCCTCCTTCCTTTTGAATGCAGGCACAACTGACCAACATTAACATTAAAACAGAGATCTTAAGACTTTTTGTAGCAATAAGGTACCAAATTCCAGCCTGACACTAGTATAGTGTCATGACAGATAGCAGGTCCTGAAATAAATCAAAATATTTTATTCCAAAATATATATTTCTTTGTCATATTTTGAAATGGCCCTGAAAAGCTGTCTCTTGTGGGAAAAATCTACATTTTGTTGAGAATTCCATTCCCTTTCCAGGTCTTTTCCCTGATCCAGGAGAGAATTAACTAAGGGCCTGGCACCTTTTTCAAGTCAATAAGAAACATTTGCAATCTATTTTCTCTGAAGCTTGATAAGACTCATCTGCATATTAAGAACCTTGGTCTCCTCATCCCCGATCTTAACCCAGACACTCCCTTCTATGAATTCCAGGTCTTTAGATAAACTCTTTCAACCAGTTGCCAAATCTTTTAATCCCTCTATGACCTGGAGACTCCTCCTTTACTCCCTGGAGTTGTTCTGCCTTTCTGAAGGGAGTCAATGTACATCTTACATGTATTGATTAATATCTTATCTCTTGTCTGCCTAAAATGTATAAAACCAAGCTGTATCCCAACCGCTTTGGACACGTGTTGTCAGGATCTCCTGAGGCTGTGTAACGAGCATTTCTGTTCTTCTATTCTTTCTTCTTCTTCTTTTTTTTTTTTTTTTTTTTTTTTTGAGATGAAGTCTCGCTCTGTGTCCAGGCTGGAGTGCAGTGGTGTGATCTCAGCTCACTGCAACGTGAGCATTCTTTAACCTTGGCAAAATAAACTTCTAAATTGATTGAAACTTGTCTCAGATACTTTTTGGTTTACAATATCAACAACTTAGGAGTCATCTTTATGCCTCTCATTGTGATATCCAACGCACCACCAGATCCTATTGATCTTATATATGAGATATCATAAATACATATACTTCTCTTCTTTATCACTCCCACCCTATTCTAAATTCCTACCATTTCTCACCTGAACCCTTTATTAGTTAGGAAAGACTAGTCCATTCCTCTAATCTCTTTTCTCCTTTACAGTTAGAGAGATCTTTTTTTTCCTAAAACTTTGACCATTTTTTCTCTTTAAACTTAACTGACAGATAGTAATAATATATATTTATGGGATATAATGTGATGCCCTGATATATGTATAAGTCGTGGAATGATTAAATCAAGCTAATTAATATATCTATTATGGCCTATACATTTTTAATTATAAGAACATTTCAAAACTACTCTTTTAGTAATTTTGAAATATGTAATTCATCATTAGGTCACTTAAAATATTATTTTATAATACAAAACTAAGCATATTTCCCCTCTTTTCACATGGAAAAACAAAATCTTCCTACCTAGAAATTCTCACCACAAAGGCAGTAGAAAAAGGAAACCTTCATTGCTGAATAAGTATTAAACTGGAATGTGATACACATCACAGGCAATCTATTAAGGTACTACAAAGATGGAAGGAAATTCTGAAGCCAACTAGGTACGGGACTTTATATAAATGTTTTAAAGATACACAATAACCAGTCCTCAAGGAAGAGGACAAGGCAGCACCATTTGTCACAAGTAGCTTTACCTGGTAGTTGGGGTGACCGTGTGTGATGACTAATTGTTTTTATCCAGAGGGGGGAAGAAAAAACATCATATCATTATTACAGGAAGTCATTTTGCCACTTGGAACAAGGTGCCCACTAAAGTTAGGCTCCTGTTTTCCCACAGAGAGTGAGATAGGTAGGGATGTTACCCCTTTTGTTCTTTATATTTCAAAGAGATGGCATTCAGGTTCTTAAGAAAGATATTAATGGATCATAAAGCTGACAAAAAGCCTACTTAGCTTTCCAAAGGACTTATATACATTTCAAAGAGAAGACGATGTACTTCACAATTCTAATTTTTAAAAAGTAAATTAAGAAAAAGGAGGAGAGAGAAGTCTCCATATTTTCAACATGGAAAATTAATCATCTTGTTTTTAATTTGCATTTGTCCTTACAACACCAAAATCATTTTAATTTCTTTAATACCACATTGTTTGAGTGAAAGATTATTTTTCTGCTTCACCGTTCCCTTTACCTAATTTAGGTTTTGTCGTCTTTTGCATAACATTCCTTTTATTAAGGGCTGTCTCCTGCAGCAAATTTTAAGCTACACAAGCACAGGGGCTGCATCAGGTTTTGTTCACTATTGCTTTATGCCAAGTTTAGTGCAGTTCCTCTGGATGCAAAGCAAGCATTTTACTCAACTTTTTAGATGAATGAATGTAAAAGAATCACATACGGCAAATTAAATTATTTAAAAAGAAAAATAATTAATCGAATATTTAGAATATTTATCAAATAACATCTGAATGGAGAAAACCTTCCTAAGATTACAAATAAGACTGAAGAAGCAGTCTTTCTAAGAAAAAGAATGAAATGTCTTATTTAACGTGTCCTGTATGCACACACATACATACACATAGAAAATTAAAAGATGGATAATACACTGGGAAAATTCAACAATGGATTGATTGTTGTATTATAAAAAAATTCAGAGAATATTTTGCAAAGAACTAATTAGAAAATCAAGAAAAGATGCAATCGAAATATATTCTAACCACAGAAAGATTACATCACTAAAAAACAGAGAAATGCACATTAAAATGAAATGCCATATTTAGTTGTGCTTTTTACAATTAAGCTGTTTAGTGTGAAAGAGGATATAGTAAAATAGAAACTTTCTTACTTTGCTAAAATAGAAACTTTCTTACTTTGCTAATGGGAAGGTAAATTTGTGCAACCCTTTGCAAAAAGATTTGTCAATATTTATCAAGAGCATTGAAATGTTCTACTCTTTGACCAAGTAACTCCACTTCTGGGAATCTACCCTAAGAACGTATCTGAAATGACATTCATAGTTCATTTATAACAGCATAAAACTGGAAACAATCGAAATATTCAAAATTGGAGGAATGGCCTATTAATTAATGAAATATATGTATTCATGGGATGAGTTTCTGTGCAGGCATAAAATACCACGTATCCCATTGTAACATGGGAAATATGGTGTTTTTTATTTTTTAAATTACTGCCAGGTTATGCATAAAATATGCAATAAAATAAAAATATAAATTAATAAGAGAAAGAGCATTCCATTTATTTACTGTGACTTCTATTGAAGTAAATAGATTACATGTGAAACACTTGTGGAAAAGATCTGTTGTTTTCAAGTGATCTTAAAAAGCTGTGCTTTAAATGAGATCAACATAGGACTATATTCAGTGATTTTTTTTTTTGTTTCCAAGTAAAACAGCTACTGTTTACATACCTTTTAAAACAAATTTAGGTGTGACTTTCTTATGCATACCTCATTTGTATTTCAAATCAATGTGCCTCTTATGCTATTACTTGTTTTATTAAGATATTACTTGTTTACAAAGATATTACACCTTTTCTTAAAAGTTTATATAAACTTGTGTGATGTAATTAAAGATTTATAATCAAATTTTTATACATAATAAAAATTCAAAAGCTCACACATTTGATTTAATGTGTATTTTTCAGGTTTACTACATTTCTGCAAAACAATAAGAAATATTTTAACTCTGAGAAAAGATGTGTCAACTTTATAAAAAGAGTAATAAATAGAATCCCTTCAGGAAAACACTTAGAAAAGGCAAGGATAAGTGATGAGTCATAAACTTATTTAAGTCAGCATTTTGTCTTCTTACCCTAAGCTCACAGCCTATTTGCTTTTTGTTTCGTTTTCCTGGCAAATTACTGGCCAGGTTTCGGAAGACACTAGACATTCTTGTAAATTACATAATAATTGCCTTGTTGCACTGGTTGTGAAAATATTATTCCTCCCATTTTCCTGCAAATGCTGCAAGCCAAAACAAAAACAAGTAAAAAACACCCCCCAAATTAACAAAAACAACAAAAGAAACAAAAAACCACACACACACACACACACACACGTTATTTTAGATTTTCAAATTATTATAAAATTGTCAGATATATCCTTACTTTATGACCTTATTAATGATGTAGATTTTTCTAGATTTAATTATTTGATTCTACTTTCCATTTATGATTTGAATGTGCATATTTTCATGTGACATTTGAGAGTTACATGCACAATTTTTGCAACAGTGTATAAGCTGCCTCTACTGAAGATTTTTTTTGTTTCATTATATTGTGTCATTTTCTAATTAGTAATAAGAATCAATAATTCACTCTATCTTAATATCGGCTTACAATTAAAAAGTGCTTTCTGGAAAGTGTACCTCATCCACTTTGGCATGATGCTAATTTGTAACATTTTGATGACAACAGTGAGATAAAATATTACAGAACATTCTCTGTCAGGTTGTGCAACTTCTCACATTTTGCTACATAAGGACAATGAGATCTCATTGCTTTTTCTTAGTATTTCTGAAAGGCATTCTTTGATAAGGAAGTTTGATTTCATTTGGAACAAAAGACGCACCTTAAAATAGTAAATTTCTTTTTAATTTAAAAGATGTAAATAACTGAAAAGTTGGCTTATTGACCTACTTGATCATGGAAATTACATGAGCTTATTCACAAACAAGTCTTCAAAAAATTGAAGTTTTTTTTAATTTACCCTCTTTAATAATCCTATACTTTTATTTTTGCATACTTATCACTTTGATGAGATTAGATGCTCAGTGGTAAGTAAAATAGAATAACATTGCTATTAATTAATAAACCTTGTGTACATGATGGGCCAGACTATTATTCTATTGTCAGCCCACCATTTTTTTTTTCTACACGAGATCTTGTTGAGTCATGAACTTTGTATGAGGAGAATATTTGCAGGGGCCATGAAAAATGACATCTTGACTATTAATTAAGACTAAGCTACAGTGTTCACTGAGACCATTAGATTCCTCAAGAAATGATATGATGGCATTTGCTATGATTTTTAAATCCTCATTCAAAATTATGATAAAAATCCAAATACTATGAGAATTCTAGAAAAGTTGAATTTTGTACCATCCCTTTATGTCATTCTAAAACAAGGAACGTTTTATTAAAACAAATTTCTAACTTTTGCGGGTACATGGTAGGTGTATATATTTCAGGGGTATATGAGATATTTTCGTACAGGTACATGATGCATAATAATCACATCATGGAAAATAGGGTATCTATACCCTCAAGCATTTATTCTTTTTGTTCTGAACAATTCAATTATACTGTGATTATAAAATATATGATTAAATTATTATTGACTATAGACCCCCTCTTGTGCTGTCAAATACTAAGTCTTATTCATTTTTCCTAACTCTATATTTTTTGTATTTATTAATCATCCCTACTTCCACCCTCCTCTCCCAATACCCCTCACCTCAGCATCCAGTAACCATCCTTCCATTCTTTTTCTCCATGAGTTCAATTGCTTTGATTGTCAGGTCCCACAAATAAATAAGAGCATGCAATGTTTGTCTTTCAGTGCCTGGCTTATTTCACTTAACATAATGACCTCCAGTTCCATCCATGTTGTTGCAAATGACAAAATCATATTCTTTTTTATGGTTAAATAGTACTCTGTTGTGTGTAAGTATCACATTTTCTTTACCCATTCACCTGTCGACGGACACTTATGTTGCTTCAAAATCTTGGCTATTGTGAACAGTGCTGCAACAAACAAGAGAGTGCAGATATCTCCAATATACTGATTCCCTTTCTTTTGGGTATATACCCAGCAGTGGGATTGTTGGACTGTATGGTTGCTCTAGTTTTAGTTTTCTGATGAACTACCAAACTGTTTTCTATACTGGTTGAGCTAATTTATATTCCCACCAACAATTCTTCACATCCTCACTAGCATTTGTTATTGCTGACTTTTGGAAAAAAGCCATTTTAACTCGGGTGAGAGGTTATCTCATTACAGTTTTGATTTGCATTTTTCGGATGATCAATGATGTTGAGTTCCTTCTCATATACCTGTTTGCCATTCGTATGTTTTCTTTTGAAAAACGTGTATTCAAATCTTTCACCCAATTTTAATTGAATTATTAGATGGTTTTCCTATAGAGTTGTTTGACCTCTTTATATTTTGGTTATTAATCTCTTGTGAAATGGGTATTTGGAAATACTTTCTCCCATTCTGTGTGTTGTGTCTTCACTTTGTTGACTGCTTCTTTTGCAGAGCAGAAGGTTTTTAACTTGATGTGATCTTATTTGTCGTTTTTGCTTGGTTGCCTGTGCTTGTGGGTTATTACTCAAGAAATTTTTGCCCAGATCAATGTTCTGGAGAGTTTCCCCAGTGTTTTCTTGTAGTAGTTTCACAGCTTGAGGTCTTAGATTTAAGTCTTTAATTCATTTTGATTTGATTTTTGTATAAGGTGAGATATAGGGGTCAAATTTCAATATTGTGCATATGGATATCCAGTTTTCCCAGCACTATTTATAGAAGAGACTGTCCTTTCCCCAATGAATAGTTTTGACACATTTGTCAAAAATGAGATCACCATAGGGATGTGGATTTGTTTTTGGGTTCTTTATTGTTTTCCATTGGTCTGTGTGTCTGTTTTTATGCCAGTACCTACCATGCTGTTTTGGTTACTACAGCTTTGCAGTATAATTTGAATCAGGTCATGTGATTCTTTCAGGTTTGTTATTTTTGCTTAGGATAACCTTTGCTATCTGGGTGTTTTGTGATTCCATATAAATTTTATATATTTTTTTATTTCTGTGAAGAATGTCATTGGTATTTTAATTGGGATGGCATTGAATAAGTAGATTGCTTTGGGTCGTATGGACATTTTAACAATATTGATTCTTCCAACCTGTGAACATGGAAAATTTTTTCATTATTTTCGTGTCCTCTTTAATTTCTTACATTAGTATTTTATAGTTTTTATTATAGACATCTTTCACTTCTTTGGTTACATTAATTCCTATGTATTGAATTATATTTGTGACTATTGTAAATGGAATTGCTTTTTGATTTCTTTTTTAGATTTTTAACTGTTGGCATATAGAAATGCTACTGATTTTTGTATGTTGATTTTGTATCCTGCGACTTTACTGAATTTGCTTAACAGTTCTAATAGTTTTCTGTGTAGTCTTTTAGGTTATTCCAAATGTAATATTATTCTAAATATAAGTATCATCTGCAAATAAGGATAATGTGATTTCTTCCTTTCCAATTTGGATGCCCTTTATTTCTTTCTCCTTTCTGATTGCTGTAGCTAGTGCTTCCATTACAATGGTGAATAACAGTGGAGAAAGTGGACATTCTTGTTATGCTCCAAACCTTAGAGGAAAGGTTGCCAGTTTTTTTCCCATGCAGTATGATACTATCTGTGAGTCTGCCATATATAGCTTTTATTATGTTGAAGTTTGTTCCCTGTGTCCCAAGTTTTTTAAGAGTTTTTATCATGAAGGTATGTTGAACTTTATCCAGTGCTACTTCAGTATCAATTTAAATAATCGTATATTTTTTATTCTTCCTTCTGTTGATATGATGTATCGCATTGATTGATTTGCATATGTTGACCCAACTTTTCATCCCTGGGATATATCCCAGTTGGTCATGATAAATGATCTTTTCAATATAATATTGAATTTGGTTTGCTAGTATTTTGTGTAGGATTTTTGTATCAATATTCATCAGAGATACTGGCCTGTAGTTTTCTTTTTTTGTTGGTTCTTGTCCAGTTTTGGTAACAGGGCAATACTGGTCTTGTAGAATGACATTGGAAGTATTCCTTTCTCTCTACTTTTCAGGGCAGTTTGAGTAGGATTGGTATTAGTTCTTTAAATGTTTGGTAGAATTCAGCAGTGAAGCCATGGGGTCAAAGGATTTTCTTGTTATTATGGCTTCAATATTATTTCTTGTTATTGGTTTGTTCAGGTTTTGGATTTCTTCTCAGTTCAATCTTGGTACTCCCTATGTGTCTAGGAAATTATCCATTTCCTCCAGATTTTCCAACTTGTTGACATATAGTTGATCATAGTACTCACTAATGATCCTTTGAATTTCTGTGGTATCAGTTGTACTATCTCCTTTTTCATCTCCGATTTGATTTATTTAGTTTTTCTCTCTTTTTTCTTAGTTGGTTTGGCACTTGTCAATTTTGTTTATTTTTTCAAGAAACCAATGTTTTATTCATTCATCTTTTGTATTGTTCATTTCAAATTCATTTATTTCTGCTCTGATCTTTATTATTTCTTATGGTCTACTAATTTGGGGTTTGGTTGGCTCTTGTTTTTATAGCTCTTTAAGATGCATTATTAAGTTATTTATTTGATGTTTGGCAAGAGTTTCACATTCATTGCATTTATAAATATTTCTAACGTTTCTTGAAGTAGGCACTTAAAACTATAAATTTACCTCTTAGTACTGCTTTTGCTGTATCCTATGGGTTTTGGTATGTTGTTCTTCCATTATCATTTGTTTCAAGAAATTTTTCAATTTCCTCTTAACTTCTTCATTGACCCATGGTCATTCATGCACATACTGCTTAATATCTATGTGTTTTTACACCTTTCATAATTGCTATTGTTATTGATTTATAGTTTTATTCCCTTGTTAGACTCAATGAGTGATATTATTTCATTTTTTTTAATGTTTTAAGAATTGTTTTGTGACATAAGGTCTATCCTTGAGAATGACCGATGTGCTGAGGAAAAGAATGCATATTGTGCAGCCATTGGATGAAGTGTTCTGTAAATATCTATTGTGTTCATTTGCTCTATAGTGCACATTAAGTCTCATGTTTCTTTATTGATTTTCTTTCTGGGAGGTCTGTCCTATGCTGAAAGTGATGTGTTTAATCAGCTATTAGTGTATTGAGGTCTGTCCCTCCCTTTAGCTCTAGTAATATTTTGCCTTACATATTGGTGTCTTATCTATTATGTTCATTTGTTCTATGGTGCACATTAAGTCCTATGTTTCTTTATTGATTTTCTTTCTGGGAGTAATATTTTGCCTTACATATCGGGGTTTTCCAGTGTTGGGTGCATTATATTTACAATCATTATATCTTCTTGCTAAATTGACCCATTATGTAATGAGCTTCTTTTTCTCTTATAGTTTTTGTCTTGAAATCTATTTTGTCTCATATAAGTATAGCTACTTTTGCTTTTTTTGATTTCTCTTGACATGGAATATATTTTTCTATCTTATTATTTTCATTATAGAGGAAGTGATTTTTTTTAAGCAGTAGATCATTGGGTCTTGTTTTTTCATCTATTCAGGCACTCTGTGTCTTTTGACCAGAGAGTTTAGTCCATTTACATTTTGTTATTATTGATAAGTAGGGAGTTATTCCTGCCATTTTGTTCTTTGTTTTATGGTTGTTTTGTGTTCTTTTCTTTCTTCTCTTTTCCTGTCTTTCTTTTAGTGAAGTTGATTTTCTCTCATGGTATGCTTTAATTTCCTGCCTTTTATTTTTCACATATCCATTGTATGTTTTCTGATTTGAGGTGACCAAGAGGGTTGCAAATGCTATCTTAAACCCAATATTTTAAACTGCTGACAACTTAACACTGATTGAATAAACAAAGACACATGAAAAAAACTATTAAAAACTCTACACTTTAACTATATTTCCCTGCTTTTTACCTTTTTATTGTTCTCTTTACATCTTATTGTACTATGTCTTCAAAAGTTGTAGTTATTATTTTTGATTGGTTCATCAATTAGTCTTTCTGCCTAAGTCAAGCATAGTTACACACCACAATTACATTTTAACATTATTCTGTGTTTTCTGTGTACTTACTATTTCCAGTGAGTTTTATACCTTCAGATGATCTTTTCTTGCTTATTAACATCCTTTCCTTTCAGACTGAAGAACTCCCTTTAGCATTTCTTGTAGGAGAGGTCTGGTGTTAATGAAATCCCTCAGCTTTTGGTTGTCTGGAAGGTCTTTATTTCTCCTGCATGCTTAAAGGATATTTTTGCCAGATACATTATTCTAGGGTAAAAGTAAAACAGGGATGTTTTAGTTTTCATGCACTATTATAAAGACTCCTAGAAAATGAAGAAACTCATGATTTCACAAATAAAACAATCAGTAATTCCTCTTTTTAAAAACAAAAATAATGTAGGTATGGGCACATGTATCAAGAGAATTGATGTATCAAGAGAATTGGAGAGTGTTATTTTATAATTAGACTGTTGTTTATTATTTCCCATTGGCATAAAATATTTACTTTTTTTCTCATTTTTTCTATTTATTTTAGTTAGTTTCAAGAAAAGGGGTTGGAATTTTGTAGGTAACTATGTGATGACTTGAAAGAAGAGAATAGGAGGGAGAACAGAACTGGCAAGAGTTTGAGGTTCACTATATTTATAAACATTTCTAACACATCAGAAAATCACATTATTTTTAATATAGTGACCAGATTCCTTTTCCATTATATACTCCTTACAATAAATCTCACATTTTGTGTTTAGTTATAGGCACAACAATTCAAGTATACCAACCAGGGCAGGTGGAAGAGTGAATGTTTCTTTTCATTATAAAAGGGGAAACTTAAGGGTAGAGAGTGTGGTAAAACTAAATGAGCCCACAGTGGATATTCTGTAAGTGAATGTAATTGAGAAAGGAAACATTTTTTTCAGGTCATGATTCAGAGTAACACTAAGTTGTAAGAAACTGCAGAAAAACACATAAAAAAAGAGTCGTTCCATATTTCAGAGTGGACTTTATCCTAATGAGATGTATTCTCTATCACTGACCCCCCACTGCAAGTGCCAGATGCACATCTTTCATGGATGATTTAGAAGATGTCTCTCTAAGGAATAGAAGAAAGTAGCATCTAAGGATATTCACATTTTGATTGTATATCACCCTACTCATGTGTCTCTAGCATACAAAAACTGCAGTCACCAAGATCTCAATGAAATAGCAAAGTAATCAAAGTTTATTTTGGTATTTCTCTTTCTCCACCAAAGAATCCCCCTTTACAAAAGTTCTCTCAGATTTAACATCCTCAGAATCCCCACATCTACCTGCCACTGGTTCTTCTATTCCATCTAGCCCTACTCTTCACACAAGCAATTCCAAATATAAAATTTATGTTTGTTCTTCAAACCAAAACAAATACAGCTATACTACTTAGTGCCTTTGTGTTACAATCCGATGAAAACAATTCAACAGAAGTCACAGATTTAAGACATATTTAATGATCCCAGAGGATATCTAAGCATGAGTTAATCATCATCAATCTCAAAGTGGTAGGCATAGAGGAGCCAAGTCCAGGGAACTTCTGAGCTTCACTCATCTCCTGGAGGCAAAGTTGAATTTATTCCCTTCCTTCATTGACTTCCCTAGAGGCAGTGATGTAAAAGCATGCACTATGAACTGTGAACTGAGAC
The DNA here is from genome assembly GCF_000001405.40 of Homo sapiens. NCBI lineage: Eukaryota > Metazoa > Chordata > Mammalia > Primates > Hominidae > Homo > Homo sapiens. Next base: position 196,550,998 of record NC_000001.11, on the reverse strand, counting down.
AGCATAGTCTGGCACAAATTCTGCAAATATCTCAAATAATGAATCATAAATATATGAATGTGAAGTTTTTTCTGTATTTAGAAAATTTTCAGGAATGTAATCTCCCAACATTGCCTTTAAATTTTCCATGGGATCCATCTGAATTTGCTTAGCAATCTCTCTCAGAGCTTCCTGGTATCATTTTTTACCCTTCTACTGCCCCCATAGCCTTTGGTTCAGAGAATAGAAGCATCTGCCTGGTGGAAACAGAGGTTCCCATGATAATTGAGCAGAAAGGGAACAGAAGTAAGAAACAGAGCATGTGCAGTTTTCTGGTGTCTGCTGGCTGATTTATTTTAGAACCTCTGCAAGTGGTCCTGTGCTTATTTTTAAGCCATTTGTACATGGATAAAATAAAAATATTCTTTAGGTTTAACATCCTAAATGGTTTCCTGTATGTTAACATAAGAGACATAGTAAAGACTACAAGTCTAAAGCTATTTTCTTGATTGTGATAATCATTTATTATAATAGCATATACAACAGATATTACTTAAATGCAATCTAAAAATTTACATTTTTCTGACAGAGTGATCATAAAATGTGCCTTGGTTAAAATAAGAAATCTTCATTCTGTGTATTTTCTTACACATGGTGCTTGAAGCAAAACAGTTAAGAAGAATCTAGACAATCCAAATGTTTGATTTTTCAAATAAATTTGCCAGGATCTTTGGGTTTAAATTTTTTTTTCTCTCACTCATGCTGAGAAAGTGCACATACATTTTGAAATTTGGTCTATTTGAGCAATACTTTTTTATCCTTTAAACTGATAATAAGCATATGGGAGTGGGATTGAATTGGAGACAAGCTTTTGATTTCTATTGAACACTCAAAAAATGTAAGGTATCAAAAAATTTTTTTAACTATCCAGTGATGGGCTAAAGTGTATCAGAAGTTTGGTAAACTGGTATATCATTCTGATATGGGGCCAGAGAAAGGAATAGATCTTAAATCGTTTGTCAAGTACATGATGTCTGTCTTTGGGGCCTTCTCATCTCCACTTCGTTGCTACTCAGGCCTCTGTTTCTTTCTCAGCCTATTTCTGCTTAAGGCATCCGAAACTTAGAGCCCATGAGATTTCCTACTGAACTCTTTCCTTCTTGCAAAAGGTTGTGTGTTTTATAGCTTGCTGTTTAGTTTAGCCTCCATCATTATACTCAGACTCTATTCAAGAAAACTGCTTTCAGCTAGCAATAAAAAAGAAATACTCAAACATATCTGAATAAAAGACCCACATGGCTCATAAAATTTAGTGTGCATTATAAGAATCACCTTGGTTACTTGCTGAAAATGCGCTTTTGAAGGCTGGTCCCAGAGTTATTTCTTGTCCATGTTTAATAAACACTCCAACAGATTCTGATGTTGGTTGAGAAACATTGTTCTAGGTTGTCTGTATATTACTAGAATTTTGGAAGGATTTAACTTAAGTCACAAGCCGACCAGAGATGAAATGTGATACTATGTATCACAGAGATGTTTGTGAAACTATGAGTGTCACATACATGAAAAAACAAAATACATAATAACATAATACATAACACATAATAAAATTATATGTGTTTTTACTCTGTAGCTTCTTCTCACTCTCTAGTGTGGGGGGGCCTATTATCTGTAAAATAATTCTGTGTTACTTTTCCCATATGAAGTTTCCCACATCATAATTCACTTTGGAATACTTAGGGTCCATGTGTAAACAAACAAACAAACAAAACAGGGTCACAATAGAGAAAAATTGAACAAAATAAACTGCCAAAATTATACATTTTATTGAGTAACAGAAAGTTTTGGATTTACTTCTTTTTTTTATCATACTTTAAGTTTTAGGGTACATGTGCACAATGTGCAGGTTAGTTACATATGTATACATGTGCCATGCTGGTGCGCTGCACCCACTAACTCGTCATCTAGCATTAGGTATATCTCCCAATGCTATCCCTCCTCCCTCCCCCACCCCACAACAGTCCCCAGAGTGTGATGTTCCCCTTCCTGTGTCCATGTGTTCTCATTGTTCAATTCCCACCTATGAGTGAGACTATGCGGTGTTTGGTTTTTTGTTCTTGCGATAGTTTACTGAAAATGATGATTTCCAATTTCATCCATGTTCCTACAAAGGACGTGAACTCTTCATTTTTTATGGCTGCATAGTATTCCATGGTGTATATGTGCCACATTTTCTTAATCCAGTCTATCATTGTTGGACATTTGGGTTGGTTCCAAGTGTTTGCAATTGTGAATAGTGCTGCAATAAACATACGTGTGCATGTGTCTTTATAGCAGCATGATTTATAGTCCTTTGGGTATATATGCAGTAATGGGATGGCTGGGTCAAATGGTATTTCTAGTTCTAGATCCCTGAGGAATCGCCACACTGACTTCCACAATGGTTGAACTAGTTTACAGTCCCACCAACAGTGTAAAAGTGTTCCTATTTCTCCACATCCTCTCCAGCACCTGTTGTTTCCTGACTTTTTAATGATTGCCATTCTAACTGGTGTGAGATGATATCTCATTGTGGTTTTGATTTGCATTTCTCTGATGGCCAGTGATGAGCATTTTTTCATGTGTTTTTTGGCTGCATAAAAGTCTTCTTTTGAGAAGTGTCTGTTCATGTCCTTCACCCACTTTTTGATGGGGTTGTTTGTTTTTTTCTTGTAAATTTGTTTGAGTTCATTGTAGATTCTGGATTTAAGATTCACTTGTTAAATTCAAAGAGAAATTTTGTTTTATCAGAATATAGCAGGTAAAGGAATACTTTAAAGAACTATAAAAACAGATCTCCCTTTACCTACTCAGCACAGAAGTACAATACAAAGAAATGTTTTTTTTACTATTTTTATTTTTTAGTTATTATTATTTTCTTAAATTCTCCCTCACATCATCATTTTATGCTTATAATGTTCTACTTATTTAATGAGTAGCACCATAAAATTTCTTAAAATTTCTATTACTCAATATATGGCTTTAGACACTTTGAAATGCTAAATCTGTGGGCCCACTATAGACGTACCAGATCAGAATTGCATTTTAGACTATCCCTAGCTGATTTATATCTGAAATAGTTTTTTTCTGGATGTTACCATACTGGAGTTTGTTTCTAATCTATAATTTTATGAAATGATTGATTCTTACTAACAATTTTCTAAAAGAAGATGTATTGCTTTTTTTCAAATTATAAATTTTCCATTTAAAAAATAAAAAATACAGAAAAATATAAATAAGGAAACTCACTCAAAAATATTATTGATGTGATAATTTTAGACATTTCTACATTTATATGTAGATATAATGGATGGATGATGAATGGACAGATGAATGGACAGTGAAAGGGTAAGAAAGAATTTTACTGAAATGAAATCATCCCATACAAAATTTTTTAAAATGAAAGATATTATTTAAGTTGATAGAAACAAACTTAAGTGAAATTGAAAGTATTGTTGAACTTGAAGTAAATGTTTCTTTACAAGAAGAGCTATTAGATTTTACAAGTCATCTATAATGAGAACATTGTGAAATTAAATGTTTCAACTTTAGACATCCATCGTCTGTCCAGTGAAGGATGAGAAAGTAAGTGTCCACACTGCCTCACACCTCCACCTCCCAATTTTTTTTTAAATAATGGCAAGGTTTTTAATATTCACATTTGATTCCAAAATCATAATTTCAAAAGTCGTTTGAGTTTATTCCTATTTAGGGGTATAATTGTCTCACTAATAGTACTTAGCAACAGTATCTCCCACCCTGAGCATCCTGAGTTTTTAATTTTGACACACTTCTTAAATTCAAATATTTAATTACATATTTTTATTCTCTCCACAAGGAAGTGTGATGAGTACTCTTTAACTTCTTGCATGCTTATGAAAATACGTTGTCTTTTTACTAGAAGGCTAAATCCCATGGGTATATAGCTCTTTTGTTACTCTATGTTGCATAATCCTGTAGATAATTCTTGTATTTTCAGGCATTGATTTTTTTTTCCATGGAAAAATCTCAGATTACTCTAATTTACATATGCTGTCCTTGTACCTTACCAAATATTTATTACATTCTTTTTCTATGCAGTTTAGTACCTTTACCAGAATATGTGTTAGTTTTGCAATCAATGTTCCATGACGTACATTGTGCCTTAAGTTGCTGATGATTCAAGTTTTCTTGATTTCAGTCCAATTTTCTTCAATAATATCTTCAATGATTTTTTTGACTTTCTGATTTTACTTGTTCTTTTTTTAAGGGAAGTTTATTTATCTGTGTGTGTAGATTTTTTCTTGACTTCTGTTTCACCACAGTAGAATAGGTTTTGTAACAACTGGGAGATTTCATCACTCATTAGAATCTGATGCTTAGGTTTTTCCTTTTATACTACTGTTGCTTTTGAGGAATTAACACTAATCTTCTGTTTACAAGACTAAGGCATGTTCTGAGCTGTGATCTCAGGTGCCACAGGGTATAAGCAGAGGTGACTTAGAAAGCACTCAGTGTTATGGGAAGGTGTCCATCTGTTGATAATATAAATGTCAAATTGCTGGCTGCTATCACTAGGAGGCCCATATGCTGCAAAGATAAGAAGAGTAGCTAATTACACTCCATCTTTCAGAAGATATATAGTTTCCACTGTGCTAGAGACAAATGATGTAACACCAAATGTATGCGTGACAAAAGACAAAAATAGATACATTTGGCTTCTTTAAAATTGAAAACTTTTGTGCTTCAAAGTACATCATCAAGAAATTATAAAGATAATTCACAGAATAGAAGAATAATATTTAGCATGGGATGGAATAGACAAACGTTGTTGAGGATTTGAATAAGTTACAACTCTCATAAAATTGTTTGGTGCAAATATAAACTGATGAAGCTGCTTTGGAAAGTGATCTGGCAATTCTCAAAGGTTATACATAGATTTACTATATGGCCCAGAATACTATTGGTTATATACTCAAGAGAAATGGAAACATACATTCACAGAAGGCTTGTACGTTAATATTTACAGCAGTGTTACCCATAATAGCCCAAAAGTAGAAATGTGGTATATCCGTACAAAGGAATATTATTCAGTAATAAAAATAAATCAAGTATGATACAAGGTACAATATGGATGAAGTTTGAAAACATTAGGCTCAATGAGAAGAGTCAGACATAAAAAGATAATATATTGTACAATTTCATTTACATGAAATATTTAGAATAGGCTAATCTATGAAAACACAAATTATATTAATAGTTGCTGGAGCTGGGGGGGTGGGTGGGATGGAGAGCTCACTGGGCAAATGGGTGCACCATTTCTTTTGGGGTGCTGAAAATATCCTAAAATTTGCTTTGGTGATGATTGCATGACTCTGTTAATGCACTGAAACATATTGAATTATTCACTTTCAATAGGTAAATTGTATGCTATATAAATTATACGGCAAAAAATCTATTAAAGGAAAAGACCAAGTGGAGCACTGTTTGGGGACTTGCTTGCAGGTTCCTATTTGGACTTGCTTAGCAACCTCTCCAGCCTGATCCTGTTTCCTCAAGGTCATGTCTTCTGCTCAGTCTCCCCTAAACTATTGGTATGTCCCTGTGAATGCACTTTCTCTTTTTCTCTACACTGGTGATCTACTTCATGGTGGTGATGAAGAAAGGAGCTAAGCAAACAAAGGTGGTCTTATTCTTCCCTTATTCTCTTTTTAATTTTATAATTATGTTATAACTATATCCTGCTTACCTCTTATGGAAATATAAATCTGAACCTGGACAATTTTAAAATGTTGGCGGGATTAGACCTGTGGGGAAACTCTCATAATTTATAGCAATTATGAGAGGTTCCACTAGTAACTTTTAGCATGTATGAAGAAACTATAAATATATTTGAATCAAATTGAGTATTATCCAAATATTAAGCTTTTGAAAGGTCCACTGGGCTAGGATTTTTAAAAAATATTTTGCTAAGAATGAGGATTAATGTTTTTTCCCCCTTTTTTCCTGTCCAGAAAAACATTTCATAAACATTAGTTTTAAATCCAAACTTTTTATTTTTGTGAAAGCAGTCATTATTTCAAAGTTTTTCTCAACTGCTCACATCCTGAGTAAAATCACATTGCTTAGTCTCACAGGAGACATCATTTGTACTATAAAACAAATGTGATCATGTATAACAAGACATGAAAGTGCAAGCTCGTCAATGTGCCTTTGTGCTGCTCAGGGCATTCTTTTTCCAGTGAACTTTATGTCTGAAAACAAATTAGGATGAAAAGCCTGCTTAGTGAGAATATGGAATCATACCAAAGAAAGTCACCAAACCATCCAAGCATTTCTAACATCCAGCAACTCAATTTCAAATCAATTTGTTTCCAGTTTCCAAGTCTAAATTTTCCCATATTGCCCTTTCATCCTTCTAAATGCAATCCCATTTACGAGTAAAACAACTCCTGTTTTCAGAAGAGCATTATTAGAAGTTGAAGTATATATTATTATTTTAAAAATATTTATTTTTGAATAGGTAATACAGTCATGTGGTTTAAAATTTTAAGACTAGTGTAAACAAGAATAGAGTAAACATTCGTTTGTATCTCTGGCTTCTTCCAGTTTACATTTCTAAAGACCATCAATTTAGGTGGGTTTTCTTTTTCCAATATATGCCTCAAAACATATTCTATACATCTATAATTAAATATATATATTTCTTTTTACAAATGATGGTGGCTATATAGTCTGTTTTGTATATTTCTTTTTTCACTTTTCAGGAAGTCATAGAGATATGTCTACAATAGTGCATCAAGTTTTCTTGTGATTTTAAAATTTGTGATGTGATCTTTTGCATGTGAATGCCATAACTTATTGTTATAGTGACCTTTCATGGATATTTAGGTTGCTTTGGAGAGTTACTTCAGTTGTTGCTGTGCGTGAGTGATTTGTTCCTTTTTATCACTGAGTGGTATCCCATGGTGCAGATGTACTATAGTTTAACTAGTCACCCACGGAAGCAAACCTGGGCTGTTTCCAGTTTTGAGCTATTACAAAGCTGCTATGAACATTTATGTGCAGGTTTTTTGTGTAAATACACAATTATATTTCTGTGGCATAAATGCCTGAGTACGACTGCTGGATTATGTGGCAGTTCCATGTTTTAATTTAAGAAGCAGACAAACTGTTTTTTCCAGCGTGGCTGTACCACCTACATTCTAATCAACAATGTATAAGGGATCCAGGTTTTCTATATCCTCACAGCATATAGGGTTGTCATTATTTTTTATTTTGGCCATCTGATAAGTGTGTAATGTGTTTAATTTTTAAAACATGAAATATTACATACCTTATTCATTAAGGACCATCCAGAAAATTATAGAAAATTATCGTGGACATCCATTTTCCGAACACAGTATGATTCTTCAAAGATAAAAATCAGAGTTACAGATTATACTTTATGACTTTTTAATTAAGTTTGGTTTTGTCTGGACTTATTTTATTTCCCAAGATTTTCTTTTCCTCTACATCTACTTTCACAGATTTGAGAGTAATAAGATGGAAGTAACTGTGATTTATTGCTACCCACTCTGACAAAATTTATGTTTCTATTGTTATATAGCAAGAGACTTCAGATTAATAATACTTCATGAGATGTACACAAGACATTTTACTGAGATTAAACTTTAGTATTCTGATTTTAGAATCCTCACAACTGCAGTGTGTTAAAATGTTAATTCTCTAAGATATTGCTGAAAGACAGATGGGATAATTATCTTCATATCAAATTTAATTGTTTGAAAGCTACAAATTAAATCATGAGCAAAATTTCTCATGCATAAAGCTTAACTCTAGTAAATTCTGTTTAAGAATTATAGCTCAATAGCTTTCAAGACTACCACAACTATATTTTAAATTAATATTTTGCTTATACATTTGCTAAATAATTCATAATTTATAACTATATAAAATGTCTCACCATATTTATTTATGTTGCTAACACTACTCTGAACGTGTTTTATTCCTTAATGTTCCACCAGCGTTTTCTGTAGTTGACTTGTATCCTTCAGAATTCTGTATCTTGGTCATTTTCTCAGTAAGAGAGTTGACTGAATTAAATCCTCCTTTTTTATATTTCCTTCACTCTTATTTCATAACACATAGACTGACAGTTCTTCAATACTGATCATCCTTTAACAGAACCACTTGTTTCTTGTCTTCCTGAGGAGGAGCAGGTATCTTATTTATTGCCATTTTCCCATAGTCAAGTTTGGCACCTTACCCCTAATAGGCATTCAATAAATCTATGTATTTTTATTGATTGGTTGAAAAATGAAATAATGGACCTAAAAACACCTCCCAAGCTCCCCAATCCATTTATATGTTAATTATTATTTCTCCAGTGAGTTATGTGCTCCTAATGCCTAGTTCTTTGAGGATGAGCAGGTGAATGAACTCAGAAGGGGGATTATACAAGAAAGGTGTACTGTAGAAAGTTGTCCTGTGATCTCTTTTCCTCCAGCCACTTTCAGACATACTAGACTTATAACTCCATCTCCTTATCCAGTAAGCTATCTTTTGGAAATTCAGAGCTCTGTAAAAATATTTAAGCTTTTACTTCAAATTAATACACTCTGACGTTTTGTGTCCATAGATGCAGTGTCACCAGGTTGCCCCATATTCTTGTCCTGAAAAGACTTGATATAATTTTCTGACTATGTTTATGGAAAGGTAATGCATATTTGGGTCAGTTCTTAAAAAGTAATTAACAAATTCTAATGAGACAAAAGCTCATTTTAGAAACTATATTCTCTTACTAGACTTTCGGCGGATTTTGGGTTAGTGTAAATGAGTTGGTTATTTAAACCTTTCACATCATGGTTTTTTAAATGATAAATATTGTTATATAACTCTTCCTTTTGTAAATTATGTTTTATATATAACTTTTATCTAAATCTCTTAAATAATTATTTTTAAAATTATAAATGCTCTTGTATATTTCATTTTGTAAATTATGTTGTATATTTAATTTTTTAGGTGCTAGACACCTTGTATTTTATCTGGAAAAGGGAATAATTGTTCTTAAAGTGTTTGACTACCTCATATCAAAAAACATATTTATTTAATAATTGAATAGGTGGTATATTTAAATATATTACTAATCAATATATAATGGTGCATTGGACATTATCTCTCCCAACTTTATGGCATATCTCATGTCCTAGTGGTTAATAGTATAGAATTATTATCAGATAATTAATAATAAATCCTGTGCAATCAAAAACTGAGTCTTTTAAAAGTGACACTCAAGTGTAACACATTAGTAGAATATAAAATATCCTGCTTGTTAGAAAAAAGATCAGCAAAGTTTTTCTGTGTAAATGCCAGATAGTAAATATCTTAGTCTCTGGGGCCATAAGGTCTCTTATTAAATATACTCATTTATGCTGTTGTAACTTAAAAGCATTCTCTGACAATATGCAATGAGTATGTTTGTGCGCCAATAAGACTTTGTATATGGACACTGACATTTGATTTTCAAGTAACTTTAACATGCCATAAAACATTCCTATTCATTATATTTGTTTTGAGACATTTAAAAATAGAAAAAAAATATCTTAGTTTATAGGTTGTAAAAAAAGAGGCAATGGGCAGGATTAGGTCCCTGGATTTCCTGACCTCACTCTGTAGCAAGTTATATTGTTGGGTTATATAATGTAATTCATTTTATTTCTGTTTTTTTCAAATGTATTCAACATATTGATTTAAAACATATTTACTGACTTCTTTGGTTTCGTATATTCTATTTATTACTTAGGAACTAAGAGATATAATAATTTTGGAGTGATAATTAGATATTAGATGCTTTTTTTATCTCAGTACAGTCACCTACTGAACGAATATAAATAGATTTTTATTTATTTATATATTTATTTATTTATTTATTTTGAGACGGACTCTCGCTCTGTCACCCAGGCTGGAGTGCAGTGGCGCGATCTCGGCTCACTGCAACCTCCACCTCCCGGGTTCACTCCATTCTCCTACCTCAGCCTCCCGAGTAGCTGGGACTACAGGCGCCCGCCACCACGCCTGGCTAATTTTTTGTATTTTTAGTAGAGACAGGGTTTCACCATGTTAGCCAGGATGGTCTCGATCTCCTGACCTTATGATCCACCCTTCTCGGCCTCCTAAAGTGCTGGGATTACAGGCGTGAGCCACAGCGCCTGGCCTAAATAGATATCTTTAATTTCTATTTCATAGCTGAAATAATGAGAAAGAGAGGGGATTAGACATATTTTCAAGGTTACATACTTGCTGAGAGTTGGGATATAATTTTTATACATAGGTTTTTATGATTCTGTGTAGAACTGAACAACTATGATTCAGCCACATTATGCTACTTTCACTTTAGCACAGTACTGTGCTCATGTTTATGTGTTTAAAGTTTTGTTGTTGTTTCTTGGTTGGTTGGTATTCAGTGCTGCTATAATCTCAAAGACACAAACAGAAAAATTGAATTCATATTTATTTTGCATTGCATAATTTTCAGCTGAGTGATTTTGCTCCATCTAGCTTCCTTTTGAGGAGAATTGGATTGGAACATTGGCAAATAAAGTTTGATATACAGATTAGTTTCTTTTTTCCCCAAACATGGTCCCTGATTTGAAGTTATGTTTATAATTTAAGTTTTAACTTTGCAATTTTAGTCAATTTCCTTTGGAATTCTTGGATTTTCGGAACATTTGATGATGCATCAGTATTAAGAGATTATTTTTGACAGTGGTTAGAGAAAGAAGGAAGTGTTCATATTTGGAGATTATAAAACATGTAAAAGTGCATATTCTTTTTTCTGGACTTAAAAACTACTAAGAGTGATCCTTTTACTCAACAACAGCATAGAACTATATTCATAATGTAGGTAGTATGGAAAATTGAGCTACCCTTAAAAATGGAATTCAACTAAGGCAACGCATTTTAATTCACTTTATAATTCTTCAAATTTGATCATACCCTTGTTGGATAACACTAATTTATTTCAATAAATTATTTCAGAGTATATAAGAAATTTATCCAATTTTTTGAACAGAGTTGTTAAAGTAATAACAACTAACAGCATGCCACTGTAACTAATATCATCACTCATTTTGATATAATAGATATAATTTATATATATAATACACTTTTACTTAAATGTATTATATTTAATTATTGTTTAGTGGCTAGTAACTAAAAGATTTGCTGAATTACCTTTAGACATCAGAGAAAATTATTTCATATCTGTTTCCAAAATTTAAAGCAAAATCTAATATTGAGATCATGTCATTGCATTTTATGAGATTGATAAGAGTTGCAATTATTATTTAATGACTGTCAAGTTAAGTGAGGGAAATGCCACTTTTTTAGACTAGTAGTTTAATTGAAATAAAAACTGAATACTGTATACCATTAAATTGAAAACAGCTGGCAACATGTGGGATGATGCTCTCCTAACTTGGAAACATTATCATTGTTAAAAACATTATTTGGGCTTATTTTTAAAATTGTGCATAAAGTGTAATATACTAATATTAGGAAATTTATAGAAATGTTGGGAATCTATACTCAAACATCATAAACTGATTGAAATATACCCATAATCTCACTTAATGTATACATAATAATGATTTAAGAAAGCCTGTGAGGGCACTGTATTCCCAGCAGCCCATGCAATGCGAACACACATGAAGTACTCAAATATTTATTGAATTAGTTAACGTATGGCATCCATCTGTATGCTTTGTTTTCCAAAAGAAAAATATTTTCTTATATTCTTATGTAAATTTAAGTAAAATAGTACTCATTTACTTTTAAAACAGAAAGAACTTAGTTTATCATGAATAATTTCATTAAAATGTATTCATTTTTTATTTTTTGTGTTCATTTCTGATTTCTGTCTTCGAGAAGGTATTTAATAACACTTGATTAAACTGCATGAAATGCCATTGTTTAGACAAAATATAAAACCATAACATAACAAAAAAGAGGAGGGTAATGTTATTTTTAAAAAATTCAAAAAAGGATACATTTCATGGAAGTGAATATTTCATTTCTTAAGCTCTAATCTTCTTAGCACATTTCAAAGTTAATTTTCAATTGAGTGGTGCTAGGATAATAAGCAGAAGTTAGAACATTTTAAGAATAATTAGTGTGAGAGAGTCAGATCATCCATGGAAAATTGAGTTATAATTTAGTAAAACAGAATTTCAGTATGACCTGTGTAAGGGAGGTGGCTATGCTTTAGTCAGGAGTAGGCTGAAGTGGCTTTCCAGTGCAGCCTGACTCAGCAGTTTTGGAGCGCAGGCACACAACTCCACACATTATGTAACCATGCTACATGAGGCACATTATATAACCACACCACGTTAGGCGCATTAGGTGATCACCCACCTGAGCTCATGCTTGATTCATAGCCACTATTGTCTGTAAAAAGTATAATTACACTGCTAATGCTGTACATACAGCTTGTGGCTCACACCCACGACTTGCATCCAGGCTGGCTTTCACACACAGAGAGAGTAAAAGCTATGTCAAAACTGTCTATGATTCTTCGAATGTTTTTCCAGCTACCCACCACTTCACCGACTCCCCTTAGACCTCAGTTAGAACCTAACAATTAATTTCATGAAGAGGATCCCCAGCTGGGTGAGCCTTTGGTCCATGCTGATTTCAGGTTTACCATGTAGCCACAACATGGGTAGTGGTGCCTGGTGGCAGCTATATTGCTCCGGTGGCCTTCGGTGGGAACCTGGGTGGCAGTAGATGGGTCCTCCATTTGCATGGAGGAGGCAGTGAAGCAGCTGGAAACACAGAACACCGAGAAGGAATGAGTCTTTGCTGGCAGAGTTGGATGGGCGTTTTTAACTGCACTAGGAGAAGTACACACCCAGTCCCTGAGAGATCCAGCAGAGTTTAGGGCCCTTCAGGAGCAGGTGGGGCACCTGGAAACCTGGCTACACAGCTCAGGAAAGGAGTTAGAAGCTGCCATGAATGGGGACCTTCAGGTGCAGGCAGGGCACCTGGAGGCCCAGCTACAGAACTTGGAAAAGGAACTACAGGCTGCTGTGAATGCAGACCTGGGTTCACACCGTAAAGAAGGGGAAGGTGCTCCAATTGCAGGCTCCCCCGCCCCCACGAGAGATAAGAATGCCCCAACGAGTGACACACTCACAGATATGGATACATTTGATTTCGGACTGAGAGACAATCAATAAGCAGCCCAATGAAGTACTCTTAACTTTGTGGAGACAGTTGTCTCCGGAGCAGCAATTCTAGAAAATGCCCAAGTCGGGGAAGGACATTGCTGCATGACCCAGTCCTGCCTGGCCACTTCAGCTCAAAGGCTATGTGCTGCAACCAGGTAGGGGTGTAAAGCCTTTTCTGTTTGATGAAGGAACTGGCCAAGGTTCCTGGCGTGGGGAGACACCACAACTGGAGGTCCCATGTGAGGTTTACAATCCACTGGTCCACCACCAACATACCACGAGTGCTGGCACTGGTAGATAATAGTGCAGATACATTCTGGGGGTGGGTATTTTACATGGCTTGGCAGCTGTGCCGTCTATTACGGACTTGATACACTGCTTAAGAGAACTGGGACAGTACCACTATGTAGTGGACATGACTAATGCATTCTTTTCCAGAAAGCAAGGAACAGTTTGCCTTCATGAGAGAGAGACAATGGACTTTCACAGTGTTGCCACAGGTCTATATGCATAGCCTCACCGTATGTTGTGGTCTTGTTAATGATATTATGTTAGCCACTGATTCTCTTGTAGATTTTGAAGTGGCAATGCTCCCCTTGCCTAGAATTAAGATGATGAGGCTGAGACAACCTTTCTAGCAGCCAAGTGGGCTATTCAGCAGGCACAACCCCTATGGAAAATTAACCAGGGGAGCCCATTTGAACTGGATGTGCATGTATCCACAGGTAGTTTTGGCTGAGGCCTACGGCAGTGCATGGAGCACCTGGGAATACCAGTAGGCTATTGGTCCCAACTATGGAAAGAAGCTGAGCTATAGAATTCATTGATATAGAAGGAGTTAGTAACTGCATATGCTGCCCTTCAGGCTCATGAGAGTGTGGCAGGATGGGCTACAGTCATCATGCAATGAATTACTCAATAGTGGGATGGGTGTATTCATGGATAACAGTCCCTCGGACTGGGAAAGCAGCTAGTAACTGCATATGCTGCCCTTCAGGTTAGTGAGAGTGTGACAGGATAGGCTGCAGTTGTCGTATGGATGACTTACCCAGTGGCGAGATGGGTGCTTTCATGGGTAACAACCCCCCAGACTGGAATGGCATAGACATCCACTTTAGCAAAGTGGGGCACCAACTTAGACCAGTGGAGTATGCTGAGTATAAGCCCCTTAGCAGCAGAGTTGCAAGAGATCTTGGAACCTGTAGTCCTAATGCAAGATAAGGCCATGGGGCCTGAGGCACCCCTAGACATGGGTCTAGCTGAGCTGCTACTGCTGTCTGGACCACTGTTGCAGTCCCACCTAGTACTGACACCATATTGTTTGAAACTGGAAGTGGACAGTGTGCTCAATGGGCTGAACTCAAAGCAATATGAATGGTGATCACTAAGAAAGTGACACCTATGATAATCTGCACTGTTAGCTGGGCAGTTTATCGAGGCTTAACCTTGTGGTTAACTGCCTATAAGTTACAAAAGTGACTACTTGGTCACCGGCCCATGTGGGGCCAGGCCATATGGCAAGACATATGGTAGGAAAGATGTCTTTCTCCACCAGGTATGGGGCTGAATAGTAACCTGTTATTGCCTGGCCCAATGCCTGTAAAGATAGGGAAATAGAAACCTGACTTAATGTATAAAGCAGCCTTGTGGTAATGTCATGTGGAGTGGTTGCCTGCCATAACCTGGAGTTTTTGCTCCCTTTATTACTGCTGTGGCCTCTGGATCCAGGGTTCCACCTTGTGGGCATGTGTCCCTGCCTGGAGGATGCCCTCAGCTTAGGGGGTGGAGTGTAAGGGAGATGGTTTCACTTTAGTCAGGAGCAGGCCAAGGCGGCTTTCTGACACAGTGTGACTCAGCAGGTTTGGAGTGCAGGCACACAACTCTGCATGATATGTATCCAATGCCATGTGTGGCACATTAGATGATCACCCATGTGAGCTCATGCTTGGCTGGAAGCCACTATTGTCTGTAAAAGATGTAATTACCATGCTGACACTGTACATATGGCTTGTGGCTTGCACCCACAGATTGCGTACAGGCCGGCTCATGCTCAGAGAGAAAAAGCTGTGATGAAACTGTCTATGATTCCTCAAGTGTTTTACTAGCTACCCACCACCCCACCAACTCTCCTCAGACCTCATTTAGCACCTAACAACCTGACATTTCATATAGTCATTTTATAACCTTGGTAAAACCAAGGTTATAAAAATGTGCAAAGAAAATAAGCATTATTCTAAAAAATGTTTTAGAGAAACTTTTTAAACAGCCTAAACTAGAATACATTTTACTATGTTTTCTCAAATATTTGTTAGAGTGATTTTCAATTGTCATTATTAATTGGAATTATCATTAGCAGATCCAGGCATCTTGGCTCTCCAATTTCCAATGTGTTACTGATACTATCTTTAAATGAATATTGCTTATGACAAACACTTTTACAATGTGTAACAGCTGAACAATTGAAATTTAATTCTTTGACATTTTAACAATAAAGCCAAATCAAAGACAAAATGAGATGGTGTTGACCACATGGTGAATACATCATAATGGCCTTACTTGATGAGGGCCATGGTACAGTCTTACACTCCTCCTAGAATGTTGGGACTCTGATTTTGTGAGAACATCCAGAGTTGTGTAATTTCAGAGGAACTGACCCATACTTAGCAAATTAAAGTATGACTGAGAAACAAACCTTAATGTTAGGGTAGTGACTTTGTTCACATTAAATAATATGCATGAAAAGGGAAATTATAATCAGAATTATACCTTGATAACATGGAGCTAAGTAAGTAAAGAAAACGGAAGTGGGTGATTTTGAAGGGTAGTTATTATGCAGTCCAGGCTGTGGCTAGTCTCTACTAGGAAAATTATATTAGAATTCTCTTCTAGAATTGAGGATGCTGAGAATTCTTCTGTTTTTGTTTCCTTTCATTCAGATGATTCAGCAGAAAGGTATCAGTGAAGTTGGGTCATTTCCACGAAGTTCCACAAAGTGACCTGCTTTTTCTTGGGTGGATTTTACGATCTATCTAATGTATATCAAAAATATATAAATTCTGTTTTCACAGTTTTTGAATTTACTTTATTTCTTGGTTTTACCTTTTAATCAAATTTTTAAGAAGCAGGCTTCCTTTTTTTCTGTTCTTTTATGATTTTAAAGTCTAAAGATGAATGCCTTCTTTTAATACGTTTGTTCCACTTAATGCTAAATTAGTTCACGACAGCTTTCTTGGACTTCCTGTTTTCTTCTTATTCTTCATCTGAGAATAATTTCAAGACATAAGCATTTCTGTTTCAGCTCAAGTAATTAGTCTCCCCAACTCTAGCAAATACTATGTTAATAATAATTTTGTGGCTTGTATGTATTTATTGCCTGGAGTAAGGTTTCAAAATGAGCAAGTTTAAGGTAATGCACCTGGCCCATTGTGTAGTTTCAATGCAGAAACAATTTTCCACAGAGTCTAGTAGGAAATCAGTTTACTCCATGGAACAATACTGCTATTTAAGATTTTCTCTCAAAGCATAAATATACTGAAAATAGTTATTTTTCAAATGCATTCAACATTAAAATATGGATAACCATGAGATATGGGAACAGTCTTTGAATATGTGGTTTCCGAGGTAGTGCATTAATATATCTTAGGTAAAAAAGATTCTTCCTTTTTTTTTTCCCCACCAATCTATTACCTTCCAAGTTTTTGTGCACTGAATGCAAGAATACTGGACCCTGATGACAGGTATCATGCATTATCTTCAAATTGTGAATAAAAGCCAATTTTAAATTAATCAGATTACCTTTGGAGCTGACCATCTACAAGAAGAGAAGCCCCTCAGCCCAGGCTTTATGGTACTAGTGGAGGGGCCCTAGTTACCTATCACCCACTCAACATACCCATTCTTTAGTGTCATGGATTTTCCATTCAGAGCACTTATTCCAATGTGTAAGTAAACATTTATTTTTTTTAAATTTATTTTCTGCTTCTTCTGGCTATGGTAAGAGCTCTATGAAAACAAAACCTATTTTCTGTTCCTAGCTTTATATATGATGCCAACCACAATAGAAGACATAAGAATTATTGAGTGAATAAATAAATACTTCTGCACCCAAGCTGAGGATTATTTTTCCACATGGATTATGTAAAGAATCCCTCGATTTCTAACCTAGGAGAAAGCTAGTCAAATTTCCTCAAATCTAACATGACAGAAAGCTAGTTCATATCTCTTGGGAGACTAAGGACTCCAGAAGATTGAGGAACTTGAAGTTTCCAAATGCATTTTGGTTTGTAAGAGTGCTGCCAGTTAATGCCAGTACGACTAGTTCATATTTATAGTTGCTTCTCTGGAATCATCAGATTTGTCTTTTTAAATGATCCTCATCATTATGAGACATATAGACCTCTCCACAGAGAAATAAGAAAAAGGATCTCCTTTTGTAATTGTAATTACCCCTTTTGTAAGGGATAATTTTCTTCTTACATATGCAGTCCTAAGAAGGCCAATAATTATTGCATATTGGAAGAGAGCTTCACTACATCAATAGCTTTCTCTTAGTCATTCTGTCAGAATCACTAGGAAGCCTGTGCTTTAAAAGATATTAGTAGGTGCAAGTAATACCTATGTTGAATTATGATATTCTTAATAATCACCTTGATCACTAAAGTAAAAATGCACATTTTATTTCATACATCGTTTATATTATCCTTGGTTGCCCACAAAATGAGTAAAATTAGATTTGGCCAGATAGAGATCTCTGCATGTGCTGATTATTTGAGAATTTTCTTTGGTTTTGAATTGCTGCTGCTTTTCTTTAGAAGGGGTACATTTTGAATGCTCCAGATTTACATGAGTGGAAATTATATTCCCAAGATGATATGGAGAAGTTAGCAGCCCGAGCTCCTTTGTTTCATTGCAGTGCCTTACATTATAGGTTGTATGGTTTAGGCCTTGGTTTATAAAAAGAGATTATGAGCTTGATTATTAATCAAAGTATATTAATAAAGTAGAACATTATCAATTAGGCATCCTTTCACATGTGGAAAAGATCACATAGAGAGCAGAAGTCACTTATTTTGGCTCAGCAACAGAGAATCATTAAACACGCTAGAGTTCATTCCTGGTGATACATTACTGGAGATTGCAGTAAAGTCACAATTTTTCTATTCTCTTTTATTTTCATTTTATTTTATTTAATAAATATAATATACATAGAATTAAACTAGGTGTGAAAATTCAAGGCTGGAGTAAGAAACACATAATCTCAAGGATTATATGTAACTTTTCTCTTGTTTATATAGATTTTTTTTTCCCTTTCCTGTTAATAAGACTCATGTCCCAAGTGGGAGCTTGGAAATGTTAGAGTTCCAGGATATTAGGTTAAAAATGAACTTAGCTGTTGAATGCTTCTATTGATGTTAGTTCTGGAAACTCAAAATCAGGTCCAAATAAATTACATGGAAATTGTAAATATCACCTACTTTTTCCCTGTTTTTTGCTTGGCTAGTGCTGGTGTTTACGAACTATTCAGAATCAGAATGAATTGTTCCTGGCAGCATGTACTGTTATGCCAAACTGATGCTTTGAAAAGATGTCTCATGGACTTATGTTTTAAATCAGAGTATTATTTCTGTTGATCCTTATTTTATTCTTTGTGAAATAAATAAATATGAACATGTGATAAGGCATCTCTTTCCTAAGATGGAAAAAGACTGATAAAATAAAGACTTTGTTGCTAAAAAAAAACCCAACACTTTACTATACTATTGAGCAAAGGAAACTAAACTACAAATTTGTGTGTTTTGGTAGCTATAGATAATGGGAGTAAGAGAGCTGACTCACAGATAAACCTATTTAGAATACCGAGATACTCAGAATTACCACTTTCTGTAACTTCCACATGCTAGGAAATGCTGCTTCAGTCGTCAGTTCTTCACTTTTACCAGCAGACATTTTAGTGTAATTACATTAAATTGCTGAAATAAATACATCTCTAATTACTTCATGGAGAGACTCTAGCACAGACTGACTAGAGATTCTGCTGAAATAATCACTGAGCTCTTATTTCAGCAAACTTATCACAAATCTACATTTCTCAGCAATAATATCGTGTATCCTTACTGAAAGTCTGTTTTGGGGTGATTTGTTTAAAATTATTTGTGTTTGTATGATAATAATGGTTATCAAAAGAATACCATAAAGATGTGAGACCAAAATATGGAGAAGCTTTGACCCGTGAGTTCTATATTAAGTATTTCCTATACATTCTTATTTTATTCTCATTAATAATAGAAAGTAGGAGCCGTTACCTCCATTTTACCTCGAGGAAATAGAGTCGCAGAACAGTTAACGTGGTGCATTCTAAGTCCTCTTGCAAGCCAGCCCATAGCTGGATTTAAATGTAAGTCAGTGTGGCTACAAAGTTCGTCTTCTTTTATTCCATGCCACTTTTCTTGATGTTATAATACTCAGGTGGTAACTTGTCCTTTTGGAAGTCTGTGAGGGGATTCTGCTATGAGAATGGCAAGAATGTATTTTCACTGATGAGGCAAGAAGACATGGATGGGTCTAGCTCAGTTGAGTTGAAGAAAATGTCTCCAAAGCTGTAGATGGCAAAGCCTACACTTGAAGAAATGGGAAAAGCAACTCCCCATAGACTTCTCAGCAGAATAAAAGTTATGAGAATATTAGAGGACATGGTTGTTCATCTCCGGGCAGTGATAAGTTCAAGAACTTATGTTGTGTAAAATTACTATTTACAGTAAATCTTTGGCTTCTGATTCATCCTTCTAAGTTTTATCGGAAACTAACAAATAATTCTGGGAAGTTGTCAGGGGCCAAAGTAATAATTAAATAGTAGTTAGGAAAATGATATGATGTGATTCCCACTATGGCCTATTGTTAAATGAGCTAATGTCATCAGAGAGCAGCTATTTGAATCTTCATATATAGCATTCAAAAAGTGGTTTTGAAGGGATAAACATTTTAGGAAGTAAAATCATGGTTAAATCTTGTGATAGAGATGTTATTAAGTGTAAACGATGTTTCTTATTTTGTTAGCACTGTATTTATATTACATATGCAGTATGTGATCAGTATAAGAAAATGGAAAATACTGATTAGTGACAATTACTAGAAACTTCAAAAAACACAACATAATTTCAGCAATGCTAATAACTTAGTGTATAATATTTACCATTTTTTCTATATTTACATGTATATGCTTTACCTAAACAGGATCAAATCACAATGGTTTTTGGTAACCTATTTTTTGTTTGTTTATATATCGGTTTTCCACTTAATAGTACTTTATGAATAGCCATCTATCATTATTTGTGATTACAATACTATTTCATACTGTTGATATACCAAAAATATTTAACTAAATGTCTTTTACTGAACAGTTAGTTAAAATATTTAACTAATTGTCTTTTATTGCTTTGATTTTTCAATCAAAACAGGTCTCTCATGATTAAGACTTCAAAAAATATTTATATTCTACTTTGCAAAATTGTCATCATCTAAATTTTAAATCTCCTCCTAACATTTTGTTTGCCTTTTAATGGGATTTGTACATTTTCTATATTGCTACATTTTAATGAATTTATACATATATATATTTTCTTTGTGCATTCTGCCATTCCTGTTATGGCCACAATAAACTTTATATTTATTGTGTTTCTAAATGTATCAGTCATTTTGTATGATGTGTGTCAAAAAATAGTGTCTTCTTGAAATTTGACATTTCATACCCCTTGCTAGTATGAAATATGATTGCTGCATATTTTTCTGAGTCATCAGGCCTGTGTGTTTGGTAGACATGATCACCATTTCATGGGAAATGGATGTTAAAATTAACATCTGATTTTGTTTACCAGAGTAAAGATCATAGGTTATATTTTCTGAAACAAGTGGTATGTTCTATATTTTGAGCACCAAACATCTTGAGACCAAATAAATGTAAAAGATTTTTAGAAAGAAGCCGAGAGGAATATTATGACAATTTATTTGCTATTAATGAATGCACAGTGTTCTGTAAAATAATCATGTTAACCAGTACACTGGTCTTCCTGCATCATCAACATTTCCTTAATAGTCTGCCAAGCAATGCTGAATCAAAGATACCATTAAAGAAATTAGAATCAGCTGCTGAAGCTGAAATGTTTACATCCTATAAAATCCTTAAAAAATAATGATAAAAACACAAGCCTCCATTTCTTTGATCATGCTACTGGATGAAAGGAGTTTGTGGCTGTAAATAAATTTCTTTCTCTTGAACAAGTATCTGAGCAGAAGATCATAATGTCTCCACAGCTAGTTCCTTGCGGATCCACATTTGTACCTTTTCCACGACTTCAACCGTCAATATCTGATTCAAGAAAAAGGTACTGTAGGGTAAGCTGTAACATCAAGGGGTCGAAATGATGAAAACAATGTTTGGATGTTTTTGCTGACATGGATAAGGCTATAATTATTTGCTCTTATTTATTCATCCAAAATAGAGTACTTTTCATAATCTGTAGTTTCAATGAACTTACATTACATGGTTTAAATATATTTCTTTTAATGATCAACAAGAGACACACATTTCGGAAAACTCTCTTAAGCATTAGTAATATTCAGTTTCGCATTTATTTTTAAGTTACTTTGCAAAGTTGAGTACACATATTATACACTGACTTTAAGCCGTTACATTGCTCTCATTTGATATAAAATCTTTTCTCTATCATTGCTATTTAAATTGAAGATATTTTGAATATGTTACAATCAACATTTTTTCTAAAAAGTTATTCAGTCACATTATTTATTTTAAGATTCATATTCAGGAGTTAAATATGTATAGCATAATCATAAGCATGAAAGGCATGGGGCAATCTAATGCACAATCGTATCATGTCTGACTTTACCCTTGAATGATTAGAATAGCTTTCTCTCAAAATGCCTGCTTCTGTTTCTTTTATCAGTACATTTTAGGCTAGGCTGCCAGCATTGCAGATGGGGTTGTTACAAATACATTGATGTCACCAATCAAGGGAATAATTCTACCTAACGAGCGAGGGAAGTGTTAACCAATTTTTATTACTCACAGTCATAAGCCAGCAAGAAGGAAATCTCTACTCCATTAATGATTCTGTTTTTTTACGATCAACACTTAAAACTAAAAGGCTTCTTTTTAAAATGGACCATGCTAAAGTAAATGGGTACGAACCCATGAGTAAAGATTTATTTCATTTCTTAATAGCCGTTTAGTCAATAACACCTTCTTTGGCTTAGATATCATCGGAAAATAAGAAGTTAGTTCATGCCATTTCTACTTGATTCTAGCTCGAACAATTCTAAGAGAAGTGAGGAAAGGAATCACATAATTTATTTTTTCAATGGAAATGGCAACATAGAATTTTCTGTTTTTCAGAGGAAAACATAGAATAATAAAACTAGTGTATCAAAAGACCATTTCTCAATCTGTGTAAATAGTTGGGGCTACCCAGATTTGTAATATTGAGAGTAAAGTATTTGTTCACAATAATTCTACATCTGATTCTAACTTTCTTGAGAATGCTCATATAAAATCAAAATGATTCATCTTTCTGTGGATTGCCAATGATCACAGCATGAGTGAAGTAAACAAATTAGAAAATGGAAAATGAAACCGGATGTTTTGACAGAAAAAACGTAAGGTTTTAATTTGTGATCTGGAAGCTTGTGTAATAGACATGGGTCATTGTTCTATAGCACTGATTGTGGAGATTGTTAGATTGGTGACATAGCTGTCATTCCATTACTGACCATTATTCTGTTTTATCAAAAATGCTTATTAGAGATAGTTAACTGAAAGCAATTTGAGGCTAGAAAGTTGACAATTTAGGATTAAGGAAAATGGCAGAAGAAATTTGGTACATTAGCAGGAGCCATGATACAAGACCAGACCTATGTTCAATTCTTGCTCTGTCACTGTGTGTGAAAGGGGTGTACCTCCGTTCATAGGAATTATGTTCCTTCTTGTGCACCAGCAAGTTTGCTTCACATTAAATTATTTAAACAAATTGGAACTTTTCAAATGGTAACTTCATATTTTTATTGAAATGAAAGTTTCTGAGTAATTAAGCATATATCCTTCATATGCTAGAAATATATGCAACTTTCAAGAGCACATGCTGATTCACAAGCAGAATAATGGTTTCCTATTAATATTGTTCCCCATGAAAGAAATTTAAGCAGCTTTTAAAGTACTTGAAACTGTAAAGATAATGGCCTCATTTTCAAAAAATTTGTTAGATTATTAATATCATTCATTTTACGTTACCCTGTTTTGCTAATAAACTGTCATTACTCACACGTGAATACTTTTGAACATATTTCAGGTAATTTAACCTAACTTCATGTTAGTATGATGCATTTTTATGTCTGTGCTTCAACCTTTGTGTTACTAATACCTTATATTGGACAAACAGAAGACAAGTTACTGAAGCTTATTAATAGCTCTCATAAGTTCTATGAGGTACATCTTTTTACATTAAAATGAATAAAAGAGATAACTTGCCATTTCAAACGCTCTTTTGCTTCTTCTACAAGAAGATTTGAGATATCCTATAGAACAGTGGTCCCCAACCTTTTTGGCACCAGTGACTGGTTCCTTGGAAGACAGTTTTCCCATAGACCAGTGGGGGCACAGTTTTGGCATGAAACTGTTCTACTTCAGATCATCAGACGTTAGTTAGATTCTCATAAGGAGCACACCACATAGATCCCTTACATGCACAGTTCACAATAGAGTTTGCGATCCTGTGAGAAACTAATGTCGCTGCAGGAGGTGGAGCTCAGGTGGTAATGCTTGTTCAACTCCTGCTGTGGGCCTAACAGGTCACAGACTGGTACTAGTCTGAGGCATGGGGGTTAGGGACCACTGTTACAGAATAAACACACTGAGGAGTATGCAAAAAAGTGCTAGACACAGTCCCTGACTTTGTGTTGTTAACATTTAAGGAACAGACAAGAACACATTGGCTTATCCAAAAAAAACTACATAGTGGCCGGGCGCAGTGGATCACGCCTGTAATCCCAGCACTTTAGGAGGCCGAGGTGGGCAGATCACGAGGTGAGGAGATTGAGACCATCCTGGCCAACATGGTGAAACCCCATCTCTACTAAAAATACAAAAATTAGCTGGGTGTGGCAGCGCGTGCCTGTAATCCCAGCTACTTGGGAGGCTGAGGAGGAGAATCGCTTGAACCTGGGAGGCGGAGGTTGTAGTGAGCCGAGATCGTGCCACTGCACTCCAGCCTGGCGACAAAGCAAGACTCCATCTCAAAAAAAAAAACCAAACAAAAAACCTACATGGTAAGGTTCTAAGACTCAGAGCGAGTAATACTGTATGTATGTAAATTATATATGTATAATTTATGTATACAATAATGTAACATATAACATTTGAATGGACTGTGTATGTGTGCATTTATATTTTATATGATTTATATATTATAATTTATAAAATATAAGCATTGAAATTGTATGTATGTTTATATATATCATAGCATATATAAATTATACATGAACATTTTTTATGTAATTATATGTGTAAAGTTTCACTCACACTGAGCCTTAAGACCCTACCTTGTAGTTTTATTTGGATGATCCAATGCATTCTTGTCTGTTCCTCAAATGTTAACACAAAGTCAGGGACTGTGTCTAGCACTTTTTTGCGTACCCCTCAGTGTGCTGATTCACACACACACACACACACACACACACACACACACACACACAGAGTCAGTTCTCATTATTTGTGCTATTTATGTTCTATAAAGTTGCCATCAACTCTGCATTAGTGAATACTAAACTACTACTTCTAAACCTTTGGTCACATTTTTTGTCAAGTGTTCAATACATAACCTTGTTTTATGTATATGTCTGTTTAAAGACACCTTTTAAAATGTATATTTATATTACATAATTAAATATGTACAGTATTTCATTATAATAAAACGCTAGCTAAGAAAGTTTTCACACTTCTTGATTCTGGCCAACATGGCTGTAAACAGTAATGTAAACTTTTTTGGCTTTCAGCCTCGTAACAGTACTGCCTACTGTGCTTTTTTTGTTGTTTTAAAATCAGTTATCACCTCATGAATTCACAAATTTAGCTACCTTCCCATCTTTTCTATAGCCTCATTATGCACAATAAATGTTAGTTTAGCACTTTCTAGAGCAGGCCCATATACAGATTGGTGATTATCTGGATGAACATTGAACTCACAGACAGCAGCCCTATAACTCATGATTGAAGAAAGCTCATCTAACACATATATTTCTCTGTAAGGTATATCACAGCCTTCTTGCACTTAGTAACAGTAGCAGAAACTCAACGTTACATGTAAGAGCTATTAAACAGGGAAATTACGAACAAAAAGCATAAAAATACAAAAAAAAGTGTCACTGTTAAGACCATGAAAAAGACACTTGTTTACAGTATGAGAGCTGAAACGAGAAGGCAGAGCATGGCCTGGGTCAACTCCATCTGGGAATTTGCTGTGCAGACAACTGATTTTTTTTTTTATTTGCTTTACGTAAATCTACAAATAACTGTGAAAATACTACCATTGTGGTCGTTTTCTACCTGTTCCCTCACTTTCTTCGACAATCAAAAACCACTGAATAGCTACTTTTTTTGTGATATTAGCTATCCTTGTAAATGACATTGACATCTAATCTGATGCTTGAGCTAGAATCTCAAAGTCAAATTTGACTTGTTCTTTGCAAAGATCTCCAAAATACAACAAATCACCAGATTTCTTCCTTTTCTCTACTTCAACCATAGCAATATAAAATAGATGAGAAATTGAAGATTCTATAATACTCATTGTATTTATAAAAGTCAAAACCTAGTGATTTATTAAATTAATATTTTTTAAGCTAGAAGACAGTTTATGGAACATAAATTAGATCTAAATTGATTGACTTTCCTATTTGTTGCTAGAAATAGAAGTAAAATGAAAATTTGATAGCTTGGGACTACAATAGGTAGATAACCCAAATATTACATTTAATAACACCACTATCAATATTATTTTTTGATAATGATATCCGGGATATAGGAAAATGAAGATTTTCCTTAACACAAAATATATCTTATTATATATGACTTTAGTGTGAACTTCACTGTTTTACATCGTATTATGTAATATGTCTTGTATTTACATTTGAAACATGGACATTAAATGATACAGCATGATGTTGATAACCTCACTCATTGTATTTAGTGAAATATGGAAAATTATTATGTAATATGGCATTAGTGATAATTATTTACTTGCCATCCTCTTTAGTGGACATGTTATTTTATACCACTGGACATCCATTGTCTCATTTTTGGTAACAATTCCTGATTCCTCTCTGGAAAACCACTTTTTTTCCCCCCTTATTCTCAGTCCGTGGACCTTTGTACCCTTCTCCACCCCATTCTCATTCAAACTCCCAATAAGAATGTGTGAACCTGAAATAATCAAAATGATCAGAATCCAGTTCTAAAGAATTTACTCAAGTGTGAAATTTAAGGATGGCTGCCCAGGAAACACAGACTCCAAATGAATGGGGTCAGTGTTCTGAAGTGGAGAACTAGGATTTTACCTTTATAGGTAGAAACAAAGAAATTTAGTAGGATTACAACATTTTCATATAAAGCTGGTTTATGAATTACAATTTGATTAGTTACAGCTTGTTCGTTTTTGGGAAAGGTATACTTAACAGTTCATCTTGAGCAACTTGATAATCATAGAGTCTTTGTGCTATCTGATCTGTGTCAGGTGCAAGAGAAAAAAGGAGGAAGTTAACCTATAATGAGGGTCAACAAGTAAGAGGGAAGAGAGCTTATCTCTGGTGTCATTTAATCTTTTGCAACATTTTACAAAACAAAGTAGGTAAGGAAAAAGTTAATCTATAATTAGAGAAACAATCACATTTTCTTTAAGACTCAAAATAATTGAAAGTTCCAACAGCTTTAATTTGAATCGCTTATTTTCACAAACGTTACCAGGCTAAGTCAGTTAAGGAACTTTATATCCTCTGACCTCAGTTTTTAATTTAAAGGTAGATGCATGGCTCTATCAGATGCTTTGAGACCCAATAGAAGTTTTTCTTGAAATTCTGGTCTAGACTCTCTTTCTTTCTGGACTCAACAAGAATAAATACAATTTCTGGAGCAGTTGCAGACATCTTGCCACCATGAAGGAAAATCTGCTTCTGAATGAACCAAGGGAATTGTAACTGGAGATGGAGAAAAATAAAGTAGCGGTGAATAGATGGGCTCCTGCTTCAATCCATGTCTGTAGGTGTCACCAGTCTACACTTTTCATTTTTGAGAGGCTTTAAATTCCTTCTTAATTTAAGCTAGTGTGTCCGGAATTGGTTCCTTCCAGTGGGTTCTTGGTCTTGCTGACTTCAAGAATGAAGCCACAGACCCTCATGGTGAGTGTTACCGTTCTTAAAGATGGTGTGTCCTGAGTTTGTTCCTTCAGATGTTCAGATGTGTCTGGAGTTTCTTCCTTCCGGTGGGTTCGTGGTCTTGCTAACTTCAGGAGTGAAGCCACAGACCTTTGCAGTGTGTGTTATAGCTCTTAAAGGTGGTGCGTCCAGAGTTGTTTGTTCCTCCTGGTGGTTTCGTGGTCTTGCTGACTTCAGGAGTGAAGCTGCAGGCCTTCGCAGTGTTACAGCTCAAAAAGGTAGTGTGGACCCAAAGAGTGAGCAGCGGCAAGGTTTATTGTGAAGAGCAAAAGAACAAAACTTTCACAGCATGGAAGGGGACCCAAGTGGGTTGCCACACTGGCTTGGGTGGCCAGCTTTTATTCCTTTATTTGTCCCTGCCCACATCCTGCTGATTGGTGCATTTTACAGAGCACTGATTGGTCCATTTTACAGAGTGCTGATTGGTCCATTTTACAGAGTGCTGATTGGTGCATTTACAATCCTTTACCTAGACACAACATGCTGATTAGTGCGTTTTTTACAGAGTGCTGATTGGTGCATTTACAATCCTTTAGCTAGACACATAGTGCTGATTGCTGCGTTTTTACAGAGTGCTGACTGGTGCATTCACAATCCTTTAGCTAGACACAGAGCACTGATTGGTGCGTTTACAGTCCTCTAGCTAGACAGAAAAGTTCTCTAAGTCCCCACTCGACCCAGGAAGTCCCGCTGGCTTCACCTCTCACTAGTATGAGTAGCTTATTTTTCTCAATTGCAAACTAAGGAGTATGAAGTCATATTAAACCCAATGAATAAAACAGTTCAGGCATCTGAAAATTATTTTAAGAGTTGAAGCATAAAAATGTAAGGTTTAATGACTTATTTTCCACAGATTTTACTATTTGTATTAGAACATCATTTTGGTAAATGTACATCTGTTCTTCATCAAAAACTGCTGGTACCTCTAGTAGTAATACTTTTCACATATGTATTATCTTCCATCACTTCTATCTAGTTTGTATTTGGCCTATAGCTCATTTATGGACACCTAAACTAAATTCATCTCAATTAATCTTTAATTTTTGTTAACATAAAGAAGTTTACAAGCAATCTAGGATACAAAAAGACAAAATTTGTAAATATGCATGCAGAAAATGAAAGCAGGTTTGGAATGGAGTTTCCCAGTATACTGACTCTTTCTGCATAAGCACATTGTTTAAATATAAGTTACAGTGATTATTATATTCTGTGGTGTATTGTTAGACAAAACTACAAGTACTACTGGAATTTAATTAATTAATTACTTATGAATCTATTTATGAATTCCTGACATTCATCTTTATTTTATAATTTAATGTGCTTTTTAAAAACTTTTATTTTAGGTTCAGGGGTACATGTTCACTTTGTTATATAGGTAAACTTGTGTCATAGGGGTTTGTTGTACAGATTATTTTGTCACCCAGGTACTAAGGCTAGTACCCAATAGTTGTTTTTTCTGATCCTCTCCCTCCTCCCAACCTTCACCTTCAAGTAGGCCCTAGTGTCTATTGTTTCCCTCTTTGTGTCCATGTGTTCTCATCATTTAGCTCCCACTTGTGAGAACATATGGTTTTTGGTATTCTGTTTCTATGTTGGTTTGCTAAGGATGATGCCGTCCAGCTCCATTCATGTTCCTCCAAAGGACATCATCTCATTCTTTTTTATGGCTGAGTAGTATTCCATGGTGTATATATACCACATTTTCTTTTTTCAGTCTACCATTGATGGACATTTATGTTGATTCCATGCCTTTGCTATTGTGAATATTGCTGCAAAGAATATGTGGGTGCATGTATCTCCATGGTAGAATGATTTATATTCTTTTAGGGTATACACCCAGTAATGGGATTGTTGGGTCAAATGGTGGTACTGTTTTTAGCTCTTTGAGGAATCAACAAACTGCTTTCCACAATGGTTAAACTAACTTACACTCCCACCATCAATGTATAAGCGTTCTCTTTTCTCCACAACCTCACCAGCATCTGTTATTTTTTGACTTCTTAAAAATAATAGCCATTCTTACTGGTGTGAGATGGTATATCATTGTGGTTTTGATTTGCTTTTCTCTAATGATCAGTGATGTTGAGCTATTTTTTATATGATTGTTGGTTGCATGTATATCTTCTTTTGAAAAGTTGATGTTTATGTCATTTGCCCACTTTTTAATGGGGCTACTTGTTTTCTTTTTTCTAGTAAATTTATTACATTCCCTATAGATATTAGACTTTTTCAGATGTATAGTTAGCAAATATTTTCTCCCATTCTGTAGAATGTCTGTTTACTCTGTTGATAGTTTATTTTGCTGAGCAGAAGCTCTTAAGTTTAATTAGATCCAATTTGTCAATTTTTGCTTTTGTTGTGATTGCTTTTGGTGTCTTTGTCATGAAATCTTTGCCCATTCCTATGTCCTAAATGGTATTACCTAGGTTGTCTTTCAGGGCTTTTATAGTTTTGGGTTTTACATTTAACTCTTTGATCCATCTTGAGTTGATTTTTGCATATGGTGTAAGAAATGTGTCCAGTTTCAATCTTCTGCATATGGCTAGCCAGTTATTCCAGTGCCATTTATTGAATAGGGAGTCCTTTCCCCATTGCATGCTTTTGTCAGCTTTGTCAAAGATCAGATGGTTGTAGGTGTTCACCATTATTTCTGGGTTCTCTACCATGTTTCATTGGTCTGTGTGTCTGTTTTCATGCCAGTACCATGCTTTGGGTTGAGACTGTGGAGTTTTTTAGATAGAGAATCATGTCATCTACAAACAGGGATAGTTTGACTTCCTGTCTTCCTATTTAGATGCCCTTTATTTCTTTCTTGGGCCTGATTGCTCTGGCCAGGACTTTCAATATTATGTTAAATAGGAGTGGTGAGAGAGGACATCTTTCTCTTGTGCCAATTTTCAAGTATAATGCTTCTAGCTTTTGCCTATTCAGTATGATATTGGCTGTGAGCTTGTCATATATAGCTCTTATTATTTTGTGATATGGTTTTTCAATACCTGGTTTCTGAGAGTTTTTAAAATCAAGGGATGTTGAATTTTATCAAAAGCCTTTTCTGCATCTATTGAGATGATCATGTGGTTTTTATCTTTAGTTCTGTTTATGTGATGTATGACATTTATTGATTTACATACGTTAAACCAACCTTGAATCCCAGGGATAAAGCCTGCTTGATTGTGGTGGATTAGCTTATTGATATGCTGCTGGATTTGGTTTGCCAGTATTTTGTTGACAATTTTTGCATACATGTTCATTGAGGATATTGGCCTGAAGTTTTCTTTTTGCTGTTGTTGTTGTGCCTCTGCCAGGTTTTAGTATCGTTTCTATGATCCTGGCCTCATAGAATGAGCTAAGGAAGAATCACTTCTCTTCAATTTTTTGGAATAGTTTCAATAGGAATGGTACTAGATCTTCCTTGTACATCTGGTAGAATTCAGCTGTGAATCTTTCTGGTCTTGGGCTTTTTTTGTGTATTGGTATGCTATTTATTACTGATTTAATTTCAGAGCTCATTTTTGGTCTGTTCAGGGAATCAATTTCTTCCTGGTTCAGTCTTGGGAGGGTGTATGTGTTCAGGAATTTATCCATCTCATCTAGGTTTTCTAGTTTGTGTGCATAGAGGTGTTCGTAGTAGTCTCTGATGGTTATTTGTATTTCTGTGGGGACAGTGGTAATATCTCCTTTGTTGTTTCTGATTGTGCTTATTTGGATCTTATTTCTTTTCTATATTAGTCTAGGTATTAGCCTATCTAACTTATTATTTTTTTAAAAAAATTAACCCCCAGATTCAGTGATTTTTTTATTTGTTTTTCTTGTCTCAATCTCTTTCAGTTCAGCTCTGATTTTGATTACTTCTTGTCTTCTGCTAGCTTTGGGTTTGGTTTGCTTTTGCTGCTCTAGTTTTTCTAGTTGTGATGTTAAGGTGTTAATTTGAGATCTTTCTAACTTTTGATATCAGCGTTTAATGCTATAAATTTCCCTCTTAACACTGCCTTAGCTGTGTCTCAGAGATTCTGATATGTTGTATCTTTGTTCTCACGAGTTTCAAAAAACTTCCTGATTTCTGCCTTAATTTCATTGTTTACTCCAAAGTCATTGAGGAGCAGGTTATTTAATTTCCATGTAATTGCATGGCTTTGAGTGATTTTTTTCTTTATTCTTGATTTTAATTTTTATTGTGCTGTGTTCTGAGAGTGTGTTTGGTATGATTTTGGTTCTTTTGGATTTGCTGAGGATTTTTTTATGTTGGATTGTATGGTCAATTTTAACCTATGTGCCTTGTGGCAATGAGAAGAATGTATACTCTGTTGTTTTTGGGTAGAGAGTTCTGTAGAGGTCTATCATACCCATATGGTCCAATGTTGAGTTCAGGTCCTGAATGTCCTTGTTAATTTTCTTCCTCACTGATCTCTCTAAGACTGTCATTGGAGTGTTGATGTCTCCCGCTATTATTTTGTGGAAGTCTAAGTTTCTTTGTAGGTTTCTTTGTAAGTTTAAGAACTTGCTTTATAAACCTGGTTGCTCCTGTGTTGGTTGCATATGTATTTAGGATAGTTAGGTCTTCTTCTTGAATTGAACCCTTTACCATTATGTAATGTGCTTTTTTTTCCATCATTTTTGTTGTTTGTTAGTTTAAAATCTGTTTTATCTGAAATTAGCATTGCAACCTCTGCTTTTTTCTGATTTCTATTTGCTTGATATATTTTTCCTCCATCCCTGTATTTTGATCCTATCAGTGTCATTGCATATGAGATGGGTCTCCTGATGACAGCATACCATTGGATCTTGCTTTTTTTTTTTTTTTTTTAAATCCAGCTTGCCACTTTGTACTTTTTAAATGGTGAGATTTAGCCTGTTTCCATTCAGGATTAGTATTGATACATGTGGATTTGATCCTCTCATGTGTTTTTAACCAGTTATTATGCTGGCTTTTTTGTGTGGTTGTTTTGTAGTTTCACTGGTCTACGTACTTAGCTTTGTTTTTATTAGCTGGTAATGGTTTTG
The DNA here is from genome assembly GCF_000001405.40 of Homo sapiens. NCBI lineage: Eukaryota > Metazoa > Chordata > Mammalia > Primates > Hominidae > Homo > Homo sapiens. Next base: position 196,518,281 of record NC_000001.11, on the reverse strand, counting down.
GCTTTCCAAATTTAGTGCTTCTTTCGATGTCTATTCTAAGGTGGGCTTGATGGTAACAAACTCCCTTAGCATTTGATCTGGAAAGGATCATATTTCTTCTTTTCTGAGAAAGCTTAGTTTCTCTGGATATAAAAATCTTGATTGAAGATTTTTTATTTCTTTAAGAATGTTGAATGCAAGCTGCCAATGCCTGCTGGTTAGTAGGGTTTCTGCAGAGAGGTCCACTGTTAGCCTCATGGGGTTTCCTATGTATGTGACCTGCCCTTTCTCTCTAGCTGCCTTTAATATTCTTTCATTTTGACCTTGGAAAATCTGATGATTATGTGTCTTAGGGATAATCTGCTTGTGTTTAATCTTGCAGGGGTTCTCTGTATTTCCTGAATTTGACTGTTAGCCTCTGTAGCAAGGTAGGAAACTTTTCATGGACAGTATCCTGAAATATGTTTTCCAAGTTGTTTGCTTTCTCCTGTCCCTTTCAGGGATGCCAGTGACTCATCTATTTAGCCTCTTTACATAATCCCATATTTCTTGGAGGTTTTATTTCTTTGTATTCTTTTTTTCTTTATTTTTGTCTGAGTGTCTTATTTCAGAGAGACACTCTTCAAGTTCTAAGATTCTTTCCTCAGCTTGTTCTACTCTGCTGTTAATACTTGCGATTGCATTGTGAATTTCTTGTAGTGTGTTTTTCGGCCTTTTCAGATCAGTTAGGTTCTCTCTTACACTGGCTATTTCATCTGTCACCTCCTTGTCATTTTATTGATTCTTAGTTTCCTTGGATTGCACTTTGCTGTTCTCCTGCATCTTGGTGATCTTCATTCTTATCCATATTCTGAATTCTATTTCTGTCATTTCAACCAATTAAGGCTGGTTAAGAACCCTTGTCAGAGACTAGTGCAGCTGTTTGGAGGAGATAAGACACTCTGCCCACTTGAGTTGCTCAAGTTCTTGCATTGGTTCTTTCTCATCTCTGTGTGTGGATATTGCTTTAACTGCTGGGCTCCCTCTGATTAAAGTGGTAAAGTGGGGGCAGCATGGTATTACTGGAGTCATATGTCAGGTGACCCTGCCCAGTAGGGAGAAGAGAGTACTGGGACCTGCATGGAATACCGTCTGACCACTTTTCTGTGAGGTGGGTGCTCTGTTCTGGGGGTCTGGACCAGCCTCTGGTTGCCGTGGACTCCCCAGAGTGTGGAGACAGCAAGCATGAAGGCTGTAAGCAAATACGGCAATCCCCACTCCCATTGGGAGCTCTCTCCCAGGAGTTGTAGAGCTGCTACTGGCTCCATAGTCCCAGCTGGGGGGTGGTTGGAGACTCAGGCTGGGAGGACCCACCCAATGAGGAAGTATGAGATCAGGGACCCACATAACAAACAGTCTGGCTACTTTTCCATAAGGGTGCTGTAGTATGCTGGGGGTCTGCTCTAGTCTCTAGTCACCTTGGATTTTTCAGTACCTGAAGGTATCAACAGTGAAGACTGCAAAACAGCAAAGATGGCAGCCTGCAGATCTCTCTGGAAGATCTGTCCCTGAAAAGCTCTGTCCCTGTTGCCAGCCCGAACACACTGACAGGGGTGGCTAGGTACCCTGCTTGACAGGTCCCACCCAGTAAGGAGGATAAGATCAGGGACCTACATTAAAAGGCAGTCAGCCTGCTTTTTCATAGAGCAGCTCTGCTGTGTTGTGGTCTGCTCCAGCCCACAGGCCCCTCAGGCATTCCAAAGCCCAAAGGCAAGAATGGCTAAGGTGGCAAAATAGCAAAGATAGTAGTACACCCCACCCTCTGGGAGCTCAGTCCCTGGGAGGTTTGGGACTGCTGCCAGCTGGAAAACACCAGCAGGGGTGTTGTAGATCTTGATGGAGAGATTCCGCCCAGGGAAGAAAAATGGGATCAGGGACTCGTGTGAAAAAGCAGTCTAGCTGCCTCTTTGTAGAGCTGCTGTGCTGTGCTGGGGGACCACCGCAGTCCCTAATTGCCCCTGATTCCCCAGAGCCCTAAGGCAACAATGATTAAGGTTATAAAACAGCAAAGATGGTGGCCTGCCCCTCCCTCTGGGAGCTCCATCTCAAGGTGGTGTGACAATGCTACTCATGACTGGCTGGAGTTCCAAGCCAGTGGGTCTTATCCTGGGAGGTGCCATGAAAGCAGGGCCTGCAGACCAATGCTGCTCAGCCCCTGGATTTAGCTCCTTTCCCAGGGTATGTACGCAGGTCTGACCTCCCACCTTGCTGGAGTTGCAGCTGCCTTTGCTGGGAAGTCTGGGTATCTAATGCTCCTGGGGCTTCGCATGTGCCTGACCAGATGCTCTGCATGCCAGACTAAAGGCCCTGGTGTAGGAGTTCACCAGGGGATCTCCTGATCTAAGGGTTGCAAAAATCTGTGGGAGAAGCATGGGTCCCTGGGGTCACTCACTCACTTACTCACCACTTCCCTGGGTTGGGGAGGCTACACTGGCTCTGTGTTGCTCCAGGGTGGGCAGTCATCCTGTCTTGCTTTTCTCTAATCTCCTTGGGTTGAGTTGTTTTCTTGATGGATCCCAATGCATGTACCTGGATGTTTAGTTCAAGGTGCTGTATTTACTTGCCCCTTCACTTTTCTCCATAAGAGTGGCACACAGTAGCTGCTTCTAGTCAGGATCTTACTCTTATTGTTGTCGTTGTTTTTTAATGAGGTAAATGTAATCTATTGTTAAAGTAAAATTGCTTTACAATAATTCTCAGTTATTTTCACAAAGTTCTTCTACAGTTAGGCTTTAATTTCATATCAACTTTTTCCTAGTTCTAAAGAACACATCTTCCTTGTTAATGTTAAGTCAATGCTTGCTAATTTTTATGAAAGTACAAATGAAATATGCATATTTTCATAAGTACTAAGGTTGTAAGCAAGTTTGCATGCTATTAATAGTCTTCACAGTTTATCATCTATTTTATATAGTGCAATGACTGTTAATGGAAACCTGATAGTCTTATATCTGGAGTTGAAAGACTTATTGATAATGGTAACAATGCAAGGTGGCAGTCTTCTCAGTTCTATTTGCAAGCCTCAGGGTCATGGATGGGACCATGCTGTAGTTATTCCCATAACCATGGCTGCTGGTGAAGTTATCCTTATCACAGAAATGCTGGAAATCGCTTACAACAGAATCCTCATAGTCCTTTTCCATCATTATCGGAAATCATAGTGAGCCAGGACCTAAAAGTTTCCCAGATATCCTTTTGGTATTTTAGAACATATTTTACAATTTTCCTAAATTAGAGACATGGATTATGTCAAGAGGCTGAATGTCTAGAATGTCTAGAACTCATCTGTTGTGGGTTTGTTTCATTTGTTATTTGAAATGAGCTGTAATTATTTCTGTTTCTCTCTAAAAATTAATGATCTAAAATTCAGACTTGCTTGGTCTGAGAGGTACCTCCATGTTAAGGTACAAATAGTTTCGCGATTCTAAAAGACACATTTAGCAGAATTAATAAAGTTATGGTTTTAATGATTCATTAATAAGTATATGAAAAGCATCAAAAAATAGAAATAAATCAACTATCTTATATTTTTATGTAGATATAGAAAAGCAATATACTGGTGATTTAAGTATGTACATTGGTATATAAATACTGCACATATGTAAATACAAATGCAACACATTTAAATATGTAAGTTTATAGGTAAATACAACACATATTTATTTAAATGTTTAAGTAAGTGTTCACATAGTACACATTTTTCCAGCATTTTAACTGTAATTTTTGTGAAGTACATTAGCTATTCTGAAAGTATCAGTAAGAAAAATGTTTTTCAGTGGTGTTTTCCCCACATAGAAGAACATAGTGATACTACTACTGATTCATTTGGTGGACTACTGAGGGGAAGGCTGAAGAAGATTGCTGGGTGGGGATTCCAAATCAGCCCCAATATTAGTACATAAAAAGAAGGGATGACTGAAAATTAGAAAAAAATGGTCAGAAGATATTTATAATTGTCAACATGATTTTTACAGATAAAAATGTAAATAAGAACAAGAGGAAACAGCAAACTTTTATATAGCAAAATTCATTCAACACTCAGCAAATGTATTGAGTACTTAATATGTGTATCTGGCCCTGTGTTGGGTTCTGAAAACACGAGCAAAATGAACAAAATAGAAATAATTCCTGCCCTCACAATTTTAGATCTAAGTAAAGCCATTACTGGCAGCTTTGGAGGGACACATAGCAAGAAACATGCCCTCAAATCAACTCTTGATGAGGCTCATATTTAGATGTTATTAATGATGCATTCCATCTGGTAGCTTCCTATTTCAGTCTATTTGTGTTCATTATTCTTGCAAAGCACTAAGCGTAGAGGCTTCTACTTTGCTCTAAGAGAGTATACACCTTCAACATGGAAATATACAAAATATCAATGTACAGAAATATTTTTAGAATTTACTTTTATTTCCTCTTTTCATACCTCTGTGTTCTATGTAGAACCAGTTGTTTGGTCTCTAAGGTCCATTTGGAGGATATAGATCATTAAAAAACAGTTTCAACACATTATAATAAGTACTATTGTGAAAGGAGTAGAGGGTACTGAGCAAGAACACATGTGTGTCACTTCACTAAGACTAGGGAGGAAGAAGGTTCAGGAAGCATAGAAAGTGAGAGCTGAAGGAAGAAGGACAAGGCCTGGAGGCAAGGCAAAAGAGAGCTTAGTTAACGTAAGAGTTGTTCATTTTTTTCTTAAAAGTCCAAATGAATATTCTTGTTGAAAAATTGTACGATAATTAAGTCTGGTTGAGGAAATAAAGCGATATCATAGTGTGCTAGATTATTCATATTATCCCCAGCAAATCAGAAGCATGCATTTTAAAATTAACAAATGTGTTCCTTTTTGGAGCAAGGTTATTTGGGAGTTTCTGTTTCTCAGCATAGATGCCAGATGGCAGAATCCACAGATTGCCAACCTCTGCATGCTGATAGTTGTCAACTTTGGATGCTAACAGGGTGTTAGAAGTAACCACTGCAGAGTAACTTTTAATTCAGTATATATTAGTGAGCATTCACTTTGAATTAGGTGCTGAGCATACAGTTATAAGCAAAAACTTCTAAGTATCTCGTCAGTGGAGCTTGAGGTTTAATCGAACTTTAAGAAGCTCTGTGATGACAAACTTTACTGTGACTTAAAACTAATTCTAAATTTTTATGGAATCCTGAATGCCATAATTAGAATTAATTGGGAGAAGAAAGGATAGGCATGGGGAAATTAGCAGGTAGATCAGAGTACCTCCTTTTTCAGACACGATAAGGTGATGGGAAGAAGAGAGTGGGTGTTTATTTCCTTTCCAATACTTCCTTCTGTGTCACTATACATCACTCACCCTAGGGATCCAATCTGGCAGTTTTTGCAGTAATATCTAATTAAAGGTCATGCCTTAGAATAGAAGACTGCACATCACAGTACTTTCAATGATGTGAAATACTTTGTTGCTATTTTTGTAGATTGATAAATGGATGGAGTTCAGTTTGGGTTCAATATTTCCATTTTTTTACTTAAAGTTTTGTTTTGATTTGTTTCACTGCATCTTGGTTGAAAATAAATTTTAATTTGAAGTCAAGTTTAAATATCTTAGGTCACTATTGCTAGTGTCAACTGAACATGTTCATTGCAAGCATTTTTTTCTTTTTTCTCTCTTATTCTGGTAAAACATTTTTACTACTTGAAGAACTTTAAACAATAATATTAATATGCACTCAAGTTAAAAGAGGATTCAGGTATAACAACATGATTTTGGCTGAACCATGAGAAGAATAGATTTGACATCAGCTAACATGGAAAGGAGGTTTCAGGGAAGAGAACAAGGAATTTAAGTTTCGATATGCTGGGTTGCAGATGTCTGATAGAGATCCAAGTAGAAATATTGAGTAGACAGCTTAATTAATATATGAGTTTGGGGAAATGGATTGAGCTGGAAATATAAATTTGGCAATCCTGGACATATACTTGGGTTACATTTTGAGTGTTGCTACAAAAGAGGACTATTTTAAGAGTAGAGCAGAAAGAGCCAGCTGAGGTTACTCAGAAGGAGTACCCTGGAAGGTAGGAAGAAAATCAAGAAAATGGAGTCTCTGGAGTTTCCTGGAAGTCAAGTAAAGAAGGTGATTCAAACATGATGAAATGATCAACTGTGCCTAATGCTGATAGAATAAGTACGATGAGCACTGATAACCGATATCTGCATTTTGCTATGTGTAGAGGTCACTAGTGACCTTGAAAAATTGCTGATTAGGTGGAGAGGTGGAATTGGTTAAAGAAAGTATAAGAGATGAGAAATTAGTCAGTGATTTCAGACCTGTTGCTAACAAGTGTTGTATCCTGAATGGTGTCTCTCTCCACCCGCTGACATTTATATGTTGAAGCACTTACCCCTAGTACCTCCGAATGTGACTGTATTTAGAGAGAGGGTCTTAAAAGAGGTGATTATGTTAATATGAGGTTGTTAGGGTGGACCTTATTCCAATCTGACTTGTGTTCTTGTAAGAAGAGTAATTTTGAACACATATAGAGATGTCAGGGACCCGTATGCACAGAGGAAAGATGATATGAGGACACAGTGAGTAACCAGACATCTGCAGACCAAGGAGAGGTGCCTCAAGAAAAATCAGCCCTACTGCACCTTGATTTGGAGTTCTGGCCTCCAGAAAAATGAGAAAATACATTTACCTTTAAGCTCCCAGAATCTATGTTATTTTGCTATAGCAGCCCTAGCAAACTAATTATAAGTCTCATTATGTCTCTCTGTCTCCCCTTCCATACCGCTCCGAACTATGACAAGACAGCTAAGTGCCTGTAACATCTATTTCTGCTGTAAGAAAGAATTTTCTTAGTTCATGCAATGATGATGTTGCCTTTAGGGACCCTGGTTTTTGTGGCAGATTTCTGTGGGGAATTTCTTTGGAGCTTTTTGTAGGAGATTTCTTTGGAAGGTTTCTGGCCTGTCAAAACAGAAATTCCTTATCAGCAAAAATTGACAGATAGCACCGGGGTGAACAGTAGCTTCAGTGATAGCTTATTTCTCTGGATTCTTATTTTCTTTTCTGGCTTCTAAGGACTTCCCTTACTTTTTTGCTAAGCCATGCATGTTTTAAAAAGTTGTGTGTGTGTGTGTGTGTGTGTGTGTGTGTGTGTGTGTGTTGTGTGTGTTTACGTATGTGTAATAATTTATTCAACTTTTTTTAGGTGCTTCCTTTAGGGTGGGGGGAAGAGTTTCATGGGACATCTGGTCTACTATATTGCCAGATGCAGAATCTTGAATTACTTTTAAAACTTTGTTTGTGGTAAAACAATTTCCTCTATATTTGCCAGTTTAACCATAGCTAGTTGCTTGGTTTTGGATCAGGTAGAGTTACTATGAAATTAATAGGCATCTAATAAAAGGTAATTGCTAATGCCTCTGGTTGGATTCTCTAGAAGTGGACACTGATACAAACTTTGTGTTGTAGGCTGTCCTGGGAGAGGTGTGACCTCACACAAGGTGGCTATTTGCAGCTAAGGCAGACATTGAAGCAGCTGGCAGCTGGAGAATATCCAGCTGTTACTGATGAAGGAGAATCTGGGTGCCACATTTCCATGTCGATCACACCCACTTCTATGATACTTAACACATGATAAAGTCTTATGAAATAATATTTAACTACTAAATTAATTGAAACTTAAATTGTTAACCATTGTTTCTTGTGTAAATAAATTGTATCCAGAAAGTTTCTAAAATGTCTGTTTAGCTATGGTAATACATTTTATAATCTGTTTAAGTGTGTGTTATAATCAGAAAAAATATGTAATAACAAATATAAAGTAAATTTGATGTGTATAATATAAGTTAGGGTAAATTGTGTGGGCTCCAGGCTTAGACTGCCTGGAGCAGTTTCATTGTTTATGATTTGTACAACTTTGGGCAAATGCCTCAGTCCCCTAATCTGTATAATGGAGGTGGGGATTATGGCTATGTGCTCTGCATAGTGCCCAGGGTTTATTAGTAAATAGTTCCTCTTGATAAGTTATTGTCACTATTTATTAATATATTTCTTAGCTTCTATTCAAGTTCTTTTAACTTACATGGGCTTCTTTTTAACTTCCTACATTCATATCTTGCATTTATCTGACTTGCTCCCTTTGTTCTAGCCATTTTAATTCCTTTTACTTCCCTGAGTGTACTATATATACATATATTTACATATTTTTCTCTTTATTCTTGCTGTTGCTTAAATAAGAAAATATCTTCCATGTGTCTTCTCATCCAACCTTGCCAATCATATTCTATATGGTTCCCTGTCAAATTCCTACTAGCGCTAAACATTTGATTAATTTACTTATTGGCAGAACATGGACATTTCTTCTCAAGATAGTCCTATGGAGTCCTCCTGCCCATTTTTAATAAATACATTTACAATTGCTATTAATCTCCAGAAGTTCAGATTTAGTTTAGTTGCAATTCTTAGTTTGTGGCACACTCTCATCATTGTCATATGGATAGACTTTAATTTATTTCATTCATTTATTACTTCATTACTTAATTAATTAACTTATTAAAAATATACAGACACCTATGACACTTGAAGAACCAATACCTTATAAATAAATGAAGTCTAACTCTGGACTGCTATACTGTCTTCTCTGGTCTTCCTCACAGAAATAATTTCTATCCTTGTTTTGGCTTTTCATACTTTTGCTTTAAAAAGTATAGCTTAACAGATATGTATGCATCTGTAAATAAGTTATTGTTTAATTTTTAAAGTTTTTTTGAACTTTATAAAACTGATCACTGACATATAGTCTTAGGCTTGCATCTTTTATTCAACGTTAGGTAACTAAGATTTATTCATATTATTGCATATAACCATAGATTATGAACTTTGACTGCAATTTTCCATTGTATTAATATGCCACAAGTTATCCCTGTCAGTGGATATTTAAGCTTCGTCTGTTTCATATTTAAATTTGCTCTCATGAACAGTGCTTCCTTGAACCTTTTTTTTTTTTTTTTCGGAGTTTCGCTTTTTTTTTGCCCCGGCTGGAGGGCAGTGGCACTATCTCGGCTCACTGCAACTTCCGCTTCTTGGGTTCAAGCGATTCTCCTGCCTCAGCCTCCCGAGTAGCTAGGATTACAGGCACACGCCACCAAGCCCAGTTAATTTTTGTATTTTTAGTAGAGACGGGGTTTCACCATATTGGGCAGGCTGCTCTCGAACTGCTGACCTCAGGTGATCTGCCCGCCTCAACCTCTTAAAATGTTGGGATTACAGGCATTAGCAACTGTGCCCGGTCCTTTGAACCTTCTTGTACATGCATCCCAGTGCAAATGTTTAAGTTTCTCTAATGCATTTATCTAGGCATGGAGTTGCTGGGTTGTAAATACATAAATATCTAATTTGACTAGACAATGCCAAATTGTTTACAAAAATGATTGCAGCAGCTGACTCCACTGATAATAAGGAAATCTTTGATTCACATATCTGCAACATTTGGCTTTATTAAACCTTTTGATTTTTCCAATTAAATGGATATAAAATGTTACTTCACTGTAGTCTTATGTATATTTCCTGAGTGCTAATGAGGTTTAACATTTCTCACTAAGTTTATTAGCCAATATTGTTTCTCTTCTGTGAAATGCTAGTTGGCACCTTTTGGTTACATGTTTGTTCTTAATAATTTGTTAATACTTCTTTTTGTATTCTTAATTTTAAATCTTTACCAGATATTTTATTCAAATATCTTCTCCCAATTATGAACTTATTTCACTTTCTTTAAGACTTCAAATAATTAATGCCTTTTATAAATTTGAGCTTATAGAATTTTCTGAGCCCATTAGTGAAGTTATTTCTTGGTTTATACTCTTATCTTCCTAGGGCAGAAATTTTATACATACTTTATGTTTTTGTTTTTGTTTTGTTTCTAAAGTATACTTTCACTGTTCAAAGGTCAAAAATATTAACCATTATTTTTTCATAAAAGGTTAAAATTTTTTAATATTTCAGGAGGTGATTTAATCTATATACTGTGAGATAGAGATCCAATTTCTTTTCTGTTTCTTTCTTTACTTTTTTTTTTTTTTTTTTTTTTTTGCTACTTAGGGAACCATTTAAAAAGATTCATTTATTTAATGCTGCTTCTTTTTTACTACTGTTCAGCCATACCACCTCTGTTATGTATTAATACTTATTATATGCATGAGTCAATTTATTGAATCTTTTTAAATTTCACGAATCAATTTATCCTTCTCTGTACAGCTTCCATAATGCCTTAATTACTGCACCATCCTAATAAGTCTTAATATCAAGTAGAGAAAACCTCTACTCTTTATTCTTCTTCTCAAACATCCTGTATAGTTTGATCTTTTACTCATTATAGAATCAGATTATCAAATTCCTCAAAATAGTCTATGTAGTTTTGACTGGAAGCTTATGGAATCTATAGATTATTTTATCATATTATAAATAACATTTGTTTTCCAAAGCAGTTACATCAACTTAAATTATATTGACCGTTAGTAAGAAATTCTTACTAATTTGAGGAAGGGCTGTTATAGCATAATTTTCAAAAGGTTAAAAACATATCCTTTATATAAATATAACATGAGAACATGTCAGAAATTTTATACACCTCATTAATTAATGAGGGAAACAGTAATGCATTAAAACTGGTCCAGGAGCTTTTGTTAAGCTAAGTAATTCTAGGCAATGATAGAATAAAATTGCTGAGTTACCCCTCCACCTGCACTTCCACAAATACAGTCGCCACCCCACACCAACCCCTAGTTCTACTGGCCCATAAACCACAACCTTTGAAATTATCTTTTTAAATTAGGCAGAAATCCTTTGGATGCCTATTAGACAAAACTCTATACATTAATGTCTTTTCCTTCACATTTGTAAAATACCACAGAAAATAGAAAGCCACGTCCAGCACTGCATTGAAAGAGCACCTCGTAATTGCCTTCATCTACTTTCAAGTTCTGGATAATTTTTCTGATAGAACTGATGGTGAATTTTTCTCAAGTGTAACATTTTCAAATTTTAACTATATCATTATCAATTTCTTAGATAGCTTAGGGAAATTGTATTGAGATGGTTTCATCAAAGAGGCTTATTTAAAATTGGGAGAATATAATCACCAGTTTTTTATATTACTGATGTATTCTTTGACATATGCATATATTTAAAAATAACATTTAGATTTCACATTTTCTAATAAAATTATAGAAAATAAATTTATTATTTACTCATCTCTTTTTTGTAAAATATAGATGTTTTAATCATTATTTATGAGACCAAATAAAACTTAAGGATCCATTAGTAGGGGATTTGTGATTAAATGGTGAATATTATTATAGAGAAATGATATGCAGTCATTAAAAATGATGACATAGGCCTCATCTACTTTGACTAAAAATAATTACATTATGGAACAGCAGGTGTGGGAAAGCTCCCTTTATACCATAAACAACAAATAATTGAAATATCACTAGAAAGCCTGTTAATGAATTAAATTATGTTTGCTCAAACTGTCTTCACTTAGTGAGTAAGCTTTAACAGTATTTCAGGAGAGTGATGTTGTAATTGAGTTATTTATTAGGCTCTAGGATCAAGGCTCTTGTGGTATTAGGCAGATCTTTAAAGGTGGAAAACTGATTTAGAATGGTAAAAGTTCTTGACAAAGTGAGGGCTTTGAAGCAAGTCTTAATGAGTAAGCTACTGTTTGATAAGTGATCTGTTTGCCCAGGTGAGCAGATTAATTATTGTCTCCAATAAATTGATCTGTAGGCATTTTCTGAAGTAAATAAGGAAGTTCTTTATTGTATTATATGCTTATTTTTCCCAAGTAAATGATTATTGTAGGAAACAACCATATCAAATTGAAATAGATGAACCACAGTTTTTGTTTTTCCAATTATACGTTTATTTTAGGAACGTTTTGTATTATCAACACACTATAAAAGTTATGAGTTGTCATTGCTTTGTTGCATATTTTACATATATGCTATGTTTTTAAAATTTCTATAGCAATCCTGTGAAATGGAAGTAATACCTGCATTTTACAGAGAATAGTTATCAGACCTGGTAATCAAATGCATATACGAAGCTCATGCTCATCTTCTTTAGCTCTTACACTATACTACAGAATAAACAAATTCACATACGAATGTGTGGAAACATATTTTCCGCAACATATTTCCCTAGAAAACCCATTTGCAATTAGGAAAAGAGGAAGTCAAATTGTCCCTGTTTGCAGATGACATGATTGTATATCTAGAAAACCCCATTGTCTCAGCCCAAAATCTCCTTAAGCTGATAAGCAACTTCAGCAAAGTCTCAGGATACAAAATCAACGTACAAAAATCACAAGCATTCTTATACACCAATAACAGACAAACAGAGAACCAATCATGAGTGAACTCCCATTCACAATTGCTTCAAAGAGAATAAAATACCTAGGAATCCAACTTACAAGGGACGTGAAGGACCTCTTCAAGGAGAACTACAAACCACTGCTCAATGAAATAAAAGAGGATACAAAGAAATGGAAGAACATTCCATGCTCATGGGTAGGAAGAATCAATATCGTGAAAATGTCCATACTGCCCAAGGTAATTTATAGATTCAATGCCATCCCCATCAAGCTACCAATGACTTTCTTCACAGAATTGGAAGAAACTACCTTAAAATTCATATGGTACCAAAAAAGAGCCCGCATCACCAAGTCAATCCTAAGCCAAAAGAACAAAGCTGGAGGCATCACACTACCTGACTTCAAACTATACTACAAGGCTACAGTAACCAAAACAGCATGGTACTGGTACCAAAACAGAGATATAGATCAATGGAACAGAACAGAGCCCTCAGAAATAATGCCTCATATCTACAACTATCTGATCTTTGACAAACCTGAGAAAACAAGCAATGGGGAAAGGATTCCCTATTTAATAAATGGTGCCGGGAAAACTGGTTAGCCATATGTAGAAAGCTGAAACTGGATCCCTTCCTTACACCTTATACAAAAATTAATTCAAGCTGGATTAAAGACTTAAACGTTAGACCTAAAACCATAAAAACCCTAGAAGAAAACCTAGGCATTACCATTCAGGACATAGGCAGGAGCAAGGACTTCATGTCTACAACACCAAAAGCAATGGCAACAAAAGCCAAAATTGACAAATGGGATCTAATTAACCTAAAGAGCTTCTGCACAGCAAAAGAAACTACCATCAGAGTGAACAGGCAACCTACAAAATGGGAGAAAATTTTCACAACCTACTTATCTGACAAAAGGCTAATATCCAGAATCTACAATGAACTCAAACAATTTACAAGAAAAAAACAAACAACCCCATCAAAAAGTGGGCAAAGGACATGAACAGATGCTTCTCAAAAGAAGACATTTATGCAGCCAAAAAACACATAAAAAAATGCTCACCATCACTGGCCATCAGAGAAATGCAAATCAAAACCACAATGAGATACCATCTCACACCAGTTAGAATGGCAATCGTTAAAAAGTCAAGAAACAACAGGTGCTGGAGAGGATGTGGAGAAGTAGGAACACTTTTACACTGTTGGTGGGACTATAAACTAGTTCAACCATTGTGGAAGTCAGTGTGGCGATTCCTCAGGGATCTAGAACTAGAAATACCATTTGACCCAGCCATCTCATTACTGGGTATATACCCAAAGGACTATAAATCATGCTGCTATAAAGAGACATGCACATGTATGTTTATTGCAGCACTATTCACAATAGCAAAGACTTGGAACCAAGCCAAATGTCCAACAATGATAGACTGGATTAAGAAAATGTGGCACATATACACCATGGAATACTATGCAGCCATAAAAAAGGAAGAGTTCATGTCCTTTGTAGGGACATGGATGAAATTGGAAATCATGATTCTCAGTAAACTATCACAAGGACAAAAAACCAAACACCGCATGTTCTCACTCATAGGTGGGAATTGAACAATGAGAACACATGGACACAGGAAGGGGAACATCACACTCTGGGGACTGTTGTGGGATGGGGGGAGGGGGGAGGGATAGCATTAGGAGATATACCTAATGCTAGATGACGCGTTAATGGGTGCAGCACACCAGCATGTCACATGTATACATATGTAACTAACCTGCACATTGTGCACATGTACCCTAAAACTTAAAGTATAATAATAATTAAAAAAACCCATTTGTATTGTCGTAAGTTTGTATTAAGTGAAATTATATTAGTGACCATTTTCCCTTCTTCCTTCAAATTGTGTCACCTTGACTTTAAATGTATTCCACGCTATACAATTTGCCTATTAAAAGTCGTAACTTAAGCAAGTGCATTACATACTAAGAGAAATCTTAAAGACATACATGTGTTCCAGTGAGCTGTGCCCATTACTGAATTGTGACTTCTTCCAGTTAAGTGCAAAATGGAAGAGACGATTTGGAGGGTTGATTTAAAATCGTATGTTTTTGGTGGGAAGTGTTAAGTTAAAAAAAAGAAAGTGCTTCCTTCACTGCATGTTAGTGTGTTCATGTAACTTCCAGTTTCATACAAATAACTCTCATCTGTTGAACATAGCCCAACTCTTTGAGACCTATTGGTTCCCTCTCCACAAACACATATATTTCTCCCCATATTGGACTTTGTTATAATATTTAACTGTGCCATTCCTGGTAATCCTAGACTGTCAGAGCATCTTTATATTTTCCTTCGAGATTTTACAATGACTAGTGAAATATTCCCATTTGAGTTAGAGATTACATGGTATTTTCTATACTCTTATGTATAGAGAAAAGGAGAAGAGGGTTTATGTGTTGTAGTTATGAAGAGTTTTGATTGGCAAGCTATTAGGTTTATGGTGGGGTTGCAGGTGCCTGTAGTCATATTATAAGCTTATAAATAGTTTTGTGATGAACAGCTTTATATATCTATAATGTATGTAATCATACACATGTGTATGTTTGTTTACATATGTATATGTACTTAGGTACGTAATTATATTACCTTTGAGGCCTTTTGTGTGTTTATAAATAATGGGAAGGAGTGGAGGTGGGGTAAGAAGAAAAACGTGGAAATAATTTAGGAGCATCTGCTCTTTTTTTTTTCTTTTCTTTTCTGAGGTGGTAGTGGTAAGGATACATAATCCTTACCAAAGATAATTTATTACAGGCCTAAATTCTGTATATTTTTCTGCTCTTTATTACACATTTAATAGTATAAAAATGAATAAACGCTTTATTCTTTGCATGTTTTTTCTTTCTTTTCTTTTCTCTTTTTAATGGCTTGGCTCAGGCCTGCCCACCTCATACAGTTGGGCAGGGGGCATGAAGAGGGGGAATCTCTTTGCAATTTACGAATGACAAAATATACCTTTATAATTATTCTATATTTCTTTTTATTTTGGTTCTCATGCTTACATTTAAATCAAATTGGGGTTGCTTGGATTTAATTATTTTAAATAAAATGGGGAAGTACAGAGAGTTGGCCCAGCAAATGAACATTGAACATAAGGATGTGAGTTTTCTAACTGAAAAGAAATACTTTTTTGCGTTAAAGAGTACTTTAATAGAAAAGTACTCTTGGCTGATTTCATAATGTGTTTTACCATGGAAACCACAAGACTATTTCCAGTTACCTGCAGGTTGTGATTACTAAGGGCTGATAAGGAGAGTCAATGCAGTTATTGAGGGGCTATTCATAATATTTCTAACAAAAGAAATTGATAGTTGTTATTTATCCCATTTTATTTCCTCATTACCATTACACCACATGACATTGTATATGTATATGTAACATATATAAACACATGCATATATGTGCATATACGTGTCTCTATGTGTGTGAGTAGCTCAGTTCCCTTTCCAAAACTGACATTATTTTGAATTGTATTTTAAAAATGCAGACAATGCTACTAAATGTCATCAAAATTAATCTTTCCTTCATTATGCAATGTTACTGACTAAAGGTGTTGAGTATGTTAGGCTTGAGTAATTATGAAAAGACTTAGATGGCAAAAAGAAGTTAGGAAATATCTTAGGAAAAATTGCACAACATTTAAATTGCGTTTCTCTGTGTACATAGAGTAGAGGTTGGAAACCAGGTGGAAACTCATTGGAAGCACTTGAGCCTGAACTATCTTTTTTTTAATTTATTTTTGAGATGGAGTCTTGCTCTGTCACCTGGGCTGTAGTGCAGTGGCACGATCTCAACTCACTGCAACCTCTGACTCCAGGGTTCAAGCAATTCTCCTGCCTCTGCTTCCTGAGTCTGGGACTACAGGCACCCGCCGCCATGCCCCGCTAGTTTTTTGTATTTTAGTAGAGATGAGGTTTCACCGTGTTGCCCAGGCTGGTCTCAAACTCCTGAGCTCAGGCAATGTGCCTGCCTTGGCCTCCCAAAGTGCTGGGATTACAAGCATGAGCCATCGCTCCCGGCCCAAAACTACCTTTTTAAAATGAAAAATGGATAGGAGGCTTACTTGTTTATTTTTTACAAGCCTTCTTTTTTATTTTTAATTTACTTTTATTTTTATAGATTTAAGAGGAACAAGTGTAGTTTTCTTGAATGGGTATATTGTGTTGTAGTGAAATCTGAGCTTTTTGTGTGCCCATCATCTGAATAGTGAACATTGTACCCATTAGATAATGTTTCAATCCTTACCTCCATCCCACCTGCCCACCTTTTGAAGTCTTCGATTTCTTGTTTTTCATTCTGTATGTCCATGTGTACCCATTGTTTAGCTCCCACTTATAAGTGAGGATATGCAATATATGACTTTCTGTTTCTAGGTTATTTTGCTTAGAATAATGGCCTACAGTTCCATTCATGTTGCTGAAAAAGATATTATTTCATTATTTTTCTTTTTTTATACCCAAACAGTATTCCATTGTGTGTGTATGTGTGTTTGTGTGTGTATCTATATCTACCCCACATTTTCTTTATCCAGTCATCCATTAAGTATACACTTAAGTTCATTCCATATCTTTGCTATTGGTAGTAGTGCTGCAATAAAAATACAAGTACTTGTATCTTTTTGATATAATAAATGACTTCTTTCCCTTTGGGTACATACCCAGAAGTTGGATTGCTGAATTGAATGGTAGTTTGATTTTCAGTTCTTTGCAAAATCTCCATACTGTTTACCATAGAGATTGTACTAACTTACATTCCTCCCAGTGGTGTATAAGTGCACCGTTTTCTCTGCAAACTTTCCAACATCTGTTGTTTTTTGACTTTTTATAGTAGCCATTCTTACTGGTATAAGGTGGTATCTCATTGTGATTTTAATTTGCATTTCTCTGATGATTAGCATTGTTGAGCATGGTGGCATATGTTTGTGGCTGCATACATTTGTATGCCTTCTTTTGAAAAATGTCTGTTCATATCCTTTGCACACTTTTTAAGGAGTTTATATTTTTTTCTTGTTGAGTTGTTTGAGTTCATTGTAGATTCTGGATATTAGCCCTTTGTTGGATGCATAGTTTGCAAATATTTTCTGGCATTCTGTATATTGTCTATTTACTCTGTTTGTTTCCTTTGGTGTACAGAAGAGTTTTCGTTTAATTAATTCCTATTTGTCTATGTGTGTTTTTGTTGTGTTTGACAAGCCTTCATTTGTTGGTTATCAGAAACTAAGTATGAATATTTGGAAATGGATAGGAATCTGGTTTAGAGTCAATAATCACAGGGCAGACCTTAACAAACATGTCCCACTATTTATGGGGATAGCCCACTATTTGTGGGTGGATCTGTTATTTACAATGTTCTTTTATAATATTTTACAAATGTTCTAGAATTCTCCTACTACCAATAAATTCTCAACTTGCTAAGAAGGCAAGAAGCAAGAAAAAGAATAGAAAGACCAATGTTCCAACTCTGTCCCCATCCTAGCTGTATGAATTTGGGCCAGTCACTAAAATTATTTGAATGAACGTTTCTTTTTCTTTCTTTCCCTCCCTCCCTCCCTCCCTCCCTCCCTCCCTCCCTCCCTCCCTTCCTTCCTTCCTTCCTTCCTTCCTTTTTCTTTCTTTCTCTCTCTCTCTCTCTCCGTCTCTCTCTCTCTCTCTCCCCCTCCTTCCCTCCCTCCCTTCCTTCCTTTCTTCCTTTATTCCTTCTTTCCTCCCTTTTTTTTGATGGAGTCTCACTCTATCACCCAGGCTGGAGTGCAGTTGTGCAATCTCAGCTCACTGCAATCTCCACCTCCCAAGTTCAAGTGATTCTTCTGCCTCTGTCTCCCAAGTAGCTGGGATTACAGGCATGCACCAGCACACCCAGCTAATTTTTGTATTTTTAGTAGAGATGGGGTTTCACCATTTTAGCCAGGCTGGTCTAGAACTCCTGACCTCAGGTGATCCACCTGCCTCGGCCTTCCAAAGTGCTGGGATTACAGACATGAGCCACCACTTCTGGCCCAAAGTTTCTTTTTCTATAAAGTTGATATCTATGTTACTCAAGTAAAAATCAAATAAATTAATAATAGTATACTTTATAAACATTTATTAAAATCATAGACAGCTAAAGGTACAAATAAATAAAATCTAAATTCATAACCTATTTACAAAATCTGTGGGGAAATGACATTAATCATAAGGTAGATTAAGTTGGAATAAGAAAGAATTTCCAAGGATTCACCTCACCATAAACCCGAGTTTTGCATCCTCAGATGTTATAACATAAGGAAGAAAAGTAAGATGATTTTATCTCTCCTACCATACTATTAGTTCAGAGTCCTCATGGTTTGTACCAAAGAAAAAATTGGCTACCACATTATGCCTTCATTCAGGAATTTATCTCTTAATCTTTAATGTCCAGTAGGTCCTAACTAATATGTGGGATGCTCATGATATAAGCATGGACAAAACTCAATATGGCCCTTGCCCTTATGGAGTTTACATTCTAATGAATGAACGTGGTATGACTGAGAACTGGTGTTGTCACCATTATAGAAAAAGACTGTATTTAGGACTGCCACAATGAAGCACCACAAACTTGGTGCTTGAAAACAATAGAAGTTTATTGACTGACAGTAATGGAGGCCAGAAATTTGAACATAGGGTGTAGGCAGGGCCTTGCGCTTTACTAATGCTCTAGGAGAGGATCTTTCCTTGTCTTTTCCAGGTTCTAGTAGTCCCAGGTGTTCCTTGAGTTTTGAAAGTATAACTCAATCTCTGCCTTTGTCTTCATATGACCATCTTCCTTCTGCATATGTGTCTGTGTGCAAATTTTTCTTTTCTTATAAAGACATCTGTCATATTTGATTAAGGGCTCACCCTATTATAGTATACCCTCATATTAATTTAACTAATTATATCTGCAATGACCTCATTCCCAAATAAGTTTGAATTCTGAGGTCATGAGAGCTAGGACTTTTTCTTTTAGGGGGACATAATTCATTCCATCACAATGACCTTAGAAAAAATAGGAGTAAACTGAGAATAATGTGATACATTTGGAAAGGTATAATTTTTATTTTTGTTAGTAGTGAAAACAGAGTGAGATAACCTTGGCAGTATGCTTTCTCCTTACTGATCAAAGTCAGATCACCAAACACGGAATTAGCAGGATGCCACAATCTAGAAGCACAGAAATAACTCCAGCTGAAAAGTTCTTAGAAATGCAAGTTGTACTGGGAGCTATGTATATTAACTCACCATTCAGATGTACATTTTCCAAAGGACAATGAACATCAAATAAATAGAGGACAAGACTTCTGTGCATCCATTGAATCTGCCTGCTGAGACCAGAAGGTCCAGGCAGATAATCCCTTGTTTGAGATGAGTACAGTAATAAAAATCTTATATATGGACTCCATGACCAATATTGCAGAATTAGAAGAAAGAGGGAGGGAAAAAGCACTTGGTAGTAAGAAGTAGACACAGAGGAAGAACCTTCCTCTGATAGTGATCTATGTCTACTGTAAGATTTAAAAGAGACTATCCACAAAAGTTTGATATCCTAAATAGGTATCAAGGCACTGGCACTAGAAAAAAGCAAACTAGTGTTTCTGAAAGAATGGTGCATTGACAGCCTGGATCAGAATTATTTTTCCTGTTATTAAAATGACGAGGCCTGATTTAAATTTATTGAATAAGAATTTTAAGAGTGAATCAGGAAAATTGCATTTTAACAAGATTCCGGGTAAATTTTACATTGAACTCAAGTACCAGAACAAAAGAATAAAAGGAAAATGAAAAAAAAGTATCAAATTAAAATCAACATTAAGGTAGTTGATATCATTAGGAAAAATTGATGACAGTTGCAAAAAACATCTCTGCAGTATCTAAATTGTTTCAGACCATAGAAAAATCTGGAGTTGTTCAATTCATATTCGAAGATACTAGAATAATCTAAAAAAGACATCACATCATTATTACTGTAGAAGAAAAACTCCTGAAAAAGTATAGGAAAATGAATCCAACAGTAAATTACCTGAATAGTTTACCGTCACAAAGACAACTTATTCCAGGATAGACAAAAACAATTGCATCATAGGAAAACTGTTGAAGTAATTCACCAAATCAGTACATGAAAAGGAACAATATACTATTAACTTGATAGGTTCGATATAGGTTTTTTTTAATAACAATCAATACCCATCCATTACTGATATAATTTTTAGTAAAGTGTAAATATTTAAGCAATCCCAATATCAACAAAATACAATTGTTCCTCAGTAATCATGGGGATTGGTTCCAGGACTTCTGTGGATACCAAAATCCACAATGCTCAAGTGCCTCATATAAAATGGCATAAGATTTGCATAATAATCTATGTACAGCCTCCATTATACTTTACATTATCTCTAGATTACTTATAATACCTAATAAAATATAAAAGTTATGTAAATAGTTGGTATACTGTATTGCCTAAAGAATAATGACAAGAAAAACAGATCTGTATCATTAGGAAAATTAGGAGGGAAATAGCACTTAGTAGTACCTAAGTACTACTAAATACCTAATAAAACATGAAAGTTATGTAAATAGCTGTTATATTGTATTGTCTAGGGAATAATGACAAGAAAAACAAGTCTGTACATGTTTAGTACAGATGTTGTTTTTTGTTCTTCCCAAATATTTCCTATCTGCAACTAGTTGAATACATAGATGTGGAACTTAATGGATACAAAGGGCCAAGTGTAATTAATTGCTGCTAAAACACTAGAGGCATCCTCTTATAAGAAAGGGACAACACAATTATTTGACTTTTTTCCCCCCAAAAGTGCTAGTCAATGTAGTAAGGCATAAACAATGAAATGTAAATGCAGTAGTTCCTTAAATAATGCCATTTCATTCAACATTGTTTTGTTATAATATTGTTGAGAAAAAAAATCTATTGCTGATTGGGGTGACTGTCTGTGTGCAGTTTGCACATTCTGTCCATGTCTGCGTGGGTTTTCTTCAGTTACTGCAGTTTCCTCCCATATGCCAAACGTGCAAGTTAGGTGAATTCGTGTGTCTAAATGATCGTAGCATGAGTATTGATGTTTGAGTGTGTCTTGCAATGTGATGGCGTCCCGTCCAGGTGGGATCCTGCCTGGCCCCTTGAGCTGCTAGGATGGGCTCTGGCCACCTACCACCCTGAACTGGAACAAGTGGGTAAATAACCTTGCTTGTTTTCACTAATCTTTCTTGAATGTATGTATAGCTCATATTTATTTCGACATTTAATATCAAAAGTATTTTGGTTTTTATTTAGAAGTTTGGTGACATTTTTGTGGCCAGTAGAAACCTAACTCTTGTTTACATCAATTAGCCTATGGTGAAATTGGATTTGTTATCTATCATTTCTTTTTTTTTTTTTTTTGAGACAGAGTCTTGCTCTGTCGCCCAGGCTGGAGTGCAGTGGCACGATCTCGGCTCACTGCAACCTCTGCCTCTCAGGTTCACGCCATTCTCCTTCCGCAGCCTCCAGAGTAGCTGGGACTGCAGGTGCCCACCACCATGCCCGGCTAATTTTTTGTATTTTAGTAGAGCTGGGGTTTCACCATGTTAGCCAGGATGGTCTCGATCTCCTGACCTCGTGATCCACCCGCCTCGGCCTCCCAAATTGCTGGGATTACAGGTGTGAGCCACCGTGCCTGGCCTATCTATCATTTCTCTTAAAGTCGCAAAGAAGCTATGGATGACATTAAGTGAGGTCTTACTGTAGAAATATTAAAGAACATGTCCATAACTGTCTGTCTAGCAAACCCAAGTAATAAATGTGAAAAAAAAATCACATGTAAGAGAGGTCAACATGGCAGCTATTTCCAATATCAAAACCAAAAAGTTAAAGATTGGAATAAAACAATTTAAAAGGCAACCAAAATTATAAAATAGCCAGAAATAAGTGTCACAAAGAATATATAACATTTACCCAAATAAAATGTTGTTGATCAACATAAAAATAACTATTAAATAGCAAGAACATATTTCAATAGAAGGTACCACCTAATAATGATTGGAATTCCAGTATCTTTTTAAATCAAATAAAATTGCTATTATGGTATTTGAATAAATGTAACAAAATTACTTTAAATTTTAACTTTTGTATAAGCCTTTGACAAAAATGACATCTTAAAAAGTGATGAGAGCAGATTTGCCATAAATCAAAACTCTGTGGTTCTGGGGAAGGTCCAGAAAGAGTACACTAACTTAGTGTAAGAGTACACGAAAGATTACACTAACATAGTCTACTAGATGTAAGTAAATTCAGATAAAGTTAGATGGAGGTAGGGAGGTCAGAAGAAAAGAAGGAAGAGAGGGAGGCAAGATTAAAGGAAGGAAAGGAGGGAGGAAGGAATGGAGGGAGGAGATGAAACCAGTTTAAACTTGAAAAAGGAAGCGGTGAGATTATATTTAAAATAAGTTAAATCATGAAAAACTTTGGGAAGGGTAACCACTAAACTCTGAACTAAATACCTGGGTGCTAAAAAACTGGTGCTGAGGAAGGTCTCAAAAGTACACGCTGTCACTAACATGCCTTGCTGCTAGAAAGAGTTATCATTAAATCAAATTAAAAAAAAAAAAGCTCTACTTTATACTGTAACCAGTAAGCCTAAAGGACATTTTCTGTGCCCAGTATAAGTCATGTATCAAAAAACATTTTGCTTGCATTTTGGCTTTAAATAAAAGTTGTATAATTTCATGTTTTAATATAATCCATGTTTCTCAATGATTATATTGACTCAGAGAGATCGCCAGATTCATTAAGAGTTTTACTTCACATAATTTGATAATTAGATTGGGATTAGGAAATTATTTAATGAGAGACTTCACACCATGCAAAATTGCCTTTGCTCTCAGGAAAAAAAAAAAAGCCAGTGGCTCGCATGCTGTTGTCCAGCCTTTGGCACATTTATAGGTATTGGAGAGCTCTCCACATTGATGGCCATTTCAAAGTTGGATAATTCTCATTCGTAATTCGTGCATTTATCTAATATTCTATTTAATAGAGAATCACATTATGTGTCATTCCATTTTAATAATGTTGGTAACTGAAATATTTAAAGACAACGGTGACTCCTAACTCTTCATAATTACGAATTCTTTCTAGTTTCGCCTACCTTTTCCATATGTGGTATGTTTTCCAGATTCCTCATTATTTTTGTTAAGGCTTTAGATGATCTCATTTCAGTTAAAAAATGCTCCTCTGCGCCTGTAATCCCGGCACTTTGGGAGGCTGAGGTGGGCGGATCACGAGGTCAGGAAATTGAGACCATCCTGACTAACACGGCATGGTGGCTGGCGCCTGTAGTCCCGGCTACTGGAGAGGCTGAGGAGAAGAATGGCGTGAACCCGGGAGGTGGAGCTTGCAGTGAGCTGAGATCGCGCCACTGCACTCCAGCCTGGGCGACAGAGCCAGACTCCGTCACCAAAAAACAACAAAAAAAGGCTCCTCTGTTACATACCCAGTACTGAACTCCAATATTATCTGAAAAATGGACTCATTCTTATAAATTTGGTAATTCTAGGAAGCAAATCTGCATGGCCTTTGCTGAATTATTTGTGTAATAGCCGTATTGTCCTCTCAAATTTGTTTATGTAGCCATAACAAATTTCAACTAGTTTAGCTTTATCTCACTATTTACAGTTACTATATTTAAAATGAACTGACTTTTCATTTGATAAACAAGGGAAACACGTCCAATAATGCATTTCCAAGACACCGATGAAGTTTTGTTTCTGTATGTGTGTGCATGGACTTTTGTAGTATGTATATGTACGTAGATGTGTAGGGTGTGCACATGTGCATGGGCATACAGATGGAAATGTTCTGCTAAAAGATATCATTGCCATTTTAGTGGCTTCTTTAGAACTTCTAGAGAACTTTTCCAACTTCTAGTCTGGAGAAGGTATTAACTAAAGAGAATCTTGCTTACTTTAAAACAATTTCATTTAATATATAAGGTGAAGAAAAAACAAAGTAAGTCAGAATATGATAACGAGGAAATAAAAATAGAAATATATTCTTTAGAGAGAAGATATAAAAGAACATTCAAGTATTTTAGAAGATACAACACATACAGCTTGATTCGTAATTAATTTTAAAAATGCCCTGTTGAGGGTAACATCACACAATGGGGCCTGGGGAAGGGATAGCATTAGGAGAAATACCTAATGTAGATGACAGATTGATGGATGCAGCAAACCATACACATGGCATGTGTATACCCATGTAACAAACCTGCACGTTCTGCACATGTATCTCAGAACTTAAAGTATAATAAAATTAAAAAAAATGCCCTGTTGCTTTTGTGACACAATAAACTGCTTTAAAACTATTCATGGTTTTCCTTGAATAAACAGGGTAGTAGAGGGTTTATGAGATAATATAGTAGTGAACTATTTCTCAAATGCATGAGCAGCTTTGTAATGTCAGTTGTTTTTTTTTTCTCCTAGTTTTCTCTAAGGTATCTACTCTTGCAAAAAAAACAAAACCAAAAATCTCCCCCCCAAAAAAAAGACCCCCAAACCTTATCTGGCTTACATGAATTACATTTTCAAAATGTTACCATATTAGGAAAAATGAAATTAAATATTTGTTTTTGCGTAAACATTAAAATCCATTCTTAGCTGTTTTTGAAATTCTAACTCATAATGAATATATTTGAGACTGATTAAGGAAATTGAGTATTATTTACAAGTTACCTTGCACTGAACAAGATTTCTCTTTTCACTTAGTATTTTGAAAATATTAATTGTGCCTTATCAAAGGGAGACTGTTTGCTAGAATTTAGAGTATTTATTAAAGTACTGCTATTATTTTAGACTGTTGATATTATTGTATAGTGGATCAAATATACAATATGTAGTCTATTAATTGAGTTGTTTGCTTTATAATCTATCTGTGGTAACCTTAACAGTTCTATTTGCCACTGCTACTTCTTGGTTGATCCATAAGTAGGAAGGTAAAGTGTTACAGAGTGTGGTGTCCTAAATAGGCTATAGGTGTAGTGAAGAATTGATTATTAGGCCCTGCCCTTTAAAATTCTGAATAAGTAGATCTGGCACGGTGGTGCCCAGACTGAATTTTTCAAACGTCAGTTAATTCTTACAGCAGGGAAAAAAATGGGGAAAGCACTGATTCAAACCCATTTCAAACACACATATTAAAGACTTTTGCATTATTGCTGTTTTGAATAATCCATGCCACTCATTATATTCATTAATACAAATAATTGAATTGACTATGTATAATATTTAAAATGATTCTATCTTTAAAAGTAGAAAATAATTGCTTCTCTCTAAATCAGTACTTTACTCAGTTCTCATTTTCCATGGCAGGGAATTTACTAAAATACATAATGCATTAAATCAAATAATTTATTTCAAAAATGTATTATTCTTTAAGTTAGAGAACTACAGATCAATTTATATTTGTTGATCTTCATGAAAATAAAGATATGGTTGCTTGCATACATTTACATGTTTTTATTTTCTGTTTGCAGGGTACAAGTTGAATTCTATATGAATGAAAATACATTTAAAGAAAGACTAAAATTATTTTTCATAAAAAACCAGAGATCAAGTAAGTTATTCATTTCATTCCCCTCTGTTCGTACATATATTTACTTCAAAATATTTCAACTGTGTGATCTTTTGCAAAATACTTTTTAGATAGAGGAATAAAATTGGTTATTTTTTCCAGCAGGTGGTAGAGGAATAAAATTGGTTATTTTTTCCAGCAGGTGGTAACATTTTAGAAAAGTATAGGCACTACATATAGTGATATTAATGCTTCTTGAACATCTTCAATTCTCCAAATTCCATGTTAATAAGTAGACTTCTGAGTGGACTATCTGGATTAGTATAAACATTGAGGAAAATAATTTAAATGAGGGTCCTTCCATTTTAACTCTAAATATCGTATTTTCAAAAAGCTCTGACAGACCACAATGGGAAACAATTGTCTGATTTAGGGAAGGGAACGTTTAATATTTCCTAATCATTCCAAATAATAAGAAACATCTAGGTTGCACTGAAATATACAGATTCCTATCTTTCTTAGCCTAGAGATTTTGAGCCAGGAAGTGTAGGGTAGATCTCAGAGTTTAACATCCCAGTGATTCCTATCATCAGACAAATGTAAGAAAGTAACAAAGTAGAACTTCAAGAATACAAAATTGGCATAGTAACTGTCCTCCTGAGCCTATTCAAGGTTAGGAGTGCCGCTGATGCTTGTTGCTTCCCACAATGCCATATATGTTTAAAAAGCCATATGTAATAAACCAATATGCAATTTTTTTTATGGTCATTGCTTACAATGTCACAGGGAATGGAGAGGCCTGCATTAGTTGGTGTAGACATTAAGCTCTGTGAATTTTAACCTCCAAATCCTCTTGTCAAAATTAAGTTGTGCCTCTGTAGGTAGGATTCAAAGAGAGAAGCTTGACTTGTGGGAAGTTGTCCAAATACTGATGATATGGAATATTTCAATATTTAAGTCATACTGCTCAGATAGTCTTAATGACAGGCTGGCCTCAAGGTTAAGACTGTTAGCAACTAATGTTTTTCTAACATGGTTGTTCAGAATATCCAAGGAAGCCCCATAAATAGATATTACCTAAAGGGGTCACATCATCTGAATAGTTTCCCTTATTTCAGTACTAACAGTCCTATCTTTCCAGGCCAAAAAAGGTGGATGCATTGTTTGAATACTTCACCCATAGTCAGCTGCAACTAAGCAGTTATTTGAGGAGGCCCATTTCTATAAAACCAGCATAATTTCTTTAATAATTTGAAAGATTTTTTAAGGAAGTGAACCCATAAAATGTATTCAGCATTTTAATTGGAAAACCTTGGAAAAATTTCACAAATGATAAGCATCGACCTTTTTACTGGTAAGAACTGTTACCACAAGTACACTCACAACAGCAGAGTAGGACAAAAAAAGTGACATTTCATTTCTAGATTTTATTAAGTAATAATTATAGGAAGGCCTTTATCAAAATTTTATTCATAATGCATGAATCAGATATCGTAAAGTAATTACAGGAAAGATAATGCTCATATTAATCAGACTTTATGCATATTGTGCTTAATCTTAAATACTCTTCATCATCATTGAATATTACAGGCTGCATAATTGTGACCCACACAGTTTAGAAGATACATACATGGCAGTTTTAATTCCCACAAAAGTTTAAGATTCCATGGGTATTTTAAATAGTTAAAAATAGAATTTAATTTATTGAACTTTAAACGTATGTGTGTGTATGTGAGAGAAATGGAGAGATTGATCGTGTGTGTGTTTCTCAGTGTATGCTATTAAGATTTCTCTATACTTATATAATATATATTATTATATAATGAATAAATAATATATATAATTATATAATTGGAATGTATTATAATTATATAGTTAATATTAAATATACAACATAGAACTATACAAATATAATTAATTTCTTTATAATCAAATCTACAAGATTCTGTGAAGGTATAAGTTTTATAACTTGGCTTGTGAATTTGTAAGCAGCTAGATTTTCTAGCCAAAGTTTATCCCAAAATTTATGGATGTATAAAATGCTTAAACATATAAACATACTTTAATCAACCTCGATTGGACACAAATTTTGTGGCTTCTGAATGTTCAAATCTAGATTTAGTCTTTTTATAAAATATGCACTCTCATTTGCAGTTCAAGTATTCTGTCAAACTCACTTTTTGTTTCAATATTCAGGTAATTAAAATTCAGCCACCAAGAACTTCAGAGAGTTTAGACAATTATAGTAGTGCAGCTTCTAAATACAATTTAAGTGCTGTATTTAAATTTGATATTTTTGACAATTCTTTTTAGTCTTTTGTGAACTAAGTTCAGATGAAAATCAAACTTTTATCATTTGTTTAAAGGTCTAAGGATACGCCTGTTCAATTTTTCTCTCAAATTACTAAGCTGCTTATTATACATAATCCGAGTACTACTAGAAAACCCTTCACAAGGAAATGAATGGTAAGGTACCTTTTTCTGACCTTCAACAATATTATTTTGATTATTTTGAGTTGTATCACATTTTAAATTTAAAGCATGTTGTGTAGAGCTTAATTTTTAAGGGTATTTTAGGTGTTTGTCACAAATAAAATTGATCGATTTACAGGCACTACATAATTCTTGTAGGTTCTTTGTAAGTATCTTTTATTATTTTTCTGTTTGTCTGATGCTAATATTGGACTGTTAGGCATAAAATTTTATTGCTAGCCAAAGTGCATTAAGTAGTTTTTGTTTTAAAATGGGTAAGTCTCTTTAAAGACCCGAATGCAATTTTGTTCTTGATTTTCAGATACTCCCAAAAGATAATATGAAGCTTCCTATTTAACATTGTAATCTCCTCATAAGACTCCCTTAATAGTTTTCTTCTTTTTCTTTTTTTTTCTCTAGAGACTGTTTCTCTTTTACATATTCTACCTAATTTTAGTCATTTATTTTGTTTTCTGTGGTATTCCATGAATACTAGAGAGGATATTCCATGACAGCAAGGATCTTTGCCTGAATCCCCAGAGCCTGGCACAAAGTGGCAAACAATAGTTATTTGTTAAATGAATGAATGGATACATGAGTAAAAGAAGTTCCTTAGTAATCTAACTTTTGCCTACTCTACCTCATCAGCCCCCTACTCCAGCTATGCTGAACTGCTTGAAGTAGCTTATGCACCTTTGATCTCCCTTCCTCTGGGGCTTTTAACATTCTTCTCCCTCTTCTGGGAAATTAAGTTTCCTGCTCCTCACAACCCACACTTTTTTGACTTGCTTCTGGACTCCAGGACCTTCAGGAAAACAACTTTATGGATAACAGTTAATCTAAAATCCTTATGGGTATTGTGCCTTGTAGCCCAGTTCCACTCTGGCTTAGGAGTATCTTCTGGGTGCTCTCCCACATACTTCTCTCACAACAGCCAAAGCATTGCCCTTGATTTTACCATTCACTTATCAGTCCTTTCTATATGCTCACCAAGGGCAAGAACCATGCTGTGTTTTCCTCCATAGCTCTCACACTAAGCATAGGACTTGGTAGGTCAGTGAATGCTGCTGAATTAATGAAATGATGCTCAGCAATTTTATTGATAGTGTGTTGCACAATAAAAATGATTGAGGACTACTGCCTGGAGATGTCAGTGTTATTAAAATGGTTCATGTAACAAATTATTCTACAATCATATCAGCATTATTTTTAAAATGTGGTGATTTATAAATAAAAAGTACACTAGTGGGACCTGAAAATCATAAAATGAAGCATGATGGAATCCTTCTAAGGGTAAAAGGGCATTTGGTGGGTGTTAGCAGAGTAAAATTATATTATTTGAAAACATTAAGAGGAACAAAGTTTCCTACAATTAACTTCTATGTAATATCACTAAGAATGTTTGGCCATAATTGTAGAGGATATACATTTGAAAAATCAGATTACAGTAATTAAAAAATATTTATGGTTCCATTTTGAATACAATGTTCTGTTTAGCTCCCATGGTTAGTGCAGTATTGGTTAATGAAAAACAGAAGTCGCCTTTATGGGTGCAGGCTCTATTTTAAAATAATGAGGCTAATTAAGCAAAGAGATTTATTTAATTAGAGCTTCTGACATGATAAGTCTGCAGATATTTTGTGCTGCTTTGCTTTATTTTTAAATCCCTTTCAGGAATCAAAACTGATACGAAAACATTATAATATGGGAAAACTGAATAATATGAAAAGAATTTTACTGTTAATATACCATGTGTGAATGGTAAACTGTGATGTACAGATAATGTGTAGTAAATGATTTAAAGATGTTAGGAAAGGAAGCACACCTGAAGCATGTAGTTTATAAATTACACTGAAAGATGAGCCATCAGCATTAACTCATTGCCTGCTGATGCTTACAGTTCATCACTGTGTCCAAACTCATGCATCTGCATCTACTTTAAAAATTGTTCAAATGATTATTAGTTTTTAACATCAAGTGATAGAGACACAGGTAAGAAGCACATGAACATGCTTCTATTTTATGGTATTTGGATTCCATTTAAAATCAATGCCTAATATAGCAAATGGTGTGTTTAAGTGAAATTCAAATTTTAAATACGATTTCTTCCTCAGGGTAACAACTATTAAAGGAAGAAAACAGAATTTTTACAATAGCTCTTAAATATTTGATGATCAATAGGAATGAGTATTTTAATGCAGACCTTTTCTTCTTTTTTGTATATTGATTATTTTTTAGATTGAAGTAGGACTAAGTTCTCTAACAAATCTCAAAAATTTAAAAGCATTTTTTTGTTTACTGGAGTCTAATACTGGTGTTTCTGGTCATTGTGAACCTTTTCTCCATATAATGATTCACATACACAAACATACACACACAGACACAGACACATACATACACACACACACACACACACACACACTCCATAACATGGTAGGTACTATATGTACAAGCCCACTGCATTTTGTGATTATGTGTTGTCCTAAGACCGGAATCTTTGCATCCTGATTTCAGAAAGAGAAAGAGAGCTTGGAGAAGGCATATATGTTTTTAAAAATTATTGGCCAACAAATGACAAACATCACTTTTGCTTGTACTTCATACTCAGGTCTCACATGAGAACCAGTTATATCATCATACCTTGACACAAAGACTGAGAAATGTAGTTGACTGAAGAGTGACTTTTTTGCACTCGACTCTATGCCGTGGAAGGGGGAGAATGAATGTTAATTAAAGAGCCAACTCTGTGACAGCTAACGTTGTCTGGTGGAAGGGCCCTTAATGTCCATTCTTTCAAAGAGTTAGTTATCAGTCTTCTCCGTAACATCCTTGATAGTTGGTTGTCTAACCTGGGATTAAATGTTTCCAATATTTTGAAAGGATTCAAATACCGAAAAGTCTTTCTAACATATTGGCAAGACTCATATGCTTTCATATTTTGGTCACCTAGTTTTTGGATGTGTATTAAATATTTTATGTTCGTCTTGAAATGTGGGCTTAGTATCATATCTAGTATTCAGATTTTAGTGTATATTATGGTCAGGGGGGTTGTATAATTTACCCTCCTGTTTTATTTATTATTTGTTAATACATTACAAGCTTATATTAGGGTTTTTTTTTAGAGCTACCAGTCTTTGAGTTCATCTTGGGTTTGTGAGCAACATATCCTTTCATATGAATTATGTCCTGCATGTTAACCCTATTACTTTCAAATGCTTTGTTCTTCTGCTAAATGTATTCACCTCCTGACTCCCACCTCCTCTGCCAAAGCTGTTCTCACACTTTTACCCTCTATTTTCCTACTTTTAAGACAGTTCATAAGTGTTCTGGGAAAAGTGGCTGAGGCCACATTACTAAGTTCCTATATTTAACTTTTGCTTTTCCTTCTATTGTTTGGTATGGTTCCTTTAGTTTTCACAATAATGCTTCATACATGAATTTTATCAACAGGACAGTCTAATTCAGAATAACTAAATGATATATATTTGGGTTTTGCTTTGCATTTTTTTATTTAATTTTTTATATTTTGGAAAGGGAAATTTGTTTATTATTTAAAAATGTTTCATGCATATTACAATATAGATATATATGGCAAGGAAGTAAAAATTATCTGAGATCACAACACCTAGAATAAATACTTTTAGCATTTTTAAAGACTCCATTTACAAATTCTCTCTATACACAGACATATAGATAACATATACATACTGGTATGACCTAAAGTAATATTTTAATGACTTTTTCCTCATTTGTAATGTTTTTGTTGTTTTACTTGATGATGATGCATCTGCTACTTAAATTCTCTTCTTATTAGGTATTCAGGTAGATTCCAGTTACTCTCCTGCTGTAAATAATACTGAAATAAATATTATTGTGCATGTTTTCTTTCCTCCTAGTGTTTTTTTTATCAATGAGATTAAATTTTCATTTGAAATTATAATTTGGCTGTCAGCTTTGGTTTCACTCCTCATTTTGGAGGTTATCTACGAATGTGCAGATTAGATCCCACATTCTTTTTTTTTATGATAAATTCATTTTATGAAGGAGGGTTTGAACACTAGTTTTTACCAAAATATATACATTTCCTTCTATGTATTTATCCAACTTAATGTTAAGGAAACTGGTAAAAGTATGTCTTTCCATTGGAGATCTCTTTGAAATTTATATATGAGATTTGTAGGACTTTTTTTTTTATGGATTCTGAAGCCTATTTCACAAGACATAGTCTAGACTGGGAAATAAGTATGTCTTTTTTAAAACTCTTATTTAAATTCTTTATGACATTTCAATTGCCTACCAATATCACAGACCAAAGAAAATGCCATTAGTTTGACGTAAGCAGATTTCTTTTGGAATTTTAAAAATACGAAGTTGATTGTATTACAAATTTCAGATATACACATTAGAAAATTATTTCTTTTGGACCCTTTAGGAAAGTATTAATTTCACCAAATCTGCTATACTGGCAGTGTAAAAGTCTTAAACTAACTTTATTATTATTTTTGTCCATTTTCCTTCCCCTCGCCCCCCAATCCCCAACAGGCCTTGGTATGTGTTGTTCCCCTCCCTGTGTCCATGTGATCTCATTGTTCAATGTCTACCGATGAGTGAGAATATGTGGTGTTTGGTTTTCTGTTCCTATGTTAGTTTGCTGAGGATGATGCCTTCCACCTTCATCCATGTCCCTAAAAAGGACCTGATCTCATTCCTTTTTATGACTGCATAATATTCCATGATGTGTATGTACCACATTTTTTTATCCAGTCTATCATTGATAGGCATTCTGGTTGGTTCCATGACTTTGCCATTTTAAATAGTGCTGCAATAAATATAAGTGTGCTTGTGTCTTTAGAGTAGAATGATTTATACTCCTTTGGTTATATACCCAGTAATGGGATTGCTGGGTCAAATGGTATTTCTGGTTCTAGCTCCTTGAGGAATCGCCGTACTGTTTTTGACAATGGTTGAACTAATTTACATTCTCACCAACAGTGTAAAAGCGTTCCTAATTCTCCAGCATCTATTGTTTCTTGACTTTTTAAAAAGGATCTCCTATTCAATAAATGGTGCTGGGAAAACTGGCTAGCCATATGCAGAAAACTGAAACTGGACCCCTTCCTTATACCTTATACAAAAATTAACTCAAGATGGGTTAAAGACTTAAATGTAAAACCCAAAACCAGAAAAGCCCTAGAAGAAAACCAAGGCAATACCATTCAGGAGATAGGCATGGGCAAAGACTTCATGACAAAAATGCCAAAAGCAATTGCAACAAAAGCCAAAATTGACAAACAGGATCTTATTAAACTAAAGAGCTTGTGCACATCAAAAGAAACTATAATCAGAGTGAATATCAGGCAACCTACAGAATGGGAGGAAATTTTTTCAATCTACCCATCTGACAAAGGTCTAATATCCATAATTTACAAGGAACTAAAACAAATTTACATGAAAAAAACAACCCCATCAAAAACTGGGCAAAGTTTATGAACATACAATTCTCAAAAAAAAAGACATTTACACAGCCAATGAACATATTGAAAAAAAGCTCAACATCACTGATCAATGGAAAAATGCAAATCAAAATCACAGTGAGATACCATCTCATGCCAGTCAGAATGGCGATTATGAAAGTCAAGCAGATTTTAATAAGTCTATGTTAATTACCAATTTTCTTTGAAAATACGCACTTCTGTTCAGCAACTTATTTTATAATTTTTTCCAGAGATTGCTACCTACTTGACAATATAGTAACTTTTGTGGCACATAGTTTTCCACTTACAAAACTGGGCATCTATCCCTCTTCACTCTGACACACCTTGTTGTGGTCTGATTTCTCAAATGTTACTCAGAATATAAAAATATAAACACTTTAGAAAAGACAGTGATAATGAATCCATAAGTTATACCTTTGACTTAATTGGCACCATTTATCATTGATCATTGGTTACCTAGTTTAATATATGCAGGTACTTAGCAAGGCATTGGGTTTATAATGGTGAGTAAATTAGATAGTTATTTTATCTTATGGAACTTGTAATTGCAAGGATACAGCCATTAAAGAAACACATATACAAATAAATATAAAGTTTCCACTGAGATGAGTGGCAGGAAAGGTGTGATGGGTGACGTGGCCCAAGGGATTAGTTGACAAAGTTGATCAAGTGGAATCCTCAGAGAGGGTTTCCCTGAAACACAGAGGGTTGAGCTGAGACTTCTAGGATGAGAGGACAGAATGTAAAAAGAGCTTGTAGAAGGAAGGAATGAGTCCACTTGAATAAGTCTAAGAATGCCATGTCAACTGTTTTGAACTTTATTCTAACGGAAGTGCAAAGGCAATACACAATAGGGAATAGGGTAATGTGATCTAAAACGCATTTTGAAAGAATCAGTGTATTTGCGACTTGGAGAAAAATGGTAGAAGGCAAAAGAAGGTGCAGTGTTCCCACTGGTAGGTTTTTGCAAGCATCCAATTGTGAAAAATGGTGGCTTAGAATAAGGTGATTGTGGTAGTAGAGACGAAAAGAAGCAGATGAATTCTGCAGATATTTTGTTGTAATGACTGAAAAGGTTTGATGGCTAGTGAATTTAGTATTTACAGATGCAGGAGAAGAAAGTATCTAAAAGGATGCTCAAGTTTTGAGTAGCCAAATAAAATGAGATTTGGCACCGTTTACTTAAATGCGAAAAACTACCATTCACCTGCCTCTCTTCAGGAAAATGTAATTATTTTTATCTTTTCCTGAATAGGGTATATTGCTGTAAGTAACTCCCATTGGAATCAACTGTGTACTAAATGATGTAGACACAGCTAGGTTATAAATTGTGGAAAATTAGAATTAGAGGGATAATAAGTGTTATGATGTTCTTTCCAGAGCATAAGCCTTTTTATCATCAGAAAATATATCATTTTTAGGGAATAAAGATGATTACTCCTTGTCTTGCCCAATATGTTAACCCCAGTCATACTGTTTTCCATGGTATGTTAAATATTTTATAAAACTTCAAGTCTGAAATATAACTGTGTTGTATACTCTGTTACTGATTTTTTTCTGGTTATTTATACTGTTGTATTTATACAGGACATATATATGTCCTGTTACAAATAAGAATATCTTAGAGTTTGTAGAAGACTATTAAATGACTTTTCGGTGTAGAATTATCCAGTAAAGGGTTTAAGGTTATT
The DNA here is from genome assembly GCF_000001405.40 of Homo sapiens. NCBI lineage: Eukaryota > Metazoa > Chordata > Mammalia > Primates > Hominidae > Homo > Homo sapiens. The sequence continues at coordinate 196,482,645 of NC_000001.11, read as the reverse complement.
CTGCCCTGCCATATCATTCTTTAAATAATGTCACATATTTTAATTTATTAACAATGACAAAAAGTGAAATTCAAAAAGTTTTTATCGGAATAGAAATGAATATTAGCAAAAAGAAAACTAAGGCAACAACGTTTTTTCAAATGTTGATTTTGATATTTTGTCTTTTTATGCTAGCATATTTTAATATTTCCAACTTTAACTGAATTTTAAAAGTGAATAGATTTTTCATATTTTAAAAAACTAACTTATTATTATTCTTTTTATAGGTCTCATATCTTTTGGGTGAACAGAAGTCTACCTTTGTGGGGCTTACAGGTTATGTACAATTTTGTTTTATCCCTATATCTCTGGGTTTATTCACATTTCACAGAGAAGTACTATTGGAGAGCTTTTGATGTTCAAAATGAGTTTGTCTTTCTGCCTGATTAATCTTCATGCACATCTTGGACTAACATTTTCATTTCTTTTTTCTTGTTTGTCTGAGCCCTGCATTCTACCTCTTGAGGATTTCGTCGTGATCAGAATTAGATTTTAAAGAGGTTGTGAGAGTTTGGAGAAAACCAAAGTATACTACTGCTTTAAGGCTCCACAAGTTTTCCCAAACTACATTAAGTATTCCTGTTATATGATTCCTTTAAGGTTACTCAAAGCCTATAACTGTGTTTGCTTTTTACCTTGTATTCTTAGTGTCTGGAATATGGTAGAATATCAATAAATAATTATTTAATGAATGAACAAATGAAACAATGACTCATATCACCAATAGTAAGAGCTTAGTTCCTAAGCAATTAATCATGTAAATAAAACCAAAAGTATGCCATAGCATAAAAGGAGTCTTTAAGAAAGGCTAAGAAAATATGACAGAGCACAAGATGTCTGATTTATATTGTTGAGGTGTTCCCTAGAGTCTCCGTTACTTCTTTGTTTTGTTTTGTTTCCTACTGAATTTCATGCCCAGTGAACTTTTTGTAAGTTTCTATCGCCTCTACTTCTGTTTACTTCCTACAGATCCTTTTTATTTTCTGTTGCTTTTAAAAATTACAAATTAATCGGAAGAATAGAATCACCAACATCAGAAAGAATTGGAGATTGGAAGACACTTGAGTCTGGAGGAAAGAGAAAGACTTTAAGACTCACTGCTTAGGAGCAATCTTTAAACTAGTTTATTTATTTATTCATAAAGTTGTATACATTTATGGGGTACAAGTGCAATGTTATTACTTAGCTATTTTGAGTAGTGGTAAAGTCCAGCTTTTCACTATATCCATCACTCAAATAATGTATGTTACACTTACCAGGCAATTTCTCATCATCCACCCTCTTCCTCCCTTCTCACTCTTCCAAGTCTTCAATATCTTTCATTCTACACTCATTCCACATGTCTTTCAAAGTCACGATGATTGTGAAGTCTGTATATTTGTATGTGATAATGAATTACTTTAAGTATGTGTGCATTGTGATCATAACCATGAAATCAAGTTTTTACTATGCCTGGGTGTTTTAAGTTTTGTTAAAGTCAAGTTGTTTTTTACATTTCCTTACTCTGACTTTTGTTGCAATATCATATTAATTCATAAATAACACTGAAAATATTGAAATGTTCATTAAAATGTAGTATTTTAATCTCTGAGCTATCCTTCAATTAAGTGCACATTTAAAATAAATTGTTTTATGAATAGCCATATATTATCTTCAAATATATTTTGATCTATTCAAATTGCTTTTTAAAACAGTGATATTTGAAAATACTAACGATGCTCTTTTTTTTTTTTTTTTTTTTTTTTTTTTTTGAGACGAAGTCTCTCTCTGTCGCCCAGGCTGGAGTGCAGTGGTGCGATCTCGGCTCACTGCAAGCTCCGCCTCCTGGGTTCACGCCATTCTCCTGCCTCAGCCTCCGGAGTAGCTGGGACTACAGGCGCCCGCCACCACGCCCGGCTACTTTTTTTGTATTTTTAGTAGAGACGGGGTTTCACCGTGTTAGCCAGGATGGTCTCGATCTCCTGACCTCGTGATCCGCCCACCTCGGCCTCCCAAAGTGCTGGGATTACAGACGTGAACTACTGCGCCTGGCCGATGTTCATTTTTAAATAGCACTTTGAGTAAAATGTTAAAAATGCTCTAGAGATCATCTAATGCTATGTACTTCTACAAAAAAAGCATGAGTAATTATGATTTAGAGGATTTATGGAGAAAATGAAAGAGATTTGCGTTTTCTATCATAATAATGCCTGGCTACTGCACATACTTCTGAACATATTTTACTTACACTGTTATGCATTTTATCTGTTTTCTTATTGTTCTCCTGTTTTAATATTCTTTTAAATTCAAAGATTTTTATCCCAACAGAAGAAAAAATGTAATCTCCAGGGTATCTGCCGTTCTCATTCGAATAGTCTTAAACCTCAAAAATCTATAAACATATATATTTACCTGAGACACTTTTTGTTTATATTTGCTTATTTGATTCTATTTATCTATCCTAAGGTTGTAGAGTATTTAACACAGAATAATTTTATTATTTTTTCTAGTTACTTTTTGTGGCACAGTAATATATTTTTGGTAGTTAACACTAGAGATGGTGTATACAATAGAGAATATAGAAAAAGATAAAAGGATACGTAGGAAGATAGTACTAACACTTCTATCTGCACAAGGGGAATTGGTTATGAAATTCATTCAAATAAAATCTGAAAGTATTTTGAAGTGGTGGTATGGTCTATTTTATTTAGTACTCAAAGATGTAGCCTTTTTATTTTGTTTCACATGGGTGATAAGATTGAATATACTATTAAACTTGAAGTGTGTGTTATTTCATTTTCTGTATTTTCTGAAGAGAAATACTGATTTTGGTACAGATGGTCATGCTTCTGGGATAGAGTGGTTATCTGTGGTGGACAGTCACATGTGATTTTATGTATTAGAAACACACACACATAGCTGGGTACGGTGGCTCACGCCTGTAATCCCAGCACTTAGGAATGCTGAGTAGGGTGGATTGCTTGAGCCCCGGGGCTTGAGACCAGCCTGGACAACATTGCAAAACCCCATTTCTATTTAAAAAAAATTTTAAAACGAAACACACCCATAAAAGAGCCTGTTCTTTATATATCATGTAAACTGCAGCCAGCCTATTTTAATACCACCTTTACATTTTGAATAATAACTAAAAATGGTTTACTAAGGAGTATTAGAATGTATGAAAACTAAGATGTAGTACAGGAGACAGCAAACTCTGGCCAGCAGCCTGTCATCTGTGTATAGAAGTTAAAGTACCGCCTAATAAGTCCTATTATACACCCATATATGTATACATGCACATATATTTAAATAAAGTTAGTAGTATAGCCAAGAATATATATAATTTAATTGTATTGCGTTTTCTCATTAAGTTACAATTTATCTTTCAGGTTTCAGTGGCATTGATAAGTCTGTTTGAAACAATATTACTTGGTTATCTTAGTTATAAGGTAAGTTATTTTAATTAGCAGTTTCCCGCTGATAGAACACATCTGTAGTATTTACTCAGTATTCCTCTATTTATAGTTCGCACTGGAAGGTAAGGCTGACTCTTCTTGAGCCACTTTGTTTTGAGCCGCTCCAGTAGCTGATAAAAAGCTGTATGAATACGGTAATGTTTTCCTTGATGACTTACAAATGCTTTGCTAGTTCCTATGGGTTTACTTACCCATTATATGCATGCATATAGTGAGACAAGCAAATGGAATGGTTCAACTTTATTGTATTCAACATTGTTTTTTTCTGATTTGTACACAAAATATTGAGAAAGCAAAAACATGTCTCTTAGGAATTATTTTAATAAATTATCTTATTTTTTGATAAAGCTTTGTTTGGCTAACATGATTTAACAAGTATTTATTGAGCTCCTATTTAATGGAGAGCTCTGTAGTTCACATGATTCTTTTTTCAATGAGTTTACAGTCAAGAAAGGGGAGGTTACAGCAGAGCATCATACAGATAATAATAATACAAGCAGCATATAATGGGTAATTCCAGTGAGGTCTAAGAAAGTACTGTGGGGTTTTATAGAGAGAGCTCATATCATGGAATGAAAAGGAAACAGTAGTACTTGAACCATAGTGATTTCAATAAGGCAAGATGAAAAGACAGCACAATAGAGATTGATAAAATTAGCAAAGGCATAAAGGAAGGACTTTGCATGTAAAATTGGAGGAATAATAAATATATTTGTCTAGAACATGGGGGCATTGTATAGCAGCATATATTTTTAAGTTGATGGAAGATGACTAACACAAGATTCTGTAATTGAAATTCAGTTTTAGGAATATTAGTTCAGAATCTCTATGCAGCTCAGGTCAAATAGACATTATGGTGAAGTTCATGTGCTCAGTTAAGATGTGTTGCAGTATGAAAGGAAAACTGACAGTAAGATTTTGGCTGGATGAAAAGATTTACCAGTTTTAATGAAAGATTAATTATGAAGGTAGAAGCTAAAGAAATCAACTGATGGGTTGAGATAGGCGAAGAGAAGGAAATTCATAGCATTCTAATAGCTTCTAAGTTTGAAGGACTGGAAATACTGCAGTAAGACTAAGAAACAATCGTACCAAGAAAGAAGTCATATTGGGATCCACATAGATTAAATAATGGAATTAGTTTTGGAGGTGATGAATTTCAGGTACTGGTGAACACACAGATAAATAAGGTATGCAATTGAGAATGAGAATCTGGAACTTTTGAGAGGGAGATTTATTAAGACTTGACAGTCATTTTCACTATTAAGACCTGATAGTAAAGGAAGCCATGAGAATCTATCATGCATGGGTTAATCACCAGGGTGGAAACTAAGGCTTATGTTGATGGAGATGCTTAAATTCAGGGTTTTGGAGGAATAATAGAACAATCAGGGAAGACAGAGAAGTTAGAAAAGATAGAAAGTCATTGGAGTGGTTGTCATAATCATTACTAATTTTTGTTAATAGCCTTTTCATCTACTCTATCAAGTGTACTCAAGGTTATGTTTTTGGGGAACTCATATCTAGCACATCAATTTCTTTCTCACTTTTTTTTTGGAGGGGGAGGGGAAAGGGTCTCACACTGTCACCCAGGCTGGAGAGCAGTAGCATGATTATGGCTCACTGCAGCTTCAACTCCGCCTGGGTTCAAGCAATTCTCCCTACTCTCTTGACTAGCTGAGACTATACGTGCACACTGCCACCTGGCTAATTTTTTTTGTATTTTTTTGTAGAGACAGGATTTTGCCATGTTGCCCAGGCTGATCTCAAACTCCTTGGGTCAGGTGATCCTCCAACCTCAGCCTCCCAAAGGGCTTGGGTTACAGGCATGAGCCACTGCATCTGTCCCTCTCTCACTTTTTAAAACAAGAGTTTTGAAGATAACATTCTTCAGACTATTATTTAGTTCTAAATTTAGAGCAAGAAGTTTTTACAAACTCACCCTTTTTTCAGGCTCACTTTTTTTTTCTTTTTTAATTCTCATTATTGCCATCTTAAAAAAAACACTAATTTCTAAGAATGTCAGATTGATGAATAAGAAAGTATAGAAAGAAAAGAATGACAGCTTTAAAAAATATAGGTGGATTGATTAAAATTTATGAGAAGACATAGGATGTTAGAAATATCTGAGGAACAAAAAGTATCATATAAAAGCACATTTGCTATGTCAAGTATAAGAAACTTGAGAAAAGGCTATTGAGTTTACAAATTAGGAGGTCATTTGCTATTTGCCTACAATAGGTCAGTTATAATGGAATACAATTGAGTGTCAAAATTGTTAAATGGAGAATGTTGTTTGACTGGGGCAGGTGCTTACTCAAAGCAGTAGGATGAAGCAAGGATGACTGCTTCATGATAAAAAAAAATCTTCATTGTTTAAAAAAGAGAGAAAGTACAAGGCAGGAGTGAAATATTATAGGAAAGTTTATAATAAGTAAGAAGTAAGTAAGCTGGAATAGAAACCTGAGGTTTAATGATTAGTTTTGGAAAGTCTCCATTGTCTTTTGGGAGTGCAGAAGGTGGAAAGTCGTGGATCAATAAGTAAATTAGAGCTAGAGAAGAGAAATGAAAGAGCTTTCACATGGGAGCCACACATCCCTAAATTACCTAGAAAGTACTAAATCAATAATAAGCAATATAGATGAAGATAATGAAGAAGGGTCTTTTAAGGGTGTATTAGTATATCTCCTTGTCAAAATAGGTGCACTATAAATATGTCCTGATTGACAAATCTGGATATTGGGTAACTAGAAAAATAAAACAAAATAAAAAATCAAATAAATTAATATCCCAGTTCTTATCTTTAATGTTCATTAATATACATGCATACATATATATGATAAATGTTGAATGTAATATATAAATAATGGTATGCTTAAAATTTAGGCATGTGTGTTTTGGGGTAAATTAATCCTATCCCTTCCACTAGCACAGGAATATATACAAAACTGTAACATGGCCAAAATATTAATCTGCATTTGAAGATGTATTTGCTCCAACTTCTGGCTAAAATGTAATATGAAATTAAGATTGGTGTTTTGCTAATAGAACTCTTAGCACTAATTTTAAAAGCCATTTAAAAACACATATTGATTCAAGATAATTTTTATTGCAATCATATGATGATGACATTTATAATCAATTATTGCTTATAATTTATAAAATTAGAGCAGAAAATTGTAAGACCTAGCATGCAGAGCTAGATGATATATAATATTTCCATTTCAACCCTCATAAACATTAATGGCTTCGATGGAGGAAATGTAGACAGCAGTTAAGTCCAGTGTGTTACAGAGAAAACAGATAGGATAAATAGGAGTTATGTGACAGTAGAAGGATAGGTTGCTGTTAATTATCTTCTTTTTCCTCTCATCAATATAGTCCAATCTGTGAATCTCTTTGGTCCCTTCAACAGAGTGTTTGATAATTTTTTTAGAATGGGTAAATCAAGTAATTGGTAGTCATTTATGGTCTCTAAATAAAGCATGTTTGGTAGCAGAATTTAAAACATACTCCTTCCTTCAAGTTAGATTTTTTTTTTTTGAGACAAGGTTCTCACTCTGTTGCTCAGGCTGGAGTGCAGTGGCGTGATTGTCTCTACCTCCTAGGAGGTATAGATCCGCTCGCCTCACCCTCCTAAGTGGCTTGGGACTGCAGGTGTGCACCACCACACCCGGCTAATATTTGTATCTTTTTTTAAGAGATGGGGTTTTGCTATGTTGCTTAGGCTGGTTTGGAACTCCTTGGCTCAAGTGATCTGCCTGCCTCCTCAGCCTCCCGAAGTGCTGGGATTATAGGCATGAGCCACCATGCCTGGCTAAGTTAGATTTTTTAAAGAAAAGTAATATACAGACACACAGAAATGGATATTGTATTGCACCAGCAATTGTTTCCACTGCTGATATTATTCTTTGATACTTATAATTCTGAAATAGTAATATTAATAGCAAATCCATATATAACTTTCTTGTATTTGTTTACATATGTATATTTATGGATAGATATGTATGCTTATATGTGTATACATTAAATATTTAAAAATACATTTAATACAGCATTATGCAAGCACTTTATAATTCTTGAAATTAGACATTCTAAAATAAGCATAACTAAATCATTAGCTACTAAAATAGTTTAAACTTTCATTGAGACTGTAGGTTTTGAAAACCAGACCAACTTAAAGCGAAATTACCTAGAACTATTAAAGTACATGTTGAGTTTAGCAGATAATGAATTAGCATCCATGACATGAACTTATTTTGTCTTCTGTCATACAGAAGTGCAGGTCTGTGCTTAAATCATCATTCCATTCATGTTTATAGCTAGTTGGCAAAACAAACATGGTAATCACCCAACACTAAAGTTCTTATTCTTTTGTCATCATAAATACCCTCTAATTCTTTATCAACTGCTTTCAAAATAAAGTTCTATTTATGCACACACATTCGTTAAATCAAAAGGAAACAAAAACAAACTCTGGCACAATTTCCAAACCTCCACACACAAAAATTCATCATACCTAGAACCCTTTTGTTAAATGTGCAATTCTTTTTTTCCATAATCACATTACAAAAAGCAACAATTTTGAAAGTTTAACACCACACTGGTTTATTTCTGGAAAAGAACAAAGAATTTAGTCCAGGACTCCTGAATACCAGATACTGTTGATTCTGCTTATCTTGTTCTGAAAATGGTAAATCTAAATATTGTTGGGTTTATATGTAGAAATACAAAGACTGCCATAGCGTTACGACACTATTTTAAATTCATCCAAAGAAGACAAATTACCAAACCTTTTATTAAATATTTTAAAATACAGGTATTCTTAACATTTAAGAACAAAAAGTATTTACAAAATGTTCCTTGGCTGAATTGGGGCTTGCAACAAATGAACTGCTATAACTAATATAATTTTTAAAGTGCTCTTTAGGGTTGCACAGATAGTAGTTCCAAGGTTCCATGTTTCTTTATGATAAAAATAAAAGTGCGATGCATTTTAGAAAATCGCATATTTTTCTGCATTATTATTGGTTAAAAATGATGTGTCCGTGCTAAATGTAGACTAATTGGATTGAGATTTCTTTATATTTTATTGAATTCTGTCAATAATAAAAGGAACATAGAGAGGACTGGCCACTGAGATACAGCTACTACTTAGAAACTAAAGAAGTTACTTTTTGGAAGAAGAATAATGCTTTTTATCTCCTTCATGAAAATAAGATTAAATGAAAAATGTATTTAATACAATTTTGAAAGGCATTGTGCTTGCCTTTCAATTTTATTTCTTAGTTTTCTTACATAGTGACATTGTATGAAAGCATACTTTTTTTCACCATACTAGCATTTATCCTTAGGTTTTTGTGATTTATGCTTATTGGGACTCCTTTTTGGCCAATGAAACTTGTGGATCCTTTCTATATTTATGTTTCATTAGCTATTTTTAAGAAAGATAATTTATGGATGTATCTCATAGTTTAGAAGACAACCTGAAATCTTAGAATTAAACTCAATGCATATAACTGAAAAGAGACGCATTTATTTTTAGCAATAAATACATTGCCCCACTGTACAATTTTAGACCATGAAAATTAGTCCTCTGTGGGAAGTTCATTCATGTGTCACAAAACTCACACAAACATACACATATATGCATACATGTGGTGTGAGTCAACAATCCATGGTTGACGTAATGTACCAACAGTTTTTATTTAGGAGATTCAGACTGTCAAGCACTGCGCTAGGAGTAGAGCATGCAATCCTGAAATACACTGGTCCTGATCTTGACCTCACAGAGTTTAAAGTGTTGTAATGTCTTAAGTATATAAATACAAACTGGAAAAAAATGTGAAAGAAATTGATGGAGAATCAAGAAGCCTAATGTGGGGGTCAGATCCTGCCTAGAGGGTATATGATGAAGGGGCAAGGAAAGTCTCTAAAAACCCAGATTTCGGTTGAGAGCTGAAAGGCAGGTATGAGTTAACTTGGCAAAGTGAAGTTGTAAAGAAAGGTAAAGCTTTTCCAAGCCTCTTTAAGAGTTATATGCAAAAGTATACTTAAGGCATGTTCTAAGCAGTGAATATACTTTATATATTCCGTCCATGGAAGGAATGATCTTTAAAATAAGGTTGGAGAAGTCAACAAGAGACAAATGAAATAGTGCCTTGCATGATATAATCACATTTTTGTCTTTGTTTTGTAAGTATCTGAATAGTTCTGAAGAGTAGGCCTGGTCTGGCGTAAAGGTGCAGGGGATTGGTAATAGTGCAGTAGGTGAATTGGAATGGGGCAAGAATGATGGGATGGTGGCTAACTAGGCTTAACAAGTCAAAAAGTGAGAAATGAGCTGAAATAAAAACTAGAAAATCTCAAGATCTATTTACAAATTAGTAGGTCTTATTGATAAATTATAGTATAATTATAAGTATAGTATAGTGTGAAAGGAAAATGTAAAAAGTTTCTCCAAGATTTTTGGTTTGTGTTACTGGGAGATAAGTCAGGGAACAAATCATAAGTTTTGCTTTAGACATACTATATATAAAGTGCTTTAGAGGCGCTGATGTGAATCAGTGGATTAAGCAGTTGATCTGAGTCAGAATCTCAAGAGATAAAATATTGGTTCGAGCTATTGATACAATATTGGAAGTCATTAGCTTATTAGTGATTATTAGTCATTAGCTTATTATAAGTTGAAGCTGAAACATGGATGAAATTACTTAACATGGGTATAGAAACAAGAACTCTTGAATCCTTTCCTCCAGAAAATTTCAATTGGCTCAGCAGTTACAAGTTTAATCATTTCTACATGATTACTTTAAGTATAAAGGTTTTAAACAATATCATTCTTTCAAATGAGATCATTTGGATCCAATGGAAAGAAATGTAAATATTTAAGCTCCAAAAATAAAATAACTATATCACAGAAGGGGAAGAGTGTGTATGAAATAGCTGGGAGTATCATTTACTCATTCGTGATATTAATTGAGCCCCAACAAGCATTTTAAAAAATTAGTTCACTGAAATGTTACAAGTGCTTGCCAAGGAGATTAGTATTGAAGGTGTGGAGGTGTAATATTCCAGCCAGAGGGACAGATGTGGGCAAAAGTCTACAAGCATAAAGTAGCCTAGCTTGTTCAGAGATGGATATAAAATTCAGTGTGGATTAATCTTTGGTTGAGTTCAGGATAGGAATAGAAATATCAAAATTACAAGCCAAGCTAGTAGCCAGAGTTCAAACTGTGAAATTTCATATAATACAGTGATGAGTTTGGATTTTATTATGTTGGCAATGGGAATTTGGCATTTTAGAAAGATTCTTCTGGCTTTAATGTGGAAGAAAAATCGGAAACAAACCCAACCTAGACAGATAATTAAATAAAAATCATAAAAGGCTAATGTGTTATAAATGGAAATGAAGAGAAGAGAGACATAAGAGAGATAAAAGGTTTTTGTTTACATGAACTAAATTATACAATCTGCCACAGTTCATACGAATTTTGCTGGGCATTAACAGAAATAGCCTTTCATATCACTAGCAGCAACTGGTCCCATAACCCTCCTTTCTTGCTACTCAGATCAATCTCTTCTTGTGGACAATCATTGATACCAAAAAAAAATGTAAAATGAAAAGTGAAAATACAATAGTGGAAGAGAAAGGCAAAGGATAACATTCTGGAAATGATGCCGTGTAAAAACTGATGAAAGAAATGATATTATTCACCTGCACAATTAAAAAAAAACATGGCATAACTATGACTAGTTATAACTCTTTTGTTAAATAGTCCTGATTCAGTGGTAGTAGGAAAAGACCACTCTTTCTACACTTCTTCAAAACCGTGCATCCTCTGTCTCATCCATGCTAATCAGATGACATCTCAGAGAGGTTCTATAGCTTTTCTGGTCTTTTCATTCATACGGCAAATCACAGTTTAGTATTTAAGAAATTAGGGGCCGGGCGCAATGGCTCATGCCTGTAATCCCAGCACTTTGGGAGGCCGAGGCGGGCGGATCACGAGGTTAGGAGATCGGGACCATCCTGGCTAACACGGTGAAACCCCGTCTTTAGTAAAAATACAAAAAAAAAATTAAAAAAAGAATAAAAAAAAGATTAGCCGGGCGTGGTGGTGGGTGCCTGCAGTCCCAGCTACTTGGGAGGCTGAGGCAGGAGAATGGCATGAACCCAGGGAGGCGGAGCTTGCAGTGAGCCGAGATTGTGCCACTGCACTCCAGCCTGGGTGACAGAGCGAGACTCTGTCTCAAAAAAAAAAAAAAAAAAAAAGAAAGAAAGAAATTAGGGTCAATATATGCAAAAATTTAAAATTCTCCTTTAAGATGGCTTCTCCCTATCCTCAACTCAGACCTACATGGCACAGGGAATTATCATGGGAGGCCTATCTGATGTTTCTACTTCCTCTCTTATTTGATGCCCTTTAAGGCTGAGGAAGAACAGGGAATGAAGTGCAGTCAGTTTCTGGGTTGAAGTTGCCTGACTGGCACAGTTATTGTCTGGTGTTTGGTTGTTCCTCATGGCAGACACAAGCTCTGGCCCTTTCTCCCATGTAAAGCTTTTGTGGCCTATCTGGAGCCTTTGAATTTCCTGGAGGCCTCAGTGTGTCAGGCTACAGACTAGGGCTCTGACACAGACCTTGGGCTTCTCAGGCCCACCATCTGTTGAAGTCCCATTTCACCTTCAGCTACACAGTCTTACTGAGTGTAAACCATTTTTAAATGACCATAGGTTCCATTCTTTAGGGTTTATATCTGGTTCCCAGAAAATAGGCACTTTTGCCTTAAAATAGGAGGGATTGTGTCCTGTTATTATCCAGTCATCCTTTTTTTCTTTGATCTCTTCAGTTTAAAAAGTTCTGGGCAGTAGCCAAATGCAGTCTCCATGTTGGAGCCAAGTTAAGTGGTTTGGTTCCCTGGAGCCCTTTTCACTTAACTTGAGGTGATGAGATGCACCACAGCACCTGTAACATCTCTATAAGGAGGCATTTTCACTGCTTCCCTTTCTTCTAACTTCCCACTCCTTTACTGTTTTTATGTAGCCTGGATGAGGGTGATAAACTATGCTCACAAAACCTATTACTTAATTTCTTAGTATATGGAGACAATAGCTGCTCTACAACTTTCCTTTGGGATGTGCAAGTATATTCCATCAGTGCAGTTTTTAAACCTTTGGGGCCTTAAGGAAAATTAAGAAAGAGTCCCAATTTTATAGTCAGTGTTATAATGGATAATTGGAGATTACAGTATAGCAGATTTCAAATTGCCTTTCTAATACATAGATCTCTTCATAGAAGAATAAACTGCTTTAGGAAAGTCTGTGCTCATTATCGTCAGACACCAATCAAGAAAGTTTCAGTGGTGACCTCTTAATGTTAGGGTCAGCTTCATGGACACGTATTCTGTGCATAATATCAGGGTCAGCACAAGGTTCCACAACCAGAAGGTCCTCGTGATTAGTTGAATGTTCTAATGTTACCTTCTTGAAATTGTTAATGTCTTATTAGGAGGCCTCATATTTTTCATTTTGCACTGGGTCCTGCAAATTATGTACTCAGTCCTGTTTAATATGTTTGTATTATGAGGGTAGGGAGATTAGAGTCTAGATGATTGAAAAAGTCCTTTCTTTAAATTGTATTAAAGTGAAAACAATTTTAATACCAATGATTGTTAACAAGGGTACGTTTCACAAACTAATATACTTGATGGTTAGTGAATATCATTATTATAGTAAGTAAAACTTCAAATTGTCACTTTTTAATTGACTGTAGGTTTTGTTAATGTGTTTTATTTTTACTAGTACTTTTCTTCCATGACATATTACTTGATAAAAAATGTTATGTGCAATATTCCTGGTTTCTACAAACATTTGTTTTACTTCTTAAACTTACAAAATTGAGAGAGCACAATTACCCTAAGAAAAATAATCTCTAAAAGTCATTGCTACATCTCTATATAATATTCAGTATTCTGTTAATGGAAGCATCCTTATTGCTAGAGAAATTCTAAGTGCTGTCTTTTTCCCCCTTTAATAGGAGGCAGTATAATTGACTTTCGTTTTTATTCATTCTTTCTTGGAAGGGAAACATCTGGGAACAGATTTTACGAATACCCTTCATCTTGGAAATAATTAATGCAGTTCCCTTCATTATCTCAGTAAGTCCTAAAAGAACCTTAAAAAAACACTTTTGTAATTAGACTTAAGTAAAATATTTAAACCTAGATACTGTTAAATAATATGGTAGCTAAGATAAATGGATTTAGACTTTGGTTAGAATCATGATACTAAGCAACAAGATAAAATTGGTTGGATCGTGTTGTGTAACTAAATGGAAACTAATGATTTCATACAATAGCAGAGTAAAATATTTTAAAGAGATATATGTTCTGGGGATGCCATTTGACAAATGTCATTGTTGTTTAAAATTACTAGAAATTACTTATCCACTTATTGTTTATATTGTGGATTTTTTTTAAAAAAATAAGCCAATTGGAAACATATTTACAAAAGTTTTTCATACGTTGAAAATATCTATCTGTGGTTTAACCACAAGATTTATTAAGTCTAGTTCTGTTTTTAGTAAGGAGATTGTCAAAAGTCAGGCACCCAACATTTTGCTTCTTTTCAAACTGCTCTGTGTTATCAGTTCCATGATGATCCTATTCAACTACAGTCCCATAAATATGTTACTCAGCACTTTCCTTTTGCAAAACTATATTTTAATCGCAATTTAATAAAGTTATAATAATGTCTGTTGGGATTATCCTTTGTATTACTTCATTTGAATTTTATTTGGAGGATTTTGAAAATAAGTAGATATTACTTGGAGCTGTCGCTCTGTTCTGATAATTATTTTAATTTGAGTGATTTATCTAGAGAAGCAACTGGAACTAGATTAAATGACAGGTTAACTAAATATAATTCTAATTGAACATAGCTCCGCAATGTCGCTTAAAGTGGTTTAACATAAAGAGAGTAAGAGGCAATATTATGAAAAAAGAGAGTACCTTTCCTCTTTGTTCCTACTTAATACCTCAAGTTACAGAGAAAAGGAAGTCAATGTCTATTACAAACCATCACACTAAAAGATTCAATGATATAATTAGCATAGATATCTGCCATCTGGTGAAAGATTATTATTTTCTTTTTGCTTCTGCAATAATTTCCCTAAGAAAGATTTAGACAATGAATGAAAGAACATATCAATTCCTTACATTTTATTAAGAGTGAGTTTACATTATTTGTCATATTTTAAATTATTATACTTTCTTTAACAGCTTTTTTTCCATTTCTTTTTAGTATACTGGGTATGGTTTATTGCTTTGAGATAAAAGTCTAGTTTTGTTTTGTTTTGTTTTCCAGATATTCTGGCCTTCCTTAAGGAATCTATTTGTCCCAGTCTTTCTGAACTGTTGGCTTGCCAAACATGCCTTGGAAAATATGATTGTAAGTATAGAATTAAAGTGCAAATATGAAAATATTTTTAAACCATTTCTTATTTTCAATGTTTAGATTAAACAGAGAGAGAGAATTTGGGATCTAGTCTTGAACTTTCTAATTCTGCATTCTCCCATAACGTTTAACTCATACTATTGGAATTAATTAAGCTGTAATTAAATTTCCAAATGTTTCATTTTTAAACATCTTTTAAATTAATTTAGGTCATAGTAAATTGTTTCATTTAAATGTTTTTTTAATGAGTCATTGTGGTAAAATACTGTTAAATAGTTAAAGTGATGCATAGTGTAAATTTGAAAGTTAACAGACCTTAAATGACCAGTCTGCTGTATCTTACTCAGAATGAAAACTTGTAAAATGTCCATATTGCCAAGTTACTACCTTTGTAGGGTCCTATGACTGGTAAAGAAAAATGGTTCAGAATTTCTCAATGTCACTAAAAACCTTATTGGTTTTTGGACTGGTTCAACCACTTAGCCAATCTTCAGAGTACAAATATCCTTCCCTCCCAAGGCAGTTTGTTGATGCATAATGGGACTCCTGGCTTTTGAGGGCTCAAGTAAGTGATTTAGTCAAACTGCTCTTAATTGTAGGTAGTCTCATATGCAGTGAACATCTGTGGGGTTTCCTAAGATTCTATGTGGGAGCCAGAAGCCCCTCATTTAGAGTCATCCTTCTGGATTTGCTTGAGCGGGGTTGTGAGTGGGATATTAGGAGAAAAGGAAGCAAGAGGTAGAATAAAAGATGGAGAACTCAGAGCTGTGCCCCAGTTGCATTATACCCAAGGCTGACCCTGCTTGGTGGCATGGTTTATAACTATGACCCAAACCCCAAACATTTTTACCACAGGCTTTAGTACTTCAAAGCTAGCTGTAAGGCATTTCCATTGAGTCATTCATACCACAAATGTTAATACATGTTCACTATATACTGAACAATGTGATGGGCAAATGATCTAACTTCTCTGCTATTATCTTCATCTGCAAAGAAAAGCACCTACAAGTTTGCTATGATAATCAAATGAAATTATATATACATACATATATACAAAATGTACACAGATACATATGCATAATATGTATGTATAGTATTTTATCTGGCACAACAAAGTAAGGGCTCAATATTATTAATTTTACTGCATTGAAAATTATACTTGTTTGGAGGCAAAGTTATTTTCCATTTAAATGGGTTTTAAAATGACATTATGACTAAAGTTTTGGCCTAAAGGAATATTTGGATAACGTTTTAGTATTCACAACTAGATGAATGTTTCTAAACATTTATATCGAGTAACCACTGGAGTCTTATGAAAATACATTGCCAAAGGGTGGGAGAGTGTGGCCTGTGAAATGACTTGCAGAAACATTGGGCTGTCTTAATTGCCCTGATGAAATACTGTTTGACTAAATATAGATTGCCTAAATTGCTAATGAATAAAAATACACCAGAAAAAAATAAACTTATTTGTTAATTTCTGTGTTATTAGTTGTTGGAAAAAAATAACTCAAACAAGACAGGATACATTAAACAAATATTGACAGTAACAAAGCCTGTTTTGCAATATTAATTTATGATTCATTTTCCATTTTATTTCCATATCTCTTTTCGCCAGATGCTAAACTTGTATTTGCTTTTCTGTTCATTAATACCTCTGCCATTAGAGACTAAAGGGTGAGAGATGAAATCCAAATCAGTCAACTTAGTTATTTGTCTTCATAACAGTTCTGGTTAAATGAGTGGTGGACAAAATGAGTGGTACACAAATAATGGCTCATTGCCATAATATCTTTTATAAGAAATTAAACTTAGAAAAAAATTGTTTATTGGCTATTTTATTTTTTTTTCTTTTCAAAATAAACTGTCTGGGCTAATTGATGTTAATTTTCCTGATAATGAGCTTTGTTTGTAATTTCACTCATCTATTCCCTCTTCCTTAATTAAACATACTATTTTCTGATCTTTTGAAATTAGGATTTTCCATAAAAGTTCATGCTTAACATGTAGGGGTTTGGGGGAGTAAGTGCAACACCTGTTCAGATGTCTGTAATGCAAGTAAACTGAAATTTAGTGCTTTGGTAGTCTTCCTACAGCAATATCTTTGAACTATGCAAGCTTTAGTAAGTTACAATCAGATCTAGGCAAAAATGGAAATATGCTTATATTTCCATTTGAAATACATGTATTTACATATGTATGTATGTGTACAGGAGAGTTGACATGAAATGTATGCTAATAAATGTAATGAAACTCATGCATATTTAGTATTTATCAAAATTTACAACTTTTTTTCTGTATTATTTTAGAATGATCTACACAGAGCCATTCAGCGTACACAGTCTGCAATGTTTAATCAAGTTTTGATTTTAATATCTACATTACTATGCCTTATCTTCACCTGGTAAGATTGTACATATCAGAATTTGTGTTATGTTTCATTTAATTATAATTTCTAAAGGAAACCATATTATAAATAACTTTCATTAATAGTTGTCAATAAATAAATAAACAAATATTCACCAAAAAATGTAACAGATCGCCTACAGAAGAAAAAGTAACACTCTTTCTTCAGTCTTAAAAAATAATAAAGCACATACATCATTTGCTATTGATATATACTGCAACTCTGGCATTTTACCAACTGCTGTAAACAGCCAAACTATGAGAATTTATATTGCATCCCATAGTTGTCAAACAAGAATTTTTCCTTCAAACTACTGTTACAGAAGTGCCCTCATCTTTCTACATTCTTCAAAGCAGAAACACTGTTGAGAAAACTGTCCTTACCAATCACTGCTTCTGCCTCTGCTTTCTGTGCATGATTCTTAGTGTGCAGTCAGGCAGAAAGCCAGGGCAGATTTATGGACAGTGCAAGGCAAGACCTGGCACTTCATTATAAAAACATATAAAATATGCTTTATTATAAAAACAGTAATTTCCCTTTCTGGAAGGTCACACTTTGACAATTATAGAGTAATCCAACATGAAATATGACACCGGACATATGGATTCATTCAGATCCTTAATGAGAGAAAAAATGTGAACATCAAAAAATGAGGTAGAATAATATGTTTTTGTTGCAGGAATCTTAGATATGTGTAATTGTGCTGTGACCTGGGTCTGACCCTATTGAGAAAGAGAAAAAGCTAATTAGGAAGTACTAAAAAAGGAAAAATGCACACATACACTAGTACAACTGAGCTAGGTATAAATATGGCTATACATGTATGCATGTAAATATAGATACATAGGTATGACAAGTTTTTGTATCAATAGTATGTGGTTAGTAACTCTACGAAATGGTTTTCAAATATGTTTTATTGCATACTTTTATCATTTAAAAACAGTAGACCTATTTTAGCATACTTAATGCTTTTAAATATAAAATAACCTCTAAGATCGATATAGCCATCTTATCGCCTAGTGTCTTTTTACCTTTCGCAAACTGTCTTTATGATTCACCTAGCAATTATCTAACTGCATTAATATGAAACACTCATTGCAATTATTTCCCTTCTAAAGTCACTAAAAATTCTGGATTTCAATATAATAACATTATTTGGGCAACTTAGGAGTGTTTTCTCATCTAACTTAAGGGAAAGTACTTAAAATTTTTAAAAAAATTATGTATGTATGGTATGCATACGATAATTTTTCAATTGTTGGAAAATTACAAATACTAAAATTAATGATTACTAAATATAATGTGGGAGTCTCTTAAAGTAAATTTAGACAAAGGATAATTGAGATGTTAGTGTGAGAAAAAGGACACGTTATTTTTACATGATGACATTTAGCAGTACTTTTGTTCTGGAGGCATCTTCATCACAATAAATCTTCATCTGTAGTTGGCTTTCTATGCACTCCTACTTTCTGCCTAGTACTTCTATTTTTTGGGTAGTATAGGTGGCACCTAGACAAATTTCACCATTTTCTTATGCGAAAGGATGCAGCATTGCTAGAGAAAGGGTTATTCATTATTTATATGAAATTTCCACTATATAATGTATTCATTATTGAAATTATTTCTATTTCATTGTTTTATTTGGTATAATAGTTATTGTTTTGTTGTTTTGTGTGTGTCTTGTGTGTGTGTTTTAGTTTTAAATAACCGAGTAGTGGTTTTGAGATGTTATCTAATATTACAACTGTCACCAGTAGTGGATATGTCCCTTAATGTGCAATAATTACATAACATTAAGTTTAACTACATACAATTTTATTGTTTAATCACATGTATCATAATATATTCTTAAATTATAATAACTCAAATGGATAAACAGGTTTGATTTCTTTGTGTATTCTTCTCTGCATTACAAGCAAACTGTCTTCATAACTTATGATCATCATCATAAAATCGAATAAGTTTCATTCAAGTTCAACATCAAAGGTCTAATTACCAAGAAACATATAAACAATGTTATATATTAGTTATATCTTAGTCATAGTATGTCATGCAGGCTGTTTTAACAAAGTGTTACACCATACACAATGTAAAATAGAAATATCCACAAAAATACAGCAACTTAAACAAATAGAAATGTCTAGGTAGTCTGTCTAAGACTGTTTCCCCAGCTTGATACTGCTGGGGAATAATTTTCCTTATATCTTGTTCCTTCCATTTTTCAAAACATGGTTTCTGTCTATGGTTCAAGATGGCTGCCCTGTTCTTGCAAGTACGTCCTAAGTCCAGCCTGTAGTTAGAAAAATAAGACACAAGTTGTACTTTAGGCTAGAATTTGGTTATATATCCACACATGGCTGAAAGGGGGCCTGCAAAAACATTGTCTAGCTGGGTAGTAGTATATCCAGCTGAATATCATACTATCACACAAAAAAGAAAAAACAACTGGAGACTGGAATAAAAAGAAGTCTCTTGGTACTAAGTGATAAAAGTCCACATGTACATTAGTTGTTTAAAACCTAGGGTTATCCTAGTTTAGAGCCCTTGAACAACTTTTTTACACATCATTAAATGAGGATATTAATCACTCTATAAGGTTATTTTGAAGTGAGGATTAAATTAGATATAAAGTGTTAAGCAAATAGCATGGCAAATAATGTTAACACCTCAAAAGTTTTAGTTTTTTTTTTCCATTTCAAATGCCTTCTTTATAAAAGATGATTAAATTCTCATGTGAGTCCACAAAAACTAAATTACTTAAAAATATCTAAACATAGTATCCTTTTAATAAAACTATAAGAGGGAACCACTGTGCCTAAAATATATTAACAGAAAATATAAGAAAACATCTTTCACCACTGTATTCAAGTTTTCAGTATTTCATACCTATTTCTAATACTTGAGTCTCTCATTATCTCCACCAAGTTAAAGATAATGGTAGCATCGCTCTCTTGGTACATTTAATGCTTTCAATGACACACAGCATTGCGACATGCCCATGGCTCCAGTTTTACTTCATTCAGAGTACTTTTAAAATTTGATCTTAGTGTAACATGACAGATAAAAACCAGGGGCATGGTAAATAGGGGAATAATTTTAGGCCACAGAGAGGGAAGTAACTGTTCTGTAAAGATAAAAGTGAACTATTTTTTGGACTATTGAGAAATATTTCTCATATGAATAGATTCCATCATTTATTTTACCACTTTCTGAATATTGAACCATAGGACATGTCAGAAATTAACATTACTAAATCAGAACTTGTAATATGTACATTGTAATTTGAGCCTGAAAGATTTGGATAAATTGGCTATATTGTTCAGGAATCTTACAGTCTTAAAATTACCTGTTTTAGAAAGCTGTTACATGGTTTTTTAAAAAGATTTTCCCTTCACCATTACAAAGAACTATCAATATGCATCTGTCTGCAAGAGACACATGTTTAGTGCCAAACTGAAATAAAAATTAAGCTGCTGTGCTGACCCACTCTCTATGGGAAATGTGCTCAGAATTGTTTTTTCGGTCATTGTAATGGAATTGGACTAATCTGTCCACATATTGGCAGTGTACCCCTCTTCATCAATAATACACACTTCCAAGACAGCTGGGAATTGTGATTCATTCTGCGTCTCTAAAACAAAGCAGAGTAAACTGGAGCATCCGGGAATTAAATGCATGACTTTAGCTTAATTATCAACATATTCTAACCAATAATAAGCACTATCATTTATAATGAATTTGGTGTTTCTAATTTTACAGATAGATTTATTTTGCAACTACTTTACTTCAAACTTTAATATTTTTAAATTTACATGTGTTTATATATTTTCATATTATTTCATGGGTTTCTAACATAAGAAACTATATTATGTTAACTGATTTCCTGTTTTAGTTCAATGTTATAATTTCCTGTTTTAGTTCAATGTCATAATAATAATTGAATCAATTCACCTTCTCAGTCTTATTTCAAGACAAAATAAACTCATTTATTGTTTAAAAATATGATCATGTTAAACATGATTAACATGCTTAATTCAAAAGTACTTGGAATGTTCCTATGCATCGATTAAAACCTATTTAAACACTGGATGCTTAAGTTCTTGAACTCTATTTACTGGTTAAAGTCTAACGGCAAATAGCTACTTGGGAAGTGGACAGTGAGAAGATAAGTACTGTAGTTTGGATGAAGAATTACAACATGGTCTAATGGTGTTAATTGCCACTGTCATATTTGGTTCCTAGTTTTTTGTTTTTTTTCACATTAGTTTTTCTTACATTGTAAATGAATTAC
Source organism: Homo sapiens (assembly GCF_000001405.40). Taxonomy (NCBI): domain Eukaryota; kingdom Metazoa; phylum Chordata; class Mammalia; order Primates; family Hominidae; genus Homo; species Homo sapiens. The sequence continues at coordinate 196,460,998 of NC_000001.11, read as the reverse complement.
TGAAAGTGCTTTTGTCTGAAGATCTGGCAATTGACTAACAACTTTCTTCCTTATTCTTCCTGCTATGGTTTAAATTTTCATAATGGCTATGTATAATTTTTGAAAACAAAATAAGACGAAGTCACAAAAAGTGAGAAATGTAAAAGGAGGAAATAAAATTTAATACAAAATGCAAAATATAATTATATGTAATATTCAATATAATCTGCATAATTAATTTGATCCTTATTCAAATGAGTCTCATATTAAGTTCTACTTCCCCACTTTCTCCTACTCATCATTCAAGTCTCAACTTTTTGATTGTAGCTTCTCTATGACACTTTCTTGTAGTCTGTCTAAATTATGGAATATGGTCAAGGTTTATGCTTCTTCAACATTCTAAAACCTGTGAAATATATAATGATTCTTTAATTATCAGTGTTTCTTCTAGACTTTTATAATTCATGAGCGCAAAGACTCAATTTGCCTTTCTTACCATTTTATGCCCAGCATCTCTTATGGTAGTTGGATAATACTAGATGTTTAACTAATATTTGCAATTGATAGAAAATAGCATTCTGGAATAACAATACCCTTATCAAGTGGAGATACTTAAATATATTATAAGTTAAGCATTTCAAACCATGTATTTTAAGAACACTATTTTAAAACTCTTATTTTCAGTTAAGTTTTGTGTGAGGTCATAAGAAGGACTTTTACAGTTATAAGCCAGAGTGTAAATCTGTGAAAATGGCTTCTGGCAAAAAGATATGACTGAGTAGTAAAACTTTTGCAACTTTTTAATTTAAAAAAATACCCTTGGATATAATTTTTGTAAATTACACGCACATACCTTATAGAAATGATAAACCAAATTTTGGCCAATTTTGTCTCCATATAACCCCCAAATTTATGCCTTGAACATTTTCCCTTTTTTGCTTTTTTTTAGAATTTGTGAGAGCAGAACAATGTAATAAAATTACTGAAACTGTTAGAAAGAAAATGGGCTTGCTGCCCGATGCACAGAGAAGACAATAACTATGGCACTGGCTTTTGAGAAAAGAAGGCTTTATTGAAAAATTGGCCATCAAAGAGAGAGGTTCAAATCAGTTTCCCTGATTTGGGACCTGAAGCAAGTTTTAAGGGGTTAGAGGGCAAGATAAAGGATTTAGGAATGTTTACTTGACAGAGTTTGATTAGAGGACTTCAAATGTGGTCATTTACAGTAAGCTACGTTGAGGCAAAGTTTAGCCGTGCATCTTCCAAGTGAAGGAATCCCTCACTTCTGAAAGTTTTCAGCATTCAGATTCTAATTTTGTCCCAGTCTTTTGGTTCAGGATGTTGTTAGAGGTCAAAGCTTTTTCTAGGGCACATGCCCTGACTATGACTTACAGTTTTTGGCTCTGTTATACCTAAATGATAACTTGACATTTTATCAACAGAGCAGGCCCAGTTTGAGCTAGTGCCATGGTTACAGAACTAGCAACTGCATGGAGCATACAAACAAACTGGTTAAATACTCAGAGCATTATCATAAGTGCCATCATGTTTTTCTCTTCCCATTATTGTTTAGGATGTTTAACTTTTTTTTTCTATTTCTTTCTTTGATTTTTTTTCTTGAAATTTCTATTTTACTTTTGTCTGACCTGAATCCTGATCCTCTCCTGAAAATCTGTTAATTTTCCATTATTTTGAAATAAAGAAAATCCATGTTTGTACATTAGGGCACAGGATAGGGCATGGTCACCTTTTATAAATTATTAAATGGCAAAGTATATTGACCCCAAATTTATGGCTAATGACATGATTTACTAATGTTTTTTGCATAGACACAAAGACAGTGCTCAAGAGAGTGAGACATTTCTTTTGACAATAGAAAGACTGGTTTTATCATTACCTCAAAAAAAAAATCCCCTAGAAAATGTAGAATCCCAACATCTCAAATGATCGTATGTTTCATGGGACTCTTAGATATTAGGTATACAATCTACGGGAAATGAAAATGATTATTTGGGACAATTTAATTGGTATTCACTGAATAAATACCAAAGTGCAAGTTGAGGGCTGATTTGAATGCTAATGTTTGAATTACAGGAATGGATGAAAGTGTTAGATGATTTCAGCACAGAATGCCATTGCTAATTAAGTTTTTCCAGTAACTGTGCACAGCAATGAGATTCATAGGGAGTATATGGGATATTAAGCATTATTTATTCCTGCCATGTGACTTTTTTTCTCTGATAATATTTTGTTGTACAAATTGACATTTACCAGGTGGTAGAAAAGTTTGCAGTCTCAATATTTCCTTTCATTCAAATTAATGTTTTCCTTATAAAACATGCCAAAGCTTGAAAAATTTGTACTGCCAAATGTATAGTTAACATTTTAAAAGAAGCGCATTTTAAGAAGCACAGAATAAATAATTTGCAGTTAATGTGCCTTTGTAATGATATACAGGACCTCTTTAAGTAAGTAGATTAATTATGACTTTTAGGTATTTTGAGAGGGTAACATAAGAGTTTGTATTCAACTTCCTAATTAAATTTTGTTTTAGAATTACGTAACAACAAAATTATTTTGTATGGGTTTGTGTCAAAGATAACACTTAAGAATGTTTTGTAAAGAAGCAAACTCCACAGTATATTCTTAACTCAAATCCAACATTCTTCATGAGATTATCTTGAAATATTTTCTAAAATAAAATGCATTTTTATAAAAGAAATAATTAATATTGAAGTCTTACAAAACATAATTTATTTAAATTCTTTTATATTTGAAATATATTCTTACGTAATATAATTTTTGTTTTATATTATTTTGTTTTTTAATATTGCTTTTTAATTAAGCAGTCACCCATTCAGGAATGAGAATATTATACACCTATATATTTATTTTGTATATATTAACAAAATTATATATGACATTGTAGCAGGTAGGTTTGACCCAGTTGCAGGTTGGGGCTGAGATGAAATGTAAAATTGTATGTCTCATTCTGGATGTTTTTAGTCTCGTGCGTTATCTGCACTGGGAGCTTTGCCTTTAATAACTCAAACGTTCCTCTTCCCAGAGCCTTATCTTCTAATTCTGGTTTTTATCACTGCAAAGAGCTCAAATCTATCATTGTTGTGAATGGTGCATTTTGAGGCCATGACTTAACTGGTGGGGGCTCTCTCACCTGTACTCTCAAGCAGCAATTGAGTGCAATCTCTTCTAGGTCAGGGCAGGCTGTTCACTAAGTTAACTGTTGACTCCTTCTTATGGAAGATAGGTAAGAAGCCTTGACTAAAAATAGATAGCTTAACGATCAATAATAAATGGCCTCCATTCTATTTTAGTTTGTGCTGAACCCTTTCCATTTACCAAGTGCGTGCTATCTAGGTTGTTCTTAATACATTTACCTTATTTTCTTTCACCTCTTATTAACTTCCTTAATTACTCTCTTAATGATAGTTGTTGTCACACCAGAGTGACTTCAGGGAGTTGCTTTTTTTTTTTTTGGTAAGCTTTAAGATGTGCTTGCCATTTGGAATAATGGTAAGCATAACAAAACTCTGGAACCACGCAGTCCAGGGCTCATATTATGCCTTTTTCATTAATCAATTCAGTAAGTATAACTTCATGTCATTTAACTGCTCTAAGTTCAGTTTACTATCCATAATATGTAGATAATAATATTGTATAGAATTGTTGTGAAAAGACTGAGTTAATATATAAAAAGTAAGTACTAGAGAACACAATTCATTATATGAACCAATAAATTATTATTATTATTATTTAATTTTTAGTGTGAGAACAGTGTTTTTTTGTGGGTAAGAGGGCTATGCTTGCCTGAAAATGGACTCCACTGTTATTTTCTAAATTGTCTACTCCTTTTAAATCAGTTTTATCTTCAGACAGCCTTGAGAAAGTACATAATAATGTGTGTTGAATAAATATGGAATACAAAGTTTGGGTGTAAAAAATTATTTTGTTTGGAAAATAGCTCACTTTTTGATTGGGATCTCAGTTGAGAATTAAATTGTTTTGACTGGAAAATACAAAGAATTCCTCTCAGGAAACTTGTATTAAGACCAACCGTTGTACCTTTATGCATTAACATCCACATTCATACACTAATATGTATTCTTTGGTTTAACTATATCATGCCTACTGTCTCCAGGGCTTTTAGGTAACTTTTCTAGAATATATTTCTGATATGCCTGTGTCATTTATTGATGTCTATTAAATGCTTGGTATAGATCAGATTATAATTATGCTTACAGAGATGAACTTGGTTAGTACCTGATCTTAAGAATCTTATGATGTTTTGGGAAAATCATGTATAACACTAGTGGTATGAACAAAGTCAAAATGGACTTCAGATAATGCACAATTTAATTGCATCTATTACTTTACTCCCCTATTAACAAATAACCAGAAGACCCAATGGGGCATAAATAAGATCTTAAAACTTAGGAATTGTTAAGGGCACTTTGACACCTAAAAATGAGAAGACAAAATCTGGAAGCAGTCAAGAAAGGTACATTTTGTTAATCAAAGAAATAAGACATATATAGAAGTAAAATATAATGGTAGCACAAAGGACAGAATGGAGCAAATAGAATTGTATTGTTTTAATTTTTATACTATACATAACGTTAAATTCTGGAAGCAATCATTACAAATGCAATAAAACAAAATAAAACAAAAGGATTTTGTCAGTAAATCAATAATGGAGACAAAATGGATCTTTAAACATACTTAAAAAAAAAGGAGTGCCCTACTTAAAGTGTAGTAGAAAAAAACATGAAAACTTGGCAAAGTGCAAGAAAGACTCCCGGAGGAAGTCTGCTTAAGACATCCTTTTCCTCCTCCACTTCCAATATCAGCTTCTACCTGTTCATGCCTCCTGAGGCAGGCAAGAAAAGTGCCAAGAAGGAAGCAGTTGGGATATTTTTTGCCATTGGGGAAACTGGAGAGCCTGAGACTAGAATAAAGTTACTAGAGTGAGGACTGAATGAATCGGAACCAGATAATTGTTTAAACTTGGAGATCCAGTGTAGGTGGACATCGGCTGGAGTGAATTTTACCAATCTGCCTGGGCTCCAAAGAGTTAAGGATGAACTAAAGAGCTTGGCTGAGGCCTCTCCATCTACTGAAAGTGGGAAATTTGAGAACAGGGTCAGAAAGGTTTCTTGCTGGTGCCTCAGCCAGGTTTTCACAGCCAGTGTACTGCTGGCCCCCAGGAGCAAAGACGCCTCTGCTTTCCTGAGAATTGCCACCACTTGCTCAACAAGCAGATAAAAGAAAATAATCATCTAAGAGGGCCAATAATAAAAGAAGGGAAAAACAAATAATAATCTAGATAGGTCTCTAATTAAATAGACTTGCTCATGGAAATAGAACACACTATGGAATGGACTTTGAAGATATATGTGGAATAACTAATCAATACTATAGATGTTCATAAGAGAGAAAAACAAAAGATAGAAGAAAGATAATAAACAAATAATAGGAAAAGAAGGTATGCTGTTTTGAGGAAAGATGTGAGTCTAGAGATTAAAATATTAGAAAAAAACCACCATCTCAGCATATAGTGCTAAAATTACTTCACTCCAAAGACAAAGAAAAACTTGTTCAAGCTTCCGGTAGGAAAACAAAAGATTAATGACCAATTGACTTATAAATTATGTACTGCCTATTTACAAAAGGTAGGCAGCTTGGCCTTCAAAGATGTCCATGTTCTAATCTCTGTAACTTGTGAATATGTTACATTAGATGGTAAAAGGGACTTCAAAGATGTAATTAGGGGAGATTATCCTGGGTTATCCAGGTGACCTAGTCTGAAATCATATGAGCTCTTACAAGAAGAAAACTGTGGGGCTGGCGTCAAATAAATGCACTATAAGGAGAGATGAGACAGAAGGGAAAGAGAGATGAAGTATGGGAAGGACCAGCCATTTCCAGCTTTGAAGCTGAAGAAGACCACATGCCAGGGAATGCAAGAGTCCACTAGAAGGTGAAATTGACTCCTGGTCAAGAGCCAGGGAGGAAACAGTACTTTAGTCCAACAATCACATGGAACTGAACTGCATACAACATGAGTGGACTTGGAAGCAGATTCTCCCCTAGAGCTTCTAGTAGTGAGCCTGGGCTGGTCAACACCTTGATTTCTGCCTTGGGAAACTCATAGAGAAGAAACCGGCTGAGCCTACCTAGACTTCTGGACTCTAGAATTGTGAGAAAATGAATTTGTGTTATTTAAATGCTATTTGTGGTAAATTTTTTAAATGCTGTTTGTGGTAATTTTTTTTTCCTGCAGCAATCAACAACTAGTACAGTTTTCATGGAAAATAATTCAACCCAGCAATTCCATTACTGGGTATATACTCAAGAGAAAATAAATCATTCTACAAAATGGGCACAGATGGGTGCCCATCTGTGGTAGATTGGATAAAGAAAATATGGTACAGATACACCATGAAATACTACACAGTCATGTCTTTTGCAGCAACACAGATGCAGCTGAAGGCCATCATCCTAAGTGAATTAATGCAGGAACAGAAAACTAAATACTGCATATTCTCACTTGTAAGTGAGAGGTAAACACTGGATACATAAAGATGACAACAATAAGCACTGGGGACTGCTAGAGGAGAAAGAGGGGAAGGAGGGCAAGGGCTGAAAAACTACCTGTTAGATACTATGCTCACTATCTGGATGATGGGATCATTTGTACCCCAAACCTTAGCATCATGCACTATATCTATGTCATAAATCTGCACATGTACCCTCAGTACCTAAAATAATAGTTTAAATTATATAAAAAATAAAATTAATGCATTTGCAACAATCGTTGTATCTGCTATACTGGAAATTCCAAGATGGTTGAAAAATATGTATAGACATCAGAGAGAAAAGCCTGAAATCAAGAATCCTATACCCACTTCTCTAGGTGTAAGAAAATTATTTCAGGAAATATAAGGATTAAAAGAGTACACATTCCATCTGAGAAAAATACACAGGGAAGAATAATAAAAAAAATGGAAAGATGACAAAATATGCAATTGGCTGTGAATTATGCAATGCATTCATTTAATCAATATTTATTGAGAAACTAAATCCATTTCAGAACTTCTAGGGGGCTAAAGATAGAGAAATGAGCAAGTAGAGAAAGATAATGCTTTCAGATAGCTTATATTACATTTGGGGGTGGGCACAGATGGGAGATGAATAATAAATGTTTATCTTTTCTATGTTGAGTACCGATAAAAACTATAGGGAAAGATAGGGAGGTAAATTTCAGATAGTTTGGTGAAAGAAGGCTCTAAGGAGTAACATTTGTGGTGACACGTGAATTATCCCCCCATTGGATGTGGCATGATCTAAGATATGACTATAGAGGTTGAGTGACCAAGAAGTGGAGGAAGGAAAGATTAATGTGAAAACATTAAAACAACAATCTGAGAAGTCAGACTGTTTCAGTCAGTATCCAGTCAAGAAAACAAAAATTACTGTCTATTGGAAGGGGGAACTGGTGGCAACATTATAGAAGTACTCAAGGAACAAAAATAAGAATATGAGAATTTTCCACTTCTGAACTGGAGGAATTAAAGTAAAATGATGAAGTTGTCAGTATCATGGCGCTGCCTTACAAGAATTTACAAGCCACACAATCACTGACTTTGGAGATCCAAGGAGTCAAAAAGCATCCCTCAATGTTGCTGCGACCACCTGAGCCAAAGTCCTCAAGTGCCGTAGTGTTGAGGCTATGGAAAATCCACTACTGTGATTGGAGTCAGATCCTAAGAATATCGTTCTACTGCAGTCTCTGGCGTGCCTTCTGCTGACACACTCCACAAAAGCCAGGCTTCCACACACACCAGCTATTGGTGCTGTTACTTAAAAGGCCAAAAAAAGATAAAACAACAAAAACAATAACACAAACTGAAAAACAAAAATAAACCAAAAACAGAACAAAACAAAAATAACAGGCAAAAACAGCTTCTCATTTACTGTGATCATTAGTTTTATGTCAGCCTCACTGGGCGACAGGGTTCCCAGATAGTTGTTGAAACATTCTGAGTGTTTCTGTTAGGGTGAGTTTGATGAGACTAACATTTTAATTAGTAGAGTAAGGCAGACTGCCCTCCATAATGTGGGTGGACCTCATCAGTTGAAGGTATAAATATAATTTTAAAAACCCACCCTCCCCAGACCCTCCACTAACTGACTTCAGACTTCAACACTGGCTTTCCCTGGGTCTCTCACACCATCAGCCTTCATAGTTTAGTGAGTCAATTCCTTATAATACCATCTATTTATATAACATATTGGTTCTATTTCTATGGAGAATCCAGACTAACACTCTTCCTTCTGTATTCCAGTCTGCCAATAGTGCCTCTGTGCTGACAGAATCTAACCTGAAGTCAAATGACAAGACAGACAGGAAATTTCAGTTTGCAGACATAGTTTCCAAAACATAGCTGAGCCGTAAAAAGCTGATATGGAGCTGAGTGCATATACAAGATTGCCTGTACACAGGTTGTTGAGGGAGTCATCTACATGAATGGAGACTGAGACCATATAGGAGAGTTAGTGAAATAGGGAGCTTAGTGAGCTATAGAATAGGGATAATGATCTGGGTTATAATCTGTAATTTTAGACTTTGATGGTGACTAAAGAAAATGAGAGGCATATGGCAATAATCATCAATATATTTCATATAAAGGTGGGTTATTAGTTCTCAGAGTTTCTTTGGATTCATTCAAAGGCAGCTTATAGCAATGAAGTGGTAATGTGATAGTAGCTGGGATTAGTGATATTACTGGAAACATGAAAAGCTTTACGTGCCTTTTAAAAACCTTGCAGATAGAAGGCATGACTTTAGTCGTGCACTTGTACAACTCAAGGTCATACAAGCATCTTTATAGAAAGCAAGGGAAGTTATAGAGGGATCTCTTAAGTCTGTGTGAATTTAAACTTAAGAGGATATTGTTTTATCAGATAATACAAATACTGTGTGGGAATACTTGTCTATTACCCGATTCTAATAACTGTCTTGAAAAAAAGAACTAAATTATCTGAGCAAACCTAGGAGAGGGGAGAAGGAAAGCTAGGAAAAGTGTAATAGCATTCCAAAATTTTATTTGGGAATATTTATAATGTATGGTACAGAAAGGACCATATCTCTTTGGTCAGTCTCCCCAAAAGAGGGGAAAAATGAGTAACAACAAAGTAAAAGAAAAAACAGTAAACACAAATGATATTTAAATAACAAATACAGATTAGTTCCTTCATTCCCCTAAACATGAAGGAACTAAATTTTTCTATTGAAGAAAAGAGAGTGTCTTATTGAGTAAAAAAATTAATGCTCCTTATAAGAAGTATATTAATGTTCCTTATAAGAAGTATATTTTAGTATATTTAAGGTGGTAAGGAAACTTTACAAAGGGATAACAAAAAAGTGCAAATGAAAAGAAAGAGGACTGGCCTGGCACGGTGGCTCATGCCTGTAATCCTAGCACTTTGGGAGGTCAAGGCAAGCAGAACTCAGGAATTTGAGACCAGCCTGGGTAACTTGGTAAAACTCCATCCTACTAAAATCCAAAAAAAAAAAAAAAAAAAAAAAAATGTGTTGGGTGTGGTAGCGCACGTCTGTAGTTCCAGCTACTCGGGAGGCTGGGGCATAAGAATTGCCTGAACCTGGGATTCACAGGTTGCAGTGAGCTGAGATTGTGTCTGTACTCCAGCCTGGGCAACAGAGTGAGATGGAGTCTCAAAAAAAAAGAAAAAGGAAAAAAAAAAAAAAAAAAAAAAAAAAGAAAGAGGGATTAAGAGGGATATAGCACTAACAATGCGAATATTTATTAATTCAGTAAGCGTAATTTTGAATTTCTTTTAGGTTGCTAGAGCTGGAGCAGTAATTAAAATGATCAAAATCTTTTTTAACTTAGGGATAATGACAATAATCATTAGCTGACATTATATAATGTCAGCTAATAAAAAAATGAGAAAATAAATCTGTGGCGAGGATGGAGGCAGATGGGCTCCTTTTTTAGGTAGGGTGTTCAGGGAATTGCTCTCTACAGAAGTAGAATTTGAATAGGGAAATAAATGAAGTATTCAAATAAACCATGCATATGTCTAGTTAAAGTGTGCTAGGCAGAGGAGGAGTCAGTGCAGAGCTCTGGGACAGAAGCTTTATTTACTTATTTGAAGAACGTACTCAGATAGACGTTTTAATAAAAATGCTGTGGATACTATATGGAGAACAGGCTGTGGGGAGACAAGAGCAGTAGCAGAAATACTGGCTGGGAGGTTACTGTGGGACTCCAGGAAAGAGGTTATGAAATCTTGACCTAGAATGGTAGCAAGGAAGTAGGCAGTGATTGGATTTGCAATCTGCTTTAAAGACAGAAGTGACACACTTTTGATTACAAACTAGATATAAGGTGTGAGGACAAAAAAAAGAATAACTTTGAGGTTTGTAATCTGGAAAACTGTGAATGATGGTGCCACATACATACAAGGATAAGAAAATCTGGAAAGGAATCTGGAAAGGAATGGAAATAAGGAGTTCATTATATTCTACATAACTTTTAGAAATACAAGGGGAGATGTTAAATAGCCATTTAGCTATAGGATCCTGGAGTTCAGTAGAGGGATTAGGATTAATGTGTAAATTTGGTAATCATCAACATATGAATGATCACTAAAATCACAGGATTAGAAGAGAGTACCTAGGCAATGACAAAGTGGAATCTCTGATTAAAAGTAAAACAAAACAAAAACCTTTACCGGGCAGTGGGAGGCATTATATAGGGATGAAAGACACAATGTGTTAGTAGATAGGGTCTTCACCTATGGTATCTAAAACACTTGGCCATTAAATATACAAAGCAAAAATGAGTGAAAATGCAATGAGAATTTGATAAAAATATAATTGTAGCAGAAGATTTTTATAAAGAACCATATTACTAAAATGGATTTGAGAATATTTTTTTATTTTCCACTTCTTCAAACACAGCCCTTTCTATACCATCCTACCCAGATGGTTGTCTATTTTAAACCATAGTCAACGTCAGAGCTTTTATAGTACATTTTTGTTATTATAAAAGCATTTTCCTACCCTCAAGCAACCAAACTTATGCTGAATTCATACATCTTTTTAAAACATCATAAAGTCAATTTTTCTTTTAAAATTCTTCATTTTTTATTCTTTTTTCTTTATTAGTGCCTTTTCTATTACCCACCTCCTGAAATTGTGCAGATATTTTTACATTTCAACTGAGTATAGAGTCCTTATAATGAAGATTGTGATTCATTGCTTTTCTTCTCATGATTTCCTATTAGTACATTGTCTAAATTATTTCATCATATATGATGAAATAACCTTTTTCTTGTCCATGATCTTTCCCAGGATATTTTAAAGTATTTTGATTCAGAGTGTGTTGAGATACTTATTTTAGCAATGTCTTCTTTTTCTACATGCATTGCTTAAACTGATGATATCTCCTACCCAGGTTAATATACCAGGGTTACATTATCTTCCACTAACATCTTGCTTTGCAAATATTATATAGAGTATTTCTGATTTTCCCTAATAATCCAGGTTCATTGGGACACTTAATATTCTTTTTACAGAGCCTGTCTGTTAGCCCATTGAATTACATTTATTATAGGTCTTTGTTAGGTCTTTATGTATAAGTTTTGGGTATTTATTTTTAGGTTCCTGGTTTGCTAGCACATTGATTTTAGGATGTTCTAAATATCTCATTAGAATTTCATATGAGCTTGTTCCCTCTAGTGTGCCTACTGTGAAGGTGGAAAACCACTTTCAATTCTCTGCTTTATAATTATCTTTAATATTGACAATTGAGAGTACTCGGTCTTCTTTTCTACAAGCCAAATATTCCCCAAATGCTTTAACTGTTCTCCCCAGGATTTTTGTTTGTTTGTTTGTTTGCCTTTCTCTAAATTTTTCCCATTTTATGATTATAAATTCAAACAGGGCCCAGTGCTGAATAACTGCAAAGATCCAGCTCATTTATATAAAAGCATTGTGTAATTTATAAAGTGCTATTCAAACATGAAGTAGTATTTTTATTGCCACAATTTAGGGGAAATATTTTTAGTTTAAAAAAATGATTGTTCTTCTTAGGTTTTATTTTTCACAGAGGCATATTTATATACAGCTATCTAGAGTGTCGTTAGGTAGAAAACAAAACAAAAAAAGTCATTAGATTTGAAGATATCTTGGTGTACCTCTTTCTTGCTGTGTGACTTTAGTTGAATAACAGGCTTCCTGAGCCTCAATCTACTCATTTGTCAAACGGAGAAAGAAGAATATTATATAAACTTCAACAATAGGATTTGAGACAGCTTTTAAAGTAGACATGAAATTGGATTATTATAACAGAAACAGAAAAAACTATAAGTCAACAGAGTCGGGATTAAGTATAAACATTGTATAAACATTATAAAAAGCTTCCAGGCCACACAGTAGAGGGCAGGTAATGCAATTTTACTTAGCTCTCATTAGAGAGAGTAAATACATAGTTAGAGAAAAACAAAACACACGTTTCTCAATGAAATTAATATTTTCCCTCTTGCAGAAGTCAGGAATTTCATTATGTAGGCAAAATAATACAGAAATGTTATATATAATAATACAATATATTTTTTATAAAAATTTTTATAATGTGCAAATAGCATTGGCTCCCTGCCTATTGCCTTAGAGTTTTGCTTGCATTATCTCTTTTAATTCCAGTAATAGCTCTAAGACACTGAGATACTTATTATCTCTTGTCTATAGATGAGACAAATAAGGTCAGAGGGAGTTAAGTGAGTTTTTAAGTAAGTTGGACATCAGAAATGAGTCTGGGTTTCTCTGACCATGCTCTGCCTTCTTTTTCATGCATTGAAGCCTTATCAGTAGTTTGAAAGCAATTCTTTTTTCAGGGGATGACATGTTGTGGTGAAAATTATGGTGTTTTCCAAGATTCAACTTTATCCTAGGAGATCCATTAGAAAACATAGAGCAGTGGAAGAATAATTTACACTTTCATTTAACTTTTCCTAATATCATTCTCTTTCCAGACCTTTGGTAAGAGTTAGAGAGAAAGTTTTCAAGGCTCTTCCTGCTCTCGGTGGCCTGACTTCTCTATCTGCCTAGATGCTCATAGAGGTAGACGGATTTCAAGATCATCTAGAAGCTGATAACTGCAGCAGTCCAAAAAAACGTTGTTAATTCTTCTGTCTTTCCAGACAACTTTTTTCGTCTATCTTCTCTGTCAGTTACTCCACTATTCACCCTATCCCTTAAAAGAAGTGAAAAAAACTTGGCATATCTGGACTCCTCCCCTTTCTTCACACTGAGTATTCAATCCATTGATAAGCCCTATTGGCTCTACCTCCCAAATCTTTACATCCAGCTCTGCACTGTCACTACTCCTTTTATGCTCCATTATCTCTTGCCTGGATGATCTGGTCTGTCTTCAACATAATTGCTCCCTTATAATGCTTATCTCTCTGACCCCAACTTACATCGTACTTTCTCTCCTTCAATAGGCTTCCTCACCACAGCTTTCTTTTTGTTCCTTGATGATGTTATGATGATTCCTGACGTGTGGGTTTTGAACTAAATGTTTCTGATTCCTTGTATGTTCTTTACTTAGCTTTCGGCCTCCTTTAGGTCTTGGCTTATATGTCAAATACTTAAAGAAATCTTTCTTGACAACTCAGTTCAGGGTCTTAAAAATATTGCTACACCATCTACCACCAACTGCTCTGTAATACATGTTTTCCATTATTTTCGATCATTTGCTTGTATCACAGTTTTTTTCTTTTGATAACATAAAATATGTTCTGGAAATGAAACTGAGTTTTTATCATACATTTGAGGCAAAATATTTCATTGAAGATGGAAAGAAAGAGAAAGAAAAAATGAAACAGTGAAACAGTGATTTTACTTTAAGTTCAATTTCATCCAAAGCGATTAACAATGAAGGCCAATTAATGAACTATATTATTCTTTTCATACTAGCCATGTTTTGAACCTTGCAACAAATATTTAAAACAGGGATCAAAACTTTATAGATCTACATTTCTAATGGGTAAAGACAGGTGGTAGTAAAAAGAGTGATATTAAGTGAGTTCTTTTACATTACATAAGTGGAAGGAAGACACAGTAGACAAATTTTTCACTTAGGAAAGACAGTATAGCTTAGTTAAATTTCATCTTATTTGGAACATTTGTCTTAGTTAATTAGTAGCTTAATAACTATTACTGGTTTAGTTCACTAGGTTTTAAATGTGGACTTAGAATACAGCCCCTGAATAAACAAAGTACTTGTAGGTAACTGGCTCTCTTCCTAATTGATATATCTCAAAAATGAAGATATGTCTAATTTCAAAGATTTCACAGAGAAGGCTTATTTAACTTCCACAAAGTTGGGGGTAATTGATGAAAAGCTTTATTGTATTTCTAGGGCTACCTCCTATGAGTAGAGTGAATCTTGGTCAAGATTTTTACCCTTACTGCCCTAAGATGCTGCTTCTTTAGAGAAACGAGTTGGACTAGATCAATCAGTTATTCCCAACCAGTAAGCTGTGGTTCCACAGCTTGCTCCATACTTTTCATCAGTGTCATCATGGGTTTGTTATTCTATGACATTGATAATTGCTAAGAATGAAGATAAAGACAATTAGAATAATGACCGTTAAATGTTATTTTTAGTTGAATGCGTCTCATGGAGTGAAAAAGTATAGAGAATAGTATATTTATTGTACATGTTGGATTTAAAGAAATCTATCTTTTGCTTAATTTTTTTGTCATGTGTTTTGAAAAAAATACAGAGTAGAAGCTTTTATTGAATGGTAGCATCTTAATTGCAATATTATTGCCTACCTTAATCTCCTTGAGTTTAAAGAATCTGATATGCTAAGTCTCTGACAAATTTTCTAAAAATTAAAGTCATAAGAGCAATGTCCGTTAGGTTAATGCTAACACAGACTATGTTTTCCAGTAACTTTCTTTAGTTTAGAATGTGTCATTGACCTTCTGACACTGCTCTTTGAACAAATATCATTGATCAGGAAAACAGTTGTAATTTGCAGTAATTTTTTTTTTTTGGTCTAAGAGGCCATTCTGTAAAGATACTGATGTATTTGATACTAGCTTATAAGCAATTAAATGTACCATTGACAGAAAGGTTAGTTGAATGCTCATGGACTGCTCAGCTTCCTTTCAACAGTGTTGTTACTCACATATGGTTATGTTTGTATATTACAGAATTATCTATGAATATTATAGTCCATGAAATGGATATAAGTTCATTAACCATCTCTTAGAAGGGAGAAATTTTTCAGTTGATTTTAAGCAGAGCTTATTATGAAACTGAAAGGGCTATCATTATGACAAAGTTTCTCTGTTGATGAACATGATATTTTAATATTACACTTTAAGAATTGAATTCAAATAAGTAGTTACATAAAAATAAGAGTCAGTCTTATTGTGAGAGTAATTCTCATTGCTTACAATGTGAAGAGACATGTTAAGCTGTACTTTCTCTTTTATTTTTAATGGTTACATTTGGACCATTTCTGATAGAATAAAACAAAGCTTATTTTGTGCCTCATTTAATTTCCAGAAAATGTTGACTAGAGACTATTTGGTCTTGTTATCTGGCAGCAGCTAGCAAGATATTCTTTTGGAAATGCAATAAATGTGTACAAATCGTTTAAATTAGCTGATATTTATTTGGTCCTATTTCATATTTCACATGTGCAAGGACATTTAAATTGAGTGTTAATCTTACTAACTTCTTGATAGTAAAGAAGATGGGATGTATACATATATTATTTTATTTTTATCAAATCTGTGAACATATCTTTAAACATATAATGGAAATAGTGTGTAAGCTAATATTTCTATATTATTTCTTGGATATACACTTTACTTTTAAGGGCTGAATGAGATAAGTAAAATAAATTTAAGCAAAAAGAAAAGTAGGTTGTAGAGAATAAAGGGCTCACAACTTAGAAAATCCTTTTAGACTGAATTTAGTAGCATTTCTGTATCTATTATTTGCTCTGGTTAGAGCTATAAATTCACTTGGGTGATTTTCATGGGCAGTATTAAAGTGATTTTCAGCCTGAGACTAATAGTTTAGTGTAAATATATTTGCTGCTTGGGGCAGTAGGAACCACTCACAATATCAGTAGATATTGATTTACTGATGACCTCAAACACTTCCCAAATGATTTCATTCTCTTGCTTAAAATTCTTCATTTGTGCTGTTAGAGTCTTCAGGGTAATGCAAATATCTTAGTGTTGTATATGAAATAATTTATAATTTGTCCCTGCTTTCTTCACTGGCCTCATCTATTCACATTTGCCCTACTCGAAATGCTTTTGTTTATGATCATACTGCACCAGAGTAATGCATTTTACAGTTGACTTTTTGATGAAAAATTTTATTAAATCTTCTTTATAACCAGTAGAATTTGTTTTTAACTGGTCACGATGTTGAAACTTTTCCTATCAAGAATTCCCTTTTTTTAAGGTAAACTGATGAGAGGACGACGAAATATAAATTCAAAGGAAAGCAGAATAGGCATTATGCTTGCTTGTTTTTGAAAGTTAAGCCTTAAAAAAAGGAAAAAGGGAAACATAATTCTTAGAACGATTGACCTTTTGTATTATTGTATTACTGGGAAGGGAGTAAAGGTATATTTAGAAACGGATTTCTGATATCACAGTGAGCTTCAGAAAACCAGTGTAAGTTCTTTCTAATATTAAAGTCAGAAAAGTTTATATGAAGAAATATTTACATGTGCATGGAGGCTATGAACATGCATGTGGTCATGTGATACATACCTGTAGACCCACACATACACTCCATAGGTATACACACACACACACATACTCTCTCTCTCTCTTATGTTTTTTGCAAGCTCATTTCTTCTGTAAGCCACCATTAAATGATGTAGTTCCTCAGGGATCATTTCTAGGCCCTTTTTTAATTTTATCATTTCTTCTTATATTTTTCTTTTGGGAATATATCTTACATTTTAGTTATATTATCTGTAATTCTATAAATATAGCAGTATGGGTAGTGTGTTATGATATGTGTCCATGCAAATTAATGTCTAGGGATGGCTAATCAGCTTGTGAAGAACTCTAATCAGGAACCGGTACCAACTATTGCCAGTTTCAAGTGTCAATAGTTCTGTGCCCAAATCCTTTCAAATTAACATAAGATGAATTAGAAATATCTTTCAAGACATGAGGTTGGCAAGAAAATATTGTTTGTTTGCCTCTGCCCTTGTGGGATTGGATTATAAGAACACGGAGAGCACAGTAGCTTAACGCTTTAGGGAACCTTTTCAAACCTGTTTCCATTTAACAGCAACTTCAGTCACCTGATTCCACAAGCTGGTTATTGAACCTGCCTTTAGTACATTTTCATACTTTTGTGGTATGAACTGTTTTTTCCCATGTGTTTGTTCCCATGTATTTGTCAATATGTAAACCTGTTTGATCTTACAAAATAGGGATTAATAACTATTTTATGTGATGGAGTTTCATCTAAGATTTTGCTCTCAATGTATAATGTTTAGCTGCAAGGCTGTGGAGGGCAAGGAGAATCAAGCTGAGGCCTCAGCTTTTCCTCTTTACATTTGTGGTTACAAATATGCCCCCAAAATAACTTGAAAATGATGACCAAATAAATAGTCTTAGGTCAGTTACTATGGCTTTCATTACAACGTTTAAATGCAACTGTTTTTGTTCCATTTCCTCTTAGATTCCTCAAACTAAATATGTCCAAAATAAAATTTGTATTTCTTCCCAAAATGTCCCCATCTCTGAGATAGCAATTACTGCTCATTCTTTTGAGCAATCCAGATACGTAGGAGGCATTCTTAACACTTCCTGCTTTGTTACAGAATACACAATCAACAAATCCCATAGATTTTACCTCCTAAACACCCTGCAAATCTATCCACTTCTGTACTTCTTAGTCACCACCTTATTTATCTAAATGATCATAACCTCTTTATAGCAAGAGCTATATATGTATGTGTGGCTTACCTATATTCCCTCTGGCTCTATTCCAAACCATTCATCTCATGACAACAAAATGACCTTTGTGATAGACAAATATGATTGTGTTACCATATACTTAATACTTGTTAAAATATTCCACGTGTCTTGTTGTATAGGCAAAGCGTGTTAATTTGTTCTGAATTTCTTACATGAACACTATTCTCCCTATGTTTTTATTCTCATCTCACATTTTTATTTATTTTTTCTCTGCTTCAGAGTCCTGTTGTTGTTGTTTTGTTTTTACTGCCTCCATCATGCTAACCTCCCTTCTACCTAGAATGCTTAACCTTCTCTACCGAATAAAGGCTGAAAGCTTGACATCATTTTTATTTTAAGCATGACTCTTGCATTGAAGTCCGAACCACCTGCTTAGGTCAAATTCCACTATGAACGGAAGTCATAACTCTGGGGCCTCTTCTTTCTGTAGTTGTATACATGTACATTAGCTATTATTTTCTATCTCTTCCACTAAACTCTAAGTTCCATCAAGGAAGCAGTCATGCTGGTTTTTACATACCAGTGTCTTTGCCAAAACTAAGTACTGTGCCTGACACTTAATAGTACTCAATAAATAGGTGAATGGAGAACAAAACTTTTTCACATTTTTCAGGAGAAGAAAATCCTATAAGTTTTCCAAGAAGCAAGAAGTAACAAATTGAAAGTGTTCTCATTTATTAGTAGAAAGGTAAAGTGATTAAGTACCAGGTTGCCTTTATTTACTGTCTTATGTGATTTTGTTCTAAAAACGTGAAAATAATTTTATAATAGCTTTTCCGTCGGTGATCCAGCAGAACTGTTCTTTTTCCCAATAAGCGTTTAACTGCTTAATGTTGGAGTTTCATAGAATTGGAGTTTCCAGACGAAAGTGATGATTTTTCTTGATTATTGACTGTACTATGCGATTGCCTTTGACCATAGTGCTTTTGTCTCCTTATTTTCACCTGGTTTGATCTACTTTAATCATCCTTCTTATTCCATTGTTTTGTCTCTTTATTTGTCTACTTCCTTCACAATTCACAGTGGGAAATACATTTTACATTAAGCACAGTATGTATTTCTTAATAAATGTTTATGAATGGATATGAATAGATACTTTGTACAGCACATGACCTAAGGATTCAACAGAACAACACACTACATGATTAAAAGCTCCATCTTTCCTACTAATAACAGAACCCTCCCACTTTCATTTGTATACATAATAGTAATAACCCACAGGCTGAGTCTATAAAAACTCTACAAAGATTGTTTAGCAGATGCTTTTATTTTTTTAAATCATTAATGATGAAAGAAGATAAAATGTAATAAATAGCAATTTAACATAATTTTGTTTAAAGAAGTATATTCTATAGGACTGGCAATGGACAATGTGGACAATATTGAAATATTTAATATAAGAAAGAACACTTAGCACTCTGTTTGGTACAGCCTTAGATAATTTCTGTCTCACACCTTGGTGATTCTTCTTTCATTAGGTGAAAGAAAAAAAGGAAAAAAAAAAAAGTAGATTTTAAAATATATAAATTAAGATAGCTATTCAAAATGGAGAATATTTTGTTAAAATGAGACTTAAGAAGTGAATACTTTTTAAATATATATATATTTTTTATTTTTAAGGGTAATCTGAAATGAAAGGCCAGCTATGATATATGCCATGAATCTAGATACTGCAAAATGGGGCCTAATACTTTTCAGTTAATGTGGTTAAGATGTTTCATAGGTGTTTAAATAGTTTCTTTAACTAAAATTATTCTTAATAAGATTTAACACGGTTTCAGTTAACAAAAAGGTGGAATGTCAATTTTTTTAATGAGTTACAGTTTTGAGTCTTCCTTTCCATATGGCATGCTCAATTTGGTGAGCCACATTTCAAAATAATTGCAGTACTTAGGAAAGAAATCTGTCTTCTCCCAGCTTCTTTCTGAGCAGGATGAGGGAGCTTCTGTGCTTATCTAGTGCTTTGTTTGGCTGCTGTGGGTCTGTATGTATAGACCGTACTTTGTCAGGAGTTCTCAAGGTTCAGATTTGTAGGAACTCAGTAAAAGAGATGCTTAGTGAGGCATATTGATTTTTTTGGATCTGTGGAAGGAATGGTAGGTCATGCCAAAATGCAAACTTATGGGTTTTTAAGTAGAATCAAATTGAGATGAAGGGTAGAGATGGAGAATTTTTTAAATGTTGTATTTTAAGTTATATATTTTGATATCCATGAAAAAACAAAAAAAAATAGGAACTGACAGTTTCATTATTAAATTCCTTTATGGAACAGTTACTCCAGGGCTGTGTAATCCACATCATAGACAAAGATAAAAGTTACCCAAGTCATTTTATGATTAAGGTAAACTGTGATTCTTAATTACTAAGACAAAGCACAAATTATAGGCTCACATTCTCAAGGTTTATTCCACGAAACCCTAACTCTTTGAAATATTCTGTATAAACCAAAATATTTGGCAGATATGTTTGGTAAATCCTTTAAAATTAATCAATTCTCAGAGATACACAATAAATATTAGTGCAATAAAAAAAGTGAAATGTCATTTGATAAAAAACTATGCCTAAGCCAGAATTGCCAAATGTATTTGACTGCAGAATCTTGTATCTGCTTAATATTTACTGCCAAATTGGATTTTCAAGGAACATATACATACAATGAAATACAGAACTGAAGACAAAGTTCACTTTAAAATGATGGGTTTAAAAATCCTGTGGTAATAAATTGCCAGGATAAAATCATAAGTGCATTTAAATTAAAAATTAAAACCAAACAAAATATTAAACAAATAAAAAGACACTAAACATTACCTCAAGGGTAGACAGGGGTAGGATAATATAAGACTTTCTTTGTATCCTTATTGAATGTCTTTAGTTTATTTTACTTTACATTCTGGGATACATGTGCAGAATGTGCAGGTTTGTTACATAGGTATACATGTGCCATGGTGGTTTGCTGCACCTATCAACCCATCATCTAGGTTTTAAGCCCCGTATGCATTAGGTATTTGTCGTAATGCGCTCCCTCCCCTTGACCCACACCCACCGACAGGCCTTGGTGTGTGATGTTCCCCTCCCAGTGTCCATGTGTTATTATATATCTTTTAATAACAAGTCCATATTACTATTGTTTTGGAACTGAAAAGATTAGAACTGTAAACAAGTTCAAGTAGGATGTAAACCAAGGAGTGTAAGAAATGGCTTGCTACAGGTATATATTAATAAAATACAAAATCCAAATGGATGGAGGATATCTAATAGGAATGTTAAATTCAGCATGCCCAAAAGGGAAATATTTTCCTACCTTCTACCTGCAAAATTTTCTGTAGTATTTCTTACTTTATGTCATTATTAACCATTGCCTTTATCCCCTACTATCTGTAGGTTGTATTTGGAAAATCAATAACTATTTGTTGAAAACCACATAAAACAATATACTTGTCAAGGGGCATATTTGTTTCACATGGTTCTAGTCATGTATTCAATCTTCTATTCATATAATTCTGGAATTATTAAAGTATGTGAAATTCCCCAGGAAATTTCTGTATTTTCTGTTGTACATTGGTTGTAATCAAGTTCTGAAAAAGTGTTTAAGGACAAATTTAGCCATTTGTCATTTTGTTCTATAGTATTCATAATTTAAACACGTATTTACCTGAATTTTAGAAAAAAATACTAGAATACCAGCCTATAACAATTCTTAAAGGATTTTTATTCTGCGGCAGTGTTCTTTAAAACAGATATTAACCAAAGTGGACATTCATATAAAACTAAATCACGGTAAGGCAGAAATTACTATGTGAATTAGTTTTGAAAGCCCAAGTCCAGTTTAAGCTCAATATTGTGAATATTGACCACAGTTATGCAAAAAGATAAATATGTGAATGGCGAGATTTATCTGCTTCCTAAAGTGCATAAACTTTAAAAAAATAGGTATACTTAACATTCACAAAATATAAAATCCTTAAGTCATTTAAAATTAAATATCCATTTAAATCTTAATAGTGAGTATGAATATATGTTTTAAGTAATATAAAAAGAGAAAATTCTATTGGATTTTTTTTCAAAATATTACTATTTTAAAATTTAGGTCTTAAATGTTAACATATCATGATATTAGTTACATAACTTAGTGAATTGTATAAATATATACATATAGGATATACAGATACACTGTCTTTTATATAATCACAAATGAAATCCTTTTATTCAATTAATCTCAGTGATAAGTAATCCTTTAAAACAAGTCACTAGCCTGATGTTGACATACTGGCACTGAAATAGTGCTTAATCTTTTTTCCCTGACTGCTTTTCCAAGAATTCGTTGTCAGTTTCTGTAAATGATGGCAGTCAACCCTCCAAAGGTCAACTAATCTCAACATGACTATTCTTTGCAAATAGTTAAAGATTATGGGTTTACTTTGCAAATTGCCTAACTCTTCTTTTTTTGGAGCCTTCTATGATCGCCCATATTTCCACTTCCATAACCCTTGGGACTTGCAGCATTGAGAAAGGACAAGATTATAGCTACTCATTAATCCCTGGATGGTGTCTGCTGCTAATAAACTTGTTAGTGAATCCTTAGGAAAGAGGGATAAACACTATGTTCTTATCACCACTTTCTCTCTCTATAATCCCTGACTCTATCGTTAGCAGTAATATTTTATTTTTTTGTAAAATAGAAACAAAAGCTTTATGAGACTTTTGTGTATATATTTGATTCATTTTTATTATTCTATTTCTCTCATTCTGGGGCTATAAATAAATAACAAAATTACTACTGAATTCACTGAACCTTATTCTATCCCAGACATTTCACAGAGCATTAGCTCATTTATTTCTCATTATAGCCAATGGGAAGTTAATATTATTATTAATATATTTGCTTTTCATTTGAGGAGCATGAAGTTTGAGTAACTTACCTAGGTTAGCACTCAGCAAATAAAAAATATTTATTAATTTATGATATTATTAGTAATAGTAAAGTGAGGTCATAATCATTCACTTTAGATTCTAGAGGCTCTTTTTTTACCAGACTGGGTGAAAGACCTTTGTCCTATTGATACCTGCATCTGTAACATCCAGTACAATGCTTGGCTAGTAAAACATTAATAAATTTATTTGTATGAATAAATGTGACTAACTTTTATAATGTTAGGTAGCTTTTTTCCATTACAAAATACTTAAGTAAAATTTTATAGCACCTGTTAGTGTACATAAATGATTTTATTATTATTTAAAATTTATAGGTATTTTTGCAATGGAGAAATTATACTAAAAAGATATTCATTTGCAATTTTTCATTTGAAAGTAAATGACTATAAATGAATTGGAGTAACTTTGATATGTATTAACTAAGCAAAAATTATAAATAGAACATGGTGTGACATTGATTTCTTTTTTATATTTTAGATAGCAAAAAAATTTTTAATTTAAAATGTTTAGGCGGGGGATATAGGATAATAAACAAAATGTGTGTTACAATTAGGTAACTACCAAAACCGAGTATTTTAAGAAAACTTATATATATATATAAAATTTGTGTATATATATAAATAAAAATATATATAAATAAAAATATATTAATAAAAATAAATAAAAATATGTTTATGTATATAAATATATAAATATATTTATATATATTATATATATTTTATATATATAATAAATATTTATAAAAAATATATAAATATATATATATATAAGCTTTCTTAAAATACTTGGTTTTGGTAGTTACCTAATTGTAACACACATTTTGTTTATTATCATATATCCCCTGCCTAAACATTTTAAATTAAAAAATTTATTGCAATCTAAAATAAATATATATAAATATATATAAATATATATTTATATATAGATATATATTTATGTATATAAATATATATTTATATATGATATATATTTATGTATATAAATATATGTATATTTCCCAGTCACAAAACAATATTAAATTTGATTACTAGAAAATGTAAACATACCAAAATGTTTACTAAAATCCACCAACTATGGTTATTTATGCTGTAATGAGACATTATTAAATTCTTTTGCCACTTTTAATGTAATATATAATTTAAATTGTTTAACTTGGTTGTAACTGACTGAAAAGATGCATTTCTTTTATGATAAGGCAAAATAGAATATTATGCTTATGAATGTGCTGTATTTGAGTACATTTTGTATTTAATTTATCAGAAAATCTCTGCCTATCATTAAAATTATTTCTGGGTACAGACACAAAATAAGAACTCACCAAAATTCATTAATTTTGATGAAAGAGAGGAGACAGTTTTCATTTAATAATAGCTCCAAAGACATGTGTGAATGAAACAAGATAACTATATTATAATGCCTGATTATCACTGTATTGCTTCAAATCTTTACGTAGCATGTTTTAAGATTCACAGATCTAAGTAAAATAACTAATATGTATTTGTGTAATATTAATGTTTGTGCATAAGGCAAATCCAGTATGTTACCAGTTCTAAAGCTGTCTTTGCCTTAATTCTTATATAACATATAGGTAACAATCAACTGTCTGTGTATCTACCTGTCCTGAAGGCACACTTTCTTCTCTTCCTTCCTACAATTAGCTGAATTACTTTTTGAAGAGATAGTTTATATATAAAGATATATTTTACTTGAATAATTACCACAGAGCAGTAAAATAAGTCTTTATATTTATTATCTTTGAAACCTCTCCAGTTGTGTTGCCAGTAACCAAAAGAATATGCAATTAAACAATGTTTTCCACATGTTGTATATAGGTACTCTATAATGGGTATCAGAAAATGATGCTATGACTATATAATGTGAATCAGAATAGTCTATTCTCTGTTTTTAAATCAAACTTCTCCATGTCTTAGTATCATTTTGTAAAATAAAAACTCGGAAGTAGTAATTTTAAAAATACTTTTTAAATGAATTTTTTAGGATTTTATGAGGCTTGAAGACAGTTTTTTCTTAAACAGTGTGAACATTCTACCTTTAGGATGTGATAAGCTAGTGCAAATTACTGCAAAATTCCCCTCTAAACAATTTCAACTCTTTGAGGAGGTGACTTTTTACATAAAAACAAGATAATAAAAAGGGAAGTAGTTGTAAAACTTAATGTGAAAGTGACAATGGAGTCCAGATTGTATACCTATTACAGGCAATTCTGTCTCTAATATTGAGTAATTTGTTTCTTCCATAAAACATAGCCTAGACAGTTGTCCGAATGCTTTAGTATGTACTAAACTGATTGACTGAACTTTGTATTAGAGCATGCAGTATTCACTGTGACATAATCGGATTATGAATCAAGCATTTGATTTGTACGTCAACATGGTAGCAAAGTTAATCATAAAAACTTTTGAAATACGTTATTGACATAGACATTTCAGAATGAAATGTGACTAAAATAAATATATCTTATATTGGAATATGCAATCTGTTTTATAAAAGACAAGTTTTTAGTTTATTATTTACTTGTACATTATTTATGTAGAATGAATTTCAATAAGTAAATCAAATGCATTTCAAATTCCCCAATTTTTCATTTATTATATTTAAATATTACTACCTGAAACAAAGGCTGGAGTTATAAATACTAGTTACTAGGAAAAGTAAAGCCTATTTTACTTGCTTTTAGTACTTGACTATTTCAAATGATATTATGTTAAGTAAACAGTCCAAATAGTGAAGGTGAGATAAATGAGACAAAAGTTTAAGAAAGAAACAAATGAGATCCAGATGCTGTAGTCCATATTCATATATATATATATATATATATATATATATATATATATATATACATACACACACACACATAAGTATCTATTGCTAAATAGCAAAACACCCCTAAACTTAGTGGCTTAAAATAGCCAGTTGGTTATTTCTCAAAATTCTGTGGTTGATTTCCAGGGCAGATTTTCTTCCAGTCTTACCTGTAATTACTCTTTCAACTTCAGTAATGGCCTGAGGAGAAATGGAGGATGTAAGATGGCCCTACTATTATGTCTGGCAATTGGAAGAGAACCAAGTAGGACATCTTAGTTCTCTTTCACATGGCCTCTCATCCTCTAGTAGACTGTACCACCATCTTCACAGTGTGGTGGTCTCAGGGTATCAAGTAAATGAGAAAAAAGAGCTGCAATGTCTCTTAAGGCTTAGCATCTGCAACCACATAATGTCACTTTTGTCATATTTATTGGTCAAAGCAAGTCATTAGTCCAGTTCAGATTGAAGGACCTGAAGACATAGACTTCATATCTTGATGGGTGGTACAGGAATATTATATTGCAAAAGAAGGGTTTGTAGAACATATGAAGACTTCATTTGTTGGCAGCTATTATAATAATCTATCAAACTACAGGTTATAGAGGTTTCTTTAAACAGTGAGAATCCCGCAGCTTTTCGAACCTGAGGTTGAGCTGTGTTTAAAGAATATGAATACTGCCCTTATGAGTACATTATGTTAAAAGGACAAACAAAAGACCTGGAAGCACAGTAGGAGACTTTTTTGGTAGTTTAGGTCTAGAAAATATATATTTGAATTAAGAAATATACATTTTAACTATAATCAGAGATCGGCTTTTAATGCAGACTCAAGCAAAAGCAAGCACTCAATATTTGAATCATTAAAAATATATGTTATCTTTCTTCTCTGTTCTCTAGTGAAGTATAAAGAAGTTAAGCAAAAATTGTTTACACTCTCAAACATATGTTATTTTAAATAAAATTTTAAAACTTGACTTCACAGAAGTGTTATACAATTCCATTTTTGGTAATACTAGACTACATTTGAATATTCTCGTAATTAGTTTGGCAATATTCCATAGGGGCAGCTGAGCCAATAAACTGTTATGAATCAACTCATTGGTTTAAGTATGTTTACAGTCTGGCAGCTCACACAAAATTTGTAAGCATAAAACGAGGGCGATTTTGCTGGGCCATTTTGGAGACCTGAAGTGAAAAAAGAAAAAGGAAAAAAGCAAATAAACACACACAACAGTTGTAAACAATTATAATGATGACATGTATCTTCCTTTCTCTCTTCTGTCTCTTGATACCTCTACCTGTGTACCTACCCAGCTACCTAACCATTCATAAGCTTATTCTTGACTGTACCAATATATATATATATACATAAAGACAATAGAATATGTATGCTACATAACTTAGACAAATAAGGAGATTATCTTAAAAGGCCGGAAAAGGAACTTCTGGAAAGTAAACATTGAATATTTATTTCTTCATGGTTGTCATAATTGAGCCATGTGCTTCTTGTGCCCAGAAGCCATAGTGAGTATTCACAAATATACACTGATTTTTAAAATAGCTTTATGGGGACATAATATATGTGTCATAAAATTTACTCATTTTAAGTGTAAATTCAATAATTTTCTCATGTATATTCAAAGTTATATACATAAAGAGATATATACCATCACCTCAATTTAGTTTCAGAACATTTTCACCACCACATTCCCATCATCAGTCCCAGGCAACCACTAATTTGCTGGCTCTTCTCTGGATATTTCATATAAACAGAATCATACAACATGTGGTCTTTTATATCTGACTTCTTTCACTCAACATGTTTTTGCTGTTTATCCAGAACTTGGCTTCTTTTAATTTTTATTTATTTATTTATTTACTGAGTAGTATTCCATGATTATATTAGTCTGTGCTGCTATAACAAAATTCCTGAGGCTGGGTAATATATAAACAATAGAAATTCCTTTTTCACAATCCTGAAGGCTGTGAAGGCCAAGATCAAGATGCTGGAAATTTAACATCTGTTGAGTGCCTTCTCTCTGCTTTCAAGATGGGGCTTTACTATTGCATCCTCCCAAGGCAGAAGGGCAAAAACAGCCCAGCTGGTTCTCACCCACAATTTTATAAGGTTGCTAATTCTATTCATGAGTGCTCTACCCTCATGACTTATCACCTCCTAAAGGTCCCACTTCTTAATAATGTTGCCTTGTGGGATTTAAGTGTCAGTGTGAATTTTGGAGGGGACACATTCACACCATAGCCTTCTGCTCCTGGCCCATCAAAATGCATGTCCTGCTCACATACAAAATACATTTTATTTCATCCCAGTAGCCCCTAAAGTCTTAAGTTGTTCCAACACCAACTCTAAGTCCAAAGTCTCATCTAAATATCACCTAAATTAGATATGGGTGAGACTCAAGGCATGATTCACCCTGAGGCAAATTACTCTTCAGCTGTGAGCCTGTGAAATTAAACAAGTTTTGTGCTTCCAAAATACAATGGTGAGACAGGCATGGGATAGATATTCTTATTCCAAAGGGGAGAAATAGGCAAGAAGAAATGGGTAATAGGTCCCAATTAAGTTGGAAATCCAACAAGGAAAAAACATTAAATCCTGAGGTTTGAGAATACTTTTTGACTCCATGTCTTGACTTCTGGTCACACTGGGGAGGAGTCGGCCCCTACCAGGCCATGGGAAGCCCCATCTTCTAAGCTTTGTTTGGCAAAGACCACACAGCAGCGTTTACGGAGTTGGGGTCTAGCATCTCCAGCTCTCCCACACTGGCATTTCATGCTGCTGACTACAGCTCTGGGGTTTCAGGGATGGCTCCACCAGGCATTGCTCTAGTTGGGGACTCTGTGCTGCCATACCCCGGTGGTAGTTCTCTTTCTTGGCCCCAAGGCTCTCCAAGGAATCCTTTGAAATCTAGAGGAAAGGTCACCATGCCTTCACAGCTTGTGCTCTTTGCGCACCTGCAAAATTGGCACCACATGGATGCCACCAAGGTTTACCACCTCTGACTTCCATAGCAGCATCCTGAGTCACTCCTGCACCTGCTTGACCAGCACTTGGGGTAGCCAAAGAGCACTGCACCAGAATGAAGAAAGCTGACTCTTGAGGCCCCAAACGTGCCCTGGTTTCCTCCGTTGAAACTATTCTGCCCTCAAACCTTTCACACTCTGGTCCTGTGATGAGGGTGACAGTCTGGAAGAGCTCCAAAATGCCTTTGGGATTATTCTTCCATTGTCTTGATGAAGACCACCTGGCTTCCTTTTATCTTACAAGAGTCTCCTTATCACATAGTTGCTTGGACAAACTGTTGGTGTTTTCTCTGGAGCACAATTTTTATTTACAATCTGACCTGGCTGGGTATTTTCCAAATTTTTAGGTTTTGCTTCCTTTTTGATTATAAATTGCATTTTTAATCCATTTCTCTCTTCTGACATTTTACTAAAAGCAGTCAAGAAACACAATACATCGCCTCGAACACTTTGCTTAGAGATTTCTTCTGCTACGTATTCTAGTTCACCACCTTTAAATTGTGCCTTCCACAAAAATATTTGGACACAGACATAATTACCAAGTTTTACCACTTTGTAATAAGGATGCCTTTTCCTCCAGTTTCCAATTAGATAGTCTTCATTTCTGTCTAAGAACTCATCAGAAAGGCCGTTACCGTCGGTATTTCCCCCAATATTCTGGTCATGACTGTTTAAATAATCTATAAGAAGAGTTAGGCTCTCTCTACTCTCCTCTTCTTCTGAGCCTTCACCAAAATTGCCCTTAAACACTGAAAATCTAGGCTTTTTTCTGGCATGTACCCTAAAACTTTTCCCACCTCTACCCATTACCCAATTCCAAAGCTGCTTCCACATTTTTAGGTATTTGTTATAGCAACACCCTATTTCTCAGTGTCAATTTCTGTGTTAGTTCATTTGTGCTGCTGTAACAAAATACTTGAGACTGGGTAATTTATGAACAGAAACATATTTCTCACAGTTCTAGAAGAAGGGGAGTTCATGATCAAGGGCTCACAGATTTGGTATCTGGTGAGAGCCTTCTCTCTCACCAAGATGACGCATTGTGGCGTGTCTTCACATGGCAGAAGGCAGAAGAGCAAAAAGAGGGCTAGCTGGTTCCCTCCAACACTTTTATAAGATTGCTAATTCCATTCTTGAGAGCTCCAGATTTAATCACCTCCTAAAGCCCACCTCTGAATAATGTTGCATTCTGAATTTAAGTTTCAACATGAATTTTGGAGGGGACACAAGCATTCAAACCATAGCAATTATACACTGATTGCTGTGTTGCAAATCTTACATCTTCCTCCAACATTGCAAAACACATTTTATTATTCATAGTCTCACTTTGCTTTTTTTTGTTGTTGTTAATAGCAGCATTATTTCTAATGTGATTTTAACACATTTCTAATTTGAGGACATCTAACAACTTTTACGCTGCTCTCTTACTGTCACCTCATCAATAGCTTTGCACAAATGATTGATTCATTTAAGGACTTGTTTTAAGAATTGTTTTGTGTCTTAGTCCATTTTGTGCTGCCATAAAATAATACCTGAAACTGGGTAATTTATAATAAATGGAAGCGTATCGGCTTATATTGCGTTTGGAGGCTGGGAATCCAAGATCAAGGTGCTGGCAACTGGTGAGGGCCTTCTTGCTATCTCATAACATTGTAGAAAGGCAAAGAGAGAGAAAGCACACATGAGACAGAGAGAGAGAAAGAGAGAGAGAAAGAGAGAGAGAAAGAGAGAGAGAGAGAGAGAGAGAGAGAGATCGATCTTGTGAGGGAGCCCATTCCCAGGATACCAACATTAGTTCATTCATGTTGGTGGAGCCCTTATGACCTAAACACCTCTTAATGGTCTCACCTTTTAGTGTGGTACAATGGCAATTAAATTTTAACATGAGTTTTGGAGGGGACAGCATTCAAACCATAGCATTTGGCAATTGTTAACTCCTCAAGCCTTTTACTGTCTTTCTCTTCTTCCTAAATTATAAAAAAAGAAAAAGAGTCTCAAAAAAATTATAAAAAAAAAGAAAAAGAAAAGACTTGGTATTTTGGTAGGGATTAGAGGTAGCGATTTCTTGTGTTGATGTTCATTCAGTGTCTATGTGTATCACCCATGAAATTATCTGTTCATTTTGCATGTTACTCAAATATACTGTGTGATATTTTAGCTACCACTTTTGTCTATTAATCAAAATAAGATCATGTCTGGTCAATGTAGGACAAGAACTTACTAATTATATCTTTCCTAGAAAAATATATTGTAAAATATAAGAGGGACTATTAAATGGCTTTATGAAATGTGCTTTGGCTTTCAAAAGAATAATGATGAGAAATTATGTGTCCAGTTTGAAAGATTTAATTGTAATGCATATTTGTTTCTTTAGCATTTGTGGGATCCAACATCTGGAACGAATAGGAAAGAAGCTGAATCTCTTTGACTCCCTTTATTTCTGCATTGTGACGTTTTCTACTGTGGGCTTCGGGGATGTCACTCCTGAAACATGGTCCTCCAAGCTTTTTGTAGTTGCTATGATTTGTGTTGCTCTTGTGGTTCTACCCATACAGGTAAACAAAACCATCTTATATTGCATAGAAATGTACAGAGACATGAAATTGAATCCTCCACATTTAATAAGAAATGGAAAGTGGCTTATTTATCTAACACTAATTTACTAACACATACTATCATTACATTTAATCAATTACATAAATTACTGCAGAAATGTCATTTTACATTTTATTAGAAACACCGAGTTGCTTTTTTTTCCTTCCAGTCATGACTGACAGCACTCATCTTATTTCAATCATTCAAGATTTTTTTTAGTATAGGGTACTTAATTATATTAAATATAGAATAACATAGTTTTTAATTATAGGATGATAGATCAAAGAAATAAATTTGTGAAGGGTTGATTTCTCTTGGTTCTTCAAAATAAACCACAAAGTCATACACTGCAATGAAGAAAAATCTATTACTTATGTTTGTCAAATAAAATCTGGGCCAGGTGCAGGGCTCATGCCTATAATACCAGTATTTTGGGAGGCTGAGGCAGGTGGATGGCTTGAGCCAAGGAGTTGAAGATGAGCTTGGGCTATAAGGTAAAACCCCATCTCTACAAAAAAAAAAAAAAAAGTCTGAACATGGTATGTAAATATTATGTGGCACTTTGGGGAGTGAGTAGGGAGGTTGCAAAGGGATGGATATATAAATGGAATTAAAGATAAGTAGATGCAATCTCTAACTCTTTCCTATAATAAGCCCTGGCTGCCCATGTGTGGGCAGATCAGAAGCAGGCTATAGGGAAATGCAAATCAAACTTGCATATTCCATTGCAAAACTTTGGCCGCAATGTATCTGAATAGAATACCTGCAAAAATGGCCTTCCTGCTCCGATAAATTCATGCATGTCTTTCTTCCTGACATACCCTCCCTTGCACCTTTCACTTTCCTCCGTTAATGGCTACTGTACAGCTAGAATGTGGCCTTGTGTGTTATGGTAAGAGTAACTCCTATTGCATGAGATATGGTTAGAATTTGACAGAGAATGTGGGAAAATAGCAATGAGGCTTTTCTCTTTCACTCAGCTCTACTGGACATAAAGCAGAGGTACAAACCTCTTAGTGGCCTGTTATTATGTGATAGCAAAATCATGTTAATATGTTTCCTTAGAGACCCGAAGCCCCTGGGAGACATTTGCAGCCTCTGTAGAAATTATATGAAAAGTCTGTCGTTGAAGGGGAATACTGACAATTAGAATCTCAATGAGTTCCATCTAGGAAATTGAAAATACCTAATAAACAATAGATGTATTGCATTGATTTATTTATTTCCTTACTGTGTTTTTCATTCACATGTGGAAAATATATTACAGTTTGAACAGCTGGCTTATTTGTGGATGGAGAGACAAAAGTCAGGAGGAAACTATAGTCGACATAGAGCTCAAACTGAAAAGCATGTCGTCCTGTGTGTCAGCTCACTGAAGATTGATTTACTTATGGATTTTTTAAATGAATTCTATGCTCATCCTAGGCTCCAGGTACATTTGGCTTATATTATGTGCTATACTGGATCATACCTACTAACATATTGTCAA
Organism: Homo sapiens; assembly: GCF_000001405.40. Taxonomy (NCBI): domain Eukaryota; kingdom Metazoa; phylum Chordata; class Mammalia; order Primates; family Hominidae; genus Homo; species Homo sapiens. Next base: position 196,428,047 of record NC_000001.11, on the reverse strand, counting down.
AGTCAATTAACTGATGGTGCAGCCTGCTTTGTGGAGGATTTTTATTTATACAACCAAATATAGAAGGAGTAAATGAAGAACCACAAATATAACCAGGAACATAGAAAAAAAATGCTGGAGGAATACTCAGTATTTTAAGTTTCCTTCTGTATCTACGCTGAAAGACAGATGGAATAATGTTAATGCTACAAGAAAATTTTTCTTTGAATTAAAAGATTGCTTTTTCTCCCTTGGGTAGAGCATAAATGATATTTTTATGGAACAGTGAATTTTAAGATAAAATATAATAAAACAAGAAAGAAACCATTTCAATATCATCTGCTCAGTTAAAATACTGCAGAATTTTATCAAGGATTGCTAATGGAAATGTGGAAGTCTGGGACTTTCATTTTTTTCTTTTGTTTCCTGAAGTATAAATATATCCTATATGTATAGCAATACATGACCAAAAATTGGACAATAACTAGCTGAATTGAGAATATGAATTAAGAAGAAACTTTTCTTTCTGTCTATGCAGATAAAATTCTTGAATATTTCCACTTTCTGCTACGGGCCATGGCATTAATCTCCTTTCCTGCTTACTGCACTTAGTCTGTTGAAGGTCTTGTATTTACTCAACAAAGTTTTGTCAAGAAGTAGAATAACTCCAGACTTCAAGACAATGCTTAGTATTTCTAATTATCCTTTCCTTACAAAACATAGAAATATTGATTTGTGAATATTTTGTAGACCTTTATAAATACTATATTTTTGTGTTTTAAAACACCTAATTTATAATTGATTCTTAAATGATAGAATCATTTTGTTCTATCTTAAATGGCAGAATCATTTGGTTCTTATTCTTTTGTTTTCATATGTTAACTTGCATTTTTAATAGCAACTCCATACTTGTTTTTTTAATTATTTATATTTAATTAATTTCAAGCTTACTTATCATAACTCATAAAGGAAATCCATTTGTGGGAAAATTTTGATCCCATGGTGTATTAGCCTGCTCTCACACTGCTATAAAGAATTACCTGAGAGAGGATAATGTATAAAGAAAAGAGATTTAATTGGCTTACGATTCCACAGGCTATACTGGAAACATGTCTGGGGAGGCCTAAGGAAACTTATGGTCACGTGTAATGCGAAAGGGAAGCAGGTGTGTCTTCACATGGCCAGAGCAGGAGGAAGAGGGTGGTGATACATACTCACTATCAGGAGAACAGCAAGGGGGAAATCTGCCACCGTGATTCAGTCATCTCCCATCAGGCCCCTCTCTTAACATTTGGAATTATAATTTAACATGAGGTTTGGACAGGGACGCAAATCCAAACCATATCATACAGTCATTAACTTTATCTAGTATCAATGTAGAGAATTATTTAAACTCCAGAAATTCCTAGTAGATATATTTTACAGCAGTAAAATGGTGAATGTTTACCAGAGAATTTTAATTTCTATAAATCATTGGTTTAAACTGTTTCACCACTCAGATGTAATTTTCTCCAAAGGACCATATATTTTGTAATATTTTGATATCATGTTCATTTAATTTACTTTGTCAGTATTTTCAGTGTTTTTATGGATCCTTATTCATTCAAATATTCATCAGAAACTGTTCAAAATTATTGTTTCATAATTATATAGCTAAATGATATAAATCGCTATCACAATTTTGATCCTAAAAGTAATGAAGTATGAATTGATACTTAAATGCTTCTGCCTGGTGTTCAATGTATATTTTAGGATCAGTCTGTAGATAAAACTAAAACCTTCACAAGCTGAAAGTGTGTGCCAGGTATAACCACTGATTACCTTCCCTTATGGTCTTAGTAAGACTGAAATAAGTTGAGATGAATTTATTGATTTATGAGATTTGTGTATGTCCCAGTTGTATTTATTATAGTGTAATTGCTATTTAATATATGTCCAGGTTTTAAATGTGAAATTTTATTAGCAAAAGTTCATTTCAGTTTTATCATATTTCAAATTTTTCTTAGATATTTTATTTTTCTATGTAGTGTAACATAAAACATTTTTGTTTCTATTCCATTGCCCATTTTGTTTTGAATAGGATTATTATGTGGTGATTTTGTGTCCTACTGAAATGGATGTACAGGTTCGAAGGGTACTGCAGATTCCAATGTGGTCCCAACGAGTTATCTACCTTCAAGGTTCAGCCCTTAAAGATCAAGACCTATTGAGAGCAAAGTAGGTATCCCTGCCTTTCATCTTGCAGCTTACAGTTTTGAGTGACTTAATATTTTCTCTTTCCTCCAAATTTTAGCAATTTTCAGTGTTGCAAGATGTGTTAAAGTATGTTTGAGTATAGACTCTTGCCTTAGTCCCTCTGCTGGCCAAACTAAAAGGTCAAAAATATATCATAAAATCAGTGTGTTTACTCCTCTTTTTCAGCCTCATCTCAAGGCAAAACTGTTCAGAAGACTGTGACCACACAGCACAATGAAAAAAGTGGCCCAGAATAATTATCTTAAGCTGTCAGAGATTCACTGAGGTATCCAGACTCACTGTTAGAGTAGTCTCCAAATCCCCGAATACTGTTTTTATCCCACATATAAAAATTGTGGGCTAAATATGGTGTGACATACCAGTGCAGTGTGAGTTAGGGTTTACATTTTAAAGAGCTTGCACTATGTATTGGACACATAGCACTTGTGTTGCCTGGGGTCAGAGAAAAAATGGTTGCCATGGACTAGAGGAATCAGAAAGGTGACAGGACTTACTTAGCTACCCTCAGCTACCCTCTTCTTTTTGTGCATGTACCAGGCAATTTGTCTTAAAGGTGACATAGTCTTAAACATTTGTCACAAGTTACCAAGTTGTATCATATGAGTAGAGTGAGAGTATTATTGAGCATAGCGTGGACACCACAGAAACAGAGTTTCTGCAAAACAGTCTCCTTAGTTTCAGATGCCAGAAGGTATCTTCAACAAAAGTGGTTTTGCTCAATATTTTCTGCTGTTTTTAAAGTTTTAAACATATCTTCATGTTTACCCTTGAGTTGTCCTGCATACTCTTCTAGATTTAAAAGTCTCCCACTGAATTGAATAGCATAAGTGCTTTATACTTTTTTTTTTCTTTCCTGGATAACCTGAGTGTGCATGAGCGGGTGTGTATTTGTGCCTGTCTTCACTGTGTGTGCAAGTGTGTGTGTATGTGTGTGTGTGTGTCTGTCTAGTGGGTGTTGGAAAAGAACAGAAGAAAAGTCAACTGTTTTGTGGAACAGACTTCTGGACTCCTTTGTGCTGCATAATCCTTCAAATGATGACTAGATACCTAGTCAGGAACTCTGATGTTACCTTTGATTTATATATAATAAAGTCGATTTAATGGAGTTTTTTTTCAATGATTCAACTTCTGAAAAAAAAACAGCACGAGAAACTAGCAGGATATAATGAGTGTTATCTAATTGGAAAATTACATTTCTTTGTGAGTATTTTCATCTTTTTGGTGGATTAAATACTTTATATTTGTGGTCATTGTACATGTGACAGTTCTTTAAGTCATCAGATTTTCCCAGCACCTCAGGTAAACCCTGGCTTTAGGTGTTTACTGTTTGCTATCTATACTCATTATTTGGGTGTGCTAGAGAAATAGATGCTTAGATACTACTGTAATCTAGATCATTGTATTCATTGGTGTAGATAATCAATATTCTTAATTTATTGTATGATAGTTAAGTTCTTCACACAATAAACATGAATAACATTCATATTATGTTCAATATGAATTTGTGTAATACATGGAGGCTTCTTTCCATCTAACAAATTTATCTGAGTTATTGGTATTAGCTATTAGTATCTAAGCTATATACTATTTAGGATTAATGTAACTAATTTATTACCAATAGTCTTAAAATGATGTCTTGGTAAAAGCGACCATATTTACAAGAAGAATTCCTCCATGTGATAAAAGAAAAGGGAAGGGAATGAAGGAGAGAGAGAGGTAGCTATCTGGTCATACTCTAAAAGCTATTTAAAAAAACAAGTTAGAGTGACGCAGTATCCATTTTTATGTTCATTTCCAATCTTAGCTTCCTATAAAATATTTGGGATTTAATATAAACTAATACATTTTTCAGTGCAATTCCTCATGCATAGAGCATGGAGTAGGATTCTCCAAACAAGTTTCATAGGTTAGTTACATGAGTTTTGAATTGTTTAGTTGAAAATGGTGTTTAAAGAAAGTTATCCAACACTCATATTATCTTAATAACCATGGTGCAACATTTTCCCAGAACTGTTTGGTTTGGTCTTATTTCAAGGACTTTTATATTTCCTCCCCATAGAAACCATTTTTTTTTTTGGAAAATATTTACTTTATCACAGAGAACCACAGAGATAAATGATTCCTCATTTTGAAAATAAACATTCTTGTGCTCTTAGAACATCATGTATCAAACACTAAAATATACTGTGTCTTTATCACTAAACTTAAGAAATATTGAACCCTAGTATGAGGGGAAGGGGCTTGGAAAAAGATGATGAATGATCTCCAGGAAGTATAAATACAAACTAGAGTTTTACTTATGAATACAGAGGAGCTGTATTCCACCCCTCTTAGTTTGATTCAGACATTACAGTTAAAATACTATTAATCATAAAATAAAGACCAATATAGCCCCTTAATTTACTCAAAGCATGCATATAAAATATATTTAATCATACAAAGAAATAACATTTGGCTTTTATTAACTTTTGTCATAAAACATTAAGTTATAATAGACAACCCAATAGCAAATTTTTTTTTGTTCAAAATCAGATATAGTCATGATCTGCTAGAAATTCAACTTTCATTTAAGCTTAAGGATATACATGGTCTACATGTACATTTTGTGCAATATATGGACTCAAGACTGAAATTCTATTTTTCAGAAAACCTGTAGATATTTCAGTGTGTGATTATTTTGTTTTTCCATCTGTATTTAGGATGGATGACGCTGAGGCCTGTTTTATTCTCAGTAGCCGTTGTGAAGTGGATAGGACATCATCTGTAAGTTTCTAAAATCTTTTTTAGTAAGTTGTGCTTTCCATTTTAGAAGATTTTTTTTAATTTGAGTTTTTAAAAATTCGCCAGCATTAAGTATTGGTGACCTTAAAGTTTTACTAAAAGGAAACAAATATTACTGAGCTATCTTTTCCATAAGAACAGTTGTATCATTGATTGTATTAACAAAAGTGTTTTTCAAATAGTTTCTATGAATATTCTCATAATCTGTTGATCAAAATGAATCATATATAAACAGAACTGGAACATTTTTTATTAAGTATGTCTTATGATATGTAGTTTTGTTAAAGTGGCCTCAATTTTTTCAACCTTAAGACAAAGCAGATGGATCAGGCATTAGAACCAATTGGAGAGTTTCTCAAAACTATGCATTTGAGAACCTTCTATTCAAGATATTTGGGGTGGTAATCAACAATCTCTGTATTTTTAAAAGCTCCACAGGTAATTCTGAAACACATTTCAGTTTGGTAACCTTTGGCTTATATGATATTTATGATGCATTTTTTAGGTCCACAGTTCTATCAAACTTTAAATTAAATTGTATAAAGCAAATAATGGTATAAATTATATTTAAAATTTTTTATTTTATAATTTTTTTAAGTGCTTCATTATTTTATGTTCAGTAAATTCTACTACCTCCTGTGTTTCTAAGCCAATGACTCCATCTCTAGCCATTATCTGCAATGTGTGGACAAATGAGAACAATTGGTGGTTTCTATAGAGAATGGGAAAAGGCAAACTGTGCATAGATCTTTCAGGTATACGTTTTATTCTCTTCTGGAGCACTTAATAGGCATACTCTTTTACATTAATCTAGGACTGTAAGTCCTGAATGGGCAGGCTCTGTGTTGTCCTCACTCTAATTTACCTAAACTACTTATCCATTTCTAAAATGTTTAAACTGATTTTCTCATCTTTCATTTGGAGTGGGCTGCTATTAGCTGAATTGTGGGCCTACAAAATTCCTGCGTTGAAGTCCCAACCCTTAGTACCTCAGCATGTGAACTTATGTGGTGATAAGGTGTTGAAAGAAGTAATAAATTTATAATGAGACCATTAGGGTAGGCGCTAATCCAATATGACCAGTGTCCTTATAAAAAGAGAAAATTTGGAGGCAGACACGTATACAGGGAAAACACCATGTAAACATGAAGACGGCAATATACATGCCAAGGAGAGAGGTCTGGAACAGATCCTTCCCTCACAGCTCTCAGGAAGATCCAACCCTGCCAACAACTTGATTTCCGAATTCCAGTCTGTAGAACTGTGAGACAATAACATTCTGTTGTTTAAGCCATTCAGGTTGTGGTACTTTGTTTGGCAGCCCTAGGAAACTAACAGAAGAGTGTAGACCAAAAAATGATTGGAAAACTTTTAAAATATTTTTTGAAATATATATATGAGAAAAAGTATCTGCTCCCCACTTTCTTCACAATTACTACCTTAATTCAGATCAGACTGATTCATCAGTTCATTTAAGCACTACTTTAATCGTTTCTTAATTGGTTCAACATAGTAGGTACTCCAAACATGTTTATTGAAGAAATGAATTTGAACTGAAGATAATCAAGTGTTTCTATATTTGGTTGACTTATGTAATTGTGAGTGTTGTGCCCCCTCGAGTGGTAATTTGGCTTTAAATTACTTTCAGTTTTTCAGTATGTGTACTATCTTTGTGTAGCAAAAGAGGTGTAAGCATTAGGAAATAAATACATAATACCTTCTAGAGTACCCTTTGTAATGTGAATTTGGAAGGTTTTAGTTAATCAAATGCATTCTCTTTTTTTTCCTGACACTACTAAATTGGAAGAAATGAGTAAGAAGATTTATACCTATAGGGACAACAGATTTGGTAGATGAGACAATACTAATTTTATATTAATAATAATTTTGCAAGCTACAAAGCAGATAGATGAGTGTCAACAGTGAAGGAAGTTAAAATTTAAGTTGAGACAGGAAACAAATTAGAAGCAAGCTGCGTTTTGCAACCGAACCTCAACAGTCTCAGAAAATAGAGGTACCAGATGTCTCTGAATGTAGGGTTATATGTATGACTAAATACATGAATACTGGTTAGAAGTCTATAAGAAAAGTAGGTTCTTTGAACCCCTGTACATATCCATTGCTGGTTACTTTCCTAATCCTGGTAAAAGAGTTTGCTATTTGGAGAATTTGATCCAGGGATACTCTACTCAGAAACACCAGCTACAGTTAAGAGTCTAGGCACCATGCTAAAATTAAGGGAATTAAGAGTAATCATATCACTGAACGTGATATGATTTTCCCAAATGACTCTGAGAAGCATTACAGCCTGGTCCATATCTCTATTGACATTGACACAAGATTGGAGGAGTTTCCTCATGGGAAATGGTTCAACACAAGATAAAATGCATTATATCATTCAATCAAAAGTGTGTGTGCCTGTGTGTGTCTGTGTGTCTGTGTGTGCAGAGATATGAAACCTGGTGTTCCCCAGTGCAATATTAAACATTGATCACTCTAAAATGAAATCTATGTGAGAAAAGCTCTCTGCCTCCACTCAACTCCTAACCTCTTTTGAGTGCTTAACTCCTGCTTGTATTCAGACACCAGACAGCAGACATAGGGATTTGAGGACATTTCTAACAAGAACAAGAAGGAATAAGCAAACAAACAAACAAAAACCATACACAAAAAGAGAAACTCAGAGGAATCAAACAATACCATATAGTTCTGGAAATAGAAATCAATCTTAAAGTATATATTTAATAAATATTCCTAGTAACATGAGAATATGGTACATACATAAAATAAGAATAGTAGACTAGATCACAAAACAAAACAAGACACTCAGTGAACCTGAAAGAGCTCCTGGAAATTAAATCTAGCATAACAAATGAATAATTTAATAAAAAGCCTAGAAGGTAAACCTAAGAACATTGAAGAATGAAGAATAATAAAATGAACAATAAAACCAAATAGTGTAAAAGAAGAATTAAAAAGTTGAGAAAATTATGGTAGTTAGAGAGAAGCAATATCAATATAGTAGGAATTTAAGAAAGGGATTTTATAAAACACTAGGGTAGAATATTATGAAAGACATAATACGCCCAAATTTTCCACACAAAAATTGTCAAATTGAGAGGGCCCACTCATTATACAATAAGGACTAGAAAAGATCTGTGCTGGTCAGGGAGAAGGAAACAAAAGAAGAAGCCAAAGGAAAAAGGAAAAGGCATATGAGGAAGAGGAACAATAGGAGAAAAAGAAGAAAATATTCAAAACTAAGGGTGGAAAATTGGAATGTCTTCAGATGTCTCATCAGTAATGGCAGAAGACAGTGGGACAATGCTTTCAAAATTCTGAAGGGAAATATTTTTTCACTTAGAATTTTGTATCCTGGCAAAAGTTTGGTCTAGTAAGAAAGTAGAACCAACCCAAATGTCCTTGGAACCAACCCAAATGTCCAACAATGATAGACTGGATTAAGAAAATGTGGCACATATACACCATGGAATACTATGCAACCATAAAGAATGATGAGTTCATGTCCTTTGTAGGGACATGGATGCAGCTGGAAACCATCATTCTCAGCAAACTATCGCAAGGACAAAAAACCAAACACCGCATGTTCTTACTCATAGGTGAGAATTGAGCAATGAGAACACATGGACACAGGAAGGGGAACATCACATTCTGGGGACTGTTGTGGGGTGGGGGGAGGGGGGAGGGGGGAGGGATAGCATTAGGAGATATACCTAATGCTAAATGATGAGTTAATGGGTGCAGCACACCAGCATGGCACATGTATACATATGTAACTAACCTGCACATTGTGCACATGTACCCTAAAACTTAAAGTATAATAATAATAAAATAAATAAAAAAAATTAAAAATTAAAAAAAAGAAAGTAGAAAGAAGTTATTTATATAAACTAAAGATTTTAAAGAATGCACAACTCTCTGGAAGCTGCTGGAAGATGTGTTTACCAAAAACAAGGAGTGAGTGAAGGAGAAGTAGCCTCAGGGGATCCAGCACAGAGGAGAGAATGGAATGGACCCTAAACAGCAGGCTCTCAGTGCCAGCAGTCAGACCATTGTGAGGAGTGGAGAACTTCAGGAAGGCCACCTCTGGGGAGGAGACCAAGCTGGCGTTACCTGATGTGGTTGAGTGTATTGAGAAGAGCTTTCCACTTCTGGGCAGGGGTTTTGGATTGCATTTTGTCTCCCCTTTTATTTTCACTTGTTGGAGCCCTAACTCCTAGTTCTTCACAATTTTACTGTATTTGGATATAGGGCTTTTAAATAGGTAATTAAGTTAAAATGAAGCCATTAGGGTGGGCTCTAATCTAATATGGCTGATGTCCTTGTAAGAGGAGAATAAGATGATAGGATATACAGAGATACCAGGGGTGGGTGTGCATATAAAGTAACCAGGTAAAGAGGCCAATGTCACAGGCCTCAGAGGAAACCAACTCTGCTGGGACCTTGTCCTAGAAATTCCAGTTGCCAGAACTGTGAGAAAATAAATGTCTTCTGTTTAAGTCATCAAACCTGAGTTGTTTTTGTTGTTGTTGTTGTTGTTCTTGAGACTTGAGTTTTGCTTTTCTTGCCCCGGCTGGAGTTGAATGACACAATCTCAGCTCACTGCAACCTCCGCCTTCTGGGTACCATGCCTGGCTAATTATTTATTTGTTTATTTATTTGTTTGTTGTCTATTTATTTTTATTTTTTGTGTTTTTAGTAGAGATGGAGTTTCTCCATGTTGGTCAGGCTGGTCTTGAACTTCCGACCACAGGTGATCTGCCCGCCTTGGCCTCCCAAAGCGCTGGGATTACAGGTGTGAGCCACCGTGCCCAGCCAAATCTGGGGTATTTTTTTATGGTAGCCCAAGCAGACAGATTCTGAATTAGCAATGAGTGGTTAGAAAACTAACAAATGTCAAAAGAGACAATTAGAACGGAAAACAGATCATTCAAGATTGGAAATATAATTATAGCACTCAACATGCTGTTCTATGAAAAACAGCCATAATAATGTGAACACTGAAGATTGATTTAACAAAAATTATCGAACTACAGTCATGCACCACATAACATTTCAGTGACACACTGAATATACAATGGTCGTCCCATAGGATTATAATGGAGCTGAAAAATTCCTATTGCCTAGTGACATCATAGCTGTTGTAACTTAGCAGTGCAGAGCTTATGTGTTTGTGATGATGTCGACTAAGATCAATAGGTTATACCCTATAGCCTAGTACATACTAGGCTGTACCATTTAGGTTTGTGTAAGTACAGTCTATGCCCAATGACAAAATCGTCTAATGATGGATTTCTCAGAATATATCCCCATCGCTAAGTGAATCATGACTTGTATATTCAAAGGATGGGAAAAGGGAAATTCAGAATGAGGGATGAGAAGAAAGTTATACTCTTTTGTTCCATAATAGAAAGCTAGTAGATTATAATTTAAATTGAAAAGCAGGAAATAGTAATAAAATCATAGTTAGAAATATGGAAGGAGGTTAAGAGAATACCCAGTTTTAGGGCTGTAAAGGGACTGCCTCTGCGGAGTGGAAATATGTGTGAGAGTAGGAAGGAGAGAGAAGGCTGCACTTATATGTTATGGAACTTGTCTTTTTGGACTATGTACATGTATAGGTTTGATAGCATTTTTAATTAAGTGTGAGTTAGAATATGTCTTGGTCTAGGAAAAAATCATTGATTTGAAAAATGTGCCATTAGTTGTGAGGAGGTAAGCAGGTTTCTTGTCATGTCAGCTTCACATAACCCTTGAGATGTCAGTATAAACATGGGTAAATTTGCAGTTGAACTGCCTGTGTTTTTTATATATGTACTTTTTGTCTTTCAATAAAAATTTATTTACAAGAAAAAGTGGCAGGCTGGATTTGGTCTCCAGGCCCTCATAGTTTGCTGACCTCTGCTATAGATCATATTGTTTTAAAAAAAATTTCTGTGGGTATGTAATAGATGCATTTACTTACGTTAAGTGAAATAAGTCAGACACAGGAAGGCAAACATTGCATGGGGTCTAAAAATCAAAGCAATTGAACTAATGGACATAGAGAGTAGAAGGATGGTAACCAGAGGCTGGGAAGGGTAGTGGGGGAGTGGTGACGGGGAGATTGGGATGGTTAATGGGTACAAAATAAAATAGAATGAATAAGACCTACTATTTCATAGCACAACAGAGTGACTATAGTCAATAATAACTCAATTGTACATTTAAAAATAACTAAGAGTATAATTGGATTATGTGTAACACAAAGGATAAATGATTGAGGGGATGGATACTTATATATTTTTTAATTCAACTTTCATCTAAACTTCTGATTAAATTATTCTGTCTTACTTTTACTTATGAATCAGGAGAAGAAATAAGGCATGCCAAGTGAAGCTTCATAAAACAGGTAGAACTCAACAGCTGTTGGAAAAACAGTTGGAAAAACTGTTTAGTGAAACAAGTAGCATATATAGCCGTGAAAAGTTTGGTAGAGTAGCAAGGGGTCAATAGGTACAGTAGTATCCCCCTTATCCACGGGGAATACTTTCCAACATCCCCAGCTGATGCCTATAATTGCCGATAGTACCAAACCCTATATATACTATGCACTAATTTCTTTTTTCTTCTTCACAATTTCATGGATAGAGTATTCGGTCTTACTATAGATCTTGGCAACCTCAGCTAAGATATTTTTCTTTCCTTATTAACTTGAGAACTTTCATCTTTTCACTTCAAGGAGGCACTTGATGCCTTCTTTTTGGCATATCCAAATTGGCAGCATTGCTACTCTTGCACTTTGGGCCACTAAGTAAAATAAGGGCCACTTGAACACAAGCACTGCAATACTTCAAGAGCCAATGTGATAACTGAGACAGCTACTAAGTGACTAATGGATGGGAAGCATATATAGTGTGAATATACTGGACAAAAGGATAATTCATGTCCTGGGTGGGACAGGGTGGGATGGAGTGAGATTTTATGCTACTTAGAATGGCATATAACTTAAAACTTATAAATTGTTTTTTTCTAGAATTTTCCTTTTAATATTATTGGGTCAAAGTTAATCTTGGGTAACTGAAACTGTGGGAAGGCAAAACTGTGGATGGGGGCACTATTATATAAGGAAAGCAAGTAAATTCTTAAAAACCTAGCAGGGAAGTCAGTGTCAGAATTGGGACATCTTGAAGAAAGGGACAACAAGAGTGTCATTGAGTCCTGGTAACTGGGTGGAGTTTTAGGTCTTGATAGAAAGGGTAAGGAAGAAAAACTCATGTTCATGAGTGGTACAGTATCTCTGCTCCTTTGGCAAAGACTGGAATCTCTTTTAATTGTTTTATGTTTGGATGTACAGGGACTCATGGAAGTGTCTACAGCCCTTGGAGAGACAGAAACTTTGAGGGACTTGGTTATAAAATAGAAAGCAGACTATTCCTAATATGCTCTTATCCGGACATAACAATAGGCTGTATCATTCACCTCTTTTTTAAACCATTTATTTATATATATATATATTTATATATAGGTGAGTACAATGATTCAAATAAAGATGTAGACAAATTATGCATTATGCTAAATAGCTAACAATGTTAGCATACAGGACACCACGTTGCTTGGTAATTAACATTCTCCCATGTAATATATTGTTTCTTAGGAAGGATCTGGCATAGTTGCTGATGCAAACACTACATTATGTCTTACACAGAGGTTGATTAAACAGTTCTCTCAAAGGACACTCCTCCTCCTCCAGCATTTGATGTAAACTCAATCAGGATAGTAGAAATCTTTGCTCTTTGATTCCCCAAAAGTTAATAAATGCATGTTTTCTCCAGTTTTCAAAATGTCGAGGTCTGCTTGTTTTGTTTGTATCATTTTGTAGGGACTGTATGGTGAATACATGAGAGCTTGGTCCAGATCATTTCTTTTAGTTGCCTCTCCCCAAGTAAGTTGTTCTTGAAGAGAATAAGCAATTCCTCCTTTGTGATTAAACAGTCCTGCTACAATTTAATCATTTCACATGCAGTAAACTTTTCTTGGATATTAATTTGGAAGAAAATGAACTGTTTTGACATTTGCCCTTAATATGATCAAGCCAGTGTCACTGTCATTTTATGTGCTTCCAGTACACAGCCAGTGTCTTGGGAGGGCCAGAAGACCTGGAATCATGGTATGTTCTTACATGATGTAAAATACTCCAACTTGTCTAAAGACTGTCAGATGTCCCTTTTCTTAAACTCACTCACACTAAATAGTTGAACCATATGGAAAAATCATGGAGAATTACATGGGGGAAATTCTCTTTCCATCTTACAAGGTATAACAATCAAAGCTAATTCCTAGGCTACATACTCTTCAACATGGTTCAAAATTGTATTTAAACCACTGGTAAGTAGTGAGAATAAGCAGGCATATTTTACATTTTATCAAGACAGTTAAGTAGAACAACAACAAACAACAACAACAACAAAAACTTTTACTTCGTTTGAAAAAGTAATACAAAATATCAGGTCAATTACATGGAATCTTGGAGAAATATTTGTTAGGTTGATAAGATTAAACAAAATTCTTTTTCTTCCCATAGCCTCAATTCCAAGAATAACAATGTGAAATTAATTAGTGAAATGCTTATGATTTCTTAAGGAAGACATATTTAGAATAAATTTTAAAATGGTTATTTCTGGATAGAGCATTTCCAAAAATTACTTTTAATTGATTAATCTTGCAGTATTTTCTGACTATTAAAAAATACTGCAAGTCTTAGAATTGTAATGTACAGAGTATAATGTAGTTTTTTATAGTATTTTGAATTAGAATAATCTGTTACGTGTGAAAATATATTTTTAAAATCTGTATAATTGAATTGTTAATATTAGGCATAACTTTGAAGTGATTTTCCTCAATATTGTTCTAAATCAATCTGATGCATTATGAAACTTTTTTTTATATATATGATGTTCCTTGGTATGGTACAGCTTTTGAAAAACATTGATTGCACACTATTTGTTAAAAGTACATATTGAATTATTATTGCTGAATTTATAAAATTAACTGAATAAGTTATTTTGTTGTCTTAATGACAATGTAATAACTAGGCAAACACTGACAATCCTAGAATTGGTCTGTGTATATTTTTCTGATTGGAGGGGGGCATTTCTGAATAACATTAAAATGCAAAATTAATAAGCATTACAAATACTCTCCTGTGGAATTAGCAATATTTTACAAAAAATAAATGTGTGTCTATATAAAATTTTGTATTCTTTATTAGAAAAACAGTAGGTAATCATGAATTTGAAAGTGCCATAGCACTTTTTTCTGTGAATGGCCAAAATTATTTAGGAAAATTATTAAGTGTAATTTCATTGTGATCAAAATGCTTTCTGACTATTCTAGATTAATGTTATTTTAAAACAATAAAGCACATGACATACGCTTTTTAAAGAAGATGCCCAGAATTTTTTTTATACGATGGTAACATTTGAAGATTTGTAATATCATAATGCTAGTTATCTGCAAAAATCTTGCAATTTTTTAGGATTGTAGTTTTAGTCAACATTTCTACTATTGGTATACATATTTTAGCTCATTTTTCTTCAAGTCCAATTAATAAAAAATGGAAAAAAAGGATCCAAACATTTGACATTTAATAAGTCACTTTCATGTGATCAAGCATTTTGTGCATTTTATGTCATTAACCACAATTTGTTCATAGATGAGAAAACCAAGTCTCAGAGATGTTCAACAGATTTCCGAGAGTGACAGAGTCTAAATTTTACCCAGTTTAGTCCAAATCCCAAACCTCTGCCTTTACAACAAACTTGTCCCCATGTTGATAACAGCTTAGCTTACTATTCAAATGGCATACACATTTGAAAATAAAAGTGGTACTACTGTTTAAATATTATAATAATAATGACATGTATACATGGTTTCTGGTATCAGCTTTCTGTTCTACTCCTTTCCATCCTAGTTTATCCCTTAAAAGAATATATTAACTTTGTATCCATTAAATTATTAATCTATTTTATATCCTGGCACTGTAAGAAAATGACATTTTCTGACCTCTTTTTTCCTTTGGCTTTCAATCTCAATTTTACATTTCCCAATTTTCATTTTTGAAGTTACATTTGTGCATTTGAAGACTGATACTATTTACCTTTTGTTCTCTAAACAAAATGAGGATGTCTGCCATTATTTATTGATTAAGTGTCGAACCCAATAAACTTTTAGAATTGCATGACTATGAACATATTGTTTATTGAAGACCCAGTGATCAATTTGATTACATTTTCTTTTTCCTTTTTCGTGTTGCTTTACTCAAAATTTCCAAAATCAGCTATATATTTTATGTGTTGATTACCATACTGTACATTTGTGTGTGCTGGGGGGTAGGGGGCTGCTAACTGTTATTTGTAGAGCTTCTATTTACCACTCACTATTCTATTGTCTTGTCATATGTTTACAGGCCTTAGTCTATCTAGCTTCAAATTTCTAGGAGGCTAACTGATGTAATCTGTTGCAACCCACTCCGAATTGCACATAGTATTTTATACAAGGAAGGAAAAGTACCCTAGTATAACATTATTTCCATTTTTAAAAATGATTCTTTCTTTTCCTGTATTCATTCAAAAAATATTTATTGAGTATTCTGTACCCCAAACATGGACATACCAGCTGAACACACAGTTATTAACAAAACAGTAAAACATTTCCATTCTCATGGAGCTTATCTACTAGTAGAAGTGACACTAAGTCCTAAGTGCCATCTTACGTACTAGTAAGAATTGACATTAAATAAATGTGTACAATGTTAGTGAAAATTATTAAAAAGAGAACACTGGGGAGAGATCATATGAAATGTTAGGAAAGGCAGGCATTGTAAATTGAATCACTAATTAAAAATTGTTTAAGATTAACCTAAGATAATCATTAAGCTCATTATTTATAGAACACATCAGCACAACAGCATATTAGAGAGCTCGTACATCATTATCAAGTATAATTTATCCTTGGAATGCAAAAATGGTTCAACATGCTAAAATAAATAACTGTGATAAACACATTAGCAGAATAAAGAACTTAAAAATATATTCCCATCTCAATATACTCAGAAAAATCATGTAACAAAATTTTCCATAGGAGCATATCTATAGTTAAAAACATAGCATATACAGGGATTGGTAATATCCACAATTTCAGGCATCCACTGAAGGTCTTGGAATATATCCCCCACCCCTGTGGATAAGGGAGAACTATTTTATGTAGAAAACTATAAAGATTCCAGAAAAAAGTGTTAGAACTAATAAATCAATTTAGTAAAAGTATTTGCATTCCTATGCACTAACAATGAACCATTTGAAAAGGAAATTCAGAAAATAACTCTTTTACCATAGCCCTCAAAAAGAATAAAATACTTAGAATTAAACTTAATCAAGGAGGTGAAAGACTGGTACACTGAAAACTACAAAACATTGTTACAAGAAATTGAAGGAGACATAAATAAATGGAAAATGGAAAGACATCCTGTGTTCACTATTTCCATCAGAATCTCACTGGCCGTTTTTTTTTTTTTTTTTTTTTTTAACTGGAATAGTTAAAAACAATCCTGAAATTATTATAGCACCACAAAAGATCCAGAATAGCCAAAGCAATCCTAAGAACAAAGAAGAAAGCAGGAGGTATCAAACTTTGTGATTTAAAAATATATTTCAAAGCTATAGTTATTAAAACCACATGGTACCAGCATAAATACACGCATATAGACTAATAAAGAGCCTAAAAATAAACCTATGCACATATAGTCAACTGATCTTTGACGAGGTTGTCAAGAAAACACAATGTGGAAAGGATAGTCTCTTCAACAGAAGGAAAAAAAGAAGGAAGGAAGGGAGGTAGGAAAGAAGGGAGGAAGGAAGGAAGGAAGGAAGGAAGGAAGGAAGGAAGGAAGGAAGGAAGGAAGGAAGGAAGGAGGGAATAGAGGAGGGAGGGAGGGAGGAAGGTGGGAAGGGAGGGAGGGAGGGAGCAATGAGGAAGGAAGGAAAGAAGGAGGGGAGTAAGGGAAAGGAAGGAAGAGAGGGAGGAAAGGAGAGAAGGAGAAAAGAAAGAAAGAAGGAAAGGAAGGAAAAGAAAGAAAAGAAAGAGAAGACATTGGGATCTTACATCCTACACAAAAATCAGCTTAAAGACTTTAACTTAGATCTGAAATGGTAAAATTGAAACAGAGGAAAAGCTTGACTTTGGTCTTGGCATTGATTTCTTGGTTATAACACCAAGGTACAAGCAACAAAATAAGAAATAGACAAGTTTTTTTTTTTTTTTAAGCACTGAGCACAGATTTTATTGCGTAGTAAGCACCCAGTGAAAGTTAGCGACTACTACTAATGGTAATAAAAATGATATTTTTCGTTTGTGCTGCAGGGTGAGCTAGAGATCTGTATAATTTTATTTATTTATTTATTTTTATTATACTTTAAGTTTTAGGGTACATGTGCACAACGTGCAGGTTAGTTACATATGTGTATGTGTGCTATGTTTGTGTGCTGTGCCTATTAACTTGTCATTTAACATTAGGTATATCTCCTAATGCTATCCCTCCCACCTGCCCTCACCCCACAACAGGCCCCAGTGTGTGATGTTCCCCTTCCTGTGTCCATGTGTTCTCATTATTAAAACAAACAAGTGGTATTATATCAAACTAAAAAAAAAAAGCAATAAACTTATGCATAGCAAAGGACAAAATCAAAGTGAAAAGACAACCTGAAGAATGGGAGAAAATATTTGCAAACCATATGTCTAATAAGGGATTAATTTCAAAACTATATAAGGAATTTCTATAGCTTAATAGCAAAAAACAAAACCAAACACACACACACACGAAAGGAAATAAGCTGATTAAAAAATGGGCAAATGACTTGAATGGAAATATCTCCAAAGAAGACATACAAGTGGCCAACAAGTATCACGTTTGAACAGATGATCAGCATCATTAATTATCAGGGAAATGCAAATCGAAAACAGCAGAGATATCACCTTATATCTCTTAGGATTGTTATTATCAAAATCAAGATAAAAAGAGTTGATGGTGATGTGGAGAAATTCAAAACCTTGTGCACTGGTTGTGGATATATAAAATAGTGAAGCAGCTATGAAAAACAATATGGCGGTTTTTCAAAAACCTAAAATAGAATTGCCATATGACTCAGAAATCCCACTTCCTGTTATACATCCAAAGGCATTGAAATCAACATGCGAAAGAGATGTCTGTACTCCTATGTTCATTGCAGTATTATTCACAATAGGCAAGAAATCAAAATAAACAGTGTCCATTAACAGATGAATAGATAAGGAAATTTGGTTTATACTGCCAATAGACCTACATTATAAAAAAGTTGAAGAAAGTTCTTTAGCAAATAGAAATGATGTGTTGTGACACTCTGGATTCACATGAAAAAATTCAGAAAGCCAGAAATGATAAATATGTTGGTAAATATATATAATTTGAAATTTTAAAAATATTATTTACTGTTTAAAACAAAAATAATGACAATTATTGTGGGATTTATAACAAGTAAAATGAGTGACATTCTAGCATAATGACTGAAAAAAACAAAATATACTGCAGTGAGATTCTTTATGTATTATTTGAAAGATGGGTGTAATAAATGCTGGTGTATGTTGTAAACCTTAGGGTGGCCGTTAATAAAGATTTTGAAAACCTGTATGATTAAATGGAACAATAAATATATTTAATGCAAAAGGCGGCAATAAAAGGGAACAAAGAATAGATGGGATAAATAGAAAAATAAGAAGATGAAAATGATACACTGCACAAATACTAATCATATATAAGTGGAAGTGGCTATATGAAGCAAAGAATCATGGACAAGAACTCATACCAAAGATGAAGAGGAATATTTTGTATTGAGTAAAGGATCAATGCATTAAAAAAAAAAAAACTCCTAAATGTGTGTGTGTGCTTCATATAAAAAAAAACCCTCAATATACATGAAGTATAAAATGGCATAACTGAAAGGAGGAGTAAAAAGCTACAGTTAGTCTTATAATTTTCAACACTTCTGTCTTAGCAATCTGTATAAAAATGCAGGGGATCAGTAGATTAATAACAAACTTGAACACACTATCACCAGCTTGATCTAATTGACATATGGAATATTACACTAAAAAATGGAATTCCAGTTTTCAAGTACACATGAAACATTCACAGAGATACATCATATTCTGGACCAGAAAAGATATAGCAGAGAATTTAAAACCTACAGAATATGTTATCTGATTATAATTGAATTAAATGAGGCATCAATAATAAAACCACAGCTGAAAAATACCCAAATATTTGGAAATAAAACAAAACATCCATAAGTAACCCATGGGTAAAAGATAAAATAAGAAAAATTATGATGAAAATGCAACGCATTAAATTGTATGGAATGCAGCTTTACCAGCATCTGAAGAGAAATTTATATCTTTAAATCTTTATATTAGAAAGGTTTAAAATTTAATAGCAAAGAGGAATTGGAGACAATAATTATGGACTTTGAAAGTGTTTTCTGTACATGAGTGCAATGAAATCAGGCAGTAACTGATGGGTAATGTTTGATCAATGCAAGCTTTGTTTCCTTCTTTTCCTTTTCTTATTTTTTTTAGTGGGAAAGATTTTGGCCAGTAAATATGATAAATATCTACCAAAGATGGCAAAATTGATCATGAAAGAAAATAATAGGATGTGATCTTATGCAGGAGTGGAAGGTTTTTCTTGGATAAGGGTGTAAAACTTTCGTCCATTTTAACAAAAGGGAAAACAGTATATATAGAAGGTATGTTTGTGGCCCCATGTAGTGAAAAGAGCTTGTGGAAGTTGATTTTTCTTGTTTCCATTTGCTTAGTGAAATAACAGTTAAGATTATCAGGGCAGAGGGAGGCTCCAGGCCCTCGAGAAACATTGGCAAGTGGCACAGAGAAGATTCACATCCCAAAGGAGCAGAGAAAGAATTTATAATGGAAAATTTTCTAAAATAAACGTTCTAAGTAAAGAGAGGTCAGAGGCCTACAGTCAGGAGGAAACCTGTCTAATGTTTATTCACACTGAGGGGAGAAACTTTGAGGCATCTTAGGTATTTGACTCCCAAGGCTTTAAAGTTGTAACTCTCAGAAAAAAAAAAATTGTTTTTATTCCCGGCTCATGCTGCTGACTTTCCTCTTAAATGTCAAAGACATATTTATTCTTGATTATTACATGCATTTTTGAACATATGGTATCTTAGAAAAGAAAGCAAACAATCACTGAGCACTCAGTGATTTCCCTTCATGTACCCTTCAGACAGCATGAGAAAAGAGCTGAAATAAAATGTTTGCTGTGGAAGCTTTTTCACTGTTTTTTTCAAGTATGTTTTGTTTTAAGAAGATCCACTTCAGGCACTGAAACAAGCACATAATAATCTGTACTATGTCATTCCCTAATGAAATGTACCTTAGATTCTTTTGGGAGATTTTGCAATTTTATTTAGCTCTTTAGTCAACCCAGTGGTTAGTGACTTGTTTTCAAAAATATTTTTCTTACCATTCTCAAAAATCACAGAATTTTAAACTTGAAAAGATACCTTGAAATCCCTAATATAACTGAGTTTTTAGTACACTCAGAAATAATTTTTGGTAAATTTTTGACAGATGTACATCCCTGGACTTCAGTTACACGCCGTCAAGATAACCTGACCTCTTTACGAATCACTTTACTATTCATTTGACATTTGTATACCAGTGAGTTTCAAGAGGTTTTTGGATAGTGTGGTCGTGACTATGTTAAATTGAGTAACTAGATCAGGGAAAATTCAAGAGGATTAAGATCTGGAATTGGATCTGGTGTTGAGGGAAGTTTCCTTCAAAACCTGGGAGAGGATTTAAGTAAGTAAAATATACAATTTATGGAGTGTACCGTTCTGGATGAATTACTCCAACTCAGACCAAGGACTAGTAAACGATACAGTGTTTCAGCTTTCAGAAAGAGTACAAAATGAGTTTAGCTGCTCTATAAGGAAAGACAAAAAGTAGGCTTTTGAATTGGCAATTATGTTGACTTGCTGCTCAGTCCCAAAATTTCTGGTAAGATTTTGATAATATATATGCAGATTCCGACAGGCAAGCAGGTTTTTATCATTAAGTATCTGTAAGGAGTGGTAAATTTTCAGCCACGAGAGTGGGAATCAAAAGCAGAATTACAGTCCCTGAGAGATTATTGAAAAAGCAAGGACTTTTTTTCCTAAAACTAGAACCCAAGGTAATGTTTCAGTCCCAGATATACTGTTAAATCCCTTCTGCTGAAACTTGGCAGGAGGACAAAATTATATTTACAGCCATACAAGTTTGAATGCTGAGGCCCAGAATGCTAGACCAAGTCTTCTTTTAATTTTTTTTTTTTTTTTGACTTTGATGTAGATTGTTCATGAAGACTAGGCCACTGTTGAGCCTATAGGTTTGGGTGAGTAATATAGTTTAACTAGACTACAACTAGTTGGCCTGATTTTCTACTTTCTGATAGCCAGCTATTCTATCGTAAAATGCAGCCACATATTTTAATGGTGGAGAATTTTTTAGTGATTTTGGCTATTTTCTTTTAAGGTATTTTTATTTAAGAGCACTTTTGAATTATTTTTGTATTTAAAATAAGTATATATCAAATTTGAAGCATACTTCTCTAAAGACATCAATTACAATTAATCACAATGAAATGTATCATTTTCTTAATTCAGTCATGAAGTTAGGTCAATTAGTTATAGATGA
The DNA here is from genome assembly GCF_000001405.40 of Homo sapiens. Lineage (NCBI taxonomy): Eukaryota > Metazoa > Chordata > Mammalia > Primates > Hominidae > Homo > Homo sapiens. The sequence goes on along the minus strand of NC_000001.11, from coordinate 196,406,234 downwards.
TAAATACTATGAATCTTCTGTATCAGAATTACCTCCAGTTTTTGATATTATCAGATATATGTGTATGTAATCTAACCTTATACTTTTTAACAGTCTACATATTAGACCTGGATGTTCTAATTATGAACAAAATAGACCCTGACCTCAAGGTGCTTTTGAGTCCAATCTACTGTGAGGCCTTCCTAGGGCCATCTGTGAAGAAATTGTTCTCTGGGCAAGGATCACATTTGGCAAGAATTGTTTATACAACAATACATTCGAATGTTTTCAAGACAGGTTTGTTCTCCAGATTGCCATAAGACTTCTTTTACTCTTTATTTATTTTATAAGTGTTTGTGATTAGTTTGCTCAATCGCTTATAAATTTTGGGCAAATCTATCTACATGTATTATTTTAAGTTTTACAATTCAGTTTCACTTTATATACTAGTAATCTTAAAAAATAAAGTGTCCAATGAATAAGTTAGCAAGATATACTCAAAGTATGCAGGGTAAATAGATCAATTTTCAAGTGCTGCAGATGTATTTTATAAATTAAAAATCGAAAGGAAAGTGATGCCTTTGATCAAACCAATGTTTTATCACGTGTAGATGACAGACTCTGTTTGAGAGTCTAATAAAAATTATAAATTTATGGAGAGGTAAATAATTCATTTATAAAATTTCATCTAAAATGTCTGAGTTCTTTAATGGGTTATTTGGATTTCAGTAAAATAATTCCTGCCATAGGTAAAGTGATTTATTGTAAGTCCTTAGAACAACAAATACCTTTTAGATAGTACAGTTTATTAAGTTGAATTTTATGGAGACATTCATTCTTCACTAATTTAATTTTTAGGCAAACTGACTTTGGGTAAAATGTTCTGTTTCACAGTAGCAACAGACACTCAGATGATGTGGTAGTGTCCCAAGTTACCTACCTTTATTATTACAGCATTTTTATTCTAAGGTTATCACAATAAACATTTTACTCTATGATTCGAAATATGGAGCACTTTACTTAAGGATGAATTTGTCCCCAAGAAAAGTTTTAAAAAATCAATCAATCTTCTGCTTTTAGAAAAAAAAAAATGAAGTGAAATCTTGTTTCTTTGTTAGTTTAATTATCTGTATTAGGAAAATTTTTCTTTTCTATTTCTCATATGATATTTATGCCATGTTATACAGCTCTTTTCCTTTTTCCTCACTTAATGACCCACTCAAAATTACTGATGTTTGTTCTGTTTTGTGAGGGCATAAAATATGAATAAAACAAGGAAGATTTCAGAATAGGTACTTTATCTCCTGTATTCATCCATTGAATTGAAATATTTGCTAAATGCTTTCTATATGCCTAATTCTCTTTATATTATCACATTTAATGTTCACACTATCAATATGAAGTAAATATTGTTTTTCTTATTCACCTGTGATATGCAAATGAATGCTAGGTTCTGGGGATAAGCTAGGGTGAGCAAAATGTAGACATGGCCCTTGCCTTCATCAAGCTTATAGTTTAGGGAGGACCAACTTTTAAAAATGCTAAAAATTAGATGGGGTTAATTGTTCACAGAATACAATGGGATCAAGTAGCATCATCTATCCTAATTTACCAGTAGTCAGAAGAAAAGGCTTCCTAGATAAGTGACTTTTTAGCAGGGATGAGAGGCATGAATAGGGCTGAGCCCATAAAGAATGTTCTTGGCAAATGGTCCTAGGTGGGAAATGCTGGTTATGAGTGGAGAATGTGCATTATCGCTAGAGAGAAGAATGCAAAGACTGAGGAAATAGTTTGGGAAACGTTTAATAAAGGTTGTCGTAAGCCTTGTTAAGAAGTTTGAATTTGATGCCAAAAGAAACGAAACCACTGTAGGATTTTAAGTAGCCACGTACAACAATAAGAATTTTAGTTGGAAAAAACTGCATCTGATAAGATTACAGAATTAGTGAAAAAAATGTTATAAAGCTTGAGATAGGCTGACTGGGGAGCTGTTGCCCTTACTCCAAGCCAGAAGTGACAAGTTTTTAGATTAGGCTGTGGCACTGGTGCTGGAGAAAAGTGGAAGCTATTAGAGCAGTCTTTAGAGGCATAATCAACAAGATTTGAGAACTCACTAAATGCAAGGTAAGTGAGACAGAGAAGCTGAAGATTTAGTATCTATTAGTATTTTCTTTTGGGAAAAGGGAGGACTACCAGTAGCAAGATGAGTTCAGTTTGGGATAAGAATGTCAAAGGGTAACCAAGTGCATGGTGTCAGATAAGCCAAACGAGGATGTTTTAGGGAGCCAGTGGTCTACAAGTCAACTGTTGCCAAGGGTTAAGATAAATAAGAAAAGTAAGTTGCACACATCCATTATACAATAACCAAAACTTCTGTAAGAAGAATCAGATCCGTAGTAACTTCCCTTTACTCATGCATTTTTGTAACCTCTGAAGTGAAGATTAGAGCCCAAGGTTTGTGACTCTACAGATCATGCTTTTCTCACTTACTTTTTAAAAAAATAAACTAGACTTTTTGTTGTTATTGTTAAGCCATTTTAGGTTTACAGAGAGAATGGAACAAAAAATATAGAGAATGTCCATATCTCACCCCCTACACTCCTCTCCCCCTACACCCCATTTTCCTATTTTTAACATCTTCCATTATTGTGATACATTTGTTGAAACTGATGAACCAATATTGATAAATTATTTAACTAAAACCCATAGTTTACATTAGGGTTCACTCTTTATATTGTATATTCTGTGGGTTTTGATAAATGTAATATGACATGCATTCACCATTACAATATCATAAGGAATAGTTTTAGGGTCTTAAAAATATTATCTGCTCTACCTATACATCCTTCTGTCCTTTCTTTTCCCCAACCTGGCAACCACTGACCTCTGTACTATCTCCATAATTTTGCATTTCTACAATGACATATAGTTGTAATCATGCAGTATGTAGCCTTTTCAGATTCACTTAGCAATATGCATTTGAGGTTTTGCATGTCTTTTCTTGGATTGATAGTGCATTTCTTTGCATTGCCAAATATTCCATTGTATGGATGTGGCACGGTTTATCCATTCATCTATTGAAGTATATCTTGGTTACCTCCAAGTGTTTGTAATTATAAATTAAGTTGTTTTAAGCACATACATGCATGTTTTTGTGGAGACCTACATTTTCTGTTCACTTAGGTAAATACTAAGGAGCCCAATTGCTGGATTATTTGGTTAGGGTATACTTAGTTTTGTAAGAAATTGTCAAAATGTATTCCAAATTTGATGTATCATTTTGCATTCCCTCCCAGCAATGAATGCAACTTCCTGTTGATCTGTGTCCTCTCTAGTATTTGGTGTTTTCAGCACTTTAGATTTTAGCTATTATGAAAAGTGTTTAGTGATGTCTTACTGTTTTAATTTGCAACTCTCTAATGACATGAGTTAACTATCTTTTCATTCTTCTAATCTGTATACGTTCTTTGGTCAGATGTTTGTTTTGATCTCTGGCCCAATTTTAAATAGAGTTGTTTGTTTTCTTGCTATCTACATCTTTGTGTTTCAACATGTTTAGTCCATTGGCATTTAATGTCATTATTAATATGGTTAGATATAGCTCTATCTAAATTGTTTTGTTTGTTTCCTCTAATTTTGGTTCCTCTGTTTTTCCTTTCCCACATTTTTTATTATTTGATTTTGTAAAGCACTGAATGTAATATACCTATTGGCTTTTTAGATGTGCCTTTTGAATTTTTTTTGTGAGTGCTGTAGGGATTACAATACACATTCTTACTGCTTCATAGTGAGCTTTATATCATTGTTATACCACTTGTTAAAATTATAAACTTGCATTTATTCCTTTTCTACTGTCTCTTATGTTATTGTTGTTAGATATAATAATTTATCCATAGATTAGAAACTACACTAAACAATATTATAAATTGTGCTTTATTCAGATTATATATTTTATAGAAGTTAAGAGGAAATGGATTTTTATAGTCATTAAAACATTAAACATTTGTTACTCTTGTTTTATTTCTGAAGTTCTTTCTCCCTGGTATCATTTTTCTTGAGTTTATATAGTTTTCTTAAACTTTTCTTGTAGTATGATTCCAATGGGAGTACATTTCCTTATTTTAGAATAAGGAAAGTACATTTCTTTATTTTAAAAAGTCCTTTATTTCACCTTCCTCTTTGAGGGAGTTTTTGCTAGATGTAAAGTTCTGGTTTCATAGTTTTTTTCCTTCATTCTAAACTTTAGAATTTTTTCCAGGGTTTTCTGGCTTTCAGGATTTTTGATGAGAGTCCTTGGCCATATGACTCTTTCTTTGGGTGCTGTCAAGATTTTGTCTTTATTTTTGTTTTTTAACAGTTTGAATACAATGTGGCTAGGCATGGTTATCTTTTTGTTTATATAGTTTAGATTTTGCTAATTTTCTTGAACTTATAAGTGTATGTCTTCTACAAAATTAAAAAGTTTCTAGTCATTATTTCTTAAAATCATTTTCTGCTAGTTTTTCTCATTTGTTTTCTTTTTGGGAATTCAATTATATTATGTAAGACCTTTTTACCGTGTTACACAAGTTCCTGAACTCTGTTCCCTTTTCCTTACCTTTTCTCTTTGTTTTTCAAATTGGGTAAATTCTATTGATCTATGTTCAAGTTCACTGACTCCTTTCTTCTGTCATTCCCAATCTGTTTCAAAGCCCATATAGTGAATGTGTTTCTTCATAAACTTCAGCTTTTTAATCTAAAAATACTTTATATTACTCTGCTGAAATTTTCTTTTTTTTATTACAAACATGTTTTTCATTACATTACTGATCATAGTTCTAGTAGCAGCTTTAAGTCCTTCTCTGCTAATTCTAACATCTCAGACTGTCTAGTAGCTACCATCTATTGGTTATCATTTTGTTTGTTTCCCATGCAAATAAGTCACATTTTTCTGGAAATTCATAAATTGAATAATACTGCATCGTATTTTGGATATTGTGTTATGTTGCGGAGGCTTGGATTCTCCTGTATTCTTCCAAATAATGTTAGTGCTCTCATTTTAGCAGAGGCTAAGTTGCTTAAACTCAAAATAAAGCAAACTCCATCACCATTGAGGTTGGTAGTGCTTCACAAATGTCAGCTCAGATTGTTTTTATGCTTCGCCATGGATTCTTGGTTCAGAGGTCAGCCAAAGATGTTTACACTCATTCACAGAATTTGTGGTTTCTCTTTGTTGCCTCTCCCTTTTCCTGTGTCTGGTGGCTCTGGTTGTTCCAGGCTCCATTCGCTTGTTGTTCTGGCAGGTTTTCTGTGGAGTCTTAGCCAACTTGTGCTGTTGTGGTAACCACAGCTGCCCTCAGGTCACAGCAGCAAAAACAGGGAAATTATAACATGCAAGATACTTCCTCCAAGTTTTAATTTTCCTCTAAAATCTGCCTACTTTAGTTCGTTTACTAGGGCCTTTGTATGCTTGTTCTATAGATTTTTTAATAGTTGTCATATGCAAGGACAATTTATTAGGAGCTTATTCTTTCATATTGATAGACGTCCTGGCCTCTTCTATTTCTTCTTTTATTATTAATGTTACATTTCTTGCTGGTGTCAGCAGATAAGTCTCACTTTAAATTTTTCCTAAGAAATTCATTTTTGTTCTTTATCTTTTATCCTTAATGATATTACTTCACTATTACTAAGATGATACACATAATAAGAAAAACAACTTATGTTTTTTCGATAACTGACTGCCAACCTCTATTAAAAGGTGTATGTGTGTTGTCTATTTCACCTTAGAAATCCTGTAAGATACAGAATATCTGCATTTTACTAATGAGGAAATTTAACTTGTCCAAGTCTAATTAGATACTGAGGGATAAAGCAGGATTAAAACCCCTAGAATGGCCCATTATCTTCAACACAACACTAAACATAATGAAATAAAATAAAATAAAAATTATAACTTGGCATCCTTTTACTTATATAGTGGTTTACTTTCTATTTTTTCCCTTTCCTTTAAAATTGTGTACTTCTAGTGAAAGAGAAATGACAGTAATCCTCCATTAAGTTATCTATAACCCTCAAACCTCAGATTTAAAAGCATGTAAAATTGATTAACAAGTATTCACTTGATGAATCTTAGTAGAATTATTGGGCTCATTCTGATATTTGAATATTTGCCTGTAAGGAACATATGGTACATGTAAACCATGCTGGACTACTATTCATCAACTTTCTTGTAACTTAAAGTTACTATCTTGTTTTGAGTTGCTATAACAAAATAGCATAGACTGGGTGGATTATAGACAACAGAAATGTATTGCTCACAATTCTGGAGGCTGCAAAGTCCAAAATCAAGGAGCCAGCTGACTCAATGTCTGATAAAGACTGGCTTCCTGGTTCCTAGATTGTTGTCTTCTTGCAACATCCTTACATGGCTGAAGAAGCGAGGGAGCTCTCTCTCAGGTGTCTTTTATATGGGTATTAATCCCATTCATGATGACTGCCCTCACGATGAGGCCTACCAGAGGCCTCATCTCCTACTACCTTCACAATGCAGGGTAGGATTTCAACATGTAAATTTGGGGAGGACATGATCATTCTGTCTATAGCAGTTTCCAACCATAAATAACAACTTCTTCTATCTGCATTTGGATAAACAGTCCCTCGTGTCTATCTGTATTTTGGATCTTCCTTTCCTTTCACTAATAGTGCTGTCAAATAGAACTTTCTGTGATGGTGAAAAATTTCTATACCTCCACTTTCTAATATGGTAGCCACTAGCCATGTGCAACTATGAGCACTTGAAATGTGGCTAGTGTGATTGAGTAATTACATTCTTAACTTTGTTTAAGTTTAGTTACTTCAAATTTAAATAGAATTATGTGGCTGGTGACTGTTAAATGGACAGTGCTACCCTAGAGCACCTTTGTGCTTCCTTTCCAAAAATGTATTAGCTAACTGTGTGGTTCATTTATCTAATAATCTTCCTTGATTTTTTCAATTCATTGAATTTATGGGGTGACTACTATGTAAAGGAGTTCGTGTTAAGCATGGTTTTGATTCCTTTTCTTACTTTAAGTGTCTTTTTAAAAACTTTTTTTGATGTATTTTATTATATCTAAGAGTTTTTTATGTCTTCAAACATACCACACAGGTACACACACAGACACACACACACACACATACACACAGGTCAAAATTATTTTACCTTTACTATTATATAAAAAAGTAATTTTCTAAGCATGTTATTATTATATGTACATTTTTGATTTCTCCTTGGAAATTCCTATTACAAACTATTAGTTTTGCTACATGTCTGAAAGCTTCTGACTGCAGAAATTTTCTAGGAAAATTATTTTTAAGTCTGTCTAGCTATTTTTTCTCTTAATCTTTTCTAATATTCTAAGTGCTAGTAATTAGCTATGATTGAATTAGCTATTACTACCTTCTTCTATGGAAATAATAGGTATCCTTAACAAGTCCTCAGAGTAATTTTTATGTTTAAGTTTTAACTATGGATGTGACCAAGCAAACTGATTGCTTACTTTTACTTTATATGTTATAAACATTGTAACTTATGCTATGATGTTTTTATTTTGATCACTTCAGGATCACCAAACAATTTTGAGAGCATGGGCTGTGAAAGATTTTGCTCCAAATTGTCCTTTGTATGTCCAGATATTAAAGCCTGAAAATAAATTTCACATCAAATTTGCTGGTAAGTTTTTATCTTGCATGAGATCCATTGAATTTCCTGAAACTCCTATAGTGGCTTAAGGGTTAAGTCTCTGAACTAAGTGGCAACTTAAAGTATTCAAGATTCTAAAGAACTGAAAATGATTATTAAAACTAATTTACTTGATACGAGAGGATTTATCCACTTTAATATGTGACAAGATAATACTTTTGCTTGAGTCTTAATTTTTTTATATAACTTGGTGATTTTAGTACCTTAACATAATGGATGCCTTAATAAGCCTAAATATATTAGCAGTAGTAGATTTATGCATAATATAGACACAAATTTCAAGTGCCATATCTACTCATTTATACATAGGTTTACACATAGATGGGTGATATTTGGCTATAGATAATTGTTTAATACACACATAGGCTTACCATGCAATAGACTAATACATTGAAATGTATTCAGGTATATGTAAATAGAGTTAATTTAGGGAATAGACTTTGAAAAGAATTCAAGAAAAAGATGCATGTGAACTTTTTTGAAGGTACTGCTTTAAAAATGACAGATCACATGAGATTATACTTTGAATTGCTAGAAAATTGAACAGCAAAATTGTACTTGCTTTTTTTTTCTTAAATGCTTCTGTAAAAAAAACCGCTAATGTTGATTTAAGCAGTAATTCAAGTGCACGTTTTCCCCACAATCACAAATATCCCATGTTTTACATTATATTCTATCTTAAAAGTTTAAAGCTCCAAAAGTCATTAAAATGTAATACATTTTAGCAATGTGTCAGCAAAACGTATTTCCTTCAGAAAATGTGTTTACATATCTTAAAATTCTTACCTGTTAGTGTATGATTTTGAAATGAAAAATTGTAAATACTAGGGAATTTTGATGCAATGATAAGAAAATTATGAAATGGTTGCTATTCAGTTTGCTCTAGCCTTCCCCAAATTTATGTCATCACTTTTTTTCCTAACAATGTATAGCAAACAATTTAAAGTAATAGCTTCCAACTCTGGTTGCACATTAGTATGTTTTTGGAAGAATTTCTAAAGTACTGATCATAGAGATTCTGATTTATACAGTATGATAGGTGCTAGGGCCTCTCTAAGACTATTTCTTAACTGAAATTTAAAAATAACAGTGCCTCTTTTGTAGAAGGCTTTGTGAAATTAAATGGAAAAATATATGTGAAGTACTCCATCTACAACCTGTTACGTATATCATTAGCATTCATCAAATGCCAACTTTTTATTAAAAAGACCTTTGTAACTAGGCTATCTTATTTTTATTATTATTTAAGAAAAGAAATATTTTTGAAAAATTTTAAATATATATGGTGATGACTTGCTATGACAAAATTTTTGAATGGCAGTAATGACATTAACACTAAGTAAACTCTTAAAATGATGACTTTAAATTTGAGTGCCACCACTTAAGACAGGTAGGCAGATTACTATTTTGAGCCTTATTTCCTGTCTACTAAAAGGCCATACAGATTATGTCTCTGTTTTATCAGGGTTAATAGTAAGGATTTAATAAATAATGTCTGAAACATATTAAGTGTTCTATGAATGGATATTGTATCAAGACCTTAAAACAATATGTATTTTCGAAAGACAATTTGTGATTTTGAGTGTATTTTAACTAAAATTCAGAGCAGGCTTCAGTTCTTTCTCCCTTTAGCACGCCGTTGGTATGCTTCCATCGAGAGATCAAATTTGCTGAAAAAGTCTACTGCTAAAAAAAAATACGGACTATTTGTATTAATCTATTTTCTGATTCTCATTTTGTCATTATTTTAATAATACCTTCAAAATGAATAGATTATTTACAAATTCTATCCCAACCATTTATCTCAATATTTCTCATTTTGACACCTGATGAAATTCTTTTTATTAGTGCCTACATTCTTTTATGACTGAGATTACATTTCAGAGGATCTCTTTTTACATTGTGTAAAGATGAAGGCATCCTAGTTTCATTAAAATGCCACAAAAAGAGTTTGGAGTGCTGTATGAAGCTCTCAAAACAATACCATATATTTTATATCTCAGCATGAAGTTAAAAAATTATGGACTTTTCCTTTCAAAAGGCAGTGCATCAAGCTGTCACTTAGTTTGTGTAAGAGATTCTTTAAATAATGGCCCTCAAGAAACCATGCTGTATATATCTGTGCCCTGTTGCCGTGTGATTTTGCAGCTTTTTACCATGAAGAGGTGAAATCTATTTCCCCATCTTTGTATATAAGGTTTGCTTTGTGATTTGCTTTGACCAATATAATCTAACAAAACTTACACTGTGTAACAACAGAAGCTAAGACTTAAAAGGTCATACTGGTTCTGCTTTTGCTGTTTTGGAACACTGCTCAGAGACTACATATAAAGAAACCCAGTTTAGCCTCTCTAAGGATGAAAAATCACTTGGAAAGTGAGGCTCATCCATACCAGCACCTCACCTGTCCAGCTCCCAACTTACTTACCAGCCAACCCAAGGAATCATGCAGACCCACAGAGTTTTGAGAAATAAAATGGTGGTTAAGTCACTGAAGTTTGGAGGTTACTAGTCATGTGGCAGTAGATAACTAATACTGTTGGTGATAAAATAATAATTACTTTAATTTAAAATCGTATTTACTTGACAATATTTATGATATTCTTGTCCTTGTACTCTCATAGGTATTAAATATGTAGATTCCAATATTCACAAGATATGAAATGAGGCATTTGCATTTCCATTTATTTAAATAGCTCCTTCGGTTTACCCTAAATTGTGGAAATATAATCATGATTATAATTTATGTTTAAAAAGTAAGCAAAGTTTACTTTCAGAAAATTGTCCTTTTTATAATAAATTTGTCAAAATAACATGATTGAAACTGCGAATTCTGGAGTGAGACATTTCATGGTGATGTAGTTGCTGTCCTGTGTACTGACTGCATGACCTCAGGCTTCTTCAAGTCTTTAAGCTCGAGTTTTTCAAGTTGTAAAATGGGGATGATATGAGAAACAACCCCCTCATGCCATTATAATACTAAAAAGGATACTTGGAAGTATCTTTTTAATTTTTAAGCCACCAGTAAGTGATGTTTTAAGCCACCAGTGCTATTTTAAGCAACTGGTATAATTTATATCTTGAGTGCCTATTCGTCATCTTCATAACAAATTTGTATTGTACTTGTTTAGAGGAAAACTAACTGGGCTCTCCCATAATGTTTTACAAACAGTTTATAAGAGAGATTTCAAAAGCATATAATTCTGAGCTTACACACATTTTCTCAGAGAATAGAAAATATATCTTCCCAACTCATTTAACGGGAATAACATAGCCTTGATACGAAACTCATTCAGGATAGTTTTGGAAATAACATTTAGAGTCTAACTTAATTGGTTAACAGAGTTGAAAAATTATATAAAATATTTTAGGAAAACAAACCGAGTAATATATTTATAAAAGAATATATAATCACCAAGTTGAAATTATTCCAGAAATAGATCATTATGTTAAAAGAGAATAACCATATCATAATTTTAATGAATGTAGTAAAGTATTTGAGACAGACTTCAACATTCATTCATAATTAAAACTTAAAAAAAAAAATCTATTGGAAAGCTAGGACCAAAGAACTTCTTAATCTAAGACAAGTTATCTTCAAAATAACCAAGAAAAAATTATATTTAATAATCACATATTAAAAAGCTGTCATTTAGGTACAAACATAGGTGTCTACTAAATCAACTTTTATCCAGTATTTTTCTGGAAATCATAAAAATGGCAGTGAAGCTGGAAAAAAGTAAAAGATATAAGCATCAGAACACAAGAAATAAAATTGTCATTGTCCATGTATCATCAAATTCTCTACAAGGAAAATTAAAAAGAGTTTTTTTTTCTTTCTATTCATCTTTTTCTTAGAGGATCTCATCTATTTATATAATTTGCAAAACTAAAACTCTTCTTCAGTATCCACTATGAGCTTCAGTTTTGAATCTTCAACTGCATGGTCAATATCTCTTATTAGATTTCTAACAGCCCTCTTAAAATTAAGATGTCTAAAAATAGTTATTGATTTTTCTCTGACTTAAAATCTGTTTCTCACCCATTATTCCCAGCACCATCTGTATAGAACTCAATCAAAAACCTGTGAGTCATGCTTTCCTTCTCTGCATCCAATCCCACATCTTGTCCTATCGGTTGTACTACCTAATCCACAGCGGCATCACAACCCTAGTCTACGCCATTATCATCTCTCACTTTAGGCTATTTCAAAAGAGTCCCTTTTCATCTTTTTCTGGGTATTCACATGTTGTATCTATAAGCTTACTGCTGCACTTCATGTCCCCCAGAACATTTGCAACAGTTATTGCTGTTTGTGTATCACAGGAGGCGGCTCCATCTTCATACCTCCATTGTCAGCCTAAACTCGTTTTCTTTTACCAGGATACAAATTCCAATACCCTCTCACAATATCATTATTTTTTAAAGATTCTTTCTTGTGAATAATTTGTGTCACCTTTTATGGTTCAAAATTCAGATGTTAGCGTGGCTTTGGTTATGTCAAATCATTTTTTTTCCAGTGAGAGACTTTTTTTCACCAATATAATAGTGTTGTTAGAAGTGGCAATTGGTACTGAAACATATGACAGAGGCAATGGCAGCGTGCCATAGACATGACTAATACAAAAATGTGTTTTTGTAACATTTTGTATTCTCTGTCAAGCTCTTGTGGGTGTAGCGATTCTAGTAAAGCTTCTCTAGGGTCAAATATCGGATCTACAATCACCTGGGGAAACCTTATGCTTCCATGTTGTGGAACCCTTCATAAATTCCCCTCCTCAGTTGCAAACCACGATTAAAGGGCACAATATTATAGCAGTTTAGTTATCAGACATGTTTCTGTAGCTCAACATTTAATCTGACTGAAATAAACTTCATATTTTCTTCTCTGTTGTGCATTTCCTAAATCATTAAATGCACACACACACACATACATGCACACACCCCAAAACAAAAAAGAAAAAACATGTACTTTACTAGGAGGATAACTTCTTCATTGAAAAACCTTGAATGAACTTTGAAAATAAACTGCGCTCTCCAGTTAATCAATTTCAGCTGAATGAAGTTTGCTGTTTGTCTCCTAGTCAGATGAGGTTACTCAGAAAATCAGTGGGAGGTGAATTCATGTTTTAAGAGTAAATTAATAGCTAAATTTAGATAAACACAATATCTCTATCTTCCCAATAAAGTGTTATGTCGTCTGTGAATATTCAGTTCTCTTAGCTTCCTCATCCAATTTTCTTTCAACTGTTGAGTCCTCTGAAAATCTCCCACTTCATTTGAACAGATATGAGAAGAAATAACAATCGAATTGGCAAATTTTCACTCACAAGTAGGAGTAAAGGATGTAAAAACAAAGGAGTGAATGAAAGTGTGAATTATCTACTTTCCATGCTTCTTTTTTAGTCCAGAGGCTACCCTTGAGATATTTTCTATGCTTTGGTTACGGTATTTTATATATCACAGAATTTGATTGTAATTTGTTCACGAAAAGGAGAACCATATCTCAACAGTAAAGTGTTGACTGAATGAAATACTTTGTACTTCGCAATTCAAACCTGCCTAGAAGAATGCAACATTATACCAGAACAGTAGGAGTTAGTTCTTCTAACAATTAAAATAATTTTTAATTACAATAAGAAGTTAAAAGTCCAAGCAAAAGTAAATGTATTTTTAGCAATGTCACAGACAATATTGTTTAAACATGTATCATTCATAGAGTTTGATTCCCATTATAAAAATAATAATATTTAAAGTGCACACACATACATGTACATATCTTGGAGAAATGATTTGACCAGAAAATGAAGGTTTTGCTCAGCTTAGCCATCATCCATTTTGTACTAAATCACTAGATATTCCAATGCATCACTTTTTCCTACCCAAGAAAGAGAGTGGGAAAATATTTCCAAGCAATATAAATATTGGAAATCATCTTAGCTGTTTCTAAATAACATATGGATGTGCAGGCTTGACTTTCACCAAATGGTAAAGTGTGAGTTTTTCATGCTGAATGATTTCTTCATTTCCCATATAACACCCACATAGACATCATTTTAAACTTCATTTTTACAACCTACTTAAGAACATAATGCTTAGAGTTGTTATATTTTCAAAATATAAAACATTAAGCCTTTGAAAATTCTCATTTTTTTGGATGGAAATCTTTTCTCTTTGATTTTTTTTATTATCGTGGAGATCATCAGAAACTACTTAACATAAGGCCATGTTCAAGCCCAGCACTGTCTGGAGAATCTTTAATTTTTTATGCCATTCCTCACTATTTTTTACTTTCAAAAAATCAAACTTACACTGTTTAAAACAGTTACACAATTAAAAAAAACCATATTCTCTCCATCTACATTCAAAAACTGCAAAAACTGTTAACATTTTGCCACTTTTGACTAATCTCTTTGTACGCATACCTAAATACACACATATTTTTATATCAGCGGAGCTCTCTTAAGCATAAGGAAATTCTGCTACATAACAATGCTAAAATTTTTACCCCTAAAATGGTCAATAATAATTTTATGGATCCAGTTTATATGCAAATGTTATCAATTGTCCCTCAGATTTTCCTTAAATCTGTATTTTAAAATTCAGTATTAACTCAAAATTTTATTTTTACCACATTTATGTTTTTTATTTCTTTGTAAAAATTTTTATGCAATAGTTTTAGATTTATGGAAAAGCAGTATAGATAGTGCAAAGAGTTCTATATACCCTCTACATCCCACAGCTTCTCCTAATGTTAATGTGGTATATATAACCATTATCCATTTAATCAAAACAAGAAATTAACATTGGTGTTGATTATTTTTAAATGAAAATTTAAAAATTTAAATATTGCAAAAGATGTTTAAGCCATCTTTCCTGTTTATTTTCCTTGACATTTGATTAAATTGACACTGGATATTAGGTATTTTGAGACATTTTCTTGTGGGCCACTTATGACTTAATTAACTAAAATAATCTTTTGTTTATCTCCATTAATGTTTTTTATAGTTGTATATTTTCAAACACCCAATTTCTTGGTTCTGAGTACCAGAGTAAAATAATACTTATTTTTTTAGAAAGTGCCAGACATATTCTATCATATCCTATGCCTATGGTATTTAGTCTGCCAAGTAGTTCCTTGATATAAATGTCTTATGAAAAAGACCAGGTATGCTCTCTTTCACTCTTAAATACTTTTTCATAACATTTTCTAGATTTGTACTATGATCAATTTCTTGTTCTATGCGCTAGTGACATAATGATGAAGAAGATGTAATAGGTGTCAATTCCAGTGGCAGCTTGTCTCATTGCCTTTACCTGTCACCCTGTAAAAAAGTCAATGCACTTTTATATACTTCCCAAGAATACCACTCCAATGAGCTTATCCTTACTACATAGAGCTTTAGTTGGAGCCTTACAACCCCCCTTTCCTGCCCTTCATAACCTCCATGTATATCAAACCAATTATTCCAGTTATGCTCTAGTCTCACTGTATATTGCTTGATGAATTTAGTCAATCTCATACACCTACAATAGATAGTTAAGGCTTTCATTATTTAGTTTCCCTATCCCAGAAGTAATTGGTTTTGGTTTGAAAAGAGTCTCCTAACATATGTTTTTTTTTAAAAAAAAAAAAAAAAAAGAATGAATGAGATCTTAACAGTAGGATGGCCAGCAAGTGGAGATGACAATTCTTATAATGGGGTGTTAAAACTATCATTACCTCAAATCACCTTGCCTTGGAACTTCATATTGTGCACATACACATACACAAATACATGTGTATGCATCCATGTGTGTACATGTGATTGTGAATTAAATTTTACTAAGATTTTTTTGGAGAAGTAGTGTGAGAATAATGCAAGTATTCGGTAAAGGCATAAAATTTTAACTAGATTAAAAAAATAACTCTAGGGGAAATGTTGAGTGCAGTGAGGAGGACAAAAAAAACCTCATAGGAGTGATTATTTAGGAAGCTATTATAGTTGTCCAGGTGAAAGATATGGAGAGTGCTATCATAATGGAAATGGGGAGTGAGAACATATACGTAAAACATTCCATATATTTTCTGTAGACTTAAAAATCAGCTGACTGCAGCAACCAAGGGAGATTGAGAAAATCATTTTATCTTTGCTACTCTCACTTTTTCATATATCTTCACACTTAATATAAATTCTGTTAGAGTACTGAACTTATTGATTCATAGTCATTTCAATGTCTATTTAACACCAGAATATGAGTTTATATGTCCAGTGATTGCACAGTGCTTGACACATAACATGTAATTATTGTACTATACAGAATATACGATTTAAAAGATCCACTTAGAAAAGTGACAATATAACCTAGTAAAATAAAAAAATATGCCAAAATATATGAAATAGTTTGCAAGTACACAAGTAATGTTCCATCATGTTGTGGAAAAAAAAAATTCTAGAGGAGAGAGTGACACAGAAAAAAGAGCACCAGAAATCTAAAAACAGCGCTTTGTAATTTTTTTCTGAGTATTAGGTCACACATGTACAAAATGAAACTCTAAAAGCCAGGCTAAAAACAACCAAAGAATCATAAGCAGAACAATTCTCAGTGCTCAGACAGGGTGGGAGATATTCACACTCTGAGCAGACATAGTAGAATGACCTTGGCGATCAGCAGGGCATTTGAAATCTTATGAGATACATAGTTTGCTAGTAAGACTGACTTAGCCCCAGAGCAAAGGGTACTCTAAATAGATCAGTATTAGTTTTCAGTAATAAAAGCTTACCACTAACTTTTCAATTTACAGTGACACAAACCTATTATCTGTGTTTCTGTGGGTAATGATTCCAGGAATGGGTTATGTAGCTCCCCTCATCAAGGTCTCACCAGTCTGCAGTGAAGATATCCACTTGATCTATAATCTCATTTGAGGTTTGACATCTTAGAACTTTGTCTACTAACACTGCCCTTGAAAGTTTAAAAATCCAGCAGACCTTCAAGGTATCAAACTAATTCTACCAAAATGAAGCACCCCATTTTAAACATTGTATAAGATAACATTCACATTGGCCAGTATCCAATTGAAATGACTAGACATATCAATAAATGGGAAATTCCAACTGTGATTAAGGTAGAAATAAAACCTCTTCTGTACAAGCTTATATCCAGAAAATAAAGGAGAGGAGAAAAAAAAATTTATAGTGATTTTGTAAGGCCGGCATTATTTGATTAGGCCAAAGCCAAAGACATCATGAGAAAAGAAAATTGCAAACTGATACGTTTTATGAACACAGATGCAAAAATCTTCCAACAAATCAGTAGCAAATCCAATTCAGTAATATACAGAAAGAACATACTGTTACCTAGTTGGGTTTATCCCAAGGTTACAATAGTCATATAACATTTAAAATCAGAGCAGTTCACCATATTAATACATTAAAGGGGAAAATAAGTATATGATCATATCAACAGATGCAATAACCGCATTTTAAAAATCAGTAATGTTTTTAACAAAAATTTGTGCATACTGGAAATAGAAGAAAAGCAACATCATATTTTTATTATACTTGATGCTTATAGGCTGAGTACTAAACTCTAATATTGAGACGTCAAAGCTGTGTGCTCTACTTCTATTCACACTGTACTGAAGGTCCTAACCTGTGCAATAAGGCAAATTAAATAAATGTTAATGTACATGTTAGAAAGGAAATAGTAAAACTAGCTTTATTAATAGGCTAAGTGAACATTTCTTTAAAAATGGTAATGAATCTATAATAAAGCTAGTAGAACTAATGAATGACTTAGGAATATCAAAATGATCTTCCTTATACAGAAATCAATTTTATTTTTCTATGCTTGTAAAGATAATTTAGGAATTTAAATTAAATATAACCTTTAAAATTCATCAAAAGTATGAAATAGATATGGGAGAATTTAATAAAATATGTGCAAGTCTCATATAAAGAAACTATAAACATTGCTGAGAGAAATTCTTAAAGAGCTAAATAAGCTGAGAATGTAGCTTACTTCAAGGGTTAAAAGATTCAATATTTTAACATGTTAATTATATCCAAATTAACCTACAGATTCAATACGTTTCAACTGAAATTATAGCTGTCACTTTGAAATATTAATAATCTTATTTTAAATAATATAAAAATGTAAAGATAATAGTCATAACAACTATGAAAAAGAAGATTCATGTCAGAATATCCGTAGTACCTCTGTTGTGAAGCTTTACTGTAATACTAAAGTATTAAAGACAGCATGAAATTATCATAATGATAGACAAATAGATCAATGGAACAGAATACAACCCAGAAGTAGATCAACTTGTATATTTTCATCAACGATGCCAAGTTAATTACCTTGGAGAGGCAATAATCTTCAACAGATAGTTCAGGATCAACTTTATATCCTTCTGGAAAAAATGTATATCTTGAGCCTTACCTCACACCACACAGTGAATATTAACTTGAAATAAATTATACTCTTAAATGTAAAAAGTGAGACTACAACATATCTAAAATAAAACATAGAGGAATGTTTTCACAGACTTGAGTAGCAAATATTTCTTAGCTGAGACACACGAAAACCACAAACCATAAGAGAAAAAAAAAAAAAAGAAAAATTGGCTTTCATCAAAATTAAACCTTCCACTCTTCACTAGACAATTTCAAAGAATGGCGAACCCCAGACTGGAATGAAAATATTCACAATGAATATATCTGATTAAAGTTTGAATCCAAACGTATATAAAGAACTCCTACAATTCAATTTTAAGAGTCCAAACAAACCAATAAAAATAGGTAGAAGAATCGAACGGATATTTTATACACACACAAGGATATACCAATGACCATTAAGCATATGAAAAGATTGTCAATATCACTAATCATCAGCAAAATGAAGATTGGAAAGCAATACCATTACACACACAGAATGCCAAACATTAAAAGGATTCTTAGTATCATGTGACTGAAGCTCTCATGCCCTCTTGAAGCTTACATTCTAGTGGGAAAGATGGTTTGAGCAAGAAAGTGCTTAGATGGCTATTAAGGGAAAAAAATGCAGGCATCAAGGAAAGCTTAAAATAGGGTGGACATACAGATATGATAGATGAATTTTGGCAAAGGGACATGTAAGTTATACACTGACACAGGAATGGGTTAGTTATATTTAAATGAATGCAGATATGAGTGATTCCTGAATGTTGCCATACAGTAAGAAACCAAGGTAGAAAATGGTATGGTGAATTAACAGGAACTGAAAACACTTAATATGGCTGCACCAAGATAGAGGATAGTAGGAAATGGGGGCAAGGCAAAAATAAGATTAGGAAGAACTTTATAATTCACTTTATAAAGGAATATATAGTAGTAGGTAGAAGATGGGTTTGTGGATGATTATTATTTTTAATTTACTTATAGATTTTTGCATATTCTCATTTTTCTAACAAGATCCAAATAATCAAGCATAATTAATACCATGATAAAATTTGTGAATGGTTATATCTAAGCAGTGAGATTGTTATTCACCTAATTATAACTATAAGTTATGTTTATATAGACTACAAAACTGTGTTTACATGAAGTAAAATATCAGTTACTGTTAGTGAAATATATATAAATTTATGAATATGTATTAGTCTATTGCTACATTTTATAACCCATGATCGATCTCACTTAATATTTTCATAAAGCCACTTTCATTCATAACAAATTCTCATTTAAGCCATCAAGCTATGCTGTATAATCAATCATAAGGACTAAATTGATAAATCTGTCAATAGCTAAATCCTTCTTGAGAACGCTAACTCTGCTTCAAATAAGGAATGAGAAATAAAGCAATTTAAAAAGTGGTAGCTATTCGTAAATATTACCAAGATGAATATGATTAGTAGGATTTCTAGGTTAAATGGTATTTGTACTTTTATGGTTTTTAATACACAATGCCAATTTGCTCTCCAGAAATATATTACTTACCTTTGAAGAAATGGGCAATATTAACTTTTGCCCTTTGGTAGAAAGAAAAATAACATAAGAACTACAATAATTATTATAATAATAGTGGTAGTCAACACATGTAGTGCTTCCTGTGCAAGGGCTACTGTTCTAAGGCACTACTTATAGGTTAACTCAGTTCTCATTGCAATTTCGTAAGCTAGTATATTAGTTACATATTGCTGCATAACTATCCCAAAACTTTGTGGTATAAACAACAATGTAAATTTATTATCTCAGTTTCTGTGGGTCAGGAATTTGGGAGAAGTAATAATCTGGATATTTATGATGTTACAATGAAGATGTAGGTTATTTAGTGTAGTTGCAGTTATCAAATAACTACAGGTATTTGAAGGCTTGACTTGCGTAGAATATCTGTTTTCAAAGTGGTTTACTTACATGGCTCCCAAGTTGGTGCTGGCTATTGGTAGGAGATCTTGGTTTCTTACATGTGGACCTTTCCTCTGGGCTGCTCGAGCATCCTCATGATGTGGCAGCTGGCTTTTCCCAGGGCAGATGATCCAAAAGAGAGCAAGGCAAAGTCACAATGCCTTTTACGGCATAGCCTTAGATATCACACTTTGTTATTCTGCAATATCCTAATGGTTATATGGTTCATCCCCATTCTGCTATGTAGGAGGGAACAGCACAGGCATGAATACCAGCATGTAAGAGTTATTTGGGGCAATCCTGGAGGCTGGCTACCACAGACAGATTATATTATCATTTCAATTTTACAGATGAGGAAACAGATCCAAAATATATATATATATATATATTTTTTTAATGCAGAAATGGTGCCATACTAACTGGTTGAGACAGTACTTGAATCCACATTCTCTGTCTCCAGAATGTGTGCTTTTAAGAGATATGTGGTATTGCCTTTAATTCTTCATTAAAATTTTAAATCTTTATTTATTACACAGAGTTGTACATTCTTGTATTTTTTGTTTAATTTTTGCATTTGTATATAAAATTTATCCCTGTGCCCTTATTTTCTGTTTGGCGATTTTTTAATGAGTTATAGGGATTTTTTATATTCTGAAATTAGTAGCAATTTGGCTTTTTATATGCAGTCATGTGCTGCGTAACGACGTCTCAGTCAACAATATACTGCATACACAGTGGTGGTTCCGTAGAGTGTAATACCATCTTTTCACTGTACCTTTTTCTATGTATAGACATGTTTAGTTACACAAATGCTCACCATTGTGTCACAATTGCCCACAGTATTCAGTACAGTGGTATGCTGTACAGGTCAAAAATAGTGTGTGGATAGTACATGATTGGAATGTCAAACTGATTTTATTTTTGGAATCTGCTGATGTGAATATCATATTGAAGAGTTGTGTGGGCTGTTTGGGGTGGTTGAAGTTGGTGATGTTGAAGAAGGACAATTCAGAGTAGGTAAGGACTCCAACAAGACAAAACATTTGGCTCAATTGTCTCATAAAATAAAGCTTACTTTGCATTAAGAATTCCTTTTAAAGTGCATATTTCTCTTGGTGAAACTGAAATTTCAATCTTTTTTATATGTTAGTTTATTTGGGTTATTAAGTGAATATCTAGTTGATAGTAGCATCTGCCTATTTGTCTGTCTGTCTGAAGGTCTCTCAATCTCTTATTCCATAAAAATAGACATTTGGGAGGAAGAGGGAATGAAGATTAGGTTGTTATGCGAGACTTCTAAAAGATAACCAGTGGCCAAAAAGTGGGTTCTAAATGCCTAATTCAAGGGATGATTTTATGTATTTTATTGTATTTATTTATTTTTTTAAATAATTTTGTCCAGAGTAATGGTTGCCAAAACAGTTTTAACAGATTTTTTTTTTTTTTTTTTTTTTGGAGATGGGGTCTCACTCTGTCACCCAGGCTGCAGGCTGGAGTGTGGCAAGATCTCAGCTCACTGCAACCTTCGCCTCCTGGGTTCAAGCGATTCTCCTACCTCAGCCTCCCAAGTAGCTGGGATTACACCCATTAGCGTGCACCACCATGCCCAGCTAATTTTTTATTTTTAGTTTTAGTAGAGATGGGCTTTCGCCATGATGGTCAAGCTGGTTTCGAACTCCTGACCTCAAGTGATCCGCCCACCTTGGCCTCCAAAAGTGCTAAGATTACAGGCGTGAGATTATATGTGACAATCATAAATTTGGCTCTGGGTTTTTTTGGTCTGGGAGGATCAGGCAAATTGTAGCATCTTTCCTCATTGGTAAGGGAAGAGTATGGGTGGGCTCACATAAATGCACATTTCTATGTATTATTTATTTTTATCAAACAAAACTTTACTTGTTATGAGGATTTATAGCTTACTGTATGCTTTCCTGAGTCACTTCAATTGAAGTTAACAGCTTTAGTTTCTTACAGCTTTATTGTGGTATATTTGATAAATAAAATTGTATAAATTTAAGGTGTACAATGTGATGATTTGATATACATATGCATTATGAACTTATTTACCCAATCAAGTTAGTTAGCACATCCATCACCTCACATAGTTCCCTTTTTAATGTGTGTGGTTAGAATATTAAAGGTCTACTTTCAGCACATTTCAAGTATAAAATATAGTATTGTTAACTACATAAGAATTACAGCGTTTTGTGATTTATAAAAATAACTATGCATTTTTTTATCTAATTTGCTGCAAGGTATAGCTGGCCAAAGACTTAACATACTTACAGGCAAGGGATTCAGACTCATGCCATGTGACTCCAAATCCAATGATTCTTTAAATCAAGCACAGGGCAACATTGAATACATTTTCCTACTTTATATAGCATTTCTGCAAGTGCTGGGGTTACATTTTAGTCTTCATAGAATGCGTGATTCAAAAGTTTATTTTTTTGATTTAAAGACACGAATTTCCTGAGGGTTACAGTAAAAATGATGTATAATAGAAGATATACTTGGACCCTGTCATCACTCCCGATGATTCCAGTCTTATTTATACTGTTCAGCCCATAAAGTATCCAAATTCAATCTTCTTTCCATTTTGCTTATTCAATCACCCAGTGCTATAAAACACTCTCCTTCCACCTCATCAACTCATCTAATGCAGTGTTATTCAAAGTGTGGTCCAAAGACCAGTTTCATTCCACAGACTTTTATCAAGCTACAACATGATAAATACAGCAATTGAGAGCAGCATTTTAGAAATTTTGATAGCGATTTGACATTGCCATGACATCCAAATGCATAATTAGTGGACTGTCTCTTTGGAAAACATATAGACTACTAAGCATATACATAGTTTGGGCTATATCAAAATCATAGGTGAATCACATATGGCATGAGCTGCCTATGTGCTTGCAATGGGTTACGACCTGTTCTTTCTTTTTATTTTACAATTAAAAAGAAAAAGAAAACTGGCCCTTCATCACAAATAGCTTGAGAACCATTATTCCATTTCATCATCAGTTTAGAGTCTTCCTGTGCCTCAGTTCCATTTCTTCTCTTTTTCCCTCTCTAAGGAACCTGAACTCCCTAGTCTGCCACTTCATTCAGTCAGCCACATGTCAGTGTTCTGACTTCCTTTGTTTTTCATTTTTTTCCCATAGCTTTTGATCAAAAGTAAATACACATGCAAACAAACAAAATTCCATGTACGCTGATCCTTTTTTTTTCACTCCTTGACTGGCACTCCTGGAAAAACAATAATACTCAGTGGGTCAGATTGTGTTACCATAAACTCATGTTCAGGCAGCTCAAAGCGGCCCTTAACGTTGTGTTTTTTTGTTTTTTTCTTTTAATCAAATTATTCTCTTGCTCTTGTAATTACTATTTCAAATTTATCTCATTTTCTAATACACAGAGATATGGGAAGCCAATACATGAAAACTTCCTTAAATTTTGCAACTTATTTTCCAAATGTTAATTTATGTTCACTTATTGCTTCCTGCTTTTTCCTATTATAATTGATGGATTTCCTTTCCATATCTTTGCTGAGTGCCCAATTACCTCATACCCTATCAGCAACCTCAGCAATATTTTTCCTTCCTTAATCTTTAGATTTCTTTCTTTCTTAATATATTTGTGTAAACATTTCCGTTTCTTCCTACCTCTCCAATTTTATTTTTACGAAATTCTGCATACTTTCTTCACCTTTCAAACAACTTTTCTTAATTATCTTTAAAATATTTGGTTAAACAGGCCGGGCGCGGTGGCTCACGTCTGTAATCCCAGCACTTTGGGAGGCGGAGGTGGGCGGATCACAAGGTCAGGAGATCGAGACCATCCTGGCTAACACAGTGAAACCCCGTCTCTACTAAAAATACAAAAAAAAATAAAAAATAGCCGGGTGTGGTGGCAGGCACCTGTAGTCCCAGCTACTCAGGAGGCTGAGGCAGGAGAATGGCATGAACCTGGGAGGCGGAGCTTGCAGTGAGCCGCGCTCGCACCACTGCATTCCAGCCTGGGGGACAGAGGGAGACTCCATCTCAAAAATAAATAAATAAATAAATAAATAAATAAATTTGGTTAAACATTATTTCCTTAAGTGAGGCTTTTTTCATTCCCTCAGAGCAGGCAAAGTATCTGTATATCCTCTTAATACATATGCATTTACTTTCTTTTTACCATTTATTGCAGTATTTATTTGCTACTAATAAATCTTCCAGAAATCTTCCAAAATATTTTTGAATCAGTCATTCAAATTATTTTAGTTCAGCTACAATATTGTGTTTTGTGGTTGAAAAGGAATGAAACTGATCTCAAAGGCAAATTTGCCTACGTTCTCTCAAACTTCACTATTACACGACAGGTGTTCGGGGAGCTTGGTGGTTGTGTTTTCTCAGTCATCAGTTCAGTGTAATGGATGCTCCAGCCATTTGTTCATCTGGTAGCAAGTGGTCATCTTTAAGTGGTTTCTACAGAGGGAAACACTGCTACATTCTGTTACCTATTTTAAGTGCTGGTTAATCAATTTTAGAGTCGTATAGCTTTTGTAGAGTCCTTTGTAGATAGTTTGAATTTAATAAGTAATAAATTCAGCCAAGTTACTTCACTGTTCTGAATATCTGATTGCTTATCTGAAAACTACTTAACACAATATATATCATAGAACTTTTGAGAGGTTTAATAATATATATATATAACTTAGCATGAAAGCAGAAATATTATTTAGTATTATTATTTTATTACTAAAAAGAAGCTTCAGTAAGTATCTTCGATACTATCAGAAGCTGATAAAGTATACTCTTGGTTAGAACCTAAAGAAATTGGAGGAAAATAATTTTTCAAAAATATTAAGACTGCTATGTATTTATGAGAGGTATAAAAGAAAAGGAGGTTAATGAAATTAAAACTGTTCTGCACTAGGGTAGAGGAAATTTGAGCCCCCTTTTGAGTATTTAATAGCCTGAAACATCAAAAAAGATTATATTTATTGTACTAAAATAAGTATTGAAGCAACTGGAAAAACAGAAACGTGCTTTTTACTTGTGTTATTGAAATGAAATAAATCTGTTTTACAGAAAATTGCAAATCTCAAATTGGGTTAGATTCTATGCATTTAATAAGCATTCTTATAGTTAGATCTAGTGAAACTAAGTGACTTTTAAGGATTTACTTAAATCTATTCTTAGCCATTTAGTGGTTGAATGCCTCACAATCTGAATTGGCAAAGTTTCTGACGTGTTCATATGCACGCGCACGCATGCACACACGAGTGGTTATTTTATTGATTAAAGTAACAGGATCAAAATAAAACTCACTTGATTGCAAGACATTATCTATTCTCATATAAGAAAAAGATACAATTTTTTGTAGCAATAAACCCACTCTTGCTTGCAAATAGAATCTAATAAGCAAAGGATATGGGAAAGATTTTATAATGCAATTTAATCAGTTGTTCTATTTAATAAACTTTTTCCCCATAAAATAAAAATGACTAACATTTAGATTTTAAAATCCACCCTGGTTCGTTTTTCTATTTAAAAGCCATTTTCCAAAGGATATTTGATTTCTGTAAATTAAAACCCAGCACTAGATTGGTTTACTGCACTTTCCACTATTTACTGTTTTCCAAAGAGCTGTTACCTAGCAACTGCATGGAAGAGGTTTCTAGTACTTTAAATCACACAAAAGCTCAGAATATAAGGTGATGTAGACCTTTAAGAAAATATTCTGACTTGTTTTAAAGTAACTATCAATTTTATTTTTCATAAAGTAAAAGGGACTTGAAGACAATTTTGATTCATATTTATCAATGCATTTGCATCTCAATTGTAATTTTTTATTTTAGAAGCTTTTAAACTGAAAATGACAGACATTAGAATAACAAAGAAGAAATCAATAATCTCACAAAATACTACTATTTTAAAAGTCATATGCTTCTAAAACTCTTTCCCACCTGTTGAGGCAGTTTCTATTGACAATTTGATGCTTATCTTTACACACTATTTTCTGTGCATATCCAGACACACATACAGGCATACACATGAGCATTCTTGCAGAATTCAGCATTTTTACAAAAGTGAGACCATGTTTTTAATTGAATAACAATGGAATTATGCTATATTGTTTTGCCACTTACGTTTTAAAAGTATACTGTTGGCATTTGTTTCAAGATAGTTTATTGAAATCTATCTTTTGATTTTAATAACGCAGGATTGTGATGATCCATAATACTTGTTTAGAATTCTAATTAGCATTTTATACTCATTTTCTATTTTTTTCCTCAGACAATTCTATGAGGTAAACACTACTGTAATTCACATTTTAGAGATAAGGCCTGTTAGGCCTACAGATTAAGAAATTTGCCCATGGCCTGGCACACTCACTGGTGATACCACTTGACCACTTGATCTCATGTGCTTATGTCTTAACAAGCAATAGTGAAGAAAGATCTAAGTCAGAATAAACAGAAACTTTAAATGGATGAGAAGAAAATACAAGATAAGATGCATGTACATATATCTTGTATTTTCTTCTCTCTCTCCATATATACAGAGAGAGAGAGAGAGAGAGAGAGAGAGAGAGAGAGAGAGAGAAAGTCTCACTGTATTACCTAGGCTGGAGTGCAGTGACACAGTCTTGGCTCACTGCAGCCACTACCTCCTGAGTTCAAGTGATTCTCCTGCCTCAGCCTCCCGAGTAGCTGGGATGACAGGCATGCACAACCACGCCTGGCTAATTTTTTGTATTTTTGGTAGAGACTGGGTTTTGCCATGTTGGCCAGGTTGGTCTCAAACTCCTGACCTCAGATGATGTGCCCGCCTCCAGCTCCCAAAGTTCTGGGATTACAGGCATGAACCACCACACCCTGCCACATATAATTTTTAAATAGGAAACACTTTCTTCAACAAAGGAGGGGAATTAGAAGCTAGAAGGAAAAAAAATGACAGATTTATATTTGATAAAGAGTTGTCCTTCTTTGCATAATCAAAGCTGTGCTTTTGCTACATATGTTGTCTCACCAACAAGAAGAAAAGAGTTTAGGGAAAGTGATTTTGTATACAAAAAGTAATCCAGAGTTTATCCATTTCTGCACATTGTCCCATCAGACAAACCCTAGTAATGTGGCCATATCTAAAAGGGAAACTGAGATATGTAATTTCTACCAGAGCAGCCATGAATCCAGGTAAAATATGAAAGTGGGGTGGGGGGAATAAGAGCGTCTATTACTAAAAAGAAAGAAAGAGAAAATGAATACTGGGGGAGGTAGTAGTTTTAGCGATGGTTCTAGTCTTTAGGCACCCAAGTAACCATGCATAACATTATATATATATAATATATATATATAATTATATATACAATGTTGTTTACATATTATATATTGATTTAGTAGATATTATATTACATATTGTATTATATATTAAATTATTATATATTATATTGCTGTTTCATATATATTACTTACATATATAATGTTGTTTGTCTATATAAATATATATAATACATAATGTACATGGTTTCTTGGGTGCCTAAAGGCTTGAACTATGGTTAAAACTACTCTCTCCCCCAGTATTCATTTTCTCTTTCTTTCTTTTTAGTATGTCTATTAGCCATTTACTGGCTACTATAAATGGCATTCATATAGCGCCACTAAAACTTGGAGTATTTGACATAGGGAATAAATGAGAAAACACTCATCCATTCCCTAAGACAAATACTCCAAGTTTCATCAAATGACACATCCAGCTCAAAGTTCAGGATATCTGGAAAATGTAAAGTTGGATCTAGATGTGGCTCCTAATAATCTAGCAATATGCACATTAATAAATTTGCTAAGTGGTCCCAGGACCACTACCCCATACAGATACACAATAGTAGAGGAAGAAAGTTGTAATAAAATAATGGTTTTTGGAAAACAGAAGAAGGAAATGCACAGTAGTCATTGGTCCATAGTATGTCCTTTGGCACACGAATTGAGAAACCTCCAAAGCAACATATAAAATTCCTTAATTAAACCTTGATTCTTCTCTTTACGGAGTAATTCCTTTGTCCATTCATATTCATGGCTCACTATTCTCTGTGGCCACTCTTGAAGTTGAAATTCGAGTGGATTTCTTCTAGGCCTCTCTATGTGTCAGTAACTGTGTTCAAAGTTCTTTTCTAAGAACCTTGTTAAACCTGACTTACTGGATTTTGTTGCCCTGTCCATATCACCATCTTTCTTGCAATGGTGGATACCTTGGTATCATCTGAAACAAGTTTCAATGTGAAGGCAGCACTGCACTTTAATCTGATTTTGTCACAGGTCTGTCTTTATTGGTCTGGCTGGGAAGTCTAAATTAGAGGCCTCTGATAAAGGCTCTGAAAGGGAATGTCATCTCCTGCTATTTAGGATACAGTTCACTTTTTCAATTCTGCAAGTGTTCATTTTTATACTTTTTATTAGATTTTTGATCACAAGCAAACAATGTACTACTTAAGAGAGTTCTATTCCCTTCTCTTTCTGCTTGCAAAGTGATCAGTTCTTACCTCAGATCAGCTCTCTATGTATTGCTGACTAAAATCAGCAAGGTGCTGTGAACAAACATTAGTATACTTGCCCTTTTCAACCACCTCTTCTAAACATCTCTCCATAGGTAGGTGGTTTTTGCATACAAAGAGGAAAATGGGTAGTAGGGAAAAATAGCAGTTACTGTTATTGATGTATTTCTACAGTATGCATTTCTATATTATCTAAATTTTGTGACTGTCTCTTCTATTTTTAATTAGAAAATTATTTGATAAAAATTGGCAGTTTTTGACTTGAAATTCTCCCCCCCACCAAAAAAAATGTATCTGATAAACCTGAAAATGTACTCTCTCTCCCAGCTCACCGTCACTCTCTCCAACACTGCTTGGTCATACTATCTGATGATGTTTATGCCCATGAAAAGGATTCTTTTGATGTTCTAGAATAATGTTTCTGTAATTTCCATTCTTTCAGTGTTCTTGCTCAGCTCATCCTAGCTCAGCAACCATTCTAGGGTTGTAACTTAGATCATATCATTACCAATAAACGTCACTCCTCTGTCATCTCCAATCCTAGTGTGTCCTTCTCTGACCACCACTTCCTATCTTTGTAGTTCACTCCCTCTAATGAAGAACTTCAACTATCTTTTGACCATACAAGACCTACAATTCATTGTCCCTACCAAATCTTCACTGCCATTTACACCCATAGGTCTTGTCTTCCCTTCTTAGCCTGCTTGAATGTCATGGCACATTATTAATAACCTACATCTTCGATTACACTTGTGACAGTGTTTATGTGGTTTGTGGGCAATAGGGAAACAACTATGAGGAAGCGGGTCAGAAAGTAAGCTGACCTAATGATTAATGCTGAATGGTGCTGCAAGCTTGTTTTATTTCATTTCTCCTCCTTCTTTCTTTTTTAATTGGTTTAATAAAATTTATAGGGATGGTTTTATTTTAGTTGAATGTGTCAAGAGTGACCCAAATTATGTAATCAAGTCTTACAAGGTGGAATGCTAAAGAGTTGGAAAACATGAAAACCAATTAGAAAGTTGTTAGCCTAGAGGAAAGAACATCAGAGTTTGAATAACAGTCCACAATCCCTTAGCTGTAATTCCAAAACCAGGAATCTCTGCAACATGAAAATATTTTTGTAGTCTTGGTGGTAAAACACGAAATTATCTGAAATTATTTGGTGGTAGTTCCTGCACTGAACTGCCATGAAGCTATTTAACCCTTTATTTTTTCTACTTAGTATAAATATTCAAACATTTAGCTGCAGAAACAATGATATTTTTAGGAATAGGTTGTTCCTTGGATATGTTATATAGTGTCTGGTAGATGAAACATATTGCCTTTCTAAAATCTGAATATTTTTTAATTCTGAAATTTGATATCTGAGCCTTAAGAATTATGGATGTATTAGAAACCTGTAGTAAGTAGTGAGAATGACAATGGGAAAAAAAGAAAGAGAGGGGAATTTGATTGTATAATCCATAAACTTTGGCTATTATAATGTATTGGGAAATGAGGGGCAGTTAGAATGAAGGAATATTTTCAGTATTTTAATTCAGGCTGAGGATTAGTGGTTAGTTCTAAAAAATGTCCCAAGAGGAAGGATGGATTTGGACCTAAGAGGACAAGTCTAGATATAGAAGCAGTTCTATTTTTCAGATTGAGTTTTAGCTCTCTGTGATGCATGCAAATAAAGATTATTATCCAGTTGAATATTATATCATATCTTTTTCCTTGTATTTTCCATTCTTAGAAATTAAATAGCTTTCTTAATGAAAAGAGTACTGAATTTACATTTGTTCTAACAAAGGCTTTCATGATAATTATATATTAACTTATTTATCTAAAAATGGTTATTTTCTCTGATCCAGTACTCTCTTTTTATAATAAATATTTTGCAACACTTCCTACACTATTTTGAAATGAAATTCAGAGTAAATATAACTATCTATACACATAAAGTATAAAAAGTTAGTATAATATTCTAATTCTAATATGAAAGAGAAAAAATGGAAATAATAATAAAAAGCATGTTTTTTTAATATGTAAACACTCAGGCATGAATAAACAAGAAGACAGTGGGAAAAAAAGACACTTTTACCAATGACAAGGTGCTAGGTTTTGACTGATACATATCATATATTAATTTTTATTAATGACTTACATACAATGCTAAACATAATAAAGTAAAATTTCTCTTAATTTACACCGCAGTTGCATCCCTAGATAATTCAGTGTACAAAGGAACAGTGCATACATACTTTGTGTTTATGTGTAAAATTGCCACCATTGATGGTAGTACATATACTTATTGTTGAAAGGGCTGATAGACACTGTAAAACTTTTACCAAATGTAGAAAAAAGACACATGCAAATACAAAAATGACTATCGAAATGTAGGAATCTTTTGCTTCCTTCTAATTTTCTCTGATTAGTACAGTTTTTGAAACATTAGCCACTGCAGCAAAATCTTCCCACAGCCATTGCCCCCCAAACTCAGATGCACACATTTATTGAAGAAAAGGGAGGAGACCTAATTATTTTTTTTACTTTTTTAACTATTGAAGGAAAATACAATGAGATATTTTCAAAGTATAACACATCCATCACATTTTCTCACATTCCCCTACTGAAAGAAATATGGTTTGTGCACTGTAGTAAGGAAAAGTTAATAATTGCATGCTACATTGCATATATGGTAATCATACCTTCCAAATTTTCTGTTACAGTTTGAAATTTTAACAATTCTATGTGGTAATAAATGTACATATTTTTCTCAGATCATCTGTTCTAATTTTTGATTTGAAATTTATGGGTTCCCTATGTATTGATATCATATGATTCTACAGTAATAACATTCCGGGTTTAGCAGTTTTGTCACTCTATTTTCACAGATTGGGCATACACACTCAAAATTATTTTGAGATAATATTGAAATGATAGTTTAAAAACACTCTTCTTTTGCAAATCTTATGTACACTTCCCTGCATTCAAAATTGTATCTAGAATCTGCTTGCCTTTCCTGCAAAGCAATAAATAATCTGGTTATGTATTTCAAAAACATTTTATGTCAATTATAATATATTGACAAGTGGGTGTGGGGAGAGAGATTATCAGTAGAAACTTGATATTTTTGTATTTTTGAGTAAATCCTGACATATATCCATAGTATATATTTTCTTCCATAAAATGTGAAAGAGAAACAATAAAAAATGAAAGCAAAATAAAAAGTAGTATGCTATCTCATGTACTAAATCATATTATAAAAACAGGGCAGAACGAAAGTCAATGTTTGTCCAGAGCATTTGCTAAACCATTTCCCATGTAACCTTTTCTTCTTTCTTCATAAATTGTATGGTGTTATGTATTCATTTTATAGATCTAGCTCACTGACAAATTTGATCTTCTATTTCTTAATTTTGCTAAAAGTGCTACTTTTCTGCCTAAGAATATGTATTTTCTTAGAATTTTAAACCTTCTCTTTATTTTTAATACCAGCTATACTTGTTTATTTGGGAAAACAGGTTTTTGTTTTTTCCAAAATAAACACTATTTAATCACTTTTTAAAAACACGACTTCTGTAGAAAATAGAATATCTGGCATCTGAGCCCTCATTCCTGCATAACAATGCTTGGCCTGAGTAGCATCATTCTCTTTAGATGTGGCCTGCACTTTCCCATGTGCTCTCATTTCTAGCACTATTATTTTTATGTCATTGAATTTCAGCAGCCATTTATTATGTTTTCTGGTTGGACCCTATCATCTTTTGGGTTTATGACTTTTAGGAATTTGGAGTTAAAGTACAATTTTAATTTCAATTTATTTTAGCAAATTCTATTGCTTGATATTACAGTTATTTTCATAGTATCAAATATATTTCTTCTATGCTAGGCACATATTATCTGCTAAATCTTTTAATAATTACTTTCTAAAATTTATGCTGTGTCATTATGAATTTGATATATCAGTACTCTTCTAAATCAGTACTGTTGTATTTTATACTATAGAATTATCAGAACAAAAGGAGACTTTATAAAGTATTTGAAATATTTTAGACCACACCTCAAACCCACCTGCTAGGCATAGGAAGATTAAGCATTTTACCAAAAGTTGCCAATTTTGTTAAGACAGGGTTAAGCATTTTAGCAAAGGTTGCTAAATTTGTTGAGACAGGAGTGACCCCCAAGCCAATCACTTAACCCATACTCCAGTACTCTTTCTTAGGAGATATATTTCCTGGGGATAAAATTGCACTTGTAAAAACATCTCTAAAACAAGTATGTTTATATTGAGACTTTTACCATTTTATTCATTTTGTTTTATTTTTTACATTTTATTACTCTCCAAAGGTAAATTATTCTAATTTACCTATTTTATTTCAAACAGATCATGTTGTTTGTGAAGAAGAGTTTAAATACGCCATGTTAGCTTTAAACTGTATATGCCCAGCAACATCTACACTTATTACACTACTGGTTCATACCTCTAGAGGGCAGTAAGTATATTTTTTCTTTAAGTTAACCTTTTAAATTATATAAAAAACAATAAGGGCAGTTATGTGATTTAAAAATATAGAAGGCCTACGTATACAGCTAGATATGTACCTATACTTGAATTTGTGTGAGTTATCTTTATCTGGTAGATAAATAAAGACATGTTAAAGAATCCAAGACATACAAAAAGTGAGTAATTTGCTGTCTTTTCTCAGTAGTCTTGAGATAGTTTGTTGCAACTTATTAGTAAATTCTAAGTGCCGGCATCATTTGTTAGGCCTAGGATTAGGACATTATTTTTATTTTAAAGATGAATACTTCTGCAGCAAATGAAACATTTAATTAAAGGATTCTCACAGTTATT
This sequence comes from Homo sapiens, assembly GCF_000001405.40. NCBI lineage: Eukaryota > Metazoa > Chordata > Mammalia > Primates > Hominidae > Homo > Homo sapiens. The sequence continues at coordinate 196,372,777 of NC_000001.11, read as the reverse complement.
AGTATAAGAACTTAAAGTCAAATTTTTCTGTTCCTGAGGTAAGTTTTATCTGAAAGCTTAATGTACACAATTGATGTCAAAATGGCAATTTTATAATAGAATAATAACAAAGTAGTTGTATAAAATTAGCTAATGCAGTATAAATCACTTTTTATATGCATTTCAAGGTTGGAGAAAGTTGTACCATTAGAACCTTTTTTATTCTTGTTTGTTTATTTTGATAGAGTTTTATGAAATACAGAAGTTGTTTTTGACTAGGATGATCAAAGAAAATATAACTAGTGAACATAGTCATTGCTCTTATTTAAAGAGACAAATGTACTTCATTTCATATCTTGTCATATTTCTAATCTTATATTTCAGACAAAATGTTGATTTTCGAAGTAAATTCCACTTATGCTAGTGGTTATGATTACTCATATTAAGTAAGTTAATTGATAATTGTTTAGGTGAAGTGTCAAATCAAATAAATCCAGAAAAAGGAAAATTCTTTTTTGAGATTTATTTATAGATGGATAAGTTGTTAATTTAAAAGTAGTAAATACTCAGTGTTATATAAATTAGATTTTACTGTCTTACTTCTGACTGCCTAATTGGGATGGTAAAAGTTTCTTAGGAGCAATTTTCTCAAAGTTGTGAATAGGAATATTTCTATTCTATATACTTACAAGCCTTTAATCTGTGCAATAGGAAGGATGTAACAGGATTAGGAATGACGTTTATCTTCTTTGCAGAAAGTGTTTGTCATTTTGATGCAATTAAATAAAGTACTAAAAATTATTTTAACACCAATTAAGTGAACATTCATAGAACTCATCAAGTGTCTTCATTATTTTTCCGTAACGTCTTCGTACAGACTCAGACAACTGTAATGATGACTATCTAGGCAACTTCATTGTTGTATACATGAGTGATAAAATAAGTCCCATAAACACTATATAACACAGCTCATTACTCATGACTGAAGTTAAATTTCGTTGTGCATCTCCTAGTAAATATTATTTATTGACAAACAGTATTGCCTGGTGAAAAAGAATTATACTTCACATAAGTTAAAAAAAGATTTTAGTGATCCTTAGAATAAGACGTTTCCCAACATACTCTAATGAATTTTGCCTTATTAAAAAAGAAAGCAATGTTGTTGAAAACATTGTTATATAATTAAGGATTTCCTTTAAATAAGAGTGACTTGCAAAATTATTTTACAACTGTGTCACAGTAAATGCTATCATCCACCATAATAACTTCTTATAGTAGATTTATTGAAATAAAACTTACATACTATACAATTCACCCATTTAAAGTGTACAATTCAATATGTTAAAAGTATATTCATAGAATTATCCAACCATCACCATTAAATGATTCCAGAACCACATAAAGAAATTATCTACCCTTTAGCATCACCCTACATTTTCCCCCCACCAATTCTTGCAGCCCTAGGCAACCACAATCTATTTCTGCTTTTATAGATTTACTGCAGCCTCCACAGTAGCTGGGACTATAGTCATGAACCACCATGCCAGGCTTTTTTTTTTTTTTTTTTTTTTTTTTTTTGTAGTGACGGGATTTTGCCATGTTGCCCAGGCTAGTCTCGAACTCCTGGGCTCAAGTGATCCATCTGACTTGGCCTTCCAAAGTGCTGGAATTACAGACCTGAGCCATTAGGCTCAGCTGAAATCATTTTAGTATATTTGGTAATACAGTAAATAAATGAACGTAAAGAATTTTAAATAATTTGGTTTTGCTTTAGATTCAGGGGATATATGTGCATGTTGGTTACTTGGGTGCATTGCATAATGGTAGAGATTGGGCTTCTAGTGTACTGGTCACCCAAATGTTGAACATTGTACATAATGTTTTTCAAGGTTCATTCATATTGTAATATGCACCAGCACTTTATTCCTTTTTACAACTGAATAATATTCCATTGCATGGATATATCACATTTTATTTTTCCACTCATCAGTTGGTGGGTATTTGGGTTGCTTCTAACATTTTCACAATGCTGCTGTTAACATTTGTGAAAAGGTTTTTGTGTAACATAGGCTTTCATTTTCTTGCGTCTATATCTAGGAGTAGAATTGCTGGGTCGTATGGTCACTCTGTTTAGCTTCTTTAGGAACTGTCAGAATATTTTTCCAATAGCACTTTGATTATCATCATCAATATATCAGGATGCTACTTTCTTTACATCATCAGCAGTATTCGTAATTATCCGCGCTTTTTTTTATCATAACCATCCTAGTGGGCATGAAGTGGTCTCTCCAGCAACTTACCCAGTACTCTGACTAATACAATTCCCAAGGCTGATTAAAACTCTTACAATATAACATTTTCTTTTTCTATTTGTTATTATGTTAATTCCAGTTCTAGCTGATCTGTCAGTCATAAATAAATTAGATGACTTCATAGAACTGTGTAATTTATATTTTTAGAGAGTTTATTCTGTATTTTAATGCTTCTCAATTTTTTTCCTCATTTTTCAGACCCGCTCACTTTATTTACATTTGAGTGTTCTGTGCTCTTGGCAGTGGTATGTCTTATTGTTGATTAAATTAGCATTTTTATTTATTTGGCAATCTTGTCAAAAATAAGTTTATTCTCAATGAAAATAAATTTATTCTTCCACAATGGTTGAACTAGTTTACAGTCCCACCAACAGTGTAAAAGTGTTCCTATTTCTCCACATCCTCTCCAGCACCTGTTGTTTCCTGACTTTTTAATGATTGCCATTCTAACTGGTGTGAGATGGTATCTCATTGTGGTTTTGATTTGCATTTCTCTGATGGCCAGTGATGGTGAGCATTTTTTCATGTGTTTTTTGGCTGCATAAATGTCTTCTTTTGAGAAGTGTCTGTTCATGTCCTTCGCAGTGTGGTGATTCCTCAGGGATCTAGAACTAGAAATACCATTTGACCCAGCCATCCCATTACTGGGTATATACCCAAAGGACTATAAATCATGCTGCTATAAAGACACATGCACACATATGTTTATTGCGGCATTATTCACAATAGCAAAGACTTGGAACCAACCCAAATGTCCAACAATGATAGACTGGATTAAGAAAATGTGGCACATATACACCATGGATTATTATGCAGCCATAAAAAAGGATGAGTTCATGTCCTTTGTAGGGACATGGATGAAATTGGAAATCATCATTCTCAGTAAACTATCGCAGGAACAAAAAACCAAACACCACATATTCTCACTCATAGGTGGGAATTGAACAATGAGATCACATGGACACAGGAAGGGGAACATCACATTCTGGGGACTGTTGTGGGGTGGGGGGAGGAGGGAGGGATAGCACTGGGAAATATACCTAATGCTAGATGACGAGTTAGTGGGTGCAGCACACCAGCATGGCACATGTATACATATGTAACTAACCTGCACAATGTGCACATGTACCCTAAAACTTAAAGTATAATAATAAAAAAACAAAAATAAATAAAAAAAAATTTATTCTTTAGAAAAAATCACCTTTGAACATGGACTATAATGATTTCCACAAGGAAATGCTGGATTATCAGTCCAGTTTGTTAACATTCAACTGGCCCATCCTGATTACATTTCAGCTTTATCAGAATTTTAAAAATTTAGCAATTCATTTTCTTTGTCTTTCAATTTGTTTTCACAATACTTAATTAGTCCCATCCATGAGGTAATCTTTTTCACCTCAGTAATAATCGAGGGGTAAGAAAAAGAGAGAATTGATAAGAAAAATACTGCTTAGTTAGAATTCACAGAAGTTTGCCACTGATTAGATATGAGTGTAGAAAAGAGAGAGGGGGAAAAAAAGAAAATCTCCTCACTTATTGACACTGGACAGTAGAAAATAATGAAGTACATAGTTGGCAGAAGGAAAAGTGGTTTGATATTGGATGTATTTGCTTTCTGATGAAGACATAATGTGGTAGGAATTGCTGCACGCTTGGTTCCTGAGGTGGTGGATCGTGCCAGTCAGGCTCACAAATGTGAAGGAGGAAGTAGTAGGGATTTGGGAGAAATGACAATTTGAGACTATTTTCTAGGAATTTATTAATTCTAGGAAATAGAGTGAAGAAAAGGAAAGCAAATATAGTATAGCATAATAAAATAACACTGAGATAGGATTTCTAAAAGGAACTGGATTGTTAACAACATAGATGATTCTAGATTAAGACTGAGCAAGCATTTTGGAGGCTGTTCTCTGAGGACTTCTGAAAAAACAATTTCTACAATGGGGATTTTCTTATTGTGAGAAAATATGAACAAATTAAGGAATGATAAGAAATGAAGTGTGGTTGGAGATTGCTACTTCATTAGGTTTGTTCATTAATCGAAGAAAGAAAAATAATGGAAGTCCTATTGCACAGAAATGTTAAGGAAAGCTTTTTCTATGTACACAAGTATTTATCTATTTTTGTTTGCTTTTAATGTTTAAATTTTAAGTACCACTAAAGAAAAAGAGATTGAAAACGCAGTGAGGGAGTAAAGGATGAGATCCGGAGACTGGAATGCTTCTGCATGATAAAGGGAAAATCATTTATTCCTTAGGAAGTAATGGGTGAGGCAAGTGGTGATTTACACTAATTTTATTTCTGTGGAATAAGGAATATTGCATTAGTTAAAAATGTGTTCTGCCCCATGTAATGTAATATCTCACTGAAAGTAGGGGTGGTGTTTAGTTTACACCTTAAAAACTATGGGTTCAGCATCCAGAGCAGGCTATCTGACTCAGTGACGTCATCAGAGCACGTTGTTCTGTTTTCTTATTCCAACATCTTTACCCTATAGTCTTTACCCTTCAGGATTCTCTTATTGTAATCGTAAAATGCATTCTCTGCTTCAGGCTAGTCTTCTAGGTAAGAAGATGGAAGAATGTCAAAGGGGCAGATTATTGCCAACTGAGGCTATATTTAAGGCTTTCCATGAGTCCCACTCATTGCCTTTTAACATATAATTGGTCAGAGCCCTGTCACATGTTTCCAGACATATCTCAAGCATCCTGAAACATTAAGTATTTTAGATTTATAGCTTTTTAATAGAGAAAGGCAAGGGAAGAGTGGTTTATAAAACATTTTGGAGTAGTCAATACAGTTTCTGTCATTTTGTCACAGATTTGTGATTATCATTAAAAATTATACATAGCAAAGAAACTATGCTTTCATATTTTGCATAAAGGATATATTTCACATATTCAAATGTAGGCTTGATTCTAGTTGTATCTGTTAGTTATGTAAATATTTATAAAGTACATATACATCTACACATATATTTACATACAAACATATGCATACATTTATTTAGAATTGGATGTTTACTTTTTAAAAATCATTAGATTAAATATCATACGAACGAAATGGTAAATCAAAGGATCTTAGAAGGGAATATATTGAATCATACAAATAACTGAGATCACCTAAGTTTTACATGTGAAGTACCACGAAGGTCATTGACAGTCATTAAAGAGAGAGCTCAAATTTGGTGATGCAATCATTCTGCTAAAATAAATATTACGTATACCTATGGTATAGTTACTACATGATTTTTTTTTATAGTTCTTTACCTGAATTTTAATGTTTCCTGTCACAAACCAAAACAAGTCATATGATTATTATTATAAAATGTATGATAAAGAAATTTATCTCAGTAAAGCAGCAGCTGAAATTATACTCTTCAGGAATCACAAATCCTAATCACAAACAAAATTCTTTCTGTTTTGTAGTAGGCGTGTTGCAAATTCAGGAAGGAAATGTGGCATAGAGGAAAGAACACTGGTTTTGGCAGACAGAAATGGTTGACTCATTAACTGCCAAACCCAATTAACATTGAACCAACCTACTCCACTTAATTTTCAATCATATTATATGGAAAGTTGAGATAATAATTTTTACCTAATCCATTTATTTATTCACTTATTTAGCAATTAGTTATTGAATATTCACTGTGTGACAGAATGATTTCAGGTGTTCTTAAAAAACCAGAAAAATCTCTGCTCTTGGGGAGTTTTTATTCTAATTGGAGAGACAAAATAAACAATAATAAACAAGTAAAATACAAATATTTCTGCTGGCAGTAGTGCTATGGAGAAAAATTAAGTAGGGAAGGGCAATGAAGAGCACAAGGATGTAGCAGTGGGTTTAATTTAAATGATACAGTCATTGTATGACTTCATCAAGGAGTTGGTATTTACAATGACCTGAGCAAATTAAAGTAATAATTATGCACATATCTGAGATATAAGTTTTCCAGGCAAAAGGAAAAGCAGAGACTCTGAGATGCAAGCACATCTGATGACTTGAGGAACATCAAGAAGACAAGCAAAAGCCGGGTGTGGTGGCTCACGCCTGTAATCCCAGCACTTTGGGAGGCCGAGGCAGGCAGATCATGTGGGTTCAGGCATTTGAGCCTGGCATGATCAACATGGAGAAACCCCATCTCTACTAAAAATACAAAATTAGCCTGGCATGGTGGTGCATGCCTGTAATCCCAGCTACTCAGGAGGCTGAGGCAGGAGAATCCCTTGAACCCAGGAGGCAGAGGCTGCGGTGAGCTGAGATCGCGCCATTGCACTCCAGCCTGGGCAAAAAGAGCGAAACTCTGTCTCAAAAAAAAAAAATAATAATTAAATAAATAAGTAAATAAAGAAGACATGCATAAATAGAGCAGAGTGAAGGAAGAGAAAGGTAGTAAAAGTTGAGATCTGAAAAGAAACAATGGGCCAGGTCATGTAGCGTCTCCTAGGCCATTATAAGAATGTTGATGAACATACAAATTTGGCTGTCATGACCATATAAACCCCATTTAAAGCCTTGAAACTGGATGAAGTCAACTCACAGGATTACTTTGAAAATTATGTAGCCATGCCCAACCATAGTAATTGGTCTTTAGTTGTCTCATTGGCTTTGTTAATCTATATCAGTCAGAATCTATACAAGTAAGAGTCAATCTTTTAATTTGGTGTCAAAATTGGCAGTTTGAGAGAGACAGGAGAAGACAAAACAGGATACCCAGAACCACATGTTGTATTTGTGATGGAGTAGAAGAAAAAGTCCCATGCCTTGCATGTTTGTATTTTATATCTAAATCAGAATATTCCTAAGCCTATACCAAAACATCACAATTTCATGACTATAAGAGAATAAATGTTCATAATTTTATTTAGATTTTTTTTGGAACAATGACATTAACAAACAAATAGATAACAGGATGCAAGAACAGCGACAACATGTTTTTAACCATGGCCAATCTTTTGATTCAATGCCTTAAATATTACAGAAATTAGGATTAAAGGTATTTTGAGAAAAAGGTGATTTAAATACCTATAATGTTGAACCTTTTTATTTTCAAGTGATATATTATTCAGTCATAGAAGATTTTTATAGAAGAAAGCCACCATGAGTTACAGGAAGTATAAAACTCTTTTGTCTGCTTAAAAGGTGTATGTTTTTAGTGACCATTTGAAATGAACAATATAAAGAATTGAAGAAAGAATTATTGAAGAGGCCTTAAATAAGACAAATTTATTTGAAAATTAATCAGAAGACATAAAGATTAAAATATAGGTATCAGAGAAAATAATTGTTAACTTCTATTAGTATAAGCAAATAATAGTTGCTATTAGATTCAAATACTGATAACACATTATTACAAGGATATTTTGAAATAACGTTATTTTGATTTATGAGACCAAAGAAAGAGAAGGTTCCAAATACTAATCAGTTGGTCTATGATATGAATGTATATTTGAAGTACTCTGAATGGATGAAAAGATTTAAGAATTCCAATGCTATATTTTATAAATATATTAAAAGTAAGGGGAAGCAAATTTGCTTTTACATGGCGCAGAATTAATTTTAAAAAGTTGCAACATTGTAAATATGTTCCTCAGAGGTGGTTATTTCAAAAGAAGTTCTTCATTAACTTATTGGGAAAGTATGTTATTTTCACAAACAAGTTCAAACAGCAGATCTAGATATTGCTGCAATGCTCTTTGTGAAATGAAAATTCTTATAAACATTAGCTGTTAAGTTTATCTGTTGTGTTCAAAGTAATTGGTATCTTTAAAAATAGAAAAGAAAAACAGAATACCTGATTTACATTTGTTTGCTTAGCTTTCAAGATTTCATTATGCCTGTATTCAATTGCTAAGTGTAAAATTACAGAAAGGTGGTTTTATTCAGTTTTCTATCATGAGCATTTAAGCTTAAGGGAATTTTAGGATTCCTCAAAAAACTATTTCACCAGAGAGATTGCTGAATAATTTTGCAAAATCTGCAGCCACAGTAGAAACACATTAAGCCAAAATGCAATGTAATTAATTTGTGTGTATGCTGTATAAAAAGTGATTCTGTAATTTCATATGGTTGCCAAATTTGTGTTACAAGGCAAAATTATTGTTTTTGGATGGGTGTTAATACCTTTCCTGAAAAATAAAATTACGTATTCAAGGAAGTTTGGAAATATTAGGTTAAACATATTTTAATGACATTTTAAAAACCTTTTAATTTGAACCAATTTTAAACTTACACAAAATTTGGAAAACCAGTAGAGTTCACACATACGCTTTCCATACATAAACTTCCCTTAACATTTATCTTTTATAATCATAGTGCAATTATCAAAAGAAGGGGTTAACACTGATACAATACTATTGACTAAATTATAGGCCTTATTTGAATTTTATTTTTTTTCATTAATGTCTATTTTCTGTTCCACAACTCTAAGATCCTGCATTGCCTTTAGTTGTTATTTCTCTTTAACCTCCTCCAATTTGTGACAGTTCTTGTGGATGAGATTGGAATCAGTATAAACTCATGATTTTCAATGTATATAAACAAAAAAGATAGATACAGAAATACAGATGTGCCTCTATGTATGTTTGCTAGTATATATACTTACAATTCCTGGCCATGTCTCTGAGACAGAACAGAGGCAATGACATCTCAGTAGCAATGAGCAAACATGTCTTAGTAAATTTGTGTTGCTACGACAGAATACCTGAGACTGAGTAATTTATAAAGACAGATTTATTTTCTTGGGGAGTCCAAAATTCAGGGCCAGAATCTTGTGAGGGCCTTCTTGCTGTGTCATCCCATGGCAGAAGGCAGAAGGCCAAGACAGTATGTGTAAAGGGAGCTAATGAGGAGGGTGAACTCATGTTTATAACAAACCCATTCTCCAGCCATAGGATGTTAATCCATTCTATGAGGCAGAGCCCTATGAACTAATAAGGCCTTATTAGGCCCCACCTCCCAACACTGTTGCATTGGGCATTAAGTTTCCAACACATGAACTTTAGGGAACATATTCAAATCCTAGCAACACTTAAGGCTCAGATCTTGATTGGTAAACATCATCCTCCAATATAAATATCCAGGGCTCCTTGGAGTATTGGTTGATTCCAGGAATGGGGCAGGGAAAATACAAGATAAGCCTGAAAAATGTTGTGGTGGCAGAAAGTAAGGAATTGCTCAGAATTATATGGGGGCTGGTCAAAAGAAACAACATGAAGGAAGTCCTAATGGGCTAAGATGGAATCTTTTGGGCCACAAAATAAATAATGATATTAGGTTTTAGCCCATAAAATAAAATAAACATCCAGTAGTCCATACTAATATAAATAAGTAAATAAGGGATAAGGCATAGCTCTTTCTTACTGAAGAATTCTAATAAATATAGAAGGAAAGAGAAAAATATGAAGTCACCATTAGGCAAACACTACAGTAATAATTGTGACTCCTCAATGAGTACTAATATTAGGGGTGAAAGTTTGAGGAGAACTAGTATAATTGTGTGCTTTTGACATGCCTCCCTAAAATAGTTAATAACTATTAAGGGAAAATTTGTAACTTTATCATGGAGGAACCTGGGAGACACCATCTAAACCAAGGGATCAAGATAACCACAATCAATAAAGATGTTTTCATGTTGCCTTTCATATGATGCACTAAGAAGTTACTTTGGTATTCCTGCCAACATTTTCTAATCATGTGAAATATTGAGAGCATCCTACAAAATGACTGCCTGAAACTCTTTAAAATTTCAAGTCTTCAACAAAGAAAGACTGAGGAATTAAAACTTTATTTTAAAACATTTTAGCTTAACTCGAGGAGGTTTTAAATATTTGGAGATAGTATTTTGACTGGAGGATTTCCCTCAGCAAAACCTTTATGAAAGTATGTATTTGGAAGAAAAGAAAGGCCAGCAAATGTCAGGTAAAGCAATGCTTTTTTCTCTTACTGCCTTGAACCCAAATTCCAAGCAGAACTTTTAAGGATCTGAACTACACCAGACAGAAGCCTTCAATGTTTCTCTGACCATTAGGCTAATGAACTCAGATGCAAATTAGCCATGAGATCTTCCTTGTCTGTCATGCTCCGGCATCCAGAATCTCCAATTCTAAACACTGTGATAAGGGAAAATAAAAATCCATTGTCATTTATCATCACCAGAAAAGAAGGACTGAGAAAGACCACAAGGCAGGAGGAAAGCAAGGAAGGAGGTAATGACAGGAAGACAGGAAGACTTTGTTTCCCTTTAATCCTAAACTCCTCACAGAAGCCCCAGGGAATCAGCGGTCATGAGGGAGGAGGAGAAAGTTTCTCAAAAGTAATAGGGATTATAATTACCACACTGACTGCAAGAAAGCAAGAACAAACAAACAAAAAAAGTGGGGGAGCATGCTCAAATGAACTATTTTTAGTTCCCTTGGAAGTTTCACACTCAAAAACTGTGACAGAGAACTATATTTTGTAACCTGGCAAATCTAGTCCATCACCCTCCTCCTTAGGTGGATAAAATAGAGTACCAGTGAGGATGAGAGGCATTTTGATTTCCCTTTAGAGTGAAACACACACACACACACACTCACACTCACAAACACACACACAATTTAAAGTCTTAATGTGATTGATTGCTATAAATTTGCTAATTGTTAGTTGGCATATACAACTTGAACTTTATTTGATATAACTTTCTTAAATCTGAGCCTCTGTTTTCATTAATAGATTAAAGTATGTTTTTGAGTGGTTTCAGTCAGATTTGAAAGTATTAACAGACTTCTTTTCCAAACCCCACATCTCCTTCCCACTCCTATTACCCCACACCACCAGCTACCTGGTGACTTTCTGACTGCAGCAAAGTGGGGAAGCGCCCTTTATCAATGGGTCCATGACTCATTCTGGTCTCATAAACTTCTCAGGTAGACAGTGTAGCTACTTATTATCTAGCTGCTGACAACAGCTAATGTCATCTTCTGGCAAGCTTCCTGGTGAGCCATAAGTCCAATGCCTACTGCTTGTTCTGAGGACACACATCTGCCCTACTTACTACTTCACAGAGCTTTTTTATGAATGGGCTCCTGGGATCCAACTGCTTCTCAGTCATCTCTGGCTGTCTAATTGCATCATTCTGGTGTCTCCTTAGGCTCCCTCAGGTAACCTTCGGGACATATCCATTACCTCATCAATGGATGTATGAGAAAGATATATACAGACACTATCTATGGCAAACTCTCATCTTCCTCTGTTTGTGTGGGCAGGGAGTGTAGGATGCTTTGTGTGTGTGTGTGTGTGTGTCTGGTGTCTGTTGGAGAGGGCGTTGCTTGTGGTGATTCTTATCTGGCTAACTCAACCGGTTCTTTTAACCTACTTCATGCCCCTGCATATCCGCTCCATAGGCTGCTGTTCAACTAACTATGTCCTGGGAAGAAATGTGGAACTTTCTGCTGAGTGGATTTCCAAACATGGAAAGGCCTTTTTCTTACTTCTATCCCATATCATTCCCTTTCTTTCCTCTGTAGGATATGAATTTCACTTCATCAGGATACTACATAATGGTTAATACTTGCTCTTCTAAAACTCTCCCACCTTGCACTATTCTGCTCTAACTTACATGGATCTTTGCGGCCATAGTATTCGTTTGCTAGTGCTGCCATAGAAAACTACCACAGACTGGGTGGCTTAAACAACAGAAGTTTATTTTTTCCACAGTTCTGGAGGCTAGGAGTCCGAGATCAATGTTTGGTTTCTGCCCAGTCCTCTCTCCTTGGCTTGCAGATGGCTGTATTCTCGCTGTGTCCTCACATGGGGTTTCCTCTGTTGCGCCCACATTCCTGATGTCTTTTGTGTGTTCAAATTTCCTCTTCTTCGGAAGACACCAGTCAGATTGTAATAGGGCCCACCTCAACAGTCTCAATTTAATCACATCTCAAAGAGCCCATTTCCAAATACAGTCATATTCTGACATACTGGGTGGGGGATAGGGCTTCAACATATGAATTGTTGGGGGACACACTTGGCTGAGGAACACCCTGGAGGTGGGGACACCATGGGTTCTACTGAAACACATTTACCAACTGCTATTGTTGCCTCTATGCAAATAATTCTGCCATTTCCACAGAAGCCTGCTTCTTTAGTCGTGGGAATTAAGAAAGATGATATGCAATCCCCAGTTGTCCTTTCTCCATTTCTCCTGTGGCAACAAACAAACAAGAACAAAAAAAAACCTACTACAAGGCTGGAGATCTGAGTGGAGGTAATCACAGGAAAAGAAAATAATAGTAATAGTAAATAATAAAAAAGTAAGTTCTTAATCTTACTTTTTAAAAAATATAAGGCAATGTGTATTAAAAATCTATATGGAAAGGCATTTTATTTGATGTATCCCAAAATCTACTTGACTGAGAAATGTTTTCCTAGGCAGACTCATTAAAAGGTCAACAGGAACAAGTATTCTATTAAACATATTTTGAGGAATCTGGATGTTGACCCTTGTCTGGCAGTCCCATGCTTGGAAAGTGTTTAATAGTTCAGCATTCATTATTAAATTAGATTTAAATATATCTGCCTTAATTCTTTAAGGCTGTCTATGCTCTAGTACTAATTTATTTTTGTATCCTTATCTCTTGATTCTCTTATATATAGCATGTACTCCAAATTACATGATCCTAAATATACTTTGTGGTTTCCGCCTTCTACATCTTTTTTTAATGCTGTTTCCTCTGCCTTCCTAGAAGGTTTTGTTAAATCAAAAATTCTATCTCTTCATGAATATTTTTAATCTCCTTAATTCAGTGTGATTTCTTCCTTCTATGAACTTGCATAGATTTTACTATGTTCTGCCAGAGCAGGTATTATTCATTTTTTTCTTTACTTATGAGGTTGTAATTTCATTCAATATAGAGAACATATCTTGCTTATCTTTAAACCTTCCATAATGTTTTTCACACATGCATCTTCAACAAATATTAGTTAAATAAATGAAATAAGATGCACTAAAGATTGAGATGATTTATTCTTTGGGTCTATGCCCTGGTTCCAAGTAGTTTATGAACCATATGCATTTATCTGCTCTCTCTCATGAGACTCCATTGATACAAGGAAAAAGAAATTTTTAATAAATTATAAGCTTTTATTGATGAAAAATAAATAGAAGAAGTGAGAATTGAATGAATTTCTGGGAGATGGAAAGTAAACAAAGCAATATTTTCTGTTGGAAATCACGGCCCAGACTTTCTTTAAAGGGTGATATAGTAAGACAAAATGCCAGTCCCCGATGAAACTTTGAGGGTACAAGGTGCCTAGAAAAAGAGGGCAAATATTAATTCAAGTTATGTATATTGAACGATGACTTACACCTCTTTCATTAATCACAGTACTATTTCCCTGCAGTTAAGTCTGGCTAGACATTTATCATTCGGGAAAAATAAAACTTTTCCTAGAATAATTTAAATAAAACGAAGTCCACCTTAGCAGATAATTTGGAGCTGGGTTCCAGTTCTCTATAATCTGGTATTTGAGAGGCCCCAGATTGAGTAGTCTAATTTCTTTTTGCTTTCTATATGGTAAAACCTACCATTTAACACATCATATTCACAGACAAAGGAATCCATTTAATGTCCTTATATCTTGTACTCGAAATTTGAAATATGGCTCTTGTTATTTGCTGAATATCAGCATGCAGGATGAGATGAGAGAAATATATCCAGCCAAAGGAGAGCAACAACTTCTGTTCTGTTGTACTGAAATTGTTTTGGGTCTATAGCTAAGGTTGGGTGTTACTTACACTCATTAGTAAACATAGATTTGTTTAAAAAAATCAAAACTATAATATTTAAAAAGAGAGTCAAATATATATTTTCAAAACAAGGAGTTTCAGTAAGTGAAAACAAAGTACATTAAAAAGAGATTCAAGCATGTATTTGAAAAGTAGAGTAGTATAAACAATAATTTAGAAGACTATTTTGAAGTATTATAAAGGGTGGTGATGATTATTCAAAGGAATAAAATCTTATGGATTTTGTTTTTCCACAGGCTTAAATATTTAACTTAAATTTCTGTTGAACATGATTCTGGAGGTGCTGATTTTGTCTTCAGTATTAAGGGGATAAAAGGGTCATAACAAATAAATACAGAAATCCAAAATAAAATAATGATAATTATTATTCCCAGCAAGATTCAAACAGAACAGGAGTTGTGGTGGAGAAATGGAGAGGAAAGACCTGTTGAAATTAAAAGAGTGATTGCTGAAATTTAAAAAAAAAAATTGTTTTGGAAGATAATCTCATAGAAATATTTAGGATTTTAGATAAAAATGCAGAGTTGGAATATACAAGCAAAAAGACTAGAAGCACAGGAGATCAATCCAGAAGAGATGATATTTGCTTTGGTAGCAGCTCCACCAAGAGAGGTTAGAGAAAATGATAGTTAGAAATTATAAGAGAAGAGGAGAGACTCAAGCCTGTAAATTGTTAGGGTCTCCTGAGTGTGAGTCGTAATAAATAAAAAAGAACCACTCTTAGATACTTAGCACTGCCAAATTATAAAAACACTAATGATGAAGAAAATTTTCTGAAAAGGAAAGAGGAAAAAGAAATTCAGTATTGATTAGAGCTTTTAAACTTTAGACAAGACTACCCATTGCCTAGTTTTAAGTATAAAGAGAAATATAAAGGAATATAGTCACAGAGTCATTGGGAAAGCAATAAAGTTACTCTCTATGTTAAACTTGCATAAAAAATTCCCACTACCACACCAAGCAACTAACCAGATAAAGGAGCTTTGGCCTCTAAAAGCCCCCAGAACAATACTACCTCTACTAGCCATCCATTGCAACAAAATGGATGCCTCCCACCCTGCCTGTTTCCTCCCTTAGCTCAATTCCAAAACAAACACCTATATTTGTATCTGACTGCTGGAACCCAGGCCACATGTCTGCACCACAGCTAGAACCAATGATTCCTAAAATTTACCACTGAAAAGGGGTCCAAATTAGAAAAGTCAGGCACTCAGTCTCCACAAGGGATTGGAATAAATTAAAAACAACATATCAAATGGAATGCATCTGTTTTTTCTCCCAGCTGGAAAACAAAACCATAAACTCCAAGAAATAAAGAGTTTATGATAAAGCAAATTAAAACATGTCATAATATAGAGCAATAAGTAGTCAGTAAGTAAAGAGAAATTATTTGAACATTCTTTCTGGATAACTCAGGGAACTGCAGATAAGGTCATATAATTGAAGCCCTCCACTTGACTCTCAATGAACTCTATTGCAATCCGCATAATAATGTAATCACTGCTCACAGGCTCTCTACTTTAAATCTGAAGTCATAGACTTATAGCTAATAAACAAAACACCAATATTTACAACTTCAACGATGTTCAAGATTTAACAAATAAATATTGAAATAAAAATGAGAAGATATGGAAATGAAGAGGGTAGCTAATATCATCCCCAGGTTCCAAAATAGAAAATCAAGACTCTGTCTATAGTTAGTGAAACATAATTTTAAGTATGGTAAGTTAAAAAGTACCTAGTAAATCAGAGATTGCATATGAAACAAATTCTACCAGTAGATAAGTTTTATTTGGCTGCCAACATGGTGTCAGCATTTTTTTTTTCCTTTTGAATTGTTTTCTTCGAATTTGCGGTTCAGTAGACATCCAACAACCAATTCACCACAAGTCTGAACACTCCTTATATCCTATATCTGGCCTGACTTATGTGTTTACTTTACTAAATTTGCTCTGTAGACACTAGAGTCAGAACATTGAAAAATAGAAATTAAAAATAGCAATATGATTATATAAGCAACTCTGGGGAAATTCACTGTGAAAAAATTCTTTTCTGTTATATCTTACAGGAGGAGGTCAATAGGTAGTACCTACAATAATAGGGTAGTAAATGTGGTAACATATTATTAAGAGATACCTTAAAACTCTCTGAAGTAAGCTCAGGATTTGGAAGCATGTGTTGTTAATTTTTTTTGATCAAAATTTAAGCTATGAATGAGAAAATAGCATTTAATTAAGAGTTAAAACATTATTATGGTTTGGTCATTTATTTAGTCATTTTATAAATAATCATCATATGCATCCATACTATGTAAGGTACCATGTTAGGACTTTGGGGAATATAAGCTTGAATACATTGTGATCACAAATCAGACCAATAGTCTGATTAATAGACAATTACTCAGACTAAGTGCAGGGCAGGATGAAATTTAATATTGCTTTTATATGTATTTGGAATGTATTACAAATTTCCCCTAATGGTTTTATTTTACTAATGAAGATTATTTTTAGTTATGGTAAGAATTAATTACTTGAGAAGAAATCAAATGACAACATGGAGAGACAGCAGAAATGTCCTAGTTATAATTATTTTAAAGGGCAAATGATAAAATGTAAATAACAGCAATAGGAGCTTTGTAAGTTCCTACATGTCTAAGTATTAATATTTATGGAATATATCTTGCCTGGGAAATTCACTACAATGTTTTAAACTAAAGGTACAGATATAGCAATGTAATATAAATGCACAATGGCATGAAGCACTTGAATAGAAGCGAAGCATATGGTATTCACTAAGCAAGCAGGCTGTGATCTGTGTGAGAGAGGGGAAAGTACAATGTAGCTATAAAATTTTATTAATGCTGAAGTAGAACAGTTGAAAATCAGTGAGATATAACTTATTTAATAATGGAGTTAAAGAGCTGAGAATGCAGCTCCAGTATTACAAGTGAATTTATTTTTTCACCTGACAGTTTAAAAAGTAGATGAAAAGTCTTAACACAATTTTAGGGTATTTTTTGTGTGTGGTGGTAACAGGAATTAAATGAACACTTCAAAAAACCCGTTGAGAGTTATTGAAGGAGAAACCAACGTTAAGGGCAGTGAATTTAAGCTACTTTCATGTACAATCAACTTTTAAAATCTAACTTTGGCACCTTTTTTTATTTCTCATTGAAGTAGATGCCTTTCAAAATGGTGTTCATTGTTTATGATCACTGTCAATAATGCTTGAAAACTATTTAGCATTTTCCTATTCTCTCCACTTTTGATGGCCATTTTTCTTATCCTGAAAATGGCAAACAGCTTTCCGGTTCCACCTGGTGGTAGAAAATTGATTACCATGCTTTATATTGTGTCTGCAACTTTTAATCTTAGAACTCAGATTTCTAATTTGATGCTTGGTGACCTACAATGTTGGGGCAGTTCTGCTGTTCAAGAATTGGAATTCATAAGCATCTTCCTAGTAGACCAAGGTGTCTTTTTTTTTTTATTACTTCTATCTGGAGTTCTCAAGTACTTTTCTTTCTAGATATTCTGCATCCGTACAGTCAGTTCTATCTGCAGACTTACAAGAATAAATGTTCATATAATACATAGTTATGTGTTAGCTGTTTATTTTGTAAACTCATCTGTTTTGGAAGCTTCTGTGTACCCCACATACCCCCGTACCGTAAATTATATTTACCTTTCCAATGAAACTGGCTACGATTTGTCAGAATTATTTATTTGACCTACAGTGGCTAAACTGTGGATTCCTAACATTGATAGTAAAAGCAAAATTGTAATACCATTTAAATATTTTAATTTTTAAATAAAGTTTGCAATAATTGTGAAATAATGTAATTCATGAGTGCAAAAAAACACCCTGGGAAGTATACAAACAACAAACTGATTGCAACCAAATGGACATTATTTCCATAGATTATGGAATTAAATAAAGTGCATTAATTTTAATTAGATTTAAACCCTTTGGTGACTTATTTTAGACCTTTAAAATCTCCTTGCAATCAATATAGTGAATTAATACATTTTCTTATCTTCTTCAAAATAGAATATCAATAAAGAAATTTATATTTAACTCATTAATCTTATTTAAGTACAAACTGGAATGAAATTCTTTCCCAAAAATGTCAAAATATTTCTACAGTTACGTATATGCAAAAATTTCTGTAGTTATATATATGTAAACACTTTTACTACATGGTGGAGAATGAATTATATATTAAAGTTATCTTGTGACAAGGTGCTCTTTATTCCCATTGATGCAAAGATAACTTAGTTTGATAATAAATATAAATATATAAAAGTAACTAATATGAAAATCTGTGTCAATTTTGGTGAATCTGAAGTAAATTATTTATCATCTGTTTAGCTACATTATTTAGGATCAAAGAGAACAAAATGTACTAGCAAACTAAATCCAAGGATTACAGTGTAGAGGTGCTTAAAACAATGCTGTGAAAGAGGTAGACTCCCACTAATGATTATATTTTACAATTTTAAAGGCAGTGCTTCATAACACCAAGGCTTTTCTTTAGTTTACCTCTAGTGTGATGGCATTCTTATATACATAAAGAAAATATGAAAATTAAAAAAAATAAATTCTACTTTCTAACATCTATTAATATGAATTTCACAAAAACATACAGGTTCATAAAAACGTAGGAAGTCATCAGTATAATAAGATTTTGTGCTATTTTATTAAAGTGGGACTACTTTACTGAACAGGGTAGTACAGCATATCCTGAAATAAGAACAGAGTATGCAACATATTAAGACTTCAAAATATTGTATCTAGGACAGGAAATTCCAATTAAATCCTTTATTTCTCCCTTTGGAAAAACTGATGTGGGGAAACTCTTAAAAACAAAACTATATAAGGTTCTTTTACTGCATTCAGAGGTCTGTATTGAAATACATTTCCGCAAAAAACAGATCCAACTACTTATTAGCTAACAGCCCTTATTCCACTTGGTTGATTATTTTGAAGTATAGTAGACTAATATGTGAGTTAATTCTTTCTGCCAATAAATACCCATTTGCCTTGAAAATGCAATCATTGTTAAGTGAGAAATATGCAACTCGTGTTTTAAAAAATTGTACAAATTGATTTACACACAATCCAAAAGTTAATGGAACAGATAATATCTTTACCTTGGAAACAATAAACAGAAGGGAACAAACAGCTTTTTTGCGGTTTGTTTTTTTCTAACCAATAGTTACTATGCTGAGAGGAACCTTCATGTTGCCCCAGGTTTGGTGATTATAATCCAAAACTGAGGACAAAAATGATTCAAGTATTTTATTTGCTAATCTTCTTACCCTTCTATAAAAAGAGATGATCGGAGAGGGTGACAGATAGAGGAGCACAGTGGTTATGCATCCACCCCCAGCCCAGTGAGATGAGGTCCAAAAAAATTACTTATTACTCATGGAAAATAGGATGTCTGCCTGCAGTAGGAACTAATATCTCATTTGCCAGTTAGACATCTGCTTATGTAGTTTCCTGAGATTATTTGACCATGAGGGGAAAAAGAGAAGGAGATGGCAAGTCAGGGAGATGACAAGTAAGGGAGTAGAGACTGCTGTGGAGCAGCCCATACTCTTGCGCGTGAGTTTCCTGAAGCACAACCGATAGTTTAAAAAGACCACAGTGCAATCAAACTAGAACTCAGGATTAAGAGACTCACTCAAAACCGCTCAACTACATGGAAACTGAACAACCTGCTCCTGAATGACTACTGGGTACATAAAGAAATGAAGGCAGAAATAAAGATGTTCTTTGAAACCAATGAGAAGACACAACATACCAGAATCTATGGGACACATTCAAAGCAGTGTGTAGAGGGAAATTTATAGCACTAAATGCCCACAAGAGAAAGCAGGAAAGATCCAAAATTGACACCCTAACATCACAATTAAAAGAACTAGAAAAGCAAGAGCAAACACATTCAAAAGCTAGCAGAAGGCAAGAAATAACTAAAATCAGAGCAGAACTGACAGAAATAGAGGCACAAAAAACCCTTCAAAAAATTAATGAATCCAGGAGCTGGTTTTTTGAAAGGATCAACAAAATTGATAGACCACTAACAAGACTAATAAAGAAAAAAAGAGAGAAGAATCAAATAGATGCAATAAAAAGTGATAAAGGGAATATCACCACTGATCCCACAGAAATACAAACTACCATCAGAGAATACTACAAACACCTCTGTGCAAATAAACTAGAAAATCTAGAAGAAATGGATAAATTCCTTGACACATACACTCTCCCAAGACTAAACCAGGAAGAAGTTGAATCTCTGAATAGACCAATAACAGGATCTGAAATTGTGGCAATAATCAATAGCTTACCAACCAAAAAGAGTCCAGGACCAGATGGATTCACAGCTGAATTCTACCAGAGGTACAAGGAGCAACTGGTACCATTCCTTCTGAAACTATTCCAATCAATAGAAAAAGAGGGAATCCTCCCTAACTCATTTTATGAGGCCAGCATCATCCTGATACCAAAGCCGGGCAGAGACACAACCAAAAAAGAGAATTTTAGACCAATATCCTTGATGAACATTGATGCAAAAATCCTCAATAAAATACTGGCAAACCGAATCCAGCAACACATCCAAAAGCTTATCCACCATGGTCAAGTGGGCTTCATCCCTGGGATGCAAGGCTGGTTCAATATATGCAAATCAATAAATGTAATCCAGCATATAAACAGAACCAAAGACAAAAACCACATGATTATCTCAATAGATACAAAAAAGGCCATTGACAAAATTCAACAACCCTTCATGCTAAAAACTGTCAATAAATTAGGTATTGATGGGATGTATCTCAAAATAATAAGAGCTATCTATGACAAACCCACAGCCAATATCATACTGAATGGGCAAAAACTGGAAGCATTCCCTTTGAAAACTGGTACAAGACAGGGATGCCCTGTCTCACCATTCCTATTCAACATAGTGTTGGAAGTTCTGGCCAGGGCAATTAGGCAGGAGAAGGAAATAAAGGGTATTCAATTAGGAAAAGAGGAAGTCAAATTGTCCCTGTTTGCAGACGACATGATTGTATATCTAGAAAACCCCATTGTCTCAGCCCAAAATCTCCTTAAGCTGATAAGCAACTTCAGCAAAGTCTCGGGATACAAAATCAATGTACAAAAATCACAAGCATTCTTATACACCAATAACAGACAAACAGAGAGCCAAATCATGAGTGAACTCCCATTCACAATTGCTTCAAAGAGAACAAAATACTTAGGAATCCAACTTACAAGGGACGTGAAGGACCTCTTCAAGGAGAACTACAAACCACTGCTCAATGAAATAAAAGAGGATACCAACAAATGGAAGAGCATTCCATGCTCATGGGTAGGAAGAATTAATATCGTGAAAATGGCCATACTGCCCAAGGTAATTTATAGATTCAATGCCATCCCCATCAAGCTACCAATGACTTTCTTCACAGAATTGGAAAAAACTACTTTAAAGTTCATATGGCACCAAAAAAAAGCCCGCATCACCAAGTCAATTGTGAGCCAAAAGAACAAAGCTGGAGGCATCACGCTACCTAACTTCAAACTATACGACAAGGCTACAGTAACCAAAGCAGCATGATACTGGTACCAAAACAGAGATATAGATCAGTGGAACAGAACAGAGCCCTCAGAAATAACGCCACATATCTACAACTATCTGATCTTTGACAAACCTGACAAAAACAAGCAATGGGGAAAGGATTCCCTGTTTAATAAATGGTGCTGGGAAAACTGGCTAGCCATATGTAGAAAGCTGAAACTGGATCCCTTCCTTACACCTTATACAAAAATTAATTCAAGATGGATTAAAGACTTAAACGTTAGACCTAAAACCATAAAAACCCTAGAAGAAAACCTAGGCATTACCATTCAGGACATAGGCATGGGCAAGGACTTCATGTCTAAAACACCAAAAGCAGTGGCAACAAAAGTCAAAATTGACAAAAGGGATCTAATTAAACTAAAGAGCTTCTGCACAGCAAAAGAAATTACCATCAGAGTGAACAGGCAACCTACAAAATGGGAGAAAATTTTCGCAGCCTACTCATCTGACAGAAGGCTAATATCCAGAATCTACAATGAACTCAAACAAATTTACAAGAAGAAAACAACCCCATCAAAAAGTGGGCAAAGGATATGAACAGACACTTCTCAAAAGAAGACATTTATGCAGCCAAAAGACACATGAAAAAATGCTCATCATCACTGGCCATCAGAGAAATGCAAATCAAAACCACAATGAGATACCATCTCACACCAGTCAGAATGGCAATCGTTAAAAATTAAGGAAACAACAGGTGCTGGAGAGGATGTGGAGAAAGAGGAACACTTTTACACTGTTGGTGGGACTGTAAACTAGTTCAACCATTGTGGAAGTCAGTGTGGCAATTCCTCAGGGATCTAGAACTAGAAATACCGTTTGACCCAGCCATCTCATTACTGGGTATATACCCAAAGGACTATAAATCATGCTGCTATAAAGACACATGCACACGTATGTTTATTGCGGCTCTATTCACAATAACTAAGACTTGGAACCAACCCAAATGTCCAATAATGATAGACTGGATTAAGAAAATGTGGCACATATACACCATGGAATACTATGCAGCCATAAAAATGATGAGTTCATGTTCTTTGTAGGGACATGGATGAAATTGGAAATTATCATTCTCAGTAAACTATCGCAAGGACAAAAAACCAAATACCACACGTTCTCACTCATAGATAGGAATTTAACAATGAGAACACATGGACACAGGAAGGGGAACATCACATTCTGGGGACTGTTGTGGGCTGGGGGAAGGGGGGAGGGATAGCATTAGGAGATATACCTAATGCTAAATGACGAGTTAATGGGTGCAGCACACCAGCGTGGCACATGTATACATATGTAACTAACGTGCACATTGTGCACATGTACCCTAAAACTTAAAGTATAATAATAATAAAAAAATAAAAGAATAAAAAATAATAAAAAAATAAAATAAAAAGGTTTGACCTATCTTTCTAGTACCCCATCTACTCCACAAAGTGAGGCAGCTGAAGAAGCTAGAGTCTATAGGGTGTACCGCTAGGAAATAAGGAAGAGTGGAATGCAGTTTCTTGCTTACCAGTGATGTCATACAGAGGCCCACCTCTCACTCCCCGAAAAACATTTTCATGTCTCTATAAGATAGGCATCATGTGGTTACCATCTTCATAGAAAACAATGATGGCAGTTAGAATTAGCCTGCAGAGCAGCGACAGCCCAGGGAGAACAAGCCTGAGCTGGTAAGATTGGAGCTTCAAATTTGATAGGCCTGGGTTGGATTTAAATGGAGCTCCAATGTGATTTTAAAGAAATGGGATCTGCCTAAAATATTATTAAATGATAGGAATGGGAGATCTGAAATTGTATGGCTGAAGGCTACAAAGTCACGGAATTTGTAATTTATTTACTTCACTAGACTGCTTTTTTCCTTTTTCCCAAGCAATCAACTTGTCTTCCAATATCCTTTCCTTTTAATTTTTTTCCATTAAGACATTTGTTGAGGGCATAAAAATGTCAAGGATAATAAACACAAGCTTCTTTTCCTTCCAAGATGTCTCATCAAAAATTTTCTAAGGCTCTCTTGACTGGTATTGGCTGTTGGGTGCATGAACTCTACAGCATGCCCCTTTATTCAGAGAGACTAGAGATCTAGGGGATTCTTTCTTTCTCTTCTTTCCTTTGTTGCCCAGGCTGGAGTAGCTGGGATTACAGGCATGCACCACCACGCCCAGGCATTTTTTTTGTTTTGTTTTGTTTTGTATTTTTCGTAGAGACAGGGTTTCTCCATGTTGGTCAGGCTGGTCTCAAACCCCCGACATCATGAGATCCACCCTCCTCAGCCTCCCAAAGTGTTGGGATTACAGGCGTGAGCCACCGTGCCTGGCCGGGATTCTTTCAAATATTAAACATATACTGTTCTTCTGTACTCCATTTGGTTTTTTAAAATATAATGTTTCATCTCCATATTCTGTTATTTTTTAACTTTTTTTAAAATCCGAGATCATTAAAAGTAGCTGTAGCTAGCAATGATTTTGAAAACAAATGTGGACATAAACTTGGCTAGGAAGGATTCTTTACTATTCAATGACTAGTCAATATAGTAGAACAGTCTCACAAGAGTATGAAGTAGATAACAGATTATACTATTTTAGAGGTTGGAGTGTACCTCAAGGTTAACAGTTAGTAATTACACAAGCCTCTTATTTCTCCTAAATGTTCATTTAGTTGCTGTAAACACATCTTAAATCTTTATTAAATGGTTTTTCATAATTTTCGATGAGCTTCCCACTCTACGCTTTTTGTCCATAATATTTCTTATGTTTTTATTGCTGCTATTTTTATCTAATTACAACACTAAATTGATATAATATTAAATTCACTTCATGTCCATTAGTGATTATGAAACTCAGTTTTTTTTTTTTTAATTCTAATGACACATTTATCATAGAGAAAGTAATTCATTAGACCTAAACATTATTCTGGTGAAGGCAAAAGGAATTATATAATTAGAAAAGCAGAACATTTAGTAATTGAGCATGAAGAACATTGTTAGATTATTCTTTGTTCATTTAACAAAACATATATTAAGCTCTTCCTCTGTGTCGGAACCGATGTCATGTCTTGGGGATATAGTGGTAAACAATACATGATCCCTTTTCTCATAAAGCTTATTTCACAGGGAAGCAAGATATTAAGAATTAATTAACACAATTTAATGTTACAGTATTATGAAAGGAGAAGTACACTACAGCAAAACTGAGGAAGTAATGATTAAGCTGAGGGTCAAGAATGGATACGCCATAGGAGGTAGAGAGAAAAGTATTGTGGAAAATCCTAGACATAAGAGACAGTGTCTTGTTCAGGACAAATTAAAGACTTCTAATGGCTGATGTGCATAAGAGAAAGCAGACAGAAGTAACAGATGAAACCTGAAAGACAGTCATAGAACAGGTGAGCAGGGCTTTGTAATGACAATTTTTCAAAGTTTAACTTTATCAGATGGAAGAAGGAAGCCCTTTAGCATTTTCAATGGCAGAGTGACATGAAATAATTTGAGATTTTGAAATTTACTCTTACTACATTACTGTAAAAGGATTTGTGAAAGCATTCACTGGAAACAAGGAAGTGAGTTAGGACTGTTTTAAAGGTGTAAGAATTGATGATGGAGGAAGGAATAAACAAATAGGTGAGTACAAATCACACCTGGGTGATAGAATTAAAAGATTTGCCGCTATAAGAAGTTTGGAAATGTACTATTTATTTATGTAATTATTTCTCCCTCATTCAAAATCAGTCTTGAATTAAGTCTACCCAGATATAAAAAGTAAGATATAAGAAAAATAGAAAATTGGGATAGAACTGTAAGCTGAAGACAAATTAATGATTTTTAGATAGATCTATAGGATGTAAAATGTCCTGCATTACCAATAAAGGTACAAAAACTTGGCATTTAATATCCTAGTAGCCTCAAGAATGGAAATAAAACAGCAGCAACATTCACACTGAATGTTGGAGCTCCTCAGAACTGACGTTCCTGAACAAAGTGCTGGCTTTTTAGCCAGTGTGTCTGGGTTGAATTATTTGATCTACCCATGCTGGCAAGATCATCAAAGCCATTGAACCTCAGTTTCTTTATCTGTGAAATGGGGGTAAAAGCATATATCTCATAGATTACCAGGAAAATAAAATTTTTCATTAAATAAATATTTTTGAACATCTACTATGTCTTAGAACATGTTCTAGTCACCAGAAATCCTCCAGAAAACAAAGTAAACAACAGGGCTCAGTGGTTCCACTGCTACATTCTGCTGCAATTGGTGTTGGGTGAGATGTTGTGGCAGAAATAAAGAGTAATTAGCATTCAAATGAAGGTATAATATGTTGCTAACATAAAGATGTCAATTTCATCCAAATTTATTATTTTAATTCCATCCCAACAATCATACCAACACAACATTCTTTTTTAAAATAGATAAGCTGATTTTATATGATAAAATGAAGCAATCAGACAAGCAAGGAAAATTTTCAAGGTCAATAATAATGAGAGGGGATTATCTTATATACTTAAAAATAATGTGCAGTTACAATAATTGAAATAGTGTGCTATTAGTGAATTCACAGAGAAGAATCAATTAACAGGCTAGAAATTATATGTACCTCTAATACAGGCACAGATAATTAGGAATTTGGTGTTTGATAAAGGAGTTATTTTAAATTAGTGAGTAAAAAGATAGATTATTCAATACATTGAGTAACTGGGTGGATATTCAAAAAAGCTAAATTCAATACATTCATCATAGAAATGGAAAAATGATTACTTTCTGCCTAGAGAAAATATTAGTCCTAAAATATTAGTAAGTAGGGGATAGGGGAAGCTTATGTAATGTAGACCAAATGCTGCCCTGAAACACAGCAAGGAAGCAGTGAAAAATATACAAACAAAAAGCTTTAATTATTGGTACCAATCATGGAGGAGTTTTTTTGCCTTTTTGTGATGCATTTTATTTTTTATTTATTAGAAAATATTTCAGACATTCAAAAGGTATAAGAATATTATTATGAACACCCATGTACCTAGTATTCCAGATTTAAAAAAATAAACATGCCAAATGTTTGTGAAACCTCACATACACTATGTCTGTTTGACATCTCCTCTCTTTTTCTAGGACTTAGTTTGCTATAAAGCTGAATCTGCAGACTATTATTTTATTTAACATTTTGTATTTAAGATTTCCCCATGATGTCTTGTAAGCACTGGGACTTGCATTTTCACTGTTATCTATATGTATATTTATTTGTTTGTTTATCTATCCATGTTTCTTGTGACTAAGAATATTTAAGATTGTTATATATTTTTCTCTTCCATTAGCAAATTCTCGAAGTCTGCCTTCAGAACATACCCAGAATCTAACATGATCCAAACCATTATCATCTAGGTGGATCATTGCAATAATCCCCTCACTGGTCATTGTCTCTTCTTCAATCTGTTTTCAACACAATGACCAGAGGGATTTTATAAAATATGAATCAGACCTTTTGTACTAGTCTTCAAAAATCTCCAATGATTGCCAAGTCATCCCAATGAAAGGTCAAAGCCATAGTACAGTTATTTATAAAGTCCTACATGATCCCTCCTCCCAGCTAGTTACCTCTGTGGCCCCATTTTCTCCCCCTCCCTGAATTCCAGCTAAACTGGCTTCCCTGCTCTTCCTTAGCCGCATCAAGCATTAACTGTCTCAGGGAAGTGCTTGTAGCTACTTCTGCCTGTAATGGTCTTCTCCCAGACCTCTCTTGCCTTCTTCAAGATTTTTACTCAAATATCATCTTTTCCCTAGTCACACTATTTACATTTTATTCTACCTGCTAAAATATTAGCTCCCTTTCTGATTTATTTTTCTCCCCACAATTATCACCTCTAAACACAACACAATTTGCTTTTTCATGTTTATTGTTGGCCCTCTCCCACTAGTGGCTCTATGAGACAAGATATTTTTACCTTTTTTGTTAACTGCCATAACCTTTGAATCTAAAGCCTTTCCTGACGTTTCACAGGTGCTCAATAAATATTTTGTGTATTAGCTAATGAGTGGGGACTGGATATACACATCAGCATTAGATGTAATATTGATGTCTAGCATTTCTCAAGCAAATAACATGCGATGAAAATAACAAAGTTTGTATACTGACAATTAGATTAATTTAGAGATTCCAGGTTAACTATTAGAGGTTTTGAAGAAATCATAAAGAAAAAAAAAATTCCAACGAAATGACATCCTAAAAAAAGATGCTGCCTGAGGGGCAATGTGCCAGCATAAAATAGCAAGGCAATAAGCAAATTATTTAAGAAAATTTATCTGAACTGTCCTAGTCCGATTCCATCCATTTCTGTTCCCTTCCAAGTTACCACATTGTGTTCCCCTGTCAGCTTCTGGAATTAGATTTCTAATTCTCTTGAATAGCTTTTAGTACCCTTGCATGACAATTAGTTGACCTCATGCTGGCTTTTGGATCTCAAACAAATACTGATGAATTACCAGCACCATCTCATACATTTTCAGCCTTTCAGATAGATTCTGTTTTTGCCAAGTATCATCTTGCTAAATAGTAATGTGGTACAAAACAAAAATAACTTTATTTTTGTTTGCCAAAGGGAACGTTTTTTCCACCAGAGACAATCATTCTTAGGAAGTAGTAGCTAGATGTAGTCATATGCAATCAAAAATCAAAACTGTTTTATGTTGTTGTTTTCCTACTTCCAAAAATACGTTAACATTATGGAAGAATGGGCACAGGTTTTAAAAGCATTATTGTTTAGTAAGTCGACTAGGTTTATTTAAAATAGCTCCGGAATTTAGCAATGAGGAAGATGTAACATCAGAGTAATATTGGCAGCTTACATTTACTGCGTGTTTTCTCTGATCCCAACATCTCCCAAGTGATTTCTTTGTGTTACCTCATTTTATCTAACCCAATGAAGCTGATACTGTTTGTCACTGAAGAGATAAAGAATCACTGAAAAGTTAAATAACTCACAAAAGATTGTAGAGTTTGGCCAGGGGCGGTGGCTCACACCTATAATCCCAGCACTTTGGGAGGCCAAGGCGGGCGGATCGCCTGAGGTTGGGAGTTCAAGACCAGTCTGTCCAGCATGGTGAAACCCCATCTCTACTAAAAATACAAAAATTAGCTGGGCATGGTGGCAGGTGCCTGTAATCCCAGCTACTCGGGAAGGTTAGACAGGAGAATCGCTTGAACCCAGGAGGCAGAGGTTGCAGTGAGCTGAGATCGTGCCATTGCTGTCCAGCCTGGGCGACAAAGCAAGACTCCTTCTAAAAACACACAAATAAATAAAAATAAAAACAAAACAAAACAAAACAAAACACGATTATAGAGTTGGGACTCAGATTAGACAATCAAACTCCAGGGCCCAGGCTCTTAACTCTTTAAGCATACTTAAGAAGGAATGAGGCAGCAATGAGGCATACTTAGAAAATATAGATATTTTTTAAAGCTTATTGACAATTTGAAAATATTGACAAATGTTACCTTCCTAATAACCCTTTAGACAATACTCAGTTTAAAATGGCCTTTAAAGTCCTAAACATGGTTGTAATGTCTTGTGATCTGTTTTGATCCATTAAGAATTGATTAGAGATTATGATAAATTATTTTGATTTTTATATATTTATCATATTGCTTCTAAAATGTGCTTTTTTGTAGAGTTCATAAGTGTTATTCAGCAAAGGTAAATGAATTTATTATATAAAATGAGAAATAACCTATTTATATATCCATTATGAATTTCTCATAAATTGAATTTTTAATATATTTCTAAAGCCACTGAGTTAGGCGGGCAGCGCAGAACGTTCCAGAACAAAAGACATTGTACTTTTTGTGGTAAAATTATCTTCTTTATAAAAATACTTTTGTGGGATGTCTTTTGGAGATTTAGTCAGTTCAGGCTGTTATTACAAATTACCACAGCTTGGGCATTTTATAAACAACAGAAATTCATTTCTTACAGTTCTGAAGGCTGGAAATCCAAGATCTAGGTGCCAACATGATCCAGTGCTGGTGAGGGCCCCCTTCTGAGTTTTAAACTGCTGACTTGTATTTTCACATGGCGGGAAGATAGCTCTTTAGCATCTTTTTAAAAGGCACTAATTCCATTCCTGAGGGCTCCACTCTCATAACCTAATTGCCTCTCAAAGGCCACACTCCCAAATACCATCATAATGGGATTAGGATTCCAACATGAATTTTGTGGTTACAAGAATATTCAGTTAGTTGGAGAGATCCTTACATTTAAAATAAGAAAAGTGTCTTTTCGTGACTGCTATACAATTGGAAGAAAGTTATTGCTACGATATGAACAAAAACTAAAGGTATATTTTCTATAAAATCAAAGATAAATTGAGATAAATTTGTAATTTTAAGTATAAAGCAAAATAAAATACCTACAGCAGCCACGCAGGTATCATAGGTAAGATAACGTTGGCCATATTATGGAGACTGTACAACAAATTTTAGAAGATATACATGATAGGATATGTATATAAAGAGAGACTAAAATCCTGTATCTCATTGATTCATTGTGAGAGTAAAGCTTTTCATTAGCTGGATCTTGGAAAACTCCCACTTTCTACAAAACTGTCATTTCTCAAGCATATATATATATATACATATATATATATATATATATATATATAGTATTCAAAATTTTTTAGAAACTCTTGCATATAATGTCATCTTCAGACTTCAAAGCATTACTCAGATGCTCCTTTGGATTGTGCTTGCCAGTTCTTACACAGTTGAGAAACAGTTCTATAACAACTGTTTTTTAACCACATTCACTGTGTTTTCTTTTTGTGTGTGTGTATGTGTGTGTGCCTGTGTTGCAGAGAAGGCCAGCAATCGCCAGAACAATGGCAGAAGATGTACGGTAGATGCTCCGGGAATGAAGTCTACCACATTGTTTTGGAAGAAAGTACATTTTTTGCTGAATATGAAGGAAAGAGTTTTACATATGCCTCTTTCCATGCACACAAAAAGTATGTTTCTGCCTCAGAGAAAAATTAAAATATCAATCAGTCAAGCATATCATGTGAAAATAGTTTTCAAAAATAGAATGCATATTGTGTTCATGTGTTTAGGCATTCCGGAATTTTTGTCACAATATTCCCCAATGTTGAAACATTTGAACCCTGGTGTCTGTATGGTCTCTATAAGACAGTCAGGAGTAAATTATAATTTAGTAGGAATATTTCATTTAGCCACTTTTAAAGTCTTTTTAAAATATTTTAATCCATTAAGAATTTACATACATATGAAAATCTTCTTCACAGATCTGAATTTTAAGATGTTGATTAGGAACTAAAACAAAGTAACACTAATATTTCTAAAAACTGTACATTTGAAAAAAAAATCTCTGATGGTGGCCCTTGTTTTGGCCTGAGAAATAAGTTAAAAAATAAATAAAACTACCTTCCAATTCAAACATAGAACTTTTTTTTTCTTTTCCTTTTTGGAAAAAAAAAGGATTTACTTAAGAAGTAAAAATGTATGTATATAATGAAAATAACATATTATCTGTATTAAATGTTTTAATGTGACACATTTTGGAGGATTTACAATATACGTATATAGTCTACTAACTAATCTATTATGTAATGTACAGGAACCCCCAACTTATGATGCTTTGACTTACTATTTTTTTACCATGATGGTACAAAACAATAGCCATTCAGTAGAAACCATACTTCCAGTATCCATACAATCATTTTATTTTTCACTTTCAGTAGAATATTCAATAAATTACATAAGATATTTAACACTTTATTATAAAACAGGCTTGGTATTAGATGATTTTGCCCAACTGTAGGCAATGTAAGTGTTATGAGTATGTTTAAGGTTGGCTAGGTTAAAACTATGATATTTGTTAGGCTAGCTGTATTAAAAGCATTTTTTATTTAACAATATTTTCAACTTATGCTGGGTTTATCAGGACATAACTCTATTATAAGTCAAGGAGCTTCTGTATTCTACTTTACTTTTTTTTTCTGACTAAGTACATACCTATTTAAGACTATTTAAATATATATATTTTTTCTAAAATTTAAAGTAAACCAACTGTGATAAATTCAGGGACCCTGGTTCTCTTTCAGGTGACCATGGGTAAGTTTCTTTCCTTTGGCCAATAGTTTTAAGCTTTTTATTTATTTTTTTTAACCAAAGTAAGATATGCTGTTTATGTTTTTTGACCAAAGTAAAATTGTTGTAAAAATTCGCAAAATAATGTTACCCTTAGTGTATACATGCACTCATGTTTCTTATGTTCTTCCATTCATTTTCATTAAAATGTAAATTTATAGTGGTCATAATCAGCTAAATTGGTTTTACAACACACTAAGCACATAGTTTATTTTCCTGTAAAAATGAGGATCTTGAACTTCTAGGATCATTTCAAGCTTTAAAATGCTATTATTTAAAGCTTTTATTTTCCTCAGCCTTACAATAATTTACTAATTTTCTTACAAACTCTCTTTTTTTTTAAATTAAGGTTTGGCGTCTGCTTGATTGGTGTTAGGAGGGAGGATAATAAAAACATTTTGCTGAATCCAGGTCCTCGATACATTATGAATTCTACAGACATATGCTTTTATATTAATATTACCAAAGAAGAGAATTCAGCATTTAAAAACCAAGACCAGCAGAGAAAAAGCAATGTGTCCAGGTCGTTTTATCATGGACCTTCCAGATTACCTGTACATAGCATAATTGCCAGCATGGGTAAGTATAAACAAATTTGAAATATCATTAATTTATTTCTAAAATAAAAAATAATGATAAATACCAATGCATTTAAATTTTTATTAAAAGTTTAAAGAAAATTTCAAACATGCTGCATTTTACAAACTAGGTATGACTAGGTATACAGGACAACAGTTCTAAGTTGTGAATTTTTTAAAAAGTAAGATATTAGCCTACTGTGGTGGCATATGTCTATAATACTACCTATTCCAGAGGCTGAGGTGGAAGAATTGCTTGAGCCAGGAGTTTGAGAACAGCCTGGGCAACAGAAAAAGACTCTGTGTCCAAAAAAACCTCAATCTAAGATATTACAAAAACACAATCAACAATCATTTTATATTTCTCATTATATATAAAGCACCACACACTTTTATATTTCTTTTGTAAGTTCTCTTTGTAATTATCATCAAGAGAGGCTATTTCAAATATTCTTCATTTTCTCAAAATTCTCTTTCCATCTCTTACCTCACTCTCACCACTGAACTTGGCTTCTATGACACAGAAGAAGAAAGGTAAAAGAAAAAATACCTCCATGCAAATAAGAATTTCTTTACGGTTTGGCCTCCAAACCATCTACAAACCTACAAACATTTAGTATCTGTCACAAGGAAAATGTGTCATTTTTAACTAATACTGATACATTCATTTATTCCAGGAACCATGCCCTTGTTCCTCCTCAGAGACTTTACTCTTTAATCCCTCCTCATTACCTAACTTCATTTTCTATTCAGAATCACTGGCTGATCTCTCTCTCTCTGTGTCTCTGTCTCTCTCTCTCTCTCTCTCTCTCTCTCTCTCTGTGTGTGTGTGTGTCTCTTCATATCTCTGTGTGCACCATACACTTGTAATTTTGAACCTTCCATGATAACAACTTCAGAGACAAATTTCTCCAAAGTGTTGTGTTTAGTGGCAGGCTTTAAATTTTATTGTTGTCCTATGTCCATGATTCTACCCAGTTCAATCTGACACCTGCAGTCATATCACTGAAACTATTCAGGCAAGGTCACCATGTTCCTCTTTGTCACTACATCTAAAATGATTGTCTTCACAGTATATGACAAGAATATTGACCATGTTCTTCCTGAAACACTCTAATGCCTTTTTTTCTGCTTTGTGCACATTCATTTTCATTGTGTGGTCACTTCTGTTCTCATGGATTCTATTGTCCGTAAACTGATTATTCCTCTGTCTAAAGCATTAACTCAACATCTCTTTACAGCAACGCGAACTGTCTACTAGTTATTTCTGTTTGAGTATTTTGTGGGAAAAACTGGCACAGCATATTCAAATTAAACTGATCCTTACACTCTCATTCAGTCATTCAACACCGTTTTTCTCCTTCTCCTTTTTTTTTTTTTTTTTTTTTTTTTTGCTAAAAAGCAGATGACACCATTATCCTTTGATCTGTAAGGCCACCATTCTGACTTTTCACCACCCGCTCTTCTCATACCTCATCATTAACCAAATTCTATTAAATCTGGTCAGTAAATAGCCCCTAGAATCATTCAGTTTTTTTCCATGTCCACCACCAACATCATCGTGGTCTGTGCCTCCATCCTTCTCTCCCTGAACTGCAGGATCAACAACCTTGTCTTTTTTCCATGCCTCCAGCCTTGCCACTCTACACTTAATTCTCCATCCTGCCACCAGAGTAAAAATTTTTAAATATAATTTTGATAGCATCATTTCCTGAACAAATCACCTGCTTTATACTACCCATTGGAAAAAAAAGTCTAAATTCTGTAGTGTGACTTAACTTATAAATAGGATAACCAAAAGTTCTTGTTTGCATTAGGCAATCCTAGTTTTCTTAGGAATGTTCCAGTTTCTTAGGATTGTTCAGTTTATATAATTGTCCTGATGTAATTATTAAAAGAACCCCCTTTTACTCTGCAGTATCCTAGTTTAGAAAATAAATTACTTCATCATTTTCTTTATAGGCTTTTTATTAGTGATATTTTCTGACTTTTCTAGCTCCACATTTTACCACCTCTTTGCTGCTCTCCTGAGCTCCAAACATACTCACTTTCTTTCAATCTTCACTAATATATTTTTTTCACCAATGGGCCTTAAAACATTAAGTTTCCTCTGATGGAACTATTCCTCACACCCCAACATTCCCTAAGTAATGACTTCTAATTCTTTATATCTTAGTCAAAATATCACTCCCTCCAAACACTATTCCATGGTTTTACCTAGACCTTCTTAGGTAATCCTATTTGTCATTTACTTATTTTTATTCTACAGTAGCAATATTCATTTTTAATGTCTTCAAAAAGTACTTATTGTGTGCCTAATATGTACCCAAAATAGTATTTATTGAGTACCTAATATGTACCAAGAACTCTCGTGTAAGTGTTTGTGATAAAACGTTAGTGAAGAAACAAAGATCCCTAGTTCATAGAGCTTGCATTCTATTATGGAGAAGACAGGCGATAACCAAAGTACATATAAAAAAATAAGTAAATTACTTAATATGCTAGTGGGTTATAAGTTATAAAGGAAAAACTAAAAGAAGAAAACAGAGCTAGTATAGGAGATAATTAATTTTTGGGAGGAGCAGATTTTAAATGAAGTGCTTAGTAGGCCAGAAAGTGATGTTTGAGCAGATACCTGAAAGAAATGAGGAATTAGTCCTGTGGAGGTCTGGAGAAAGAGATAACAGCTGGTACAAAGGCCCTAAAGTGGGAGCCTGGCTGGGGTTCTCCAGGAACAGTAACAGGGCCCTTTGTGCCTCAAACACAGTGAATGCTGGAAGAATAGTAGGAGATGAGGACGAACAGGTAGAAAGAGGCCAGATCCTGTTGGGCTTATTTAAGTCCATATGGGATTGCAGCTTCTACTCTCAGTGAAGTGGGAATTATTGCAAGGCTTTATGCAGAGCCATTGACCTGATCTCACCTATGCTGAGTGCTCAACTCAGGCTGCTGTTGAACATAGATGGTTTGGAGCAAGGATCAGACTATTTTCAAGTGGAAGTGGTAAGAAGGAGAAAATTCTGCATGTACTTTGAGGATAATCAGGATTCCTTACAAAATGAAATTGAACTGTGAGAAAAAGAGAAGTGTGAAGAAACATAAGGTTTTCGGATTAAGCAACTAGGGAAAGAGAATGGCCATAAATTTAGAGGAAAGGCTAGGGGGAATGCAGGTTTTGCGGGGGTGAAGGGAAGATAAAGAGTATTTTGGAACACCTTGAAGATGTCTAACAGGAAGTTGTATGTAAGAGTCTAGATTTCAGGAGAGAGAGAGAGATAGGCTGAAAAAGTAAATTTTGTATTTCTGATCTTATGTATATATTTAAAGCCATAAGACCAAATGAAGTCTTTGAGGAAATGAGTACAGGCAGGAAAAAATAAAAGACAAAGCTCTGCAGTATACTAAGATTAAGTATCAGGGGGATGAGAAGAAACCAGCAAAGGAGACCAAAGAGGAGCTACTGGCAGGCTAGTAGGAAAACCCAATGAGTGAGGTGTCCTGGAATCCAAGTGAGCTAAGTGCATTAAGACAACACCATGTAAAGCCATGTCTGATAGGTCATGGCTGAAAGCCAAGTACTGATAGGTCGTAACATAAGGACTGAGAAGTGTCAATTGACTTTAGCAATGCAATGATCATTGTTCACCCTCATAAGAGCTGTTTCAATGGAGTGGTGGTGGACAATGCTAGATTGGACTACGTTTGGGAAAGAATGGTAGAAGATAAATTAGAAACAGTAGGTCTGGACAGTTCTTAAAACGTCTGACTGCAAAACGGAGAAAAGAAATGGATTTGTAGCTTGTGTTGAAAGTACAAGCAAGTAAGGAAGGCAGAGAGATTGAGGGTTTGTATAATAGATTGTATATAATTATAGGCCATGGAACTTAATTTAAGTAAGGAAGTGAAAAGATGTATTTTGGTTAGAAAAGACTGAAAGGAGAGTGGATTAATCGATTCTAATTCCAGTGAAAATCAAGAGGGAAAGAGCTGGAAAGCCAAGGTACAGGTGTCAAAGAGTGAGATGCCAGAAGGAGAGATGATGTGCAGCAAGTAATAATTACAAAAGCTAAGGTGTGGCCATGAGAGTGAAGGACTGAAGAGTGATAGTAGAAAAAGCCATTACTAGAGAAGAGGACAAGGAGTTGAGTCTGGAATGTTGGAAGGATCATCTATGTGTATGGTGAAACTGCCAAAAATCAGGACAGACAATGTGGAGAGACTATTAATGATGCAAGAGCTAAACTGTCTGGGTGTATTCAGTTGCATAGGTATAGATATGGGGAACATGGAGAGTTTAACTTAAGCAGGGTTCTATTTTGTCAAGAGGGTGGAATGAAGCAAAAATGTATCAAGGGATCCAGGGGTATATGCAAGAAAATAATCATAATGCTTAAACATGGAATTTAAGATAGTTAAGAAGAGAAGAGAGAGCATCAAGGGAATGAGAGAGACAAACTCTGGTATCATCAGTAGAATTGAAGTTCCAGCATGGTAAAATCATAGCTAGTGTTAGGAAATCAGTGAGAGTGACCTGAACAAACAAGAAATAGTGGTGATCAAAGGGTGAATGCATAAAAATGTGTGCAACATTGTTTTTATTGGTTATAACAAGGTCTAAAAAATCACTATGGAAGTGAAGGGCTGAGATAAGGTAAAAATTTCTTCAGTTCATGTTATTATAATGAGGAAGAAGCTTGGAAGGCCAGAGGTTTGAGGAAAGTAGAATTTTAAATAGTCATGCGCTGCATAAATTCAGTCAATGATGGATAGCATATACAATGGTGGTCCCAATAAGATTGTAATACCATGTTTTTACTGTATGTTTTCTATATTGAGATTACCATTGTGTTAGAATTGACTACACCAATCAGTACAGTAACATGCTGTACAGATTTGTAGTCTAGGAGCAGTAGGCTATACCATATAGCCTAGGGGCAGTAGGCTATACCTATACCATATAGCAGTAGGCTATACCATATAGCCTATGTACCATATAGCCTAGGATAGTAGGCTACCTCATCTAGGTTTGTGTAAGTATGATGTTTGAATATCTAAGAAATCACCAAATGGTAGATTTCTCAGAACATATCCCCCTTTTTAAGCAATGCATGACTGTAATTGTTTCAAAGAATGGGACAAAGCAAAGACTAGCAACTTTTAGAAGGATGACCAGGTGCCACTGAGTACATAAATGAAATAAGTAATTATGAAATATGATGCCTTTCATCGTTATTTTCTCCAGAAGGAGAGGAACCTCAATTTTTCATAAATAGATATTAAAATTAATTTTTACATTTCAATAAAATTCACAAAGGGAATTGCTTCTTCTGCCTTCTATTCCTTGAATGCCTCAAGTATTCAATAACCTTAAGCCACTTGGGCTTGGGCTTGCCATTCTTACTGCCTCCAGGTACTTCCATGACTTGTGTGCTCCTTATTGTATTTCAGGTCAAAAATCGAATGTCCTAACTTCACAGTGGCCTTCTCTCCTATCAAATAAAAATTCCATTCCTCTCCCTGCATGCTACTGATTATTGTCTACAATTATCCATTTATTTGTCTACTTGCTACATACAGGTTTCATCTTGTAGAAACTTTGTTTGTCTTCTCTACAGATCTCAAGTACCTGGAACAGTGCTCCCCATATGTGGCACTCAATAAATATTCATTTAATACAAAATAAGTATAACATATTAGTAGTTCCGATATTTTAAAAAGTGGTCATAAATCAATTACAAAAAGATAGCTCAATAGAAAAGGGGGCGCTTGAACCTGGGAGGAGGAGTTTGCAGTGAGCCGAGATTGTGCCACTGCACTCCAGCCTGGAGCGAGACTCTGTCTTAAAAAAAAAAAAGAAAGAAAGAAAGAAATAAAAGAAAAAGCAAAGAGGGGAAACACATAATGAAAAATTCACAAAATGGACATGGTCAACAACAAAAGAATAAATTTTAAATAAATATAAATTGAAACATCAGGGTATACTTTTTCACTTTAAGTTTCTATATACTTCAGGATTTTACAAATCTTATGTTTTGTGCCATAGAACAACACTCTGCAAATACACTTTTGTGCAAATAGAGATTTTCTTGTCCAGGAAAATGCCTGTGTGCAAAAGAAATATTTAGCTATCAGAACTAAACTTATACACCACACGCATAAATATATACTCTCTCTATATATATATTTATTGTGTTTATTATATTTCATATTTCATGTAACCTTCAACACTAGTGATCAATATGGCAAACGCCTTGATAAATTTTCATGTTTTATTGTTTTAGGTACTGTGGCTATAGACTTGCAAGATACAAGCTGTAGATCAGCAAGTGGCCCTACCCTGTCTCTTCCTACAGAGGGAAGCAAAGAAATAAGAAGACCTAGCATTGCTCCTGTTTTAGAGGTTGCAGATACATCATCGATTCAAACATGTGATCTTCTAAGTGACCAATCAGAAGATGAAACTACACCAGATGAAGAAATGTCTTCAAACTTAGAGTATGTTCAGATACTCTAAGGTGTAAGATTACTGGGTTTTGTGCTAATGTCCTTAAGTATTTTCTTTACATACCTTCCCAATAGGTAAGGAGCTAATGATCTTTCCTTCTGAACATCCTAGAATCATTCCTATATACTTCTACCAAAACGCACTGCTAGTAGCCAGTATCTCTTTTGACTGCAGAGCATTATAAGCCCTCAAGTTTCTGGCTTCAACATATATTTCCAGTCTCATTTTGCTCTTAATTATCTTTTATCCTCAAGGAAAAAAAAATCAGTGTTCCCAAGATATAAGCTTCATTTTCATAATTGTATGGTTTTTATAGTATATTGTACTTTATACTTTGAATTTACTTTATTGCACATCCATATTGAAGTTCAATCAATTATTCAATGAAATGAAAACACAGCCCCTTCCATTAAGCTTTCCTTACTTATCTCAGTGTTCAGCACTTTCATACACTATTCATTAATTATTTTAAATGTATGAATAAAAGGAGTACTGTTTCCCTTTTCTAGGCTTCCATAATAATAGAACGCCAATCTATATAGTATTAATCACATTGTAGCTTGCAGTAGAGTTTGTTTGCATGTCTTATTCCACATATTAAATTGTCATTCTTCAGGAAAACACAGCAGTCCACAGGCTTGACTGTGGAGTACTAAGGACATTGCTTGCCATGCCAGTTCCACTTTATATTGGTTGTGTACAAGTGACTTTAATTAAACAAACAAACAAAAAAAAAAAAAAACTTGCAGCTGGGCACAGTGGCTCACACTTGTAATCCCAGCACTTTGGAAGGCCGAGATGGCAGGATCATTTGAGGTCAGGAGTTTGAGACAAGCCTGACCAACGTGGTGTGGCTGGTCTCAAACTTTACTAAAAATATAAAAATTAGCTAGGAGTGGTGGTGCGCGCCTGCAATCCTACCTACTTGGAAGGCTGAGACAGGAGAATCACTTGAACGCAGGAGGTGGAGGTTGCAGTAAGCTAAGATCCTGCCACTGCAGTCCAGCCAGGGCGACAGAGTGAGACTCTGTCTTAAAAAAAAAAAAAAAAACTAGCCAATAATTTATTTACCTGTAAACTGAGTGTAATTACTACTTCAGAAAGCTATTAGTGATTAATTGAGATAATGGAGAAAAAGTGTTTATACAAAAACAATGTTTTGTGTAGAGTAAGCGTTCAATTAGTATTAATTACTATTAGTCATATTACGGGTAGTAGTGGCATTGGCAGCATAATCTCTGACATTTCTTCCAGTGTCTTTCATAAAATGTAAATTCAAGTAATGTTGAACTAAGAAGAACTTCAGTGTCATTGAAGCTTGAAAATATTCTTTGTTTAAATTTCTCACACTTAAAAAAATACTGTAAGAAAGGTTGGTGTACCCACAAAACCAAATCTACTCTTCAAAGACATTAATGGTCAAAGTCCTCAAATGTATTTGGAATCTAGGATGGGAACAGGGATAGGTTTGGCAACCAGTGTCTTCACAGGAAACAGTGTTTTGGAGTGCGACTGAAATTCTTTCTTTACACTTCTTAAAAAATTGAGAGGTAAAAGATTTTTTCTTATTTCTAGAAAAACGAAAGAGATGTTGAGTAATTGTAGAGATTACCAACTTCTAAATTTACAAAATTTTACCCTATAATTTTATCTCTTAGCCAACGAACTTTATTTCCTGAAAATGCTGATTTGCATCTCTTCTTTAAGATAAAATAGTTTTAACTAGGTCAGAAATTTTATGGCTTAGCAGGTAAATTTGTTAAAATCAAACACTTTCTTATTGGATAAAGGAATATTATTTTCACTAAATTTTATTTTATTGCCTAATTTTCATTTATGCTGCTACGTTTTAGAAGTTTCATTCTGAAAGTCAGTATAGCCGAAATATGCTGTTGGCTGTTTTTTAAAAGTCAGCAAGCTAAATTCTCTGATAATGTTTTAAGTATGATTACAACAAAAACTATGTTTTTAACCAATTAGCTCAGTTATTTGTTCCATTTCGGTTATGTAGTTATGGCTAATGAATATTGATAGAGCAAATCATAATAATGCATTTTGCCTTAAATGTATTTTGTAAAAATTACCATTACTATTTATTTTTTAAAAATGAAAATCTTCTAAGCTGTGAGTTAACAAACTTTTTATAAATAGGAACAACCAGTAAATATTTCAGGCTTTTTGACCCCTGTTGCAACTACTAACTCTGTTACCAAAGCACAAAAACACCTATACACAATACATACATGAATGAGTGTGGCTGAATTATAATAAAGCTTTATTTATAGATACTGAAATTTGAACTTCGTATAATTTTCGCATGACATGAAATACTAGTTTGATTTTTTCCAACCATTTTAAAATGCAGAAACAACCCTTTCAAAACCATGTGGAGGGCCATATTTGATCCTGGGGCCACAGTTTGCCTACCTCTCTTCTTAACTACCTCTTTATCAAAATATAATTGCAACACAGAGGTATTGATTATAATGTTATTAAAACAGAGGAACATGGTCGTAACTTAATTTCTCAAATTTGCATGCCTTATCCAAGGGTAATATTTTGTATTATTTTACAGGTATGCTAAAGGTTACCCACCTTATTCTCCATATA
Organism: Homo sapiens; assembly: GCF_000001405.40. Taxonomy (NCBI): domain Eukaryota; kingdom Metazoa; phylum Chordata; class Mammalia; order Primates; family Hominidae; genus Homo; species Homo sapiens. Next base: position 196,331,226 of record NC_000001.11, on the reverse strand, counting down.
TAGGAAGTTCACCCACTTTTTGTCATCTCCTTCATGAAAAAGTACCATTTTGCTGCTTAAGATTAGACAAGGTAAGTACTTGTTGATGCTTTTTTGTTTACAAAATAAAATTATAGCATTTTATAGTTACATAATTTAAGTAATTTGTACAGCATTTTGATTACAATATGTTTAAGGGGTATTGGTATTATCTTTTCCAATGTAAATTTATATAAAGTGGTCAGTTTTACATTTTTAACTGCACAAATGATTACCCAAATGCTTTAGTCTTCTACCATATTAGCCTACTGGATCTGCTAGTCATGTTGTTAAAGAGAAAAATAAGGTACCAAATCTCATCCCTATGAACCCTCAACAACCAAAGTCTCCAAAAATCACTTGGGTCAAATGTGCATTATTTATTTTAACATTATTACTTTATATCTCATTATGGAATCCCTTGACATGATGGGAAGAGTAAGTCCATGTGTTAGACACAAAGATTCATTTATGACTAAAGTGAAAGCTCATATTAGAGTCTTGCCTAATATTTCCTTTCTCAAAATTTTACTGTCATTCTTGGATGTCCAAGAGAAGCTGTCCAAAAGATAAAAATTCTAAGAATGCTAGAGTTTTTATCTTTTTTCACAATATAACCATTGGGCTTGACTGGTATGAATTTATTCTCTTGAAGAATAACAAAACTGATAAAAGGAAGAACCTTATATTTACTGCCCCTGGAGATTCAGATCTGCCACTAATTCTAGCTAGGGATTTTTTCTTTTACATTAAGTTTTGAAGTTACAGTTAAAAATCTCAGCTCTCCACTTACAAGTCATGTAATTTGGGCAACTAACTTCACCAAGTTTCAGTTTCCTCATCCTTAAAGTGGATATTATTTTAATATGAACCTCATAAGGCTCTTACAGGGATTATATAATTTAGTGCATGTTTAATGAAGTGCAAGAAAGTTAATAACTGAGTTGGTGCTTAATATATTCTTGCTATTATTTTTATATGACAAATATTATAAATTTTGACTATTACTGTCACTCTTGAGGAAGAAGATTTACAGAACATTAGAAAATTCCTGCCTTTGTTTCCCTGAAGTTGCTTTGAGAATCTTTGCCATTACTCTGAAATATTCATCTGGGCCCATTGAGATGGATGATTCTGACCCTCAAGACCAAATATATATATATTGCTTTCATTCAAATGAGATTCTGTCCCTCAAGACTGAATATATATATTGGTCTCATTCAAATATATATATATATATATATATATATATATATATGTCTTGAGGAACAGAATTATCCATTTCAATGGGCCCAGATGAATACACACACACACACACACACACACACATATAAGTGTATATATACACATATATACATATATGTACATAAATACATATATACATATATATACCTATATGCACATATATTTACATATATACACATATATATGTGTATATATATGCGGTCCTTATTATTTTAATATTATGAAGCACTTGATATTTCTGGCAAGCTATGTATTTTCAGTAACATTAATAAATCCTAAATTTCAAGGCCCTTCCCCCACATTGACTCCTTTTAAGACTAATATTATTTATAATATTGTTGTTATTTTCTTTATGGATAAATCTTAAAATAATATATGCTTCAGTCACCACAAAACCTGGATTCACTTCTGGTTTTTATTTCTTTAAATGCACAGTTAAAGTAGAAAAAAATATTAGGAGACAAAAAAGTGGAAATAATTTATCTCCAAACAGAGATCCCAATCTAACTGAAAAGCTAAACTTTCAGAGAACAGGATTGATGGAGGCACAATAAGAGGATATTTTAATATCAAAGGACTATTAACTGTCTCTTTACCATATTAATGAAGCAAAATTTCTGGGTGTTGCTGATTGTCTAGTGATACCTGGAATTATTGGTTATTTAGGTAGCATTAGACTGATAGAAGGTGGTCTGCTATGTAAATGAGCACCCACTTTGGGATTTTAGGAACAGTATGGGATTATGCAGCTGACTCTACTGTGTCTGTGAAGTGTGTGAGTTGGGATTGCCTTATCCAATTTATTCTGTGTCAGTATCAGTGGGGCTGGTGTCCTGGTCAGTGTTCATGAACACTAAATTCTCTGTTCTCTGCTCTTTGTTTCCCTATTAATTGAGCTATTTCTAAATCTCCTTAGGGAAAGTTATTTTTTCCTTTATTTATCTTATAAATATTGACATTCTTGATGATCCAAACATCAGCTCAACACTATTCTTGTTGCATGCATGATCTCTTTCTGAGTGACTTTATTTCTTATATTACTTCAGATTCTGTTTATAATTCTCCAAGCACCCTTTCAATAAAGACTTGTTGCCCTTGTTTGTTACCATTTCCTTTGTTCTCTATTCTTTCTTATACCTTAGAATTTCCTTCTGGATTCATTTTCCTGTTTCCTAGATTACCACCTTTAGAAATTCTGTTAAGGAGATTCTATTGGTGGAGAATCCTTTTAATTATGGTTTCCTTTTATTTTGGTCTCATTCTTGAAAGATGGTTTACTTTGTGTGCAAGTCCAGGCTGTTAATTTAGTTTTCTGGTTTTTTTTTTTTTTCTTTTAGCACTTTAAGGACTGTACTTACTGCCTTCTGTGCTCCAAATAATGGCTGAAAAGTCAGCTACCATTCCAATTGTTTTTTCTTGTAGATGTGGCTCTTTTCTCTGTGTCTGCTTTAAGATCTTCTCATTTGATTTTTCATCACATCTCAAAAACTCTCAGCCAATATTTACTTGAATAAGTTTTCTTTCTGATTCTCTCTTAGCTCTTTTTCAGATATTCTGATTAAATAAATGTTAGATATTCTCACGATAGCTTCCAAGTCTTAATTTTTTCACCCTAGGTTCTGTTTTTTTTCTTCTCTGCCTTTCATTTTAGTTTCTGTATTCCATTCTGTCCCGCACGTGATCCCTTTGGCTGAATCTTAAGTGTAATTTAAATAATCTTTTGAGTTACACTCTTTACTTCAAGAAGATACAGAGAAATAGATTTAGGTATTATTTTTAATATCTACCTGCTAGATGTTATTTTACATAGCCTCTTGTTCTTTTCTCAGGCTTTAAATACTTTCTTTCTTTTATTTAAACATGTTAAATGTGCTCATTTTATATTCTGAATTTAATCACAAAATTCGTAGTCTTTGTGGGTCTAGTTATCTTGTTATGATTATTTCTGTTTACTCATGGTGCTTTGTTTTCAGCAGTGTTTTGTAATTTTTTTATTCAAGAATAATGGCAAAGAATATTCCAGAGGTGTCCGAGCATGGTGGCTCGTGCCTGTAATCCCAGCATTTGGGGAGGCTGAGGTGGGTGGATTGCTTGAGCCCAGGACCCCGTATCTACAAAAATACAAAAACATTAGTCGAGCATGCTGGTGCCCACCTGTAGTCCCAGCTACTCGGGAGGCTGAGGTGGGAGAATCACCTGAGACTGGAAATTTGAGGTTTCAGTGAGCGATGATTGCACCACTGCACTCCAGCCTGGGCGGCAGGAGTGAGGCCCTGTCTCAAAAAAAAAAAAAAAGATCAGAATATTCCAGAGGTGATAAATGTTCCAGACAACTAACTAATCTCAACCCACATAAATAAGAAATGAACATAAAGACATATAAAGGTAAAATAGCAGAACATCAAAACAGTTCTCCGTGCAGATAATTTATCTGAAAATAATATTGGGTTAACAACGCTAATTCTGTCAAATTCTAGACTCCATGAAATAGCAAAATGCCCTTAGCCCAACGATGAGTTTTGGTAATGCTTTGTTCTTGTTTTTGTTGGTATTATTGGGTATTTTACTTTAGAGTATTTGAATCATTATCGTGCCAGCTCAAATATGCATGTAGACAGTTAGGGGTTTTTTGTTTTTTGGTTTTTTTTTTCACTGTTTTATTTTCTTCATCGCTTTAAGCATTCAGTACTGGGAATGTTCCTGAAGTTACCTAATTATGATATTACTATATTTCTGGAAATGAAAGTCAGAGAAAATTAATTTGTAAAAGTGTATACCTGGATGTCTTCTAGCAGCAAACTTTAGTTTACAATAGAACAAGCACACACACAAAATGTTGGCTCTTTCAACATCAAGCTACAAACCTGCAATTCATTTTCCTTGTCCATGCACACTTTTATTTCTTACTGCAGGTTGCAGAAATGGGCACAGAAAAATGTAACTATTTTCAAATTTATTAGAAAATAAGGATTTACATTGTTCAATTAATTTTACATTTTCCTATAGCTTAAATTTTCTCCAAATTTTAATGAAGTATCCAAATGGCATTTCAATGTATACTTTCTCTTCTCTAGAGTTGCCAACATAACTACTATGAGGATGCAAAAGCCTATGGATTCAAAAATAAACTAATTATAGTTGCAGCTGAAACAGCTGGAAATGGATTATATAACTTTATTGTTCCTCTCAGGGCATATTATAGACCAAAGAAAGAACTTAATCCCATAGTACTGCTATTGGATAACCCGTAAGTATATTTTAAGATACACAAACAAGATAAACTGTTTTTAATAGTATGTTAATGTATATCAAAAATAATTGCCTGTAATATTCTGGTAGTATTTTAAATCAGATACATTATGGTACATGATTCATTGGGAGATATATTCTGTGCTGTGATACAAAATATATCATTGAATATGATTATATTCATAAATACTACTTAAAACTGGGATATTCTGAGAATTTTATTTAAAACTGTTTTGCAAGTGGTCATCTACTCATAATACCACAGGAAATAGGCCACTGAAATAATTACTGCAATTTTCCTTAAATTAATCAACTAGCCTGACAAATCTCTGCCAAAACTGGACAATTTTTTTTTTGTCTTTCTAAAGAACCATTAATTATCAGAGAAGCATTTACTGATCCATTTTTATATGTTATAACACAAAGCATCATCAGAGGTTATTATGACTGGACCACTGTTAAACCATACATTCTATGACATAATAGAAGTAATGCTTTACCTTGTGCATTTATTTGGAAAATATTGGATTGGTTTACTTTTGTTAAATAGGACTACTTAAGCAATTCAAAATTCTTATGCAAATATAAATATGGGTCACTGAATGAGACAGTCAAAGCCATTTTATTCTAAAATTATAATATCCGTCTCTGTGACTGGAAATTAGTAGCAGGTGGTCTTTAGATTAATACCATATTTTAGGATTCTCTCACTCTCCTCATCCATTCCAATGTGATGCAAATGTCAAGATGAACTATTACTAAATGAGGCCAAATTCCGTTGCCTTGTCTCTGCCTTTCAAAATTATCAAAGTTTTTCATAAGAGAGACATCTGCCCAGTACATTATAACTTTATAGTGTTGTTTATTCTCACTTTACCAACATCAAAATACTTATTGATGCAACTTTCTTAGAATCATCATTATAAGAATAATCAACTCCAAAAATTTATCACACTTGTAGAATTTTCATTTGAAGAATTTTCAGATATGATTACTCAATGACTTTTTCTATACTTCTTTGGCATCTAAGGAAAGCTGAGGCATATTTAGGGTAAATGAAGGGGAACAGAAACTTGGACCAAATTTCAGAAGAAATAAAAGTTTGTTAAAACAAATTTTAGAACAATCAAAGTTGCATTGTGGGATGGCTATGGCAATACAGTGGTTGTAAATCACTTCTTTCAAATATAATCTTAATTCTGAAGCATCTCTGCTAGGAAGCTCCAAGAAATTGGCTGAGCTGCCACAGGAGGGATGCCTAACTGTGTGAGTTCAAATGTGTCAGCTTTTGGCTTCTTTTGCTTATGATGAGTACATTGCCCTGAAAGTGGAAGTTAAGACAATGGCATTTGCAAACGTTGCCTTAGAGTAGCTATATGTTGTATGGCTTGGATCAAACTGGATCAATTCAGGTACCAGGTTACAGACAGGAAGGTAGGAAGTGGATTGAGAAAAAAGTGGAACTGTGCTTACAGCATCTTTCTGATAGGACTAAGGACAAAACTGTACTTTCCTCCTCTTCACATAATTTCAAGATAAAGTTTCTTGTCCTGATGTGTAAACCTCCCTACCAAAAATCAGTCTCTTCATATCTGGGACTGGAGTTCACTCTATGAACAGAGATGGACTCCTCATTTTCAATCTTCAGTCTTGCTAGGTAACCTTATTTCAAATCTCTAAGTCTCCATTTTCACCATCACACAGGTGACAGGAGCTAAGAAGTGTTTTACTTGTATGTTTTATGTAGATTTTAGAGTAGCTATAACCAAATCAATCCCTTTCTGTTTGGTTTTGAATAAACAGGTTACAAAAATGTCTGATTACTGAATGATTGATTGATTTGTATATTAGGATTATAAAATCAATTATGTGATTGTTCAAGGACTGGCTACACAGTCTTCATTCCTTGATCAATCACAAAATAATCTGAAAACTCTACCTCTCTTAATTACTGACAACTGGTTAGTATTTCTCTATAAATATAGATGTGGCTTTTATCAGATAATAATTCATCTGAATAAGACCATAAAGATTATTCAATAAAGTTAATATTATTTACCTCCATCCTCTGTTCATAATTACAATGACTACTACATGTCAGTCATCATACTACACACTTTACTTTACATTTTAGTTGCACAAGTCACATATTTACATTACAGTGATGATTTAGTCTTAGAGAGATGTGCCAAGCAGTTTAAAATCTCAAATTACGATGTAAACATTTAAATAAACTGAAAGCTGTGTGAGGTGGCTACAACACTGTCTCTTATTTTAAGAGGATGTAAAAGAGACACAAAGAAGGTGAATGACCTTTTTCATGGTCAGTTTTTGAATTAGACCTTTCTATGAAATTTCTGTTTTATTTTTCTTTCAACTTACAGGGTTTTCATATATGAAAAAAATACATGTTGCTTGCTCATACTTTTTGAAAACAAGAATATATCTTAACTTTGGTTTATTTTTGCATTAAAAGTTCCCTTTGCCTTCCTAATGGCTTACATTTGGGAATCCAACAATCCACATTATATTGTTATTAAATAATTCTTGTAGGGTTTGACTTTATTTCAAAGGGTTAGGTTGAAAGTTCACGCTGTAAAATCTGTTAGCTTTCTGTGTACTTCCCGAAAGTATTGTCGAATATTCTTATTTGTTGTCCTCTGTTCCTTTGGTTAAGAATGAGGAAACTAAAACTAAACACCAATTAACAATGTCCAGGAAGTTTTATGCAATTCTTTTTTTTTTTTTTTAACAATTAGATGCCTGTTGCTCTGAAATGGAGAGCACTTTGCAATCCATCCTACAATATTACAAAAAAAATGAGGCTTTCTTCTTTACAATATTTCCATATTATAGGAATTCCTACAATGATGATTGCATACCCTTCTAGAATTATTAGTTAGTTTTGAGGGTTTGACTTAAAATTCACATGAGTACAGCTGAAAATAGTATTCAGTATGTGGCTATTTTTAAAAATTAGTCGAAACGGCAATTAATTCAATATAACAGAAATAAATAATAGCAGATGTAATAAGCATGGGATTTTAAAATGTAAATTAAATTTATAATATTCATACACATAATATGCCAAAATAAGTGTTCACAATGTTTTCAAATATAAACCTTTCTAGATCTTAAATGGTAATTAAATAAAACTCAGTCATATTGAAAAGCATCTTTCAGTTGGTACTGGTTCATTAGAGCTGGTGTCAGTTCTGATTGGCTGGCCATCTGTTCTGTTTGGTCTGTTGTGCCATACTGATTTTAAATATTTTGATTACCACCCCAACCTTAAAGGTCATCTAGTCATTTTTAACATCATCTCATGTGAAAGATAGAAAAGCAAGTCAAAAGCTAGAATATATTATCCAAAGCTACATAAGGATGAAGGGAAAGATCCAGGCTTTTGCTCTTAATATTTATCAAGGTCTTCTTCACACTATCCATTCATTAAATCAATCTTCTTTCCACATATGGTGCCAAGTAAACTTCAGCTTATTTTGAAAGTAATGATAAAATCCCTGATGTCAGTGTTCTTATTTTTAAAATTCAAACTTTAGACTTATTCAGATCTAAGTTCTAAATTTATGCTCTTGATAGGTCTGTTAAATGTTACTGAGTCTTTTTAAGCCACATTTTTCTGATTTGTAAAATGGTTAAAACATTTATCTTAAAAAGCTATTGTGAGATGATGTAGATAATGTATATAAAATCCTAGTGCAATATCTGATTCATAAAAGGAAGATAAGAAACATCATTTTTTTCTTCTGCCAATCAAGAAAATAACACTGTCACTATTCAAACTGATGGACGGATTATGAAAACCCAATTAATAAAAAAGGACACTTATTTAAGTAGCTAAAATTAAACTACTTTCATATTGTCTAGCAAGGAATAAAGTACTTAAAAGTGGAATTAGGAAATGTTAACAAAATAAACTGTGCTCATAAAAGCATGCTATGCTCATTTCTTGAACTTGAAATAAAGAAATTAATTTTTAATTGTTATTAGTTAAATGGGAACAAAATAATGGCCTTGAATTTTACAAATTCATACAAATTTGCAAACCTTTTTTACTTCCTAACAGTCACTGACTAATATTTGGATGGCAACTTTTGCTATGAGAATTTCTATAAGAATATGAGGCTTTTGGCTCATAAGTCGTCATCTTTTCTAATAGAATTACAGTTAAGACTCATTAATGAATGTGCTCATTTTCCTTCTGTTTACTAACATCAGTTACTTTTTGTGTTTGTTGAATTTTTATTTTGTTTATTACCGGTTAGTTTCAGCCTGTGTTTTTTTGTTTTGTTTCGATTCATGTATATTTATTCTTCCCTGGATCTATTTTTTGTCATGTTTACCTTTTTAATTGATTATCAAATACTTCTTTATATATTAAGCAACTGTGGTCTACAAATTTTGTATAAGTAACAATTTTTCGACATTTATTTCTTATTAATCTGTTTGTAATGAGCTATGTAGTTAAATCTGTCAATCATTGTCACCACTTTTCCTTAATGTAATTCCCAACGTAAATAAGCCTTCTCTGTTTAGCAGTCAGATTTTTTAAAATGCATACATTTTATTCTACTGCATAATTTTTTAAATATAAAACTCTTCATCAGTACTTTGGGGACATAATGTAGGAAAAGGACATCTAGTTTTAGGAATGTTTTATGTTTTTGTTTAATGTTTTTCAATAATAATGCTTCCCAATGTAAAGGTTGTGCTTGCCAATTAGCTGCCTCCCAATGATTAAAAAATTGTTTTATTATGAGCCTATAATATCATTTATGTTACTCAATTACTAAACAGGTCGGTGCCATGAACACTGTTGACAATGTATTTAGGTCAGCTGGCATAATACATGTAAATGCACAATTTATTTATTCTTTATGTTTCAGATTTCCTTTTAAGCCACCTTTTTTCAATAGCTGTAGTAGATGAATCTATCTATTATGCTAAATTAAATTTTGCAAAGAATACGGCATAATAGACCACTTACCTTAGATATCCTTCATCAGGATTATATATTTAGTAGGGTTCAGGTGACTTCATTTACCTTGTAACATAGCTGAATTCATGTAAGGATGAACCATACTACCACAATACAGATGTTAAAGCAATTTCCAAGGATTTGGCACATTGCTTGCCCATTGTAAGTACATATTTGTGGTAGAATTGCATGTGACTGAAATTCATGAGTTTCTTAAAGCATAACAATGATTAAATTTGATGGCCAGTTAGCTTTTATATTCTCTGCTAGACAAAGCAACAAAATAGAAAGGCCTTATCTTCATTTTTAACTCTAGTAGAAGGGTTGGCATAAAATCAAGACTTACTTTGTCCACAGTGACCTCAAGACACAGGCGAAGGGATTTTTCAGATCACCGCAACAGCCCAGTGTTGCCCCACTCTTGTGGTACCTGCATCCTCCTATGTGCTTCTCCAATTACAAGACAGGGTGAGAGAGATGTGGAGGGTTTTGAATCAGCAATTAAAATAGCCCTGCTAATTTTAAGAAGCAGGACAGTACCTAGAAAGAGTATAACTAGAAATCTCTACCATAAGGCACTATCAGAGACTGCTACTGGAGTGTATATTTGGTTATAATATTTGTTGAAAACATATATCAGGATCTTTAAAACTGTTTATAGGCTGTGATCCACTAATATCCCTTCCATAAATGTTTTGGGATAATGATAAAAAAAAAATCAATGCTTAAAAAAAAAAAAGAAAATAAGGTCTTCGGAAGATGTGAATACCAGTGTTAAATACGATAGCAAGGTACTGCAAAGAACTGATAACTGCAGTATTTCACAGAAAAAAGTGAAAATAACTTACAAAATAAGTAACTGAAGATTTTAAGAATGAATTGTGGTACATTCGTAAGATGTAATACTATTGGGTCATTTTAATGACTACAAAGAAAATTAATGATAGGAGAAATTTAATCAAAATTAAAATAATGGTATTCTTTACAAGTTTTTTTTTTTTTCTTTAAATGTTTTGCTGTATTAAGCATTCTTTTTCTTCAGAGTGTAAAGAGCTAGAAGGATGACCAACAGGAGAGAAATAAGTCAGGGAGAGAACAAAAAGTTCATCTAGCCAGGGAGGCTTGTAGGTACCAGTTTTCTTGGCCTAGAATTTTCTTCTCCTCCTCATATGCTGAACAAACTCCTACTAATCCTTTAACATTCAAATTAAATATCAGCTCTGTGAAATGTTCCTCAATTCTGCCTCCTAAATATAACATATTGTTTGTTTTTACAGATTAAAATATATAATAGAATTGTATGATTTTGTACATAATTTTTAAAACTCTTTATTTCTTACAAGTTAACAGGATATTCTTTTGCATATACCTGAATGTGTTAAAATGTCTATTAAATAAAATGTTTGGATACATATATGCTGAGTGAATAGATACATGAAGGAATTAATAACTTTGTGAAATGAATACAATAGATTAAGCAGTTTCTAAGGAAGCTTTCCAGTTTATGGTTCTTTCCTCAAATATGTATATAAGTAAAGACTTCAGTCATAAATGTTTCCTCAATAATATATAGAGAGTATATCAATAAATTTAAAAATGCATTACTTTCACTATAATTTTATATAATACATATTTTGCATGAGCATATATACTATATTTATTTGACATACTGACATATTATATAGGGCATGTTGTGATTATACATATATCCCTTAGAGAAAGTAGTTCTTAATAGACATGCTTAATAGTTGCTCACTAAGAGGCATTAGTACCCATTGCTTTAGATCATCTAAAAAAATGCATTAGTTTTTTTATTTTACAAGGCCTCCTGTGCATGGATAACTTTTAAATTTATTTATAAGATTTCTTGGTCATAATTAAGAATATCAATTCTGTATTTTTGTAGAATTATGCGATAATGTTTCTGATTTAGAAAGCTGAAATACAACTTGTTTTTATAATTCTGAGGGCATTTTATGATTCATAACAAGTGCAAATGACATTTTCTAGTTAATGTTAAGAAAAAAAAGCACTGAAAATTAATTTTGTCAGCAGTGTTGAGTTTTGGAAATGCAAACTAAGTCAACTTACTTCCTTTCCCTAGAAGTGCTGCCACTGTTGTGACATTGTGTTTCATTTTGTAACCCATCTACTACTTAGGCCAGATATGCATTTTCTGGATGCAATCTGTTGGTTTCCAATGGTTTACTACATGGTGGGCTCTATTGACAAGTAGGTGACAAAATCTTTGGCACACTAACTAGTGTAGTGTCCTGTGGTTTGTCATGTGCTGTGCCTTGTTACTGCATGATGAGTGTAATTTGCCGTGTCAGTATTGCAAATATGATATATTTTGCATGTAGAGCTTATGTTCTCGTGTTATACATCTTGTATTAAACTTTCTGAGTAGTAATCTATTGTTGAATTAAAACAAATCTTGCTGCATGTCAATTTTGTCAGTTTTGCTCAGTTTCTAATGCTGTTTTAGTTTTGTGTCATCTATAACAACATTATTACTATTGACATAGTGGTAGAGAAAACTAAAGTTGCAATATTGTGATGCATTGATAGCGTTACGATAACTTCTGGAAACTTTGAAATAATTTAGAAATGCTCATTTTAACTTAGATTTATAAATTGGAGCAATTCCTTTAGAGTTTACTTTGGTCACATGTCAGAGTTTATAATTTCTAAAATATTTGTTAATGAAAAGGTCATATGTGTTTAATACATTAGTAATTAAATACAAATTCTTATACATGTATTATGGTGACATTAAAAATATATATAAAAATAAAAGATCAAAACGCTAATATACTTGAAATAATATATGTTACTTTTCCACTTCTAAAAAATGTCAGCCAGAGCCTTCAAAATAAAATGCTAAAATTTACCAATTGAGAACTTTAACACTTACATTTTATCCTGTAGATGTTGAAGAAAACACAGTTTTACAACTTTGAAAGTATTTAGTGCTGTGGATACATTAAAGGTCAAACAGTCTAAAATATGATTAGCCTCCATTCTATGTTAATATAATTTACCTCATCAGTTATGATAATACTAACCAAGTAAATAAACTGTAGTTAGATGTACTAAAATTACTATTTAAATTCTACACATGTTTTATAACCAATCATCTTTTTTGAAATCTTTTGAGGTAATAGTGTTCTGTTAAAATTTATTAGAAAAACAGTATATCTAAAAGCTAAAGAATAAACGTCCCATATACCTTTTCTGATGCAAACTATGAAGTGGATTCTTCCTCTGTACAAGTATTTATGGTGAGAGAATAAATAATTGAAAGGATCAAATTCCTAGGGACAGAAATAAAACAGAATTGGCTACGAATTGATAATTGTTGGTCTGGGGACAGTTATGTTCATCTAACAATTCTCCTCTTTTGCTTGTATTTGAAATCTTTCTTTAAAAATACCTCTTTGAATGAATTAAAACACATTCATGAACACTTCTTTACACTTACGTACTTCACATTCTAGTCCTTGCAAAAAGGGGTCTTAGAGAGGGATAGAAAGGGAGGCTTTGCCAATTATCCCTATAACTTGTTTTCCATCTAGATTGACTTTCTTGTGCTCCCATCTGCTGGCCACACTGTGTAAAGCAGCCATGCTGAGGGAAAAATAAGGCAATGGCCTTGCAGAAATTATGATGGAGAGGAGTTATAAGAATAAGTTGGCAGCCTACTTAAAAAAAAAAAATAAATGCAGTAGTAAATAGAAAAATAATAATATAATCTTAAAGCAGAAAATAATTAAAAAGCTTCCACATGGTTCAGAAATATTATTCCAAATTTATCTACTTTCTATATAGATTTAAATTGATATGTAACGATAATTTGCCAAGGTTATGAGTAAACTATAACAGCCAGTATTTTTGAGACTGGAATTAACCGACACACGTGGGTATAGGTAACAGCTATTTAGCACAGGTACTCTCAAAGTGAAGTTTTGGTCAAATGTTCACTTCAACGTCATTGAATGATTGATGATTAACTATTCATCTTTCCTATCTTCACTTCTATGCATATATACTTATCCAGTCACTCTTATCCTCGACTGCCCTATCCTTTCCTTTTCCTATATAGGTAATTATAATGGAGATGTTTTATTAATGAAGAAAAAAGATTGTGAAAGCTGAAATATGAGAAAGTGATGTAAAATTATGATAAGGTGGTGTGAAGACATATGACTTAAGCGTCATTTTGATGGTCCACAAGGGCCATAACACATTCATTTTCCATCTAACTCTTTCTTTTTTAATGTACTTTAATAAATTAAGAAAAATTATGATAAATTTCCTGAATAAAAGAAAGACCCAAGTATCCCTAGGCATTTAAACTTGAAGGTCATCATAGTGGTTGGATGTTATGGTCCTGGCCCCTCTTATCATAGGAAATTTATTTGGAATAACATTCTGTTTCCACAGTTTTAGCCATAAAATCTCTGCCACAGACCATTGTTCCTGATTCAAGCGAAATATTTTTTCTGGACTACTCCTGGGGATCTTGGACTCAAGGCTTTGGTAATACCCTGTCGCCTAATAACAGAGTAAGAAATCCTGCCTCCCGCCTTCCCATAAAAGGAAAATAATTCCCTCTAACGTGACATGGCTAACTCAACCAATCATGCACTTGGAAAAGATCCTCAGGGACTTCACTCTTCAATTTAAAAACCTAAGAGAAACTACTGCTCTTTAAGCTTTAAACATCCTATTATAAATCAGAAGATACGGAAATCAATTAACCTATCTTTTCTTATCTGTCTTCAATCAACTCTGTACCTAGAACATTCTTGTACTCATTCAAGTTTAGTCTCCATTATCCAATTCAGTTCTACTTTTCTAGTTTGCATGAAGCAGAGGCAATGAGAATAATGTTTCCCTGTTTCAGCTTTAACGGTAAATAAACATTTTCTTTTAATTCATTGGGAGAATGATAGGTAAGATTTTTTTTTTTGTCAGTGATAGGGAAGAAGACTGACTCTATTTTAGCTCACAGGTATGTGTTTCCTACTTTAGCAATTACTTCATCCAGCCAAAGAAATCGGGTTATTCAATCACTTGCTCAAAAACTTAGGCTGGCTAAACAGTAGGCTTGCATACAACAGAATTTGTATATTTTATATGCTCTTGGTTGTGTAGAACCAATCTATAGCACATAGGTCTTACATAAAGGAATAATAAACATTTAAAAATAAACATTTCATAGTTTTGTATTTTTTCGTTAAGCTTGACCATCTAAATTAACATAGCACTTATTTATTCCTCTCTTACCAAAATTACTTTAGAAGTAAAAAAAAGTAAATGTGTCTTTGAAGTAGTATGTTAACTGTAAAAACAAATTTCTAATATGCTCTATTTTATTGCAAAATGGATGTATTCCATATTTCATGTATATAATTAATAAAAATTATTAAAGAAAATATTTTAACACACATATTTTGAAACAGTTGAGATCTAATGACATGTAAAGTACCCAAAATAAAAATTATTTCATATTGGTAGATAATATTGTATCATAATTCCCTTTAATAGCTACCTGTGCACACTCTGTAAAAGCCACCTCTAAAGGCAACTTATATAAGCACAGGGGATAGTGCTAGACTTTAGCACTGATTATAACATTGTGATTTATTTAATGTTTGTTTTTCTCTGTTGATTTTTATCAAAGCCTAGATGACTTACTCAGGTGTGGAGTGACTTTTGCTGCTAATATGGTGGTTGTGGATAAAGAGAGCACCATGAGTGCCGAGGAAGACTACATGGCAGATGCCAAAACCATTGTGAACGTGCAGACACTCTTCAGGTAAGTGGCTGAATCATCCAACCTTGCCACTTACTTTGTGCTAAACATTGGTAAAATATTTGACACTGACTCTGTGAGGAATGAACATGAGACACACCAACTTTATGTTCATTTATTCATTTTTTTCATAAAGTAAATGTTTATTGAGCATGACTGGCACTGCATAAAGTTAAATTTTTAACACCAGATCAGTAATGCTTCTCATAAAACAAATTGAATGATATATCTATTTTCTCAGATAGTTTAACAGTAGCAAATTCTTGAAAATCATGTGTACTAGTAGTCATGAGTTTTGACAAGCAGCCCATGTTCTCGTATTGGTATTAAGCCTAGCAGTGACCAAATATTTGCATTTACATACTGAATAGCTAGGACTGAAAGACTGCACAGCTGTGAACAGGTAAGTTACCCATGTTAGGAGCAAAGTCATGACATCATTTTCACTGTTTTCCTGTCTTTTATTAATTAAATGTACCCATTGAATTTAATTAATTGAATTTAATTTAATGGGGATATGAATCCCCATTATGGTTGTCTTTGGGTAAGAGTAAACAATCCTGACTAGAGAAAGAGCCATGCTATAAGTAAAGTCAAACTCGTCTGTCATTCAAGGCATCTGTTTCACTTGGAACAATTCTCCCTAAAATCATATGAAATTTTAAATATCCAAAAGACCATTTTTTAAGTTGTATGAGTTTTGCAGAAGCCTGAAGAAAATACGTGAGCTACCAAATTACAGAGGTAAATGAAACAATCTCAACTTTCTCATCATCCATGTTCACTCCACTTTCATACTTTCATATTGTAGTAAAGCATATATTGAGGTTAATTATTTTGCCTTCTAATTTGAGTTCAAAATTCAAAGGAGAGAGCCTAGATGCGTGTCTGTGTTAAGTTGCCTATTTTTAGTATGATCTTAGGCAAATTACTTTTCTTCTCTACATCTCAATATATTAATCACAATATTATTAAAGATTTAGAAACATGCAATGCCTTACTTAGCACATACCTGGTCATTTTTAATTACTTAATAAATATTAGCTATTAATATTACTAGCAGTATAATTATCACTTCCATGTGGCAGAAGGGAAAAGCCACTGACCTTGGACTATACAGCAGCAAACTTTATCTGGCACAATGTATATCCTAGAGGCTCCAGCTGACAGTCACTAACTTTGTGACCTTCCTAACCTCATTAAGATTCAGTTTTTCTCATCTATAAAATGCTGCAGAAAATAACCGACCTTGCAGTGTTAATGTAAAGATTAGAGATCAGTTATTTAAAGAATCTGTCATAGCACCTGGAAAATCTACACTGAATTTGCATAAGAACCTCTTGTTCCAGAAGAAGAAATACACACTTTAAAGTTATTATAATGCAGCAGTTCACTTAGAATATAGCTAACTAGTTAACTAGTGAGCTGTATTAAACAGTACATTTTTAAAAGACACTATATAGAACTTGTTTAAAATATTACAGATATATAAATTTTTTTTCTCTAGAGAATATAAAAGAAAATTACAGGGTAGAAAATTAATTCAAGGATGAGATTTATAGCTAGTGAGTAGGGTAAAAATCATGCTTTTTGATTCCATGCTTGGCAAAAGCTAATTATATAAAAGAGGATCCTAGGTCTTTTTAATTAAACATGTTATTTAAACTTTCAATTTACCATGAATTTTATTTCTATTATGGTGACATTTCTATTGATTTAACTTTTATTATATATTCTCTGGATGAATTATTTTGATTCCAAGGAAATAATAAATCCCCATCTTACTGAGAGGTTCAAAGGCTGTAATTAGTAATTTAAAACAAATTAACTCACCATAGTAATCATGGACAGATACATATATGGCAACTAATTGTGCAAAGGCTATGTTACTCTGAGTACCTAGCTGAAGATGTGATTACCACTTGTTGAATGAATGAATGGATGGATGAATGAATGAATTAATAACTTTGGATACCTTAACTATTAGGCTTATCTGTCTTCAGCAGTATATTTTAAAAATTATATAGTTTTTATGGTATATATATAGTAATCTAGACTGAATAGTTTTGAGCAGAATTTTTCAAAAGAACTATTAAAAACCCAAATTGCAAAGAAATTACCTCTGTTCTTTCCTTTCTTATGCCCTATCATGACATTACTATTATTTCTCTAAGTATATAACAGTATTTTTTAGGAAAAAATTATATGAAACTTTTTTTTTGTGTTGTGTGTTAAGCTGCTAATCTGTGTATGCTAAGCTAGGCTAGTTTTACATGATAAAAAGTAAGACAGACATTTATAGGTTTCTATGATATAAGAAGAATCACTTTTGCTCATAAATGACCAAAATCACACAGACTTGGGAGTTGCATTTTACAGATGTGGTTAATTATCATCCTCCAGATCACTCTTCTGCATTCCTTGGAGATTTTAGTTCCTGATTTACTATGACTCTTGCCAACCCTGATTATCATAATTATTGATGATTTCAACAATCTTACCTAGATGATCCTTTGAATATCTGACCTTCACCACCCATTCTCATGGTCATAGCCTAAACCTTGAACTATGAATAATTTTACACTCCACATTCTCAGTTTCTAGCATTCAACACTCTGAGTAGTGCTACTCATTTTCTATCTAATTTCTTCTAATATTCTCAACTCTTAATAGTCCTTTGACCACACTGGAACCTGTCATCCACCGATCCTACTACCTTTTTACTTACCCTAGTCACCTGAGGGCTTTTTCCCTTCCTTACCCAGATTCAAATCTATGATCAGTCATGATAATCACTGCTGCACTGAAATCCTCAATGGATAATTACTGATTATCTACTACACACTGACACTGATCTCAACTCTCTCCCTTTTCTCTCTTCCTCCTACTCCCAGTTTTCTCTCCTTTTAGGTTCTCTACCCACCACCTTGCATGAAATTCCTTAGAGGCAGATGACAACATTCCAGAGGTAGGATCCAGTTACCCTCATCAGTAAGCATCAGACAACTAGAAATCCAATCACAATGGCTGGATATCAGACTATTTAGGATTAAAGCTTTGGGCCCCATCTCTAAGAGAACTAAATTCTTATACATTAATTATGCATGCGGGAATAGTATCTTTAAAATATTTCAGCCAATCCTTGTATCTTAAAGAACACCATTAATATTCTCAATCAAGAGCCAATTTCTAATTCGTTGATTAGTAAGGCCTAAGACTTTGATAGAAGTACAGATAACAGAAGTAATGTTGTGTGAACATTCAGATTAAAAACCAAAGCTTAGGTGATGAAATAGAATGCCTGCTGCACCTGGTATTTAACTTAAACCAATGCATGCACGTATCACATTGTTTATTTTGAAGTGTTTCGAAAAGTAAATTACAGACATCATGAGAGTCCTAGAACGACCTAGACAGGCCTTTTATTTATCACTTACCCTGATTCGTTCCTTCTCTCATGATGAGTTTTATCATTTTTTAAATTTATTTATTTATTTATTTTTCTCGCGGAGGGGACACTCTTAGTAGGCCTTTAAAGCAGCAAACTTTCTCTGGAACTACCTCCAGTCCAGAGGTTCCAAATTCCCTGGAGGAATAGTGTATCTCCACTCCTTTACTCAGAAGACTCCTTGAATCCTAAGCAATTGGCTGTTCGCCTCCCTACACAGTATTTCTGCATATCAAAGACAATAAGGAGATAAGATCTTCCTCGGGTTAGATCCTGTTGTACCTCTCTCCCCAAAAGGGTTTTTATTTACACATCTAAAAGAAGACACTCAAGTAAGCCATCCCAGTACAAAGAGCTGCTAAAAAGTGAAAGAAAAGCAAGTCCTCAATTTCAAATTTAAATGTATCCTTCTAAAGATTTAGCTAACAAGACAATCATTACAATTGGAAAACATTTCATGTTTTCATATTTGTATGAACAAGTACTAATATCTAAACAAAGTTTAAACCCACAAAACAAAATGTGCTTTGGATTAGAAACAACCACAGTAAAAAGTCTATGTCAAATTGATCTACCAAAATATCCCACTTGGTGGCTGTTTGGCATGTCACTGGCATCTGTCATTATTTTCATTTTACTGAGAAAGAAATAAACATTTAGAGAAATTTAGTGTCTCATCTTAGCCCATCTAGGAATTAAAAAAAAAATGGCAGATTCAGGGCTATGACCAGAGTGTCAAGAAAGACAAGAGAACTTTACCTAGGAGCTGGGGAAAAAAAGTCTCTCTGGAGAGCACACAGAATATAATGTTTAGGGCAGAATGGGTACAGAATTTGTATGGTAAAAGTCCAGGCGTGACCTAGTTGAGAAGTCCCCTTGGGTTGATTTTGTTTTAATACAAAGATTTTTGGTTGCTGTTTTTGCTTTTGTTTTCTGAACTTTAGCTGACCACACTTGTAAGATAATGAGCAATGTCAATGGAAACATTGAAACAGGTCATGGATTGTTATCTGGTTGGAATGGAGCAACTCCTGCATTAGATCTATAGTAGGACAGGATGACTTCTGTGGCCATGCCTGCAATTGTGATTTGTTAATGTATCATGCTTGGCCCCTAGGTTTATTGAGCATCTAGTAAGTGTCAGGATTGTACAGGATGCTGTGGCTGCAGTGATGAACAAGGTGGACATAGCTGGTGGCCTTTGAATACTAATAGTCTAACAGAGAAGGTATTAAGCCAGTCATTTAAAATTTTAATTAGAGAATTATAACTGTGGCAATTATTGGGGAAAATATGTAGAATTGTATATAGACTCAGATAATAAGAATATTTGCTCTAGTCCCATGGGTCAGGGAATGTCTTCCTGAGGAACTGATAATCTTTTACCTGAAAAGTGAAGAGAGACTAAATGGGCAAAAGGATGGGTACAGCACATTCCATATGGCGGCAGCATATACGAAGCTCTGAGATCCTGGTAGTGACTATTCAAGGACTTGGAGCAGAGCAAGAGGAAGACTGGTGCGAGGAGGCTGAAATGGAATTTAGAAGCCATATTTTCATGGCTTTGTAAAGTATGTTCATATGTTGGTCTGAATTTTAAGAATAATAGGAAATCATTGAAGAATAAAGAAATTTTAAAAGATAACTGCAGGTACAATGTAGAGAATTGTTTCAGGAAAAGAAAGAGTGGGTGAGAGCCGACCAGTTAAAAGACTTCTGTATTGCCACAACTATAAGAGCATAGAAGGGCAAGTTTTGTTTATTTGTTTCTGTTTTTTTAAAGAAAAGAATATTGTCTTAGATTGGCACAAGTAGTCATAATCTTACGAAGGAAACAACATGTACATGCACATGGAAAATGACAGATTTCTAAATAATATAACCATAAGTAAATAATTTAAAATACTCAACATGTATAAATACAAGATTGATATCTTTATATAGTGAAAACCACTTTTAATGTTTAGATTGGTGATGGTTTACATGGATAAGATTTTTGAATACAGAGGATTCCTTATATTTATCATACTGTCATTTATTACTAACTCAGACTCCCTGAAGTATTTTAAAATTATTTATGAAAGATTACATACATTTATACTTGTTTTAGTGTTGATAGTCAATTGCAGTCCAAAAATCCCAAGTAGTGTTTTATGTGTATCTAAGTGTGTCTGTATACCTCCTATTAATGTATACCCCCTGTTAATTAAAAACATTATTTCCAGCTACCATGGCAAATCAGAATTTATAGTGTAATATATAGCTCAGTAGGTAATATTTTGAATAATGTGTCATAAACATTTTCCAATATTCTTATATTTGTGTTTTTTGCTTTATGATACAAATACAGCTAGTTTCAGAGTTCCCCCAGTAGCCTGTGAAATAGAATATATGGTGTGTTTTTCATCTTTATATTGGTTAGTAAAAATATTTATTGAATAAATTAATGCAGGCAGAGAACTCTTCCATAGATATTTTACACATCTCCACAATTATATTTACATCACTGAGTCAGAACACGAAGTAATTGTAGAAAAGTTTTAAATAGAACAAACTATATCTTCTTTTTTTAATTACAGTATTGCTCTATTATGTTTCTAGTGCCCAGGGAAAAGAGACGTATTATTTCATTTTAATTCTAAAATGTTCTACATGCAAAATGTGTTTAGCTTATATTAAGACCCAGAAATAGATTTATGGTGTTAGTGTTTCAAAGGAGACTAAATAAATCTATTAGACAACCAAATTTGTAAATATAAAATATTATAACTGAATACAAGTAATAGTCTATGGATATAAAGGGGGTTAACATACAGTGTTTCATTATGTAAGTATTAGTTCTAGATTTTTCACTAGGTGGCAGGCTTAGCTAATACTTTCAGTTTCTCAGTCCAAAATAACATAAATGTTGTAGGTTCATTTATGTAGAACAGAAATGGGAGGCACATCACGTAAATTATGTTGTCTTATTTAATTTCAACTCCAGAAGCCACTCAAATACAAGGACTGGGTCACTCAACCATATTTTCACTCACTTTTATTAAGACCCCAAATACTTCTAGCTACATATATGTGTATATTTCTATTTGATAAAATGTGTTATAAAAGAATAATAAACCAAAGAATCCAGGTAACCACAACTTGATTCAAAGTGAGAATACTGGTTTATATCAAAGATAAAATACATATTTTTAAGGGAAATAAAAATGTTCCAAAAGTTAAACTTGATTTTCATTAGTTTGTAGCTACGTTTTCCTCATAAATTCTATCTCTAGCCTGATATCTCAACACTGTCCTAAATGTTCTTCATAATTTATCCATTCACTAGTGTCTTAATGCTACTTAATCTAGGAGTGTTTTGTTAGCCAAAATGTATCACCCCTAGAAAAATACATATATCCTTATAATTGGTGAATTTTTATTGTTTCATCTATTATATTATAGTGTTTAAAGTCAGGAATCTTACTTTATGTGTTTATCTATCTCCTGGAGACCAGAAATTTCTAATAGTAAAAACTTGATAATTATTCATTAAGGCTAAATTGAAGTAATTTATAAAACGTTATTTTTAAAAGAGTTGATTTTTAATATAGGAAACATGAATCCATTGCTAGATATTGTTAATAATTTATTTTATTTGGATCATCTGTGTCTCCTTACACTGGTCTATCTTCCTCTTTATTATAATGGTGGGGGAAGCTTCAGAACCTAATGCTGTGGTGTGACCCAGGCCCTGCCACCTACTAGAATGTTACCTTGAACATACTATTTTGTCTCTTTGGTCCTCAGTTTCCTCATCTATAAACTAATAATTGGAGGTAAATCATAGAGTAGTTTTTTGTAGTTTGAAGAGGTGATGTGACCCTTTCAATTTCTAACACAAGTTAGAAACTATTGAGATCCAAAGAAGTCAGGCAGATAGAGATAAAAATATTAGGCAGGAAGATGTGACTTTGGTGTAGGCAAAAGTGGGCTTTTAAAATCCACCCTTGAGAACCATGGTGAGGAGACATACTGGACAACCACAAGACTTGTCCTAGAGGGCTTATCTCTCCTCACAGCTTGGCACAGACCAGTACACATCTAAAGACACTGAAAAGATAGAGTCAGGGTTGAGACAGGCACCCTCAGCTCTTCCTGGGGAAGGAGAGGATACAGATGGAAACACAAGAGGGTTCCTACCTGATGTGAAGATTACATGAGTTAATCTTACATAGACAACTCTTAGAGCCGTGCTTTATAGTTATTGTTTTATGGATGTGTGTTACCCATCGGAGAGAAAAAAAAGAGGAAAAGACAAAGAGGAGAACCTTAGATCCGTTAATTTTTCTTTTTAAAGTTCAGTGCATGAATGTGGGATTTGTTGTCTGCATGAGTTTATAGGGCTTTGTGCTCATTGATTCATTTTTGTCCTATTTTTCATTTTAGTTTCTATTTCCCCAGATGATGGAATTTTGTCTGTGACAACCATATATGGTGAATATCTTTAGTGACATTGTTATTTTAAAATATTTCTTAAATAAATACTTTGAAACTCCCATATGGTATGAAATTTGGCAGTTGGTGGCATTTCCCAGGCCTACCAGATGGAGTTTGCCAGCCAAAAGTCAATTGACATTTTTTTTCCATCAGGCCACTTTTCTAATTTTTAAAGAGTTTTTGAGAAAATAACTTTTATTTATTGAATGCACTATCATGGGTGACTTTTGAGTGAGAATAGAGCTGCTAAAAGAAAATCATGTGAAATATGGATAATACAATGTTTCTCCATAAACTATTCTAATTAAATTCAGTGCCCTCTTCATCAAGATTTAATCTCAAATGCACAAACATGAATTGAGAAATTGTTTAACAAAGATTTGTTAATTAAAGGAATATAAGGTTATAGTCACTTGAGAGGGAAACCATGCTTTCTAGTTGTTATGATTTATTAGGAGAGCTAAGGCATGAATAAAACCAACCAGGTAGCTAGAGAAGCCAACAGGTAGTGTAATCAATAAATCAGATACTGGGCAGCCAAACTGGAGAGAATGATTCTGAGTTTAAAAATTTTTTAAGTTTCATCTTGAATGGATTTGAGAGCCACTTTAAATATTGGTAGTGATTTCGTAGTATAGAGATTCAGGAGAAAAGTAAACAGAAAAG
The DNA here is from genome assembly GCF_000001405.40 of Homo sapiens. NCBI lineage: Eukaryota > Metazoa > Chordata > Mammalia > Primates > Hominidae > Homo > Homo sapiens. The sequence continues at coordinate 196,307,301 of NC_000001.11, read as the reverse complement.
AAATGGCATTTCAGGCAGAAATAACATCAGAAAAATTTTAAAAACTAAGAAAATAGTAATAACCGATTTAACTAAGAAACAGTACCTTTTGTATGTAGCCACTAGCTTCATGCTTTGCTACATCCTTTCTTTGCAGAATCTGATATTTAGAGTTTCTGTAATGAATTTAAGGTCACAGAACTATTGAAAAAGTTATCAGTTGCACAAATAAAATTACTGTATTTTTAACATTAAAAGTCAGCAAAAGAAATTATATCGTGGTTGTTGTTTTCCTGATATTATTTTAATAACAATTACTACAATTTACCTGAATCAATAACTACAGTAGTATTTATTACCAAAACGAAGATTAAGAACTAGGATTGTTTAGTCAGCCACAATTTATTACCCCTAGAAAAATACGTATATACTTATAATTTGTGAATTTTATTAAAAGATTTCACAAAATACCCAATGATATCCTAGCTCTCAAAGGCCTTGATTAGGTAAGGCCCAATGTTAGTCCATTTGTGCTAATGGCCAAGAGGGCGTGTTAGGTTTTACAGACAACTCTAAAAAAAAAAAAGCAAGCAAACAAAAAAAAACCAAAACTCTTCTTAAGAATGTGTTAGTGTCTTAACCTGAATGGTGACTAAAGCCCAATGTAAACACACCTGAGAGGCAGATAATCAGAGAAGCCTGGTCTGAAGGCTAAGAAAGGCCCTGCTTGCTGCAGAGCAGTAGGGTGGGCACACTCTCCCCAGCAGGAGGGAGCATTCCTGGCAAATCATCCATCAACCTTCCAGAGTTGGACCTGAGGAAAGGTAAAAACTCGTCTGTAATGCTGGAGCTCAAGGACAGGGCTCCCATCTTAAAAGAAGCATGTACCACATCAAGCACTCGGGCACATGGAAGTAACAGCACCCTCATGACTGAATGAGCATAAATTCATAAATTCATAAATTGAGAGCAGAAGGAGCTGATTTGTTCCTGAGCCACACAAACAGGCTGTTTATATTCTGCATATTTGCAGTCAGTTTTAGTCCCTGAGTTCAAGGGATGAGTTCAACCTAGTGATGGGAATTTTAAGTGGTCATAACTTAGTTTAAAGACATATCATATGAAAAACAAAGGTGATTATCACAGAAGTGGCTGCCACAGAGAATACCAAAATATTTAACAAGGAAAGCTACCAGGGATGCATAGATATCAGGTAAGGATCAGATCATGAACAACAGCAAAAATAAAAAGTATTTATTGTGGTATCATCCTGCCCCTTTTCTCTGGGGGAAAGAAATCTTGTGTGAGCGTGTACGTATGTGTGCTCATTTTGGTATATATTTGAGAGAGTGTCAAATGGGAAGAAAGCTAATATGAAGCCATGGGACCTGTGAAAAAAAATTTCAGGATACTTTTGGGGAACACTATCAATGCTTTAGCCTTGGCCCCAATTAATTACAATGAAGTTTTACATAAATTATTTCCTCATCTCAGAAGTTTGTTGTAGCAAGATTTGACATTTAAAAATTGCCCACTATGAGAATAAGGAGCCATAGGACATGAAAGAGCTCACATAGTAGACAAGAAGCTCATTATGTGAAATTTTTGCCAATCAGCTTATTTATCTTTATAGATTTCTGTTTCAATACCATCCACAAAGTAACCTTGTAACTTCTTAAATCAGCTTTATGAGTTTCTTCTATGTTGTTCCATAATTGTAAAGAGAAAATGTCTAAAAAAAGCCAAATTACTGAATTTATTTTTCTTATTGTGCTAAAATGTCTGTTAAAATATTCTTCGGGAAATAGTGTTTCATTTTTCCTGCATTGTATAGAAGATTTTATGTGGCACTGCCTGCTGTTGTAATTGGATATAGTTTTATGCCCAAGGCTAGGAATCACTCACTCATAAATATGTTGTTATAAAAAATACCATATTGGATTGTTAGTGTAATGCAAATGTTCTTTTGAAATGTAGGTTGTTTTCCAGTCTCAGTATTATCACAGAGCTAACTCACCCCGCCAACATGAGATTCATGCAATTCAGAGCCAAAGACTGTTACTCTCTTGCTCTTTCAAAACTGGAAAAGGTAAGACCCCACATTATCAAGTAAATTAGATTTAACCATCTTTATTCAGAAATTAACTCTGTAAATATATAAAAAAAATGCCATGAGATAGTAAAACTAAAATGCTGTTTTGAATTTTTATTTGGGAGATGAAATTCTAATTGATAATTTTTTTAAAAATGTGAATTGACAGATTTGAACGATTTATATCACAGGTAAATATGATGGAGATATTTTGTTCTATTATTATTAAGTATTAAACACATGATTTGTGAAAGAATTAAATGCAACAGAAATGTGTATACTCACTTACTTGCTATGTCATGAAAATGCTGGCTTCCCAGATGTCACCAATACAACCTGACATAAAGCTAAGTTTATTGCTTACCTAGGTAGGGGAGACTACCTCCCCAGTAGAAGTTTGGCAAGGTCTCAGAGGGAGGAAAACAAGGTCAAAATATACTGAGAACTGGAATTTAATTTAATGATGATATTTCAAAACAGGGACTTGACTGGGATTGGGAAGAGATCCGGATAATGCTAATAGAGACAATGGAATTGCAAAGTAATGTTATATGGTCAGAAAGATTTGGTTTCCATTTTCAGTATACAGGCTGAGTGTGGGTGTAGATGGTTTTTGCACTCAGCTTTTACTTACTACTAAATAGTAGTGTACTGAGAGAATTAGATGTGAAAGGAAAAAAAAGACCCAGTCTTATACATGTAAAATGTGTTAACCTGGGTGTGGCGGCTCGTGCCTATAATCAGAGTGACCTGGGAAGCTGAGACAGGAGGATTCCTTGAGCCCAAAATTTCGACGCTGCAGTGAGCTATGATCATGGCAGTGCACTCCAGCCTGGGTGGCATAGTGAGATCCCATTTCTAAAAATAAATAAATAGTTAAATCTAGGCTGTTTTCATTTCTTATAACAATATAAGAGGTAGAGAAAATGATGCCTTATATTTTTTGGTTAGTTATTTCTTTTAATTACCAATTATGACAGACCAGATGCTGTCCTAATTCCTGGGAAACATATTGTTGAGTAAGGTTGTGTCTGTACCCTCATCTATTGATTTATCCAAAGCTAGTCACACACGTGATGTTTATAGAGCCTTACCCTGCTTTTTTATGGCCACAGGGAAATTGTTGTTGTGCCCTGCTTCCAGATGTGGAAACTGAGTTTGAGACTAGATAGATACCTCTCCCAAGATTATACAGCTACCAGTTCAATTCAGCAAGGCATATGTAAGGCTATTAATATTCAGGACAGAAAATTTCCACTATGCCACGTTGCTTTAGCAACATAAAAAAAGATGGCAAGCAGGGCTAAATTGACTCAGACTTGAAAGCAAACCAAATAATCAGAAAACCAGCAGGAATCCGTGCTGGCATGATGTAGTAGTACAGCCTCCTTCATGGGAAGTGAGGTAGAATCACTTGTGATGAAGAAGCCAGGATCTGTAGTCAGATTGGTCCAATTCACCACTGCTTTTGAGAAATGGAAACTGGATAAATTATTTCGTAGCCTTGGGATTCTTATGTGGAAAATAGTGGTAGGAGCTATTTTAAATAGTAGGGTCATTATAAAGATTACAGCACATAATCTATGCAAAACACTTAGCCCTGCATTTGACATATAATTAGTACTCAAATAAATGGTACTAAAAGCATAACGATACATTTTATATTTGTTGATATTGTCACTAATAAATATTTCATTCTGTGCATTCTAGTTGTTGACGAGTCAGTTGACGTAGCAAGGTCATAATTGTGGAAGGTAATTTCAGTATTTGTGAGCATTTGTATTGACATGCTTGTGTGCTTATTGCATTAGGGAAAAAGAAGAAAAATATGAGGTATATATGCCAGTCAATTACATATATCTCTTTATCCAAAGGAAAAATAAAACTTAATATTTTTGCAGCAGGCAAGAAGGCACAATTTAATACCAGGTATCTAGGCTAAACTCCCAAAGAGAGAGACACAAGTTGCCTTCCTCCTTGATGTTCACATTTCAAAAAGATACCCCAAGGCCCACAAGAAAAACATTCCTGGAATGCAAAACTGGCTAGAGGTTTATTCAGCTTTTCAGAGATTTGCATCCATCTCAGGGACAGAGAAAGGATTTCCAGTTACAAGTTTTTGACAGAGAAAGGATTTACAATTACAAGTTTTCTAAAGAAAATGCTCCAAGGAAAAGGGAAGGGACTTTTGTCATCAGGGTATTTTTTTTTTTTTTAAGATTTGCATTTGTCCTTATGTCTTTTAGATTTTTCCCATGAAGAAAAAAGAAACTCAATACATCAACATATTTCCAAATTATTCAGGGATAGGAAGGCTGGAGGAAGTGGGATTAAAATAAATAGTTTGAATGTTATAAAGCTGTGGAAAATTCTTTGATCCACTTGTTACCATATTATGTTAAAGTTAATTTCAGAAACTTAAAAATTTAAAAATGTAGAAACTTTTTAGTCTTTTATAGTCTCGTGGGTTGAATCTCATGCCCCATCCAAAAAAAAAAAAGTTGTGCTGGGGTCCTAACTCTTACAGATGTGGTCTTTAGAGAGAGGCAGTCAACTTCAAAGGAGACCATAGTGTGGGTTCTAATTTATGGCTCACTGACATTTTTATTAAAAGGGTGAATTTAGATATACAGACAGACACACATTAAAGGAAGGCAATGTGAAGGGAAACAGAAGATAGTCTTCCATAAGCCAAGGAGAAAGGCCTGGAACAGATCTTTCATTTACAGTCCTCAGAAGGAACCAATCTTGACAACATCTTTATTTCAGACTTCTTGCCTCCATGACTGTAAGGCAATAAATCTATATTGTTTAAAACACCCAGTCGATATTACTTTGTTATGGCAGCCCTATCAAATAATGTTCCATGAATGATATGGTAAATCTTCCAATCAAGGTTTTTTTTTAATCAGTAATATTTACTGGTATGACAGCTAACACAGTATTTAATTATCTTTCCATATTTGTATTCTGGGTGCAAGGAGATTTTTAGGATTAGAAAACTGATCTCTATTTCCAATATTTAAATAATCAGTAGCATTTTCTATAGTTACTGTTGGCTGAGGGTTACATGGATTTTTATTCTTCCAAACAATTATGAATATTGTTTCCATCTATCTATAAGTAGATGCCCTTGCACCTTCACAGGTGAGACCTTCACCTTTAGAAATACAATTAAGATTTTAAATCACAGCTGGGCGTGGTGGTTCACACCTGTAATCCCAGCACTTTGGGAGGTTGAGGCAGGTGGATCACGTGAAGTCAGGAGTTCGAGACCAGCGTGGCCAACATGGTAAAACCCTGTCTCTACTAATAATACAAAAATCAGCCAGGCCTGGTGGTGTGCACCTGTAGTCCCAGCTACTCAGGAGGCTAAGGCATGAGAATCGCTTGAATCCAGGAGGTGGAAGGTGTAGTGAGCCAAGATTGTGCCATTGCACTCCAGCCTGGGCGACAGAGAGAGACTATGTCTCTAAATAAATAAATAAATAAATCAGAAATAAACACCAGCTTGGCTGCTTACACACTTTCACACTTTTATTTTGCTACTAAGTGGTCTTCATTCATGTTTAAGAAGTAGGATTTATAGGGATAGGTGTGGAATGTTAAACTGTATTATTCCCAATTACTTTACTTTTGTGACGATTAAGCTTTGATGTTTTCCTTGTAGACCTTGCATTCTAATAAATATTAATATATGGTTTCCACTGGTATCAGAAGTAATACTCTGTAAAGATTTTCTGAAAGTAGCTACTTAGTGAAGAATATCTACTGTAGGGGATATAGGGGTAAGGATAAAATTTTCCCTTTGCCCTCCAGAGGTTTGCTGAAACTCACAAAAGGCAGATTAATAGCAGAAATGGCATGCAAATTTATTAGTGTGCATGCGAGAGAATCACCAAGTGATTGCCCCACCATGCAATGGGGTACACATGGTTATATACTTTCTTTCTAGAGGAAAGGGAGACGGGAGGTATGAATGATTTTGGGGGGACACATAGTAAATGATCTTCAGGGAAATTCAATAGACTTGAGGAACATATAATATGGCCTGGGACAAAATCGGTTGGGCCCACAGAGCAGACAATGGTTTGTGACAAAAGTCTGTTCAGGTGTGTTGACAGACTTCAGTCTTGCTTCCTGTGATGTGAGCTTAGTTAATGAAAACTCAAAGAAGAGACCAGAGTAATTGTTTTCTTCTTTGGCAGGTCCAGACTTTAGGCCAATAAGGGAACTTCAGAGAACAACTTCATCCTGTGCTTTGGGAGAGAGAGGACTGACAGGAGGTTGTAGGACGGTGGGGAGTCAGAGGGATCTTGAGAGGCTTCTTATTCTGTTCAGCATGTCAAGGCACTATATTTTGGGGTATTAGTTTCTGAGCTCCAATAGGGGAGAAAAAATTTCTCACCCATTGCAAGGTTCATGGCAGAGGTCCCTGTAACAAAAGACAGATTAACAAGAGAAAAATATAACAAATGTATTGAACATAAATCTTATGTGACAAATGTCTTCAGAAATAAAGACTCAAAGAAACAGGGAATCTGTGTATTTGTATGCCTAGGCATGGACAGCTGTACAGAATTATTATTGGACAAAGGGGGTATCATGGTAATAAATTAGGGAGGTGACTTAGCAAGGCCTATTTTTCAGATCTTCTTGGCATCTCTTTGTCTTCAGATATGAGGACATTGCCCTCCTCTGAGTAGAGGGGGAGCCCTCTGGAATGAGGATCTTATGACCTAATTTCAGTGGAAGGTCAGCTAAATTTTATGGCCTGCTTCAGGGAAGAAGGGGTGAGAGAAGGTTAGAGTCCATCCTGCTGCTGCTATTTTCTCACATGTCAAGCTGACATATTTTGGAGTAGCATGTCCTGAATCCCATCACCACAACACTGTCCTTCAATGAGAAATCAAAAGAGCTAAAAACACGGAAGGATAACTAGTTCATAACAACAATATGAAAAATATTGTGAAGTTCATTGACTATTCCTTGCCATCTTGAGGAGCTCCCTTTTCCACTGTCTTCTGTAGCCCCTGTCTTTCCACTCAAGCTTCTTCTCAAGCCATCATTACCTATGTAACTTCAGAAATATACACTCCTTGCAGCCTGTGTAATTTTTGTAGCCTGCTACATGCCTATACAAGTTTGAGAAAGTTTGAAGATTTTTATGCTTATTAAAGCTTACAAAGACTAAAGGTTTTTCAGACTATATTTGCCTTTCTGTGCCTGGCTTATTTTTCTTAACATAATGACTGTTATGTTAAGAGAAACCATCCATGTTGCTGCAAATAACACGATTTCATTATTTTTACAGATCCATAATATTCCGTTGTGTATACATATCACATTTTCTTTAGCCAGTCATCTATTGATGAACACTTAGGTTAATTCCATATCTTGGCCATTCTAAATGATGCTGTTATAAACATGAAAGTGCAGATACCTCTTTGAAATACTAATTTTCTTTCCTTTGGATGTATACCTAGCAGTGAGATTACTGGATCATGTGGCAGTTCTATTAGTTTTTTGAAGAATCTTCATTTTGTTGTCCATAATTGCTGTACTACTCTGCATTCTTATAACCAACAGTTATAAGCGTTCCCGTTTCTCTGCATCCTTGCTAGCATTTGTTATTTTTTGTCTTTTTGATACTTTGATAATAGGCATTCTAACTGGGGTGAGATGATGTCTCATTGTGGCCTTGATTTACATTTCCGTTATGATTAGTAATGTTGAGCATTTTGTTGTTTTGGGGAGAAATGAGCAGGTTACCTTCTATTCTGCCATCTTGGTAACAGCATTTGTGCCCATTTTCCTTTTCATCTGACCTTTCTTTTATTGTTTGCCCACTTTTTTTTGCTGATTTTTTTTTTACGTTATCCTTGTCTTGGATATTTACATCACCACTACAGTTTTGTCAGCGATACTTTTCATGTTTGAATGTCATTGACACCTTCTCCCAACAAAGTAGGTGTAACAGGTGTAACAGGCAACAGTAGAAGAGCTAAATAGAGATGGAGAAGGCAAGGAGGAAAAGAAATGGAAAAGAAAACAACAATAGAAAAAAAAGGGAAATTTTTGTCTCATTTTCCTCCAAAGGCTTATTTCTTTTCTCTTGCTTTGATGTATTTCACAAAGCCTTTTATTAATGTGTGTATCTGTGCACAATTTGCTTCAAGACTGCTTTCTTTAAAATTGCTTTTGAATGATCACCATTCCCAAATGATGGTCATAATCACAATATACAATCATGTGATAATTACACCTGATGTAAGAAGCAAAATAATGAAAATCTGAGATAACTAGCTGGTATAATAAAAATAAATACTTGGTCTTTGTCCCTGGTTTCTGGCTCAGAACTTCAATACTCCTTGTAATTTTCTGTGTGATAGGAGTGTCTTTTGTTATTCATACTTTCCAACCATACTAGATGCTATGGTAACAAAGGGACTTATGGAGGGGCACCTCTATAAGCTGGTGTGGGCAGCAGAAAAAGGAAGCTCTGATTAAAAGGTTGACACTTTTAGCCTTTACCCTCAACTCCAAGGAGGGCAGAGGGGCTGGGGCCTGGGTTTCATCACGTGGCTAATGATTTAATTAATCTTACCTGCATAATGAAGCCTCAATAAAAACTGAAAAATAAGGCTTGGATTGCTTCCCGGTTGGCGAACATGTTGACGTCCTGAGAGAATGGGGCACCCCAACATCACAGTCACGGAAGTTCCTGTGATTGGGAGACCCTTTAAGACTTTCCTCCACATGCTTTTTCATCTACTGTTCATTTATATTCTTCATAATAACATTGTAATCATATGCATAGTGCTTTTGTTGTTCTGTGAGTTATTTTAGCTAATTATTGAATCTGAGGGTTTATGGGAAGCCCCAAATTTGTAGCTGGCTGGGCAGGAATACAGTTGGCTTGAGGGTACCTAGGACTTATGGCTGGTGTTTAAATTGGGTGCAGTCTTCTGGGACTGAGCCCCTTAACTTGTGGAGTCTTTGCCAACTCCAGGTAGTGTCACAATTGCACTTAATTGTAGGATGCACGCTTGATGCAACAGAATTTATGTCAGAATGCAAACAGTCATGTCTATAAGTTATATATTACTTTTATAGTCAGTGGTAGAACAAAACGATAAGAATTTCTACCAGTGATTGGAGATATCTTCTGGGAGAAATATGGTAAAAATGTCATTTTTTCAATATATTTTCACTATAGAATAGTAAGAAGGCAAAATTTACACATTCTCAATTTAAACTCAAGTGAATAAATATTTACTGAGCACATACTACGAGCCAAATGCCTTGCTGAATTCTAGGCATTACAACATTGAATAAACCACATAGAATTTATAATATGATGGGTGACACAGATATATGAAAACAAACAAAAGCACATTGTCCTACTAATTTTTTCTGTCCAGACAACTTAAGCTACATTTTATTCATAATCTAGGTTCTGGAACAGCTGAGTGGGAGTTTGGTGCTACCTGCCAACACTGAGTTTGATTCATTAAGAAAGATTCTTATCCTGTTTTTAAGAAAATATTTACCTTGTCTCTATATTCATCCAAAAATAATTTGAAAAGAAGGCTAATGAGTTTCTATTTCTTTAAATGAGGAAAAACATTGTTCAATCTATTCTAGAAAAGTTATAAATACAATTTATATGGATAACAATCTTAATGTATAAATTTGTCTATTAATAATATTTATAGGATTGTGATTGTACATAATGAGCCCAAAGTCTTCACATTATGCTACTAAGACAATGCAGTGCATACATTCACTTCAAATTCAGTGTAATTAGCTCCCCATGGAAGAGTGCCACACAGCTGCTGCATATGTGTCTATTGTGAAGAGGAAAATGTATAGCAAATTGTTAAAACCATTAAAATCAAAATATTAAATGCAGAAAAGTAATGAATTTATGTAACTAAGTTAATAAAATTAAATTATTAGAATGTGGTAATTTTATGAAGTTAATCATTTTATGAAAATAAATAATTTATAATACAGTAGTTAACTATTTATTATTCTTAGGAAGTCCAACAATTGTCTTTTCATAAACATATGCACACACACACACACACATCTACAGAAAGAGAGAGAAAGAGAGAGAGATTGCATAATTTATTTCACTTCTCAATAAATGAAAGAAATAAAAATGCTTATAAGTCACAAAAAAGAAAGTATCATCTAGGATGACAAAGGTTACTTTTGGGTGTGCTTTCTTTTTGAAATGTTAAAATGAATATCACATTAGACAAGGACATGAAACCAATGATTTTTTTCTTGCTTATTATTTCTTCCTCTACATTAATAAGTATGTCCATCACTATTTGATTCTGTTTTGCTAGTCTGCAAGGCACTACTCATTTTTGAATTCAGAGTCAAAGAGAGTACAGTACATTTATTCAGCCTTCCATTTCAAGGCAGAGAGAACTGAAATAGGAACCCTTGACTTCACAGCCCAAGTCAAATAAAAAAACATTTCAAAACATTAAAGCCAACAGAGTACCTGATTTATTATATTGGGAAAATGGACACTTATTTGTGAGTTTATTTTAAGTATCTTTCTTGTTGCTATAACCTGTAGAGGAATTACTTGAGAGATTCTGTGCTGAATGCTGTCATTATATTTAGCTTGAACTAATTGGATACAGGCTCAGAAAATGTTCAAATAATTAGTTTACTATTTTCAGTGCATAAATTTCTCCACAAGATGTAGAATTTGTATCATTTGTATTTAAAGTCCTTCCAAATTCCTTCCAGTAATATATTAGGAATCTAAAATTATAGTCTCCGTATACTTATTCATATTTGTAATATATTCATTGTTATAATCAAACTGTATCAGATTAATTGAATATGGATGCATTTAAATTACTGTTAACTCTTTTTGAAAAAAGTATGTTCTTTGGCTTCTTTGACTATTTCATTTTTTGTAATTTCTATAACTATCATATTTTCTTATTTATTTATGTAATATTTTTCAACTTAATTCTTGGGGCTTCAAACTGTCATCAAATCATAAAACTAAACTTAGGACAGTTTATCTTTAATACATCAAACAGATAATAGTATATTTATATAGAATTTCATTCTTTATTTTGAAAGTGATTTTGATCTGTGGGACCCATTATTGAATGCAATTCATCATATGCTCATGTGATTATAACTGATTTAAGCAGTATTTTAGAAGTGTAACATATGGAGCAGTTTTGGTGTATCAAAACAACAAAGTAGTCTAGACTCAGCAATGAGTCATTCATATGCACTCCTGTTAATCTTTCAAAACCATGATATAATTTACATTGACAACCCTCCATGTCATAAAACTTACACAAAAAATTTATGCATCCTTTGTTTATCTTCTAAGGACTCAGATATTTAAATATTATCTTTAAATTTATAGCCTTCCTAACTTAAAACTAATCTCTTGAATGATGATTTTTATGCTCAATAAAAATAAGACTTCCTAACTTAAAACTAATATCTTGAATGATGGTTTGTATGCTCAATAAAAATATTATTTTTAAATTTTTTTGCCTTACTCAAAACCTAGTTTTTACACTTATACTGTAGTTAAAAGGAGTGGAATATCCTCCTTAATTCTTATATGAAGACTATTTTCTAACCTTTTCTGTTCAAAAATTTCACCCAATGGGGATTGCCAAATGTTTCTGTAGACATTTTGAGTGGTTCGAATTCTCCATCTCTTTCCTTGCATTTTACAATGTTTTTTTTTTTGGTTTTCAGACTTTACCTTATCATGAATATTAATGTTGACTTTGCCTGTTTTTGTTATTTTTAGAATTATAGTTGTAACTTAAGAGTTACAATTTTTGAACAATAATAAGTCATACAGAACTTACCTTTATTTGTGTTTTTAAGTATTATAGGTACAAATAGCTTATTTTATAGTTTATAAAAGCACAAGAAAGAACACTGGTTTTAACTTCTCCAAATTATCATTTTAAAAAGTACAAATGTTTTATTCTTTTATTCTATATTTTTATTTTTAATTGACAAATTATTAATTGGGTACAGTGTGACATTTATATATATACACATATATACATATATACACATATATATATTTACAATGTGTTATGATTAGATCAGACTAATTAACAAATCCAGGACCTCACATACTTATTACTTTTGTAGTGAAAAGATTTAAAATCAACTCTTCAAGCAATTCTGAAATATACAATACATTATTATTTATTGAAGTTAGCATTTTTTTTTTGCAATAGATCACTAAGCTTTTTCCTCTTAACTGAAACGTTGCACTCTTTTGATCAACATCCCCTTATGCCCTTCCACCAGTCTCTGGTAACCATCATTGTACTCTCTACTATGAATTCAATTTTAATGACATAATTTTTTTTTAGGCAAAATAGTATTCCATTATGTATATATATATATATATCATATTTTCTTTATCCGTTAATCTGATGATGGACACCTAGGTTGCTTCCATATCTTGGCTATTATGAATAAGGCTGCCATGAACATAGGCATGCAAGACATCTCTTCAACATACTTTTTCAGTTTATTTGAATATATACCCAGAAGTGAGATTACTTATTGCATGCCTATTTTTAGTTTTCTGAGGAAACTCCATACTGTTTTTCATAATGGCTGTCTTGGCCGGGCGCAGTGGCTCATGCCTGTAATCCCAGCACTTTGAGAGGCCAAGGCGGGTGGATCATGAGGTCAGCAGATTGAGATCATCCTGGCCAACATGGTGAAACCCTGTCTCTACTAAAAATACAAAAATTAACTGGGTATGGTGGCGCGTGTCTGTAATCCCAACTACTCGGGAGGCTGAGACAGGAGAATCGCTTGAACCAGGGAGTTGGAGGTTGCAATGAGCTGAGATCGCACCACTGCACTCTAGCCTGGCGACAGAGCGAGATTCAGTCTCAAAAAACAAAAAAACAAAACATAATGGCTGCCTTAATTTACATTCCCACCAACAGTGCAAAGGGTTCTCTTTGCTCCACTCCTCTGGCTAACACTTATTTTGTCTTTTTGATAGTAGCCATTCTAACAGGTATGAGGTGATATCTTATTGTAGCTTTAATTTGCATTTCCCTGATGATCAGTGATGTTGATCAGCTTTTCCTATACGTGTTGGCCGGTTATATATGTTCTTTTGAGAGGTGTTTCTGTAGGTCCATTGTCTTTTTTGTGACTCAGTTATGTGTTTTATTGCTGTTGAGTTGTTTGAGTCCTTATATATTTTGGATATGAGCCCCCTATCAAATGTATTATTTGCCAATATTTTCTCCTAATCTATAGGATGTCTGTTCGTTCCATTAATTGTTTTGTTTTTTGTTTTTTTGTTTTTTTTTTTTTTGACTGTGCAGAAGCCTTTTAGTTTGTTATAATCCCATTTGTTTGTTTATGTTCTTGTTGCTTGTGCTTTTGGGTTCCTAGACAATAAATTATTGCCCAGAGCAATGTTGTGGAATACTTCCTTTATGTTTTCTTCTAATAGTTTGACAATTTCTGGCCTTACATTTAAGTCTTTGAGTTGATTTTTGCATATAGCATGAGATAAGGTCCAAATTTTTGCATATAGCATGAGATAAGGTCCAATTTCATGCCTTTGCTTGCAGATATCCAGTTTTCCCAGCACAGTTTAGTGAAGAGATGATCTTTTCTCCATGGTGTGGCCTGGCACCTTTGTTAAAAAAATCAATAGGCCATTAATTCATGGGTTTATTGCTGGGCTCTTTATCCTGTTCTATTGGTCAATCTTCCTGTCTGCTTTTATGCCAGTACCATTCTATCTAGATTACTATAGCTTTGTAATAGATTTTGAAGTCAGATACTGTGATGTCTCCAGATTTGTTTTTTCTTTTGTTTTGTTTTGTTTTGTTTTTTTCTCTTAAGATTGCTTTGGCTGTTTGAGGTCTTTTGTGATTCTATACAAATTTTAGGACTGTTTTATCAAAATTCTGTGAAAAATGACATTGATATTTCAATCAGGATTGCAGTAAATCTGAAGATCACTTTGAATAGTATGGATATTTTAACAATATTGTTTCTTCCAGTTTATGACCACAATAACGCTTTAGATTTATTTGTGTCATCTACAGTTTCTTTTATTGGTGTTTCATAATTTACAGTATAAAGATCTTTTACCTCTTTGATTACATTTATTCTTAAGTATTTTTTTTTTATGCTATTGTGAATGGGACTGGTTTTAATTATTTTTTCAGGTAGTTTGTTTTTAGGGTAAAGAAACACTGTTGACTTTTATGTGTTGATTTTGCTGAATTTGTTTATCACTTCTAACAGCTTTTTGGTGGAGTAGTTAAGGTTTCAATATACTGTAAGTTCATGGCATCTGCAAACAGAGACAATTTAACTTCTTCCTTTTTTTTTTTTTTTTTTTTTTTGAGACAGAGTCTCACTCTGTCGCCCAGGCTGGAGTGCAGTGGCGCAATCTCCACTCGCTTCAAGTTCCGCCCCGCCTCCCGGGTTCACGCCATTCTCCTGCCTCAGCCTCCCGAGTAGCTGGGACCACAGGCGCCCGCCAAGGCGCCCGGCTAATTTTTTTGTATTTTCAGTAGAGACGGGGTTTCACCGCGTTAGCCAGGATGGTCTCGATCTCCTGACCTTGTGATCCGCCCGCCTCGGCCTCCCAAAGTGCTGGGATTACAGGCGTGAGCCACTGCGCCCGGCCACTTCCTTTTTCTATTTAGATGCCTTTTACTTCTTTTTCTTGTCTGATTGCTCTGGCCAGAACTTCGAATACTGTGTTGAACAGAAGTTGTTTGAATGGGCAACGTTGACTTTGCCCCTGATCTTAGAAGGAATAGCTTTTAACTTTCTACCATTGAGTGTAATGTTAGCTGTGGAGTTTTTATACATGGCGTATATTATGTTGAGGTACATTTCTTCTATGCCTTATTTGTTGAGAGTTTTCCATCATAAAAGGATGTTGAATTTTGTCAAATGCTTTTTATACATGACCTTGCAATATTTGATTTTTAAGTGTGTCCTCAGTAAAAGTATATATCCCTGTAGAACTGGAAAGTTTTGTTAATTATTTTTGTATGCTAAGAACCTAGGTCAGTGCCTGATTCGTAAAAGTAAATTGAGAAATATTTCTTAGTTGTATTGCTTAGAATTGTCTCCTAAGCCATGGAATATTTTGTAGTCAATTAGAAATGTTCTATTTTTTAAGACACATTTAAAATATATATTTAGATTACTTACTATGTTATTTTCTGATATAATTACTATTCACCCAAGTTACTTTTAAGCAGAATTTGAGTTAGTAGATCCCTAGACTAATTTCTAAATATTTTATCTTCCGAAGTGTAAAATAAGAGCCTTTTAATGGAAGTAAGGAATGTAAATTAGTGAAGTGAAAAATTCTGGCCAGTTGCTACCATGACCTATGATATCTGGTTCTCCAAATTTAAAATAAGTCGGAAGTGCAGATTTTTATATTAAATGTTAAATGATGGAACTTATTAAACTTCAATAAATTTAGGCAGCCCAAATGAAACTCCTCTGTAGTTCAGATTTGGACTAATTACTGCCAGTTTGTAACTTCTAGCCATATGTTGTTTTCTTGAGACACAGAGAGGTAGGTTAATGATAGTGTCACAAAAATCTAACTGGATAGGAAATACTAAGTATTAATCATCCCTAATTTTTATTTCTCATATGTAAATTCAGCATGATAAAGTGCAATTCATAAAATTAATCCAAATTCTTCATTGTCCAGAATTAAAAGAGAAAGTAATTGTGTAATGTATTTTTATCAGGATGGAATCAGATGCTTGGAATCTTACTTTTTACATAACTTTAAAGTCAATAGGTTTTGAAAATAGTGTCATAAAAATCTTTTTTTCCTCTCTGTAAGGAAAGTTAATAACAAAAAGACAGGAAATCATACATGCAGAGTGATTCACACAAGCAGAAGGGCAGCATCACTGTGCTTGTACGAAAGGATTTCATAGAGTGGGTAGCATGATACGTATTTTGAAGGATGAGGAGGACCTGCAGAGATGGTTTTGAAACAGAGTTTTGACCTGCAGAGATTGTTTTGAAATCTCTTATATGAAATTGTTACCCACAGTGAGTTGGAACCCAAATATGAGGAAGAAATTTTCAGTATTTAGCTAAATAGTCAATCATCTGACTTACTAATAGTCTGCTGGGAAGTACTGAAAAGTCATCCTGGAAAGCAGTTTGGGAGCTAGACCTTAGAATGCCCTGAATGCTGAGTCTTTGGAGTTTTTGATGCAGTGAATGGGGAGTCATGGCAAGTTTTTAAATGAGGACATGGGGGAGGTGGCATCGTCAGACTTGTACTTTTATGAAATTGATGTGAAATTTCTGTATTTATCTGAAAAGAGACATTATGGGGAAAAGGGAAAGAGTTAGTAAGTTATTTCAATAAATCAGGCATGAGATAATAAAGACCTGGTCTAGGACTGTTAGGGTGAATATATTGATTAAAAACAAAGAGAGAATTCTGGGAAATAACTGACCTTAGTGAGATAAATGATACATTTATTTAAGTATATTAAAATTATAGTACATAAGTAAAAAAATAAGTGGTGATATATAAATGAAGCTCAGGAACAGGATGAAATATATGTGTGTGTGTGTGTATATATATATATACACCTATACATATACACACACACACACATATATATGTATATGCATAGATATACTTGAAGGTTGTGCACATAAATGTATAATTGTAAAGCCTTAAGAAATGTAAGGCTTAGAGAGCCATAAGGAAGGTTAAAAAGAACCACAAGGAAGATGAGTTTAACTAAGGACTTTATCCTGAGGTTCATAAAGGAGAGTCTAGAAAGAAGACAAATCAGAGAAAATGAGCAAGGGGTCCAAGAGTATTCTGGAAGCTGAGATAGAGTGATGTGAAAAGACAGAGCTCCAGAATTAGAATGTAGTTTGTCAAACACTGTAAGAAAGTTCAAGTAGGATGAATGCTGACAAAAACCACTAGATTTAGGAATTACATTATGATTGGGTCCAGAGGAAAGAATGAAGGAATGTAAAAGAATTATAGTTGAGAAAATAGGGGA
Organism: Homo sapiens; assembly: GCF_000001405.40. NCBI lineage: Eukaryota > Metazoa > Chordata > Mammalia > Primates > Hominidae > Homo > Homo sapiens. Next base: position 196,290,135 of record NC_000001.11, on the reverse strand, counting down.
TAGAAACCAGTAATTTGTGCCAATAAAATTCTTGATTTTTTTTTTTACCTCCCACACTGTTCTGTTAAATCCAATAATTTTATCATCTCATTCCATATGGTATTGATGGACACAGATTAAAGGAAACAAAATTTCTGCCAGAAACACATTCCTTCTTCCAAGAAAGGCACATGTTCATGATAATAAAACAAATGGAAAAGTAGGTAAGACCAAACATTTAAAAGTGTCTGAAATCTTTAATGATTTAAATGTCATTGGTATTCTTTTAGATACTTATATAAGTATTTGTTAGGAAAAAAATATCATCAGTAAAACTTCAATTGAATTCAGAATTCTACTAGAAAAGAAATATGATAAATTTAACAAAAAGGAATCATAGTGTATGTTTATACTAGCAACAATAGCAGAAACATTTATTGTAAAACCCAATAACTAGACATAGTAAAGTAAAAAAGCTTTGCATATTGTGACATTACAATTCTTCACATTCTCAAACCTCTGTTAAATAACCAAAGTGACAAAATAGAGGTATTGAGTGAACCTCGAACGTTTGTTTCTTGTTTCTGGCATATGAATGTTCTAAGCATTAAACTATGCAATAAATTGTCTTTTGATGTAGGCCGCTAACATAAGTAGAAAAAATTTATTTATTTTTCCAATCAAATGTCACTGACTGTGTGCCAGGCATTGTGTTAGGCATTGTGTAAGTAACAGAAAGCAAAATCATGGTCTCTGCCCTCTTGGAACATAGGATCTAGCTGAGATAGATTATTAATAAATTAAAAACATAAACAAGGTGTAATAGGTTTCAAAAAAGCTATGAAAGTTTTAACAGGTTATATTCAAGAGTAACTGCAGAAAGACAGGTTTTAAGTAAGGTGATAAGGAAATACCTCTTTGGGGAGGTAATATTTTAGCTGCAATGATAACACCAGCCTAGTCCAGTAAAAGCCTGGGAAGTAGCATTATAGGAAGGATAAAAAAATACAAAGTTCTTGAGGTAATATATAATTTAGCATATTCAAACAACTGATAATAAAAATATCTTTTTAAGTACTTACTATATACAGTAATTTTAGAGGTTTTATTATGTTTATTTTTTGTAATCACAGTGGGATGTAGATGTCAATATGAATCCCAATTCACAGTTATAAAACTGAGGAACAGAGAGCTTAAGTAACTTGTAAAAGATCATACAATTAGTAAGCGGAAACACTTGACTGAAACTATTGTATGTGGTTTCAGAATCCAAGCTCCAAACCATTGTATGTTGTATTGCCTGTATGATCCATATTTTTGGCAGGTGGACCTGTCCACTGGCATCAAAACCCAAGTCCAAATCAACTTGTGATCTGATCTTCCTCCACACTTTCTATTTTACAGAAGGTGCAATCATCTGCCTCATTATCTAGAGACCTGTGTATCATCCTCATCTTCTCTCTACTTTAGTACCAAATTCAATCATCATATCCTCTTAAAATTGAATGTCTAAATGCATTCTGAATAAGATCTGTTTCTGCAAATACCACAGTAGAATGTACATTCGTCTTTCACTAGGATTGCTGCATTAACACTATAGTTTATCTTGCTCAATTTTCCCATGCCACCTCCTCATTCACAAGCCATTTTCCACATTGTCATCAAAGTGAGCATCCTAAAAACATAATCGTATCACTCCTCCTCTTAAAAACACTTTAGTTTTTCCCCATTGCCTGTAAGATGAAATTCAAAATACTTAACATGGTTTCAAAGTAGGGTAACCATATGTCCTGTTATTTCTTAGACAATCTCAACTTATATCATTATTTTTCAGTGTAATTCTTAACTGCATCCCCATTACCTTAAAACATATCTTGGTACTTTAAGACCTAGTCCAAACTTATTGCTCTAGTCTCATTTCTGACCTCTCCATTCAACCCATATACTTAAACTCTATGCTATTGGATTGTTTGTAGTTCCTGAAGTCTCTCAAGCGTTTTATTTTTTTATTTTTTATTTATTTATTTTTTTTTACTTCCACTAGAGAACATGCTGGACATTCTGCTTATAGCTTTCAACTTAACACTCACTCTTCCCAAATTTCTACTCAATTTTAGGTCTCAACTTAGACATCACCTCTAATTCAGCTCTCTGGCTTTTCTACTAAAAGAATAAGCTAGGTGCCCTTCCTAAGTATGTATTACTGCCTAATTATTACATATATTCACCCAAGTGTTTTTGCCTATTTTGCTATTGTTACCATTCACAGCAGTGTAAGTTCTTGCAGACAAGGAAAATATCCCTGTTTGTTTAACTAGCTCCTGGCCCATATTCAACACATAATACTTCTATTAACTGATAAGATACTGTTAGTTCTATATAGGAGCTCTGTATTCCTAGCACTGAGGATGATTGATGCCCTACACAAAGTACGTTCTCAACGCATATTTATTAAGTGACTACTTTAATGCACAAATGAATACATTGGTGTTTGGGGACTTTAATAGTGAATGGAATTAATTTTAATTAGCGTTGCTGTTTAAGGTGGTATCAATAGGATTCAGATGTGTGGAGATGGGAAGAGTTCATTTCCTATAGGAATAAGCACTGTAGGTTAAAAAACTGTTCTGTATTTGAAAAATATAGTGTGTGAAATGGTAATGTAATTGAACCAAGGAATGTTTGTTTGTTTGTTTGTTTGTTTGTTTGTTTGTTTTGAAGAGTAAATGTAACATCAAATTCTCAGGCGTTCCAGCACTTTATTCTGGCTACTCCCTTTAATTTGGGTCTAACATATCATGGCTTGGTCTTCTCCAGGATACTTGTTACACCTCGAGAACTAGGTTTGTCCTCAAATTCACGGGAAAACCTAGCTGTATCACAATAAGAACAGCTAACTCCAGTCATCTGCAAGCCACTCACATGAGCTGTTCAAGTTAAGCACTCTTCACACCTAGGTTTATAAATTAGAGAATATATTAGGATTTCATAGACATAGACAAAAATGTGGAACCGCTTTCCTATCCTTTGCCTTACCTTCTCCCTGTATCTCAAGTGAAGACGCTCTTATAGTGATAGTCATCTCAACTAGACAGACACTATAGATACACGTGAGATGGGAGGCTTCCCTTCCACGAGAACCCACACATTTATTACATTAGAAACAGGAGCTTGCTTCTGTTGCCTCAAGAAGTGAAGGTTGATTTCTTATTTTCTGTATCTTATTCTGATTTCTTATTTTCAGCTGTATCAGTCTTCCTAGTAAAGGGAATTTGTCAACAAAAGAAACTAGAATTTTTGAGGTTACCATTTGTTAAATAGAAGCTTAACTTACATTCTCAAGAAACTCTTCTAAACTTAAACAAATTTGACATTTGCTCTCTTACCTTCATTTATTAAAGGAAAAAAAAATTGCAACAGAATTTTTAAAAAGAAACCCTCATACACCATATCACCCCCCAACTCGTAAGCATTCAAACATACATAAACAACGTGTGTGTGTGTGTGTGTGTGTGTGTATGTGTGTGTGTGTGTGTGTGATATACAGAAGATTAGTTGCAAACTGATATACCAGATGCAATTTATCAGTTAGGTGGAGAAATGAAACTAAGATGATGGACAGCTAGAGACTACTGGATGTACAAAGCCTGTTTTAGTCTGTTAGGGCTACTAGAACAAAGTACTGTAGACTGGGTGGCTTATAGACACCAGATATTAATTTCTCACTGTCTGAAGGCTGGGAATTCCACATTCAAGGTGCTGGGAGATTTGGTGTCTGGTGAGGGCCCATTTCCTAGTTCATAGATGGTACATGGTAGAAGGGGCAAAGAGTTTCTCTTTTTTAAAAAGGCAATTGCATTCATGAGGGTTCCACCTCCATGAACTAATCACCTCCCAAAGGCTTCACTTCCTAATACTATTACCTTGGGGATTAGGATTTCAATGTATGAATTTTGAGGGGACACAAACATTCAGACCATAACAGGTGCCTACCTCCCTATTTTTTTGTTCTCACCCATGAGAATATTTAAAAGCAGGTCTTCTTTACAGTGTTCAGTGTTATGGTACATCGTGTGACGTTAGTTTTTTTTTCACATTTTTTTCAATGATTTTTATTTGTTTCCATTATGATGTCTCTTCTTGTATGAAGAGTAAATACATGCTTAATGTACAAAAAATGTTGATCTTTCTTCACTATTGGGTGTTTTAACTGAGAAAATGTGGTTAGCAAAACGAAAGGGCAGTTTAAAAAATATGATTATCAGTGAAGTAATGACACATTTATAGCTAAGAACCATATGATGAGAACTTTTTACGTATGTCAACACAATTTACTGAGGCAGAAATGCATAAAATGTGGAATGCTCACAAATTTTTCTATCTCAAATTTCTGAACAGAAAGAACGGGAGAGAGGCTCTAACTTGGCCTTTATGTTTCGACTGCCTTTTGCTGCTGGGAGGGTGTTTAGCATCAGTATGTTGGACACTCTGCTGTATCAGGTATACAATATTTCTTTTTATTTTCTCTAAAATGGTTGTTTTCTGTTTTAGATTTTATTTAAATGAATAATACATCTAGTGTTTCACATGCAGCTACTAACTTAAAATTGGCTCCAAAAGTAATTCAGTATTTTATTTCATGTACTTAATGACATAAATGCTCCTATGAAACATTTTGTAAGAAAAATACTATTTTTAAAAATAACCTATGGAAATTATTTCAGGCATTCTTTTGTACCAGTGCCCTGCAGTGTTTAATATATTTAATACATTTTAGTACATTTTGCATGTTACTCCAAGCATATTACTGGATTTAAAAAGGTAAAAAAAAATTACCAACTTAATAAAAACAGCATTCCTTATAGTATACATTTTTTCCAGGTTTGAAATAAAATACCAAATTGATGTCAATAAACTGATAAACTAAGGACATTTTAAGAATCTGCTGATTATTGCCTATTTTAGAAAAATATGAAAAGACTACAACAACTAAAACCACTGAGTTTGTTCCTGAATGCCAAGTTAACTTTTTCATTTTATCATAGCTAAGAGGTTTGTGGAGGTGTTTGTTCACACTAATATCATCGTTTTTGTCTCTGCCAGAAACTGAATAGCAGTAATATCTCATTTTTTCTGATTCAAGTAATCAGACAATCTCTAAATATTTCCATTAAGAAGAAAGAAATATTCGTAGAGTTTTAAATTATTTGATAACATTAATCTCAAATTAAGCATTTCAGCATTTTATTGTACCTATTCTTTTTGCTTATTTATGTACTGTCTTCTATAATTGCTTGACTGAACAAACTAATCCAAAGAAAGTTAAAGCTTTTCTGCAGAACTTTGGGCTAATTTTGCCCATGATTATGCCTCTAGCAACGTCAGGAACCATCTGCTTATGTCAGATGAGAGCTGGAGCAAACACAACAAAGTAGAATAAATACCCCTATTATCCCTAAAGTTTCCAGACATATTATCTGGGTACTACAGGAGGCAGGGCTCCCACTCCAAACACTGTTACCAAACACACATACTTCTGATCTCTTAAAGAGATTAAATTGCAGGGGATGGTTTATTTGAAGAGCAGTGTTGAAACTGAAGATTTTATATCAATAGGAGCCAAATGCTTGGGTACCATTATGCACCAGTAGTTTTAAGATTTTTTTAGCCACAGTATCCTCTGTTTAAATAAAATCTTGTAAGGAAATCTCATGTATAAGTTAAATAGAAGAAAAACTGTTCTAAAAACTGTTCTATAGAAATGGAAAGCAGTAGTTTTTTCTTTCTCTTTGTTTTTGCCTCACGTTTATGTTATAAATAGAGATACAGGAAATTGCATGATTTTCTGAAACTTCGGAAGAAAGAGTGAACTAGAACTATATATATATATATATATATATATATATATTTTTTTTTTTTTTTTTTTAAGACAGAGTCTTGCTCTGTCGCCCAGTCTAGAGGGCGGTGGTGCGATCTCGGCTCACTGCAACCTCTAGCTCCCAGGTTCATGCAATTCTCCTGCCTCAGGCTCCCAAATAGCTGAGATTACAGGTGTGCACCATTACATCTGGCTAATTTTTGTATTTTTAATACAGACGAGGTTTCACCATGTTGGTCAGGCTGGTCTCGAACCCCTGACCTCAGGTGATCGGCCAACCTTGGCCTCCCAAAGTGCTGAGATTACAGGTGTGAGCCACTGTGCTCAGCCTAAAGTCTTAAATTTTGACACAGTAAACATATTTTGCATTTCAATACATACCTGCATTTGTGTGTGTGTAGATGTGTATGTATATATAACTGAAACAAAATATTAACAACACTTACCCTTTCTGCTCATAATTTGCTGTACTATTTTCTATCTTACTGAATATACTCTATTTCATTTTAAAAAATTGCTGGCATTAATTCATAACTATTTTGTGGCTTTTTTAAAAAACACTTAAGTAGAGGACTTCTGAATTAGTAAAATCCAGAGCATAATTTCTCTTCAGTGGGACTTTTGATCTACTGTCAATGGTTCTTGAATGATTGGGAATTATTTTCAGTCACATTTTCTTTAATTGCTTACTAACAAAATGGTCTGTGTCTGTAAAGACTATTCTAGCTTTCAACCTTTCCAATAATATAAGAGATGCACTGTCACCCCAGGGAAATGCAATGATTCTATTTATCTATTTATTTATTTATTTCATTTTATTTATTTTTTGTTTGTTTGTTGTTTTGAGATGGAGTCTTGCTCTGTTGCCCAGGCTGGAGTGCAGTGGCGTGGTCTTGGCTCACTGCAAGCTCTGCCCCCCGGGGTTCACGCCATTCTCAGCCTCCCAAGTAGCTGGGACTACAGGTGCCCGCCACCACGCCCAGCTAATTTTCTGTATTTTTAGTGGAGACAAGGTTTCACCGTGTTAGCCATGCTGGTCTCGATCTCCTGGGACCTCCCAGGAGTGCTGGGCCTCCCAGAGTGCTGGGATTACAGGCATGAGCCACCTCCTTAATTTTTTAAAGGTTCAATTTTAGGCCTGGTGTGTTGGCTTATGCCAGTAATCCCAGTATTTTGGGGTGGCCAAGGCAGGCGATCACTTGAGGCCAGGAGTTCTAGACCAGCATGGCCAACATGGGAAACCCTGTCTTTACTAAAAATACAAAAATTAGCCAGGCGCCATGGCGCATGCCTGTCATCTCAGCTACTTGGGAGGCTGAGGAAGGAGAATCACTTGAACCCGGGAGGCGGAGGCTGCAGTGAGCCGCTATCATGCCACTGCACTCCAGCCTGGATGACACAGCAAGACTCTGTCTCAAATAAATAAATAAATAAATAGAAGGCCCTATTTTATCATGAAGTGTTGTGGAAAAAGAATATGCAATAATAAATGATAAATATAGTTTAGAAATTTACTTCACTAGCTTAGAGCTTAATACTAAAAAAAGACTGAAATTTTTCATTGAAAATTTGTTTTAATTGTTTCAAGTTTTTATGATAGTCATCATTTCATTTGGGGTTTTTGCTTTAAAAATTCTAAAAATTTTTTATCATGCCTAATAACACACATAAAATGTAAGCATAGTTAGATATTTCTAGACAAAAATTATTTCCTGTGTTTCCTTATGAACAGCTTAACTGTACATGTTTATCTAGGATACTAACAAGATAGATTAAATTTACTTTTGTATGGAGGGTTAAAAATGTGATATGAGAAATAATCTTTTAGAAGTCAGATGTTCACACTTTTAGCTGTTCTACACATCTCATACACATTATATATAAATATACATTTATATATTGTTTGTTTGTTTATATTGCAGTCATTTGTGAAGGATTATATGATTTCTATCACGAGACTTCTGTTGGGACTGGACACTACACCAGGATCTGGGTTTCTTTGTTCTGTAAGTTAATAATCTCTAGAATAAAAGATAGTTGTGATAGAAGGTTCTGAAATCTATCTACCGTGTACTTTGCTAATTCTTCTATGTCATGTGTTATTTTTTGTATTGTGAATCCAGATGCATTTGAGTTTTTAAAATTCCTTTAAAAATTTCAAGGAAAACATATTATTTTTACTTAATAATCATAATAAATAGCCATTTTGTGTAAAATGCTGAATGAATTTGGCCAGGCGTGGAGGCTCACACCTGTAATCCTAGCACTTTGGGAGGCTGAGGCGGGTGGATCATGAGGTCAGGAGTTAGAGACCATCCTGGCTAACACAGTGAAACCCCGTCTCCACTAAAAATACAAAAAATTAGCTGGGTGTGGTGGCGGGCCCCTGTAGTCCCAGCTACTCGGGAGGCTGAGAATGGCGTGAACCCAGGGGGCAGAGCTTGCAGTGAGCCGAGATCGCGCCACTGCACTCCAGCCTGGGCAACAGAGTAAGACTCCATCTCAAAAAAAAAAAAAATGTTGAATGAATTTTTTTTTGTTAACTGGCAATTTGAAACTGCCGTAGGATACTATACTGTCCACAAAAACGGTGATCATGCTTTTTAACTCCTTTGTTTTATAGATAAGTATACTTTGTCCAAGTATGCTGAATGAAATGATTTGGTAACAGTTCAGATTTACAAGAAGCAAAGGGGCACTACAATTTTTGTTTCCTGTCTGGTATCACGATGCTTATTCTACTATTCATCTTTCTCAATATAGGCATTATTGGAACATTGGGTGGAACAAGTCAGTATGGTGCTAGAGTGTCTTTTGCACTTCGCATTTGGTAACATCAGCATACCCTGTACATTAAATACCAGTGTCAGCCTCCAGTTATTGCAGCATGCAAAATAGTTTCCATATGCTTTACATTTCCCAGTCAATTACCAGTGCTCTATTGCCTACTGATAACGAACTAATATAATGTCATACTGCCCTAAATTGAGTACTCGGATTTCTTAAGTTTGGTGATGCATAATAAATAAATTTAATACATGGATAAGCATGAAATATTACTTGGAGATTTCCAAATACTAATAATTTCTCCCTTTAAGAAGTGAAAAATGCTTCAGCCAGGGATGTCGGTTGAGTCTGCAGTGAGCCATGGTTGCACCGTTGCACTGTAGCCTGGGTGACAGAGTGAGACCCTGCCCCCCACAAAAATAAGCAAATAAAGAAATGTAAAGTTACCACTAGGTTTTTATTTCTGACACATTTAATATGTAAATAATTTGTGTGTGTTATAGATGAAAATCACTGCAGATGACTTATGGATCAGAACTTATGCCAGACTTTATCAGAAGTTGTGTTCTTCTACTGGAGATGTTCCCATTGGAATCTACAGGACTGAGTCTCAGAAACTTACTACATCTGAGGTTTGGAAATAACAAAATATTCTTGTTTTGATGTTTAATCTGATGAGTGCAATCATTCATAAGCTTATAAACTGATTTATAAAAAATGCAAGAGAAAGTGAAAAAGAATGCTACCTGAATACGTAGTGTTAAATCTCAGAACCAAATTTTTTTTCAACTATTTGTTTTACTAAACTATGTCAGTCTTCCAAAAAATATTGTTGGCTAAGGGGCTGTTCTAAGTTTATGGATGTTGGGCTTTAGATGACTTTTGTAGATCTAGGATTAGCTGTTTTGGAAGATTATCAGGAAGCAAATTAATTACAAATAACCTTGAGGTTCTGACACATAAGAAAAGTTCTCAGGGCAAGCAACCTAGATTTCTAATGTATACCCCTACTGCATATATTAGCATTTTGAAGGAAGCAAAGCAAAGATAATTTAGTAAGTGTTAAAATTCACATTTCTCAATCTCTAGATTGGTGACCACTCTAAAGCCAAAAGAAAACTCTGAGTATAAGAGTAGTGTCAGATCTTCCCAAAGTAAACCTCAGTAAATTTAACAGCAAACTTGATCTTGTTAGTATGGAAGGAGAATCTCTGGTAAGTTCATGCACCCGAAACATATTTGCATTTTGATTTGATCACTTCATGTGGTTCATGTTGTTCTAAGTAATTTTTATAGCCTTAGTGTAATATCACCTTTTAGGTCAGACTCTTTTTTGAAATAAAGATTTTGGATGAATTCATCATTCTATCAATATCTATAAAATTATTTAATGTAAATTATGGTTTGTATTCTTGAATTTTTTTTTCTTCAGACACTTCAAAGTTATTACAAATTAAAAAGAAATTTTGGTCAGCCATTTTTTTTGGTCTGATACAAAATTACCTCAACTTTGAGGCTCAGATCAGACACATACATTTCAGTAATTTCTATGATCATTAAACCACCTAGTGACAAAATTAATAAATCCCTATATAGAAAAGAACTTTATAGAAAGCATAAAGATAACGGGGTAGATTTTTGTTGTTGCTGATCAAATTTATAGTTTGACACTTATATAAGTTACCAGCAGAAAATAGGTTAGTTTTTCTGAGTTGCTTCTTGGTGGTGTCACTTTAGCTTCAGGAGTGTTAAATGGAGCTATGTGGCCTGGCACAGTGGCTCACACCTGTAATCCCAGCACTTTGGGAGGCCTAGGCAGGTAGATCACAAGGTCAGGAGTTCAAGATCAGACTGGCCAATATGGTGAAACCCCATTTCTACTAAAAAAAAAAAATACAAAAATTAGTCAGGTGTGGTGGTGCACACCTGTAGTCCCAGCTACTCGGGAGGCTGAGGCAGAAGAATTGCTTGAACCTGGGAGTCGGAGGTTGCAGTGAGCCAAGATCACGCCACTGCACTCCAGCCTGGGTGACAGAGCGAGACTCTGTCTCAAATAATAATAAAAAAAAATTTTTTAATGGAGTTTTGCTGCCGTCTCTCCTCCTGAGTCTGAGTTTTTCTTTTCCTGTGGTGGTTGTGGTTCACACTGCAAAGAATGAGACAAATCAAGAGAAAATCAGGAATGACTGACTGGAAAAACAAACCAGACAGTTAAATATGTAAGATGTTTGTCTAGATATGCCTAAAATTTTAAGAATACTGGATTCAAAACAATATTATTTAATTAAAGGTTAAGAGAAGATCAAGTGCTTTCATACCCAAGTAATTAAGCACGATCATGATCTGTTCAGGCTGCTATAACAAAATACCATGGACTGGGTGGCTTGTAAACAACAGAAATTTAATTCTCAAAGTTTTGAAGGCTGAGAAGTCCAAGATCAGGGCACCAGTTGATTACGTGTCTGTTGCCGACCTGCTTCCTGGTTCTCAGATAGGCATCTTCTCACTGAATTCTCATCTGGTGGAAAGGGAAGGGGATCTCTCTGAGTCCTCTTTTATAAGGCTCTTTCATGATCTAATCACCTTCCCAAAGCCCCACCTTCAAATATCATCAACATTGAGGATTAGGTTTTCACATATGCATTGTGGGGTGATGGAGAACAAATATTTAGTGTATACAAATCATTTCTTATTTGACCATAGCAAGTACAAAGAAGACTTTCATACAGTAGAGTGTTGCCCTGATTTTTTGTCTCACATATAGGCTTTGGGAATTGTAATGCAGTAAATTCTGGCCTTGGTCAACTCCATGTCCATGTCAGTATTATGTATTATAATAATGTTCATATATTATTAAAATACTTCTTTTGTGCTGTTGACATTGCAGATAGGAAAAGGATACTGAGTATTTGAATTGTCATCAAGGAGTATTTAACTACATTTAGTCAACTCTGCCCATAGCAAATAAAGATTACCTCATTAAAATGCTTGTAAATTCTCAAATATCTAGATTATATTAAAAATATATATCATTGGGATGATAAAAGGACACTGTTTTAAATAAAAATAATGCCTCTTGTTTTTCTCTACTGAATTCAATCCATCTTCTGACACACATATTGTTATTAAATTAAATTCTGCCTATTGTAGAAAGAATTGAGGCAACTAACAAAGATAAACAGTAGAAACATCAAGCACTTTTTACAACAAAATATTTTGTCGTAAATGTTTTGAGAAGTTAGTGTTACTGTACTAGCATAAACTGAGTGCTACAGTTGAGCCTGACTTCTATTTTTAATTTCCTGGTAAATAAGGTAAAAAATAGCAATATGTTGATCTATATAGTAATTATGGTCTGATACATGAAAGGATAAAATTCATCTTGCAAAAGATTTGTTTTTCTTGGTCATTTTTTAAAAGAATGAGTATATTATTTGCTTCCTGAATTTGGAGATTTTAGATACCATGATGAGTAATATCTATCTTTGCTCATAGCTTTGCAAGATGAAAAAAATACCATTAAAGTGCATATCTCTTACATTAATCTTTAACTAAAAAAGTAGGAAGGGATATCAATTAAATATTAACCCAATAAAGACATTGAGGTTTTTTTTTGTATTTAAAGAATAAAACATTATTTTTTTAAGATTATATAAAAACGCAGAATAAGAGCTTAGTGGATCTAACAAAATAAAATTGACTCTGACAGTTCACCATGTCTCTCAAATATGAAATGATTCAAAAACAAAGTTTTGAAATTTAAATAACCATTAGTGTTCAAAATGGCCCTGTTCTCTTACTTGAACTTAAAGAAAGACACTAGATTTCAGGAATTAGAAACTTCTTTCAGTAATTACTATTGGAGAGTCTATATTTTTGCTTAGGTTGCTGTCAGATCTCAATTTTCCTCAACAGTTCAGAAAGCTTTGCTGCTGTCAGTCTCTCCATATAAACACATATTAAAGGTTTAGTCTATGGAAGTGGTCTGTGGCCTCTGGACCCCGGAAAGAGTTGAGGGCTAGGAGTATCACACTGAATTCTGAACGCTAAGTTAAAAGATACATTCTGTACGCTTTACACTTCAGCAGATTGAAAGACTCTTTCTTAGGGAAACTGACCAACCCACGTGGAAGGCCCTAAAAATACAGATGTGGGAGATTCTTTAAGTTTGTAATCCAGCCAGATCACCATGAAATGCAGCAATAAAAAGAATCTCACCCAGAGCTTTCAGTTAACTTATTAGTCATTTACTCTAAGAAGAAGACAACTAAAAATTCCCAACAGAAGTGAAAAAGCTTATAATATGAAGTTCAGGAAGTTATTGATAAACTAGAGCAAGAATTCAAAACATGGACAATGAGTAAAGAAAAGATAAAATTAGAGAATTAGTCTAGGAGTTCTAAGATTTGAATCACAAGATTTCAAGAAAGAGGAAATGCATACAAATTGAAGAAATATTACTGTAATAATTCTAGAAAAATCAGTAGTGTGTTAGTTTCCAAATGGTAAGGGTTACCATGTGTCCACAACAGTGAATTAAACAGTGAATCACATCACCAATTTTCAAAACACTGAAGGAAAGGAGGGGATCCTAAAATCTTTCAGAGAGATGAGCAGGAGACGTGCGATAGGTCACATACAAGGTACTATTGGGGTTTTCTCAACAGCAATACCACAAGCCAGAATAAAATGAAACAATGCTCTCAAGATTTTGAAAGAGTATTATTTTCAAATTAGATTTTTTTATCCAGTCAAAGCAAAGTTGTGTAAGAGTAGAATAAATCAGATATCAAATATATATATTCTCCAAAAATATCCTTCCCAAGTCTGCTGTCTAAGGAAACTACTCCCACCAGAATGAATGAGTAAAATGAAGGAGAAATAATGATCTGCAGGAAACCAGACGTTTTATGGAAACCAGCGACAAGAATGAAGTAAAGAGGATCAATAGGATGGTGATGTAAAGACCCCCAAGCATAAAGGGAGACCTAGAGCAGGTCAGAAGGCTTCAGAGAGAATTCTTTAGGAAGATTAATCCTGATGCATCTCAATGTTTTAAATTAATATTAGAAAGTTGCCAAAGAGTTCAGGATGAATTATTGCATATATCTAATTACATATCAAAGCAATTAATACAATAAAGCAATTACTGACCTTAGGAATATAACATCGTTATCAACAATGAAAGAATGTGTGCAGGAAATGAATACTAACCACATACCTATATATCTTATCTGTAAAGTATACTTAGTCATGGTATGTCCTGAATTTTGATCCAATAAAAATTATGTTGAACTATTTTGAGATGATGAGGGCAAAGGTAGTGGAATATATGGAAAAGACTGTTAATGACTCTTCTTGCAGAGTGAGAAGTCAATAGATAAAAGCAGAAACTGAAAAAAACATGAAATAATAATCAGGCATATTCTATAGAAACAGAGAGAGAAAGAACAACATAACCAACTAAAAGAGGCAAAAGTAGATGGGTCTTATGAGAGGGAATTAAGAGATATTATGCTATAAGCTGCTATTTTTCTAAACCAGCTATAACATTTTCTGACTGTTCAAACCATGCATGTATAACTAGTAAAAAGCACTAACAGATGTAAAGGCATAATGTGGTGATATCAGACCCATTCATTAATTATTTCTTTAGTATATACACATTTAAATGCTAAATTCTACTCTGTACTATGAAGAACATTTATTAAATATCAGCTTTTTACATAAGGATAAACTAATATAAAGACTTTAGGCTTTGCTTTCTGGTTTATTCATGGAAAAAAAAATACTTTTAAAGGCAGATGCAGGTTTTCATGCCACATCATTTTCCAGCCTGTCATCTTTCCATGTTCTGAGTAGAGAAAACAAAAGTTATCATTTTTTATATCTCTGATATAACTGCTTTGGCTGTGGGAGTGGGAAAGCACTGCCTAATGTTTAGCTGACATTTTTAAAAAGACAAACGTTGGTAAAGAACATTGATAATCAAAACTATTAACATTTATAGAAGGCCTGGAATACTATCTCATTTTTTTCTGGTGTGATGTAGATTAGTGAAAGGAGAAGTCACACAAACACAGCAGAAAGTAAAGTGAGGGTGCACACAGTGGCTGGAAAATCAGTCTATGGAAAGCAGAGTAGAGATGGAACTGCCCATTCATAATTAGTCATATGCCCTCCATGCCAGGAGAACTTCTGCCACTATCTATGTGTTTTCAGTTCAGGGAATTTTGACAAACATCAGATACTCCTGGTTCGAACAACATATATAGGAAGGACAGGGACACATATTACTCTTAGTGGACAAAAAGGATCAGTATTTTCCTTCTCAATCCATAATATAAAAGTATAAAATGTCAAAAGGCTCCCTGAAGTCATTTAGTGGCAAAATGTCACCTTAATTTTCATGAGATTATTTATAATGTTTACTTATTCCATTGAGAGTGAATATTTATACTTTTCATTGCAGAAATATTAATTTTTGAAAATGAAGGCTACCTAGGTTCCACTGGGGGTATTAGCTACTATATAGCATATAACATAGTATTAATTTTCCAAAATCTGAACAATTCTGAATTATTAAGCATATTTGTCCTTTGGTTAAGAAAAGGTAGACCTATGTTTGCCTCCAGTTTTCCAGTGTGCAGAAAATCTCATTTGTTTGAAGTATACTATAACCAGTGAACATTTTACTAGGAACCAGAAAAACATCTTTTAAAGCATATTAATATACCAACATAATTTATAGTGTATGCAGTACATTTGTGGAATGTGTTACCCTGAATTTTGGCCACTTTTATAGTGAATAAATCTTGTAGCTTCCAAAAATGTGCATAGTGGAATAAACATTGTCCCATGTGCCAATCATTAACACTTTACTATTACAATGGGAAGTAGCTTTTAAAATATATTATTAAGATACAAATTTACCTATTATAAAATCTCATTAAGATTATTTTAATAAGGTTTAGGATTGACTGGTTGTAAAATTCTACCTGTCCATTCTTTGCTATTATTCTCTCAAACAACATTTATTCCATTGTGTCATGTGTAAGGAATCCTGAAATAGTTTCAAGAAACCCACAATCAAATGTTTATTATGCATTTCTTATATTTTCAGTTATAGATAATACTATTATAATACTTATAATACTAACACTAGAGGAGTTATATTACAAGTTATATTACATCAAATAATATACTTGAAAATGTTACTTCCACCTATTCAAAAATGAATAGACTATTGTTCTTTAAATTTGAAGAATAAGACAGCATGATTTTTATTTATAACCCCTACTTAGCTATGATACATTGATTAAGGAAATCAATTAGTTTAGATTCCATAGCCAATATGAAAGCTCAGAATATTTCTGTCAACTAACTTAATTACATATGTATGTAGGAGAAAAAATCAATCTTACTGTAAGATCTGAAATTAAAAAATAGTACAAATATTAACACCAATAATGATTATAGAATGTCAATAATTATATCAAGTATTCTGTTATGACTATAGTAGCTTTATAAGCTACTACCAATTATTTTATTTTCTTCTACAAGCACCACTTTTTCTATCAAACTTTTATACTTAAAGCATATTAATGTACCAATATCATTTATAGTGTATGGAGTACATTTGTGGAATGTGTTACCCTGGATTATGGCTACTTTTATAGTGAATAAATCTTGTAAATTCCAAAAATGTGCATAGTGGAATAACCATTGTCCCGTCTGCCGATCATTAACACTCTACTATTACAATGGGAAGACAATTTCAGCAAAACAAAAACAATCTAACAAGACTGAATCTTTAAAAATAATAGCTTATTCTTTATCTAATTTTGTTCAAAAGCCATACGAGAAATATGCATGCAATTGGATTTTGTTATGTGGGTATATGTTACATTTTGTCCTTGTTACTGATTGTTGGCATGCATCTATTGTTTAGTCATTGTTTAAACTGTGTTTTGTGTGTTTCTTTTTCCCTCCCGTTGTGTCAGTCTCGAAAAATAGCATCACAAGTAAGTATTTTCTGTTTGTTTCCCTTTCCTCAAATGGTGTAATATATTAATTCAGAGCTATTAAAGAAAAATAATATTAAATATTGAATTTAATACTCAGACATTAAAATGAAATAAATCATTTAAACTTAAATGCATATAAATGTTTTCTTTTCAAATTAATGTACTTATATTTCCCCAGTAAATTTCCTGGAATTTGCCATTGTAAAGATTAAATTCTAAGAAGTATTTGTTTCGATATTTGTGTGCTAATTAAAGTTAATAATGAAAGATATTTCAAGATATTATCATGGTTTTTAAAGTGATTAGAAAACTAGTTTTCTTTTGCTTTTCAACTTTTTAGAGTAGACCTCCTTTACTATGCAGGAGAACCCTTATGTTATTCTTAGTGCATTCTCTAATTAGACATAAAAGGTTATAGATTTCAGACTGATTTATTTCAGAAGATGTTTTACTTAACCATGGTGTATGTAAATATTCTTAATAATATTATAGTGAGACGTCTTAAGATCTCTCTTAGCAAATTTCAAGCATATGATACATTAACTGTAGTTACCATGCTGTACTTTAGGTATCCAGAACTTATTCACTTTATAACAGAAGGTTATCTTTAACCATCATCTTCCCATTTCCCCCATCCTCTGGCCATTGGTAACCACCATCCTACTCTTTTTCCATGAATTTGACTTTTTGAGAGAAGGAGAACAACATGGATGAACCTGGACAAGATTACGCTGAGTGAAATAAACCACATGTTTACAAAAGATGTTTATAGTTTTTTTGGTCTTTTCTACACATCACCTTGGGGCGTTAATCGCTTCCTGTGGTTTCAACAAGTCATCTATGTTGATAGATGGCAAAGCTGGGTTTGTAGCTCTATCTGTTCTAATTCCTTAACATGAAACACAAATACATAAACTTTATCTGGAAGATCCTCTCCATCTTGTTATCTACCAGAATTACAAATATTTATTGGGTAACACTAGGCACCAAATGCATCCAGGTAAGTACTTAAGATACATAAGCAAAAAAAAGGTTTTTCAGAGGGTTGACATAAAAACTTCATGGCCTTTCTTCGATTTAATTAATTTTGGTGGATTTAATATACCAAAACTTTCTTCCCTTCAATATCTTGCATAGTGCAGCCAGATTGATGATCATTTTTCTTTACTCACATGATAAAGAATCCGTAGTGTATATCTGATGCCTACTATTTCAAATAAAAATTTTTATTGCTGGATTTTAAGCTACTCTATCCTCTTGTCCCATTCCTGGACAAGTCACTTATCCAATTATTTTGCCTGACCAATTAGCACTGGGCTTGGAACACAATGATCTGAGTTTAAATCTTGCCCTCTCCTTTTACTAGCTGTGCCTGAACTTTGGCTATATGTAGCAGAGTGAAGATTAAGTAAAAAACATATTCTTATCATTTCACAAGGTAGAAGAAAGGCAGAGATGTGTGGAGTGAGTTGTTCAGTGTTAAAAGCAAGTAATTCTGTGGCAAAGCTCATAGAGTAACGTAGATCTTACTTCATCATTCTTCATTGGTGCATTGTTTTTGGGTGGATGATACCACCTCAGAGAATGTTCATGTCAATTCACTTAAAGTTATAAATAAAATATGTAAAGTAAGTATTCTCGTGATTAAGTACTTTCATATTAGTCAAGCACAGCTGTGTTCACTGACCTTCGATGCATCCTAATTCACAGATAGGCACACACAAACACACACTCGCAGACATAATGAGTCTGAGCTCATCTGTAATTCTGTTTCACTTTCTCTCTAACAAAAACTGTACTCTTAAATCTTTCTCTTACCTTATTTTATAATTTTTTCCTAATATTTTCTAGTTCTACTGATTCTTAATCTCATTCATTCTCAAACCCAGGAAAGCATTTCTTACTTTCATTATTTACCTACTTTAACTTAATAAGAGTTTCACTGGCACACTTACTAACAAGAGGCTATTTAATGCATCCAATTTATTTGACTTAATTTAACTACGTAGTCATGGCTTTCTGTCCACTTAACGTCTTAAACTGCCTAAAGATCATTCTTGTACTTAGCACTGCCACAGAAAGTAACTTAAGCTTTTAATCACAGCTCCCTGTCAAATGGCTGCTAGTCTACAAAATGAAAACTGAAGAGAAAATTATAAAGTTGATTTAAGTTCCCTAGGTCTTCATAAGGAAGTCATGATCTGTAAGCAGTGGTATATTTAGATCCATAGTACTATTTTAGATAGACTATTTACATAAGAATACAAATATTTGTATTTACCAGGTCTTATAGTATTCTTTTCTTTAATTAAAGCATTGCATGTAACATAAAAATTTTCTTTCCACAGGCTTATTTATCCATTGGTTCTCAGATGCTGCAAAGGATAAGGGAATTATGTGTGTGTGCGTGTGTGTTTGTGTGTGTGTGGTTGTGTGTGTGTTTAAAATCTTTTGTGTATGGTTGGGGAGGTGCTGTACTCACATTAGAATCACTGTACTGGCTTTTGAAAGCTTCACAGTTAGGTCCTTTCTTCTGGACTATAATATAGTGAAGGTGATTGAGTGATAGCCCCTCTGGCCTACCTTGTAGTGTGTAGGTTTTACACATACATGCACACACACACACACACACACACCTGCATGTTGAAACCATTGCTTTAGTCTATATATTTCAGTAACTGGCTTACCTTATAGTGTATAGGTTCTACACTTACACGCACACACACATACACACACACTCATATACACACACATGCATGTTGAAACCATTGCTTTAGACTATATATTTTGGTAATTCTGGAAAATTATAAATTGCACTGCTAAGTTAACAGAGCTGGCAATGAAACCGTGATTCTAATGATGCATACAATTTGACTGCCTGTATGCGTACGTTGAATTTGTGTGTTTATACAATGCTTTTCTCTTTGTTGATTTTGTTTGTAAGTCAATTATAGAGTCTAACATGATTCAGCTGTCTAGCAATATTCTTTACAAATATATATAAATATGCATAATATATACAAACCTAAGCATACATACTTAATTTTTTGTGTGTAGAAAGCAAATACGTTTTTATATTTGGTGATGTGATTTCTAGACATTTAGACATAAAATGAACCTTTTGGTTACAGAAACCGTTCTTTAATTTTCTAACAAATGAAAAATTAATTATAATGAAATCAGTCTTGATTTGGGCTAGGCTGATTTAGACCTTGGGCCACTATAATCCCTACCAAATAAATAGTAGATGGGTAAAGACATGTTTTGAGATCCAAAAAAGTAGTTATCAAATTTACATCAATAATAATTTTGGTGCTAATAATATTATTTTTAAAATTTGCATTAACTTTTAAAAGAAAAGCAATTCTATACCTTTAGAAAAGATAAAAAACATCCCACTACTGCACAGTGAAAGAAAACAGAAATAGTCTGATTTCATAAGAAAAACAATTAAAAAATAGTATTAGTGACATAAATGGAGTCATATGATGGAGAAACATGAGAAAATTAAGGCTATTTTATTAAGTATTTAAAATAAATTTCTGAACACCACAACTCAAAAGTTATGAGTACGTTACAAAAGGATTGTAAACCTTAAATATTGAAAATTGTTATTTGGAAAATTTATTTCTCAGGGTCATTGGTAACCTGTGTAGCATACTTGTATGAATGCAAGATGCATGACCTGTATTTGAAACTTCCGCCATAAGCATTGCTAAATAAACTAATAACATTTTCTCAATTCTCCTCTTCTTCAGTGTCTTTATAACAATAGGTATTTTTTATGGCAGGTAGATTACAGGGGAAAAAAAGGCTGTAGTAAGAGCTAGTTGATAATATCCAACACCTCATTTCATTCCAAGAAAAAGACTTCTTCCTTGGCCTCCATGATAGCTAATTTTTGTATATAGTCCCATATTCTTAATTCCTAATTTCTCTTCTGCTTACTAGTCCACAACTGAAAATACTGAGATATAAAACTTGAAATTGGGAGCTTACCTCTAAACTTCTGGACTATAATACACTGAAGGTGATTGAGTGATAGCCCCTCTGGCCTACCTTGTAGTGTGTAGGTTTTACACGTACATGCACACACACACACACACATATACACACACTCGCATGTTGAAACCAGACCATTGGGCCACTATAGTCCATACCAAATAAATAGTATGGAAATCATGCCTACGTTTTTATTATTGTATCCAATGTGCTTTGCACAAGTGCTCAACATATATTTGCTAAAGTCAATCACAGATATCTTTCTTAACATAGAATCATTCTTTCAGATCTGCTCACACTTACATTAATTCCATCTTTACACAATTTTATTTGTACCACTTCTGTCATTAATTTTGGTACCTATCATTTTACCCTTAATTATTATGTAATTGTTTATGATTGTACGCCTTTGATTTCTTCACAGATTATAAGGTGCTAAGTGGATGGGACATGTATTGCATTATTTCTTTATTATTATTATTATTTTTTACCTAGATCTAATGATTGTATACATAAACTGGATATAGTTCTGAGGAGAATTTTTACCACTCCACAGAGGCAGTGTGGAGAATTCACCCAAAATTTGGTTTGGATGTTAAAACTGAGGATGCCACATATGCCCCAAGAGTTTTTGTTGAGTTTCTTTTTTTTTTGTGGGGAGAGCAAGATGGGCTCCTAAGTAGGTCTGAGGAAGCAGATCATTTTTGTTTTGGCCTTTATCATGTTTAGGGCTGGGTTTTGGGTGAGGTTTCTCATGCATAAGGAGCATAAACTTCCTGCTAGGGAAAAAGGAAGAAGTGCCCAGGCTTTCTTATCAACTAGCTCAAATCTGGGGCAGAAGGTTGCATTGGATCTTGAAAGCTGTCAGCAGTCAAACATCAAAACTGGAGTGAGACACTGTTACAGTTCACTCGTGATGTTGGATGGGTGACTGAAATGTGCCTTGTTTCATTTAATAAAATGCTCCGTGAAGCTTGTAGCCTGTGGTTAGTAGGGAGATGAAAGTTATCTTAAATGCCTTGTTCAAAAGCACAGCATTGTGTATTTTGGAAAAGTGAAATTCATGTCTTGGTCACTTTCAATGATGTCTGGAATATAGAAGGTGGTAAGAATTGTTTTGATGAGCCTTGTATTATGGTCTTAAATGTGTAGGTGTATATGTATGTGTAAAGACATGTGTGACCTTGATTATTATTTTGTGTATGTATGAGGCAAGGGATTCCCAGAGTTCTTTACCTTGGAGGGCAACCTTGGATTAGGAATTGTTTCTGCCGTTGGCTGGACCAGATGGCCAAACCACAGGCAGTGACCCAAGAGTCTGTAGAAATGTGCAAGTGGGACCTGTTTTTATCCAGGGTGTCTAGTGCTCAAATGATTCCCTGCTAACCTTTGGGTCCTGTCCTTTGTTAGGTCTGTCATTTTAAGGGATCAAAAGCAGCAGTTCTCCAGTGAGCTTCATCACATTTAACACAATACCACCATCCATGCACTGTTCACTTGATTAATCCCAAGGGGCTCCCTAGGTAGCCAAGGGATTTAGGATAGGAGTGACATGCTCAAGTACCATGGCATATGACAAGGGGCTGAGGATAGGGGAAACTTTTCCTTCCTGCAAGTGACTTATGCCCAAGTTTGGCCCTTTCCTATAGAGTCTTTGGTGGCTATGTCAGACTTGCAGGGTGATGCTTTCATAACCAAAGGCACAGTGGACCACTGAGTGCACAGTCCTGAGCGCAGGGCATCTGATTTCAGTAGAGCTCAGTATGCAACCAGCAGTTGCTGTTCTAATGGTATATAGCATGTAACCAAGGAGGATAGTTTTTGCTACCAGAAGCCCACGAGCACCACTGTGGTTGATGCAGGAGGCAGTAGAAGAGGTGAACAATGTGATTGCCTATTGTAATTGCAATTTGGAGAGATTCTAGAGCCTTCTGTTTTAAGGGGTCTAATTCAGTGTGGGCCAGTTTGCAAGTAGGAGCATAAATGGGCTTAAGTAAAAAGTGATACTTGTTAATGAGGAATATCTTCCATCCGAAACCCCAAAAGGCCTAAAAATGTTAGTTTTGTCTTAACATTGTGGATACTGACAGGTCATTGTTTCTCGAGCGTGTCAGTGATGAAGTAGCCTTTGATCAAATAATGCTCAGAAATTTGACTACACTGGGGAGCCTTGCAGTTTGTATAAGACAATGGTCTATTCTTTCTTGTGAGCTCCTTTTTGAATGTTTATTCATCCTGAATGAGTGTGTCAAAGGAATCTCCTTGGAAGAGCATGGCATCAATGTAATGTCATACCTATTTTCCCACAGAAACTTGGATGCAGTAAAGATCTGCCTGCAGAGGGATTGTTTGTGACAGCAGGACTGTTTAAGTATTCTATGTGTAGTCAGGTAGAGAATTTTGAGTTCTTTTGAAGATAAAGAAAAGCTATAAGCCTTTCCCTGTAACTGTGGGGATCGGGATCTGTGTTGTTACAGAGGCATAGGCAGCAACAGCAGCAGGAGCATTTTTGTGGGTGGCCAAATGAGCTATCTCCTTTTAGGAGTGTAAGAGGCTATCAAAAGAGGCACTTAATAGAACATATTTGTCAAATCCTTATGACTTTATGACTACAAAGTATTTACAAATTGCTGATTGAAAGGAGTCAGTAGTGTCACCAAGTAATGGTGGCCTTAATATGTGGAACCACAGCATTAAGCTTTGGATGATCTACTACCAGCCTCCATTTATTTTTTTCAGGTTTAAGAACAGGCCAAATTTGACTATTAAAAGGAGAAGCAGTGGTGACTATTACCCCTTCTCTAAATAGTTCTTAGGTAAGGGGTTCCTTGTTCCAGTTATTGTAGTCCTTATTAACTACTTATATTGAGAAGACAGAAAATGCATGTGATTCTATATTGTCAAACTACTTGTACATGTCAAAGATTTGATTTGATTTACTTTAATTTGTCATTAATTGGTTCAGAGCATCCATGTCTACTATGGGATATTTTTAGACAATATCTGTTATGACCATGGAGTATTTAGGCCAGAAAGTAATTCTGATGGTTAAGATAAGGTATATTTATTTGCCCTGTATTTTATATGTGATAATCACCTCCATAAGAGTAAGGGGAGGTACCTTTATTTTAGTGCAATTCCCATATTTAGGGTACTTTGTTTAAATTTAGTGGCATCTCCAGTGATAACTATAGTTCAATCCTCAACTTTGATTAAGTTTCTTAACTTTTGCCAATGGGTGCGTCTCAGGAAACATATAAGTTAATTTGGAGCTTATGTTGTAGAGGCACAACACCATTCAGCAAACTTACCTGCCTTTATAAATTCTTCAAGTAATTTAAGAATTTCCAAGTGGGACAAATTATAGACTTCTGTTTATATTTTTGTTTTCTCCTGTGTATCCAGTTTTCTGCTTCTTCCTCCTATATCCAGTTTTGTTTTTGTTGTTGGGGCTGGTGCTGTTTTTTGTTTGTTTGTTGTTTTGTTTTTATTTTCTATCCTGCTCATTTTTACAAGCCTCCTTCAGAGAGTCTCAAGTAAGTATCATCAGGGTTATGGGCCTCCCTGATGGCAATGGTTGCTTCATCAGATTTTAAGTTCCCTAGATTGAAGTTGGGTTTGAATTAACCTCTTGGGTATGCCACAGAGTCCCATGTTTGCTTTTCTCTATAACTGTGGGGATCAGGAACTGTGCTGTTATGGAGGCATAGACAGCAACAGTAGCAGAAGCATTTTTTGGGGTGGACACATGAGCTATCTCCTTTTAGGAGTGTGAACCTCAGCATTCCACATGGTAACTGCTCTTCTTCCATACAAGCAACCACCCAATGGACCTGTATAGTGCACAAAGTAACAGGTATTTTTCCTAGGACACACTGTAGAATGGGGGCTGATGCATGGTTGAGACATACAACCAGTGATCACACAGTAGGAATTATTCCCCTGTGCCTAGTGTCAGCCACATTTCTTACTGGATACCAACCACTTGATTCAATATTAGACACAAAGATAGGTCTGGGCTAAGACACATGACATGGAGCTATTACCAAACTCCCGTTCCTAAATATTACTGATGCTTCCAGGCATTAAGTTCATTTAATTCTAAACAGAAACTTGGAAAGACTCAGCAAATGCAGCATAAATTTGCACAGGTTAAAGTATGCTTGCCAGTGGGCAGAAAAAAACTCAAACAGCATAATTGTCTCGACAATACAACAAATTAACAAGGCAAAACATAAGAAGAGAGACCCCCAGTGGTGGTGGTCATTGCCTAGATACCCCTTGCTGTGCCAGTTGTTAAGACTACCTTTCATAGATGGGATAATACCCAACCACCATCCCAAATCCAGTCCTGTTGAGACTGATGATTGCACACCTGCACTAAGAGGGTATTGAAAGGGCTACAACTCATATAATGAGGCTTTCCATGGAGAGTGAGGCAGGCTTCCAACCAGGTCAAAAAATGGCTTGGGCTGGAAAGAGCAAGGAAAAGAAACTGGCTTGGCTTTCATCACGATTAAGCATTGGGGCTGGGCTGGGCATGGTGGCTCACGCCTGTAATCCCAGCACTTTGAGAGGTTGACATGGGAGGATAGCTTGAGCTCAGGAGTTCTAGGCCAGCCAGGGCAACATGGTGAAACCCCATCTCTACAAAAATACAAAAATTAGCCAGGCGTGATGCTCCATGCCTGTGGTCTTAGCTGCTCGGGAGTCTGAGGCAGGAGGATTGCTTGAGCTGGGAGGTGGAGGTTGCAGTGAGCAGAGATCCTGCCACTGCCCTCCAGCCTAGGCAACAGAGCAAGACCCTGTCTTAAAATAAATAAATAAATAATTTTTAAAATTAAAAAAATATATATATTGGGGCTGGAGTGAGGTCCTACATATAGACTGGGACTTACCAGCTTCCCCATCCATGGGGCAAAAGGGAAAGGAAGAGTGTTGGCACTTGAAAGCAGTCAGCAGTCTAATGTCAAAAATGGAGGCAGACTATTTATGATGAGATATGGTAAATGAATGTCTCCATATCTTGAGCTGATGGAGAAGACTTAAATTTCTAAATAAGTAATGAAAACTCAGGAAGTAATGTATATACCTTCTGCCTGTCATCCTCCCATTTATGAATTACATCACCAGAATTCTAGTATAATAAGACAAACCATTAAAAACAATGAAAAAGTCCCCTCTCAATTTGTTCTTTTTAACTCAGATACATTATTTAAGTTCTAAGAGCAGGCAGTCATCAAGTGGTTAGCAGTTACATGATATTAATATTCAGTGTTATAAAACAGGAACAAAAACATAAGATTTTTCTGTGCTTAAAGCAATAGGAAAAGCATTAAGAAATTGAAGCCTTATAAACCAGCTGTTTCCAAATGACAGCTTTGAAAGATCAAGAAAAAAAAATCACCAGCAGGATGAGAAAGAATGCCAAGATAATAAATTAGCTAGATTCCAAATTCCACAGAGACCAAAGTGTAAGTAGAAAGTAGAGATTGAATTAAACACACACACACATATACACACAATGCAGTAAAACCAAGTCATCAAAGAGGTGTAAATGTGCAAGTTAATGTGTACATTTAAAAATGTATCATAAAAAGGAGATGGAAATAACCAGAAATATAACAGTGACTATATTTGATTTATCTTTTAGAGATAATTAACCAAAATGTAGATGAGGTTGGATGGAGAAAGAGGTGCTTCGTTTGATAGTAGTGAAAAACCACTAGCATGAATTTGTGGGTTATTTAATATTATCTCTTAATAGATAATTTGATATTTTTTTCACTTGGACATATACATAAATTTTGCCTTTTGAAGTTATAGAATTGGAATGCTGAGGTAATAGAGGTTCTACCTACTCCGAGTATGTTTTATATTCATAGAATTATATATTGGTGGTTTGCTGCACCCATCAACCAGCAATCTACATTAGGTATTTCTCCTAATGCTATCCCTCCCCTAGCCCCCCACCCTATGACAGGGCGCAGTGTGTGATGTTCCCCTCCCTGTGTCCATGTGTTCTCATTGTTTAACTCCCGATTATGAGTGAGAATATGCAGTGTTTGGTTTTCTGTTCTTATGTTAGTTTGCTGAAAATGATGGTTTCCAGCTTCATCCATGTCCCTGCAAAGGACATAAACTCATCCTTTTTTATGGCTGCATAGTATTCCATGGTATATATCTGCCACATTTTCAAAACCATCATGGCATATGTATACCTATGTAACAAACCTGCACGTTCTGCACACGTACCCCAGAGCTTAAAGTAAAATTAAAAAAAAAAAGAATTATATATAGGTGGAACTGAAAGATACCTAAGAGACCACACAGATGAGATAACTTATTTTTATGTATGAAAAAGGAAATCAAAGATTAAAATAATTTTTGTCATTCCATCAAATTATTGGCTTTAAAAATGTTATTATTTGAACATGAATTTCTTTAGTAAATATTTGGCTTTAAATTTGCTTTAGAGTTTAAATACTAGGTTCTTATAAATTTTGTGTTTTCTTGTCATGAAGACAGGGTATTTTCCTGTCTAAAATTACATTATTTTCTAAGAATCTCAATGATTTGCTTAAGGTCATAAAATATTTTCCTGAGGTGGTTGAAAACACAGCTTATTTATTTGATTCCAAATTCAACATTTTTTAGACTATAAGATTGTTTATTCTCTAATTGTCTTTTTGATTCCAAAATTAATTTGGAAATGCATCAATATACAGTGTAACTAGCTATTTTCTTTCTCTGCATAGATCACAGACCACGTGTACATATTAAATTGAGCTTTGGAAACTGGTGAAACATCTTTCTTTAGATTTTTTTTTAAATAAAAATAAGCTTTCAGTGAACTCAGAGTCACTGAAATATATAAGCCTTGGTGCTTATATATTTAAATTTAGATGATCCCTCAAGTATTCTTATAATTTAACCTTTACTTAATGGAAAATATCAGATAAGGATTCTTTGAGAAAATGTTAAACTAGCACATTTTAGTGATTTCATTTTCTTTTCTTCTTTAACAACAATTCTAACTTCAATCATAAATTAAATAGCACAGTTTAGAGTACTATGAAGTCTGTAAAACTATCCTTAAGGGAGTCATGAGTCCAGATTACAAACACTCATTTTCAAACTACTAAGTGAATTGATTTATTTAAAATACTACATTGTTCTATAGATTGCTCAATAACCTATGACGTGAATAATTGTTCAGTAAAAAATCAAGAAGAGGTTGAATTGAGTCACTTTGATGTGTGTGTGAAGAGTAGGGAAAAGAGTGATGTATTTAGTGTATCTGACACTTTCTACTTTCCTTAAAACTATAATATAATCAGCTATTTTAGGCATAAGAAATATTTTCTTATTTTTTGTGTTTTTAATTATTATTCATGTGAAGAAATACTTTTAGCCTTAAAAATCATATTAAGTATGATAAATATTTAGGAAGTAATATAACTTTTAGAAAATGATAATATTTTAAATTTGTATGGAAATTGTTGGAGTAGTCATCAATTTTTCACTTCTTTATTGAACTGTATATATTACCAGAAGCATTTCATTTACATATGCAAATGTATTTTCGTCATTCTCACAAACATTAGTATTAAATTTTGATTTTTCAAGTTAACGATTATATTATGTGCCTTACAATAGAAAAGTCAGAGTTCTGTAGTTATTCCATGGAAAAGTACAAAATAATTCATAGAAACTGTGCAGAATGAAAAATATTCACTTTCACTTTAAAATTTGTTTTTGTTTAAATTTACTAAACTTTAACCAAGAAATCTTTACAGCCAAGAATATGTTTTTAGCATCTTGATTTATTCAGAAGTCTAGTGATAGAGAAAAGTGCACCCAAAATATGAATGATTCCCTCTCTTTTTCATCCCCATTTTTCACTTTTTACATACCCATCATAATTATTTCGTATTATTTTCTTCCTTTTACTGTCCTTTTATACAAGGTCATAAGCCATAAAATATGAATATTTATTGGGTGTTTTCTAAGACAGACATCTTACTATGCCTTTTCATGCATTATCTCTTTTATGTCTTCAGAAAAATTTGATAGGCAAAGTAGTAATGTAATAATAGAATGACAATTTTTTAGAGAGGGAAATGGAAATAAACTTAAAGAGCTTAGATTACATAACCAAGAAGGCAAACTGGTAAGTGGTAGAACTGTTATTTAAACTCAGGTCTGATGCTAAAACCTTGCTTTTAACCACTCTATCATTGTGACTCTGAGTTCAGGAGAAGGTCCTACTATAAAGGCACTGTTGTGTATCCAGCACTATACTATTTCCACTAGATTATGATGGCATGTTTAAAACACAGGAGAGTTACAACTAGAAGAAGAAATGACATCAGGAAAGTATATTTATAAATGGACCTCCTATTAAAACACACAAACACACACACACAAACACACACACACATTCAATATCCAACAAATAGAGTAATAAACGTTTGTTGCTAGTGTTATTGATATTGTGGATCATTTTACAAGGATATATTAATGATATTATTGTTATATGTGAAAGTTTACAGTTGACAGATGTTTTCTTTATATATTAATGTGATATGAATTTTCACATTTCTGTCAAATAGAAGATGGCTGTTATTATCCTCACTTTTTTATAGGGGCTATGCAGTTTTATTGTGGAGAAAGAGTTAGGAAACATTCAAAACAGAACTCAAATTTGTGTATATTATACATATAAACTTAATGTACTTTTTATTATGTCCTGTTGGAAGAAAGAGAAAAGAATGCAAATTCCAAACATGTAAAGAGCAATTGATGTGTTTTGGGTTTGGATTTCCTAAAATTAACCCTCAAATTCTTCTCATTTCTTTTTACTGTAGTTAAAGTGAGGTTAGTAAAGAAATGTTACTTATTTTATGGAATTATTGAAAAAAAAGATGAGATTCTTACAGATTTTTATGTACAAACTATGACAGTTTCTCTTGGGGGTATTCAAAATAATGCTGAATAGGCTATTAAATATTGCTTAACTAATGTATACATAGGTTTCAGTTCATCTTGTAGATGTATACTTTACATGATGCCTGATACACATGGCTAAGAAAAGCATTCACAAAATCAGTGTTTCATCTCCTACTTGGAAAAGAAGTGAATCCCTATGCTCCCATTTAAAATTTTTTATTAATTTATGGTTTTGTGACTTGAATTATAAGTGATATTAGATGAACATAGTATCTTTAATGTTTGGTTTGGCAAGATTATTATTTCCACATATTTGTAGGAAATCAAACTATCACTCATAGGGACTTATGACTAGAAAGAGGAACAAAAAGATCACTTCAAATAAATTTAAGATTATGATTAAACTCTGCAAGCAAGTCTCTAAATATGACTGAAATATCATATTTTCATTGTTGCTACAAAGTACAACTATATTACTAAATACATATTGATATTATTGTTGGTGGTACGTATTACTTAAGAGTTTATGTGTTTTACTTCCACAGAAGTGAATTTTTAGTACATTATCAAGTAGGTGAGAATAGAGTTAAAATTTTATAAAAATGTTCATTATTGTTAAACCATGGTATTAAAAACTTTTAATGCTTAGAAATTAAGTTCTGGTAGATAAAATATGGTTTCTAAAATCATTTAATCTCAATTATTTTATAATGAAGAGATGAAGATTTTTTGGATATCCCTCTGATATAGTACTGTTTTGAAACAGATGTGGATTAGTATTTGAATTTTTGGATGAAATTAAGTGTGAGAGAATTTCATAGCTTGCCACTGGGAATTGTATATAAAGCATTGACTGAGCCTGTATAATTTATATTCACTTTTAAAGGATTTTATTGGATCTACTTCCTGACGTTACTTAAATTGGTAATTTAAATTCTATTACTTTAAAAGCCAGCAACACATGCATGCTATAACTGAAGTTCAAGATTCCATCCGTAGAAGGGAAACACAGTTCACAGATTCATGAATGCTGCTCTTAAGTACAATAGTATTCAGGAAATTGTTCATTTGCATGTGCATGTTTTTAGAAAGTAAGACTTTCTTCTTTGATCAGTGTTGCATTTCATATGACTTCCTAGTATGAAAAGCAACAATTTTGAAACAGTAAGTATTGCTTATTAAAGGCTTAAAATCAAAGGAGAGCATCTTACTTTAAAAATCAAATTTAGTCATAAAAGAGTAAGTCATAATAGACTTTGTGAGTTTGTTCATTGTTTTTCCCTCCTATGGAGAACAGCCTGTTTTAAGTCTGAGTTGTAATTCTACAGTATATTTGTGAAACATTAATATTTACAACATATTTTCACTCAGAATACTTAGAATACTTCCTGAATTATGTTTTAATATTTTAGTCAGAAAAGCACTTTATATGGTTAATAATAAATGCATGAGTTAAAAAGTGAGTTTTGTTTTCTTCTGGAGCATATGAGAGAATTTTAAAAATTCACATATTATAACGTTCATGCCAGTGCTGTCTTTAGAAAAAGCAATAATTTAAAAACAACATTAATTCCAAATCTAAGATAGTTATCTTAATTATTTAAATTGAGTGTGAAATACTTGTAATAGGTTTAGAAAAGTCCATTACATGGATTTTATTTGGATAAAGTTGTAAAATGTCTGGTTTTGTATGTTTCAAACAACTGTATGCTAGTAATATCATAAATAACTATGTATGCTAAGTAAAGTTTATGCCTAAAAATTAAATACTTTCATAAAAATTTGTACCAGAGGATACAGGTATTTATTTTGCCTGATTTATATGTACGTTCAAGGAAACATACATTTTAATATTTTTAGTAATGGAAAATTAGAATCAAAGACTGATTTTGCTCTTTCTGTGAAAACTCTCCTGAGTAGAAATATAACAATATATTAGCAAATAAAATATTATTTCAACTTCAAGCCATATTTATTTCTAAAGTATCTAATTATCAATATCTATTTCCTTTAAAGTCTCAAATATCTATCAGTGTAGAAGAGTGGGAAGACACCAAAGACTCCAAAGAACAAGGGCACCACCGCAGCAACCACCGCAACTCAACATCCAGTGATCAGTCGGACCATCCCTTGCTGCGGAGAAAAAGCATGCAGTGGGCCCGAAGACTGAGCAGAAAAGGCCCAAAACACTCTGGTAAAACAGCTGAAAAAATAACCCAGCAGCGACTGAACCTCTACAGGAGGTCAGAAAGACAAGAGCTTGCTGAACTTGTGAAAAATAGAATGAAACACTTGGGTCTTTCTACAGTGGGATATGGTATGCTCTTTAAAAACTACTGTATATATGGACTCGTGATTTCTTGCCATTAGTAGTAATATAGTTGGTTCTAATTTAATAAAGAATTGAATTTTTGCTTCACAGGTCAATTAGTAGAAACTAGTGATACATCTGATCTCCTACAGAAAATTTAAATGATGATGATAAGATAAAATGCTAAAAATTTTCAGCGTTTGCTGAGTCTGCTAGGTACTGTGCTAAACCCATTACATGAATTATCTTAATTTTAATTTTCACAAAAACTCTGAGCCAGACCCTGTGTTTTCATGTTAGAAGTAAAGAACCTAAGTCAGGTAGCCTTCTAATTATCATCTTATTCTAGTGCCTGAGATAAAATGAATTTGAGGCATTGACAAGTAACTGATTGTATTGGCCACAGGTAAACCAAAATGTTCTTATAAAATTTGTTTAGTGTATGTGGTTTAGAAACAAAATCTTCAAAAACTTTAATTTTGAAGCTCAAATACTGCTTTATCTCATATAGTGCCAATCTGTCTCAATAATTGTTCAGTTCCTATATATGATCCATAATTGCCATATAGACACTATAGACACAGCTTAAATAAATAATGCAAAGCTTAAATAATGCAATTATACATTTAAAATATATCATTTATCAGTGTATGAATTTTACTTTAAAAAGATATTTAGTCCAGTCAAAGGAAAACCAAATGATAAACAAGGTGTTTTATTTTACGTATATAAATATGTAACATGGTAAACCAGGAACTCAGATAGGGTTAGTATCATGCAAGTTAAGAATCAAATAGAAGGTATTCCATATTTACCCTTTTCTCTTGTTTATTATTGAAATCTCAACATGAGGCAATGTTCTTAGGAAGAAATTTTAGTCTTTGAATTAGAGTTTAAGAGAAGTTGCCTCTGTTTCTTTGAATAAGGAAAAAACCCACATATTAAGTTAGCACTACTCTATGCATAGCATGCTATGTGTGCTACTCCAGGAACTATGCTAGGTGCTTTATGTGTATATTCTTGTTACTCTTTATAACCCTGATTTGATAGGTATCTCATTTTACCTTTCAGAATTTTGACTTTCAGAAGTTAAAGACTTTGCTCAAAGACATACAGTTAAAATGTGTTGTAGTCAGGACTCCATATATAGTTCATAATTATATGATACTTACTTAAATGTAGTCCAGATTCATCTGTGACAAATAATTTTAATATAATCACATTTAATGTCTTACATTAAGAAGCAAATTAAAAGAAAAAGTAAGATCGTCATTTTAGAAATCCACTAATAGCTATCTGCCAATTAATTTACATGGAAGGTGATTATATTCTTAAAAGGATTATAACTGAGAATGCAGCCCAGCGGGTCTCAGCCTTATTTTGCCCAGCCCCTATTCAAGATGGAATTGCTTTGGTTCAAACGCTTCTGACACTAACACTGTTTTTTATATATATAACAGATCAAAGGATATATATATATATATATATATTTCCATGATAATCACCTGTGAAACTGTCAAACTTGAGGAAAATGGTGCTTTACAAGTGATGTATTAGGAATCTTATTTTTATATTGTCTAAAGAAAAATAATTATATCTCAAATAACACAAAAAACTCATAAGGAAATGTTGAAAAATATTTAAAAATTTAAGTCACTAAATTGCTAATATTTTTTTCAAAGAGTTAGCAAACACTTTAAAATACAAGTTGTCACTAATATCATAGAGCAGTCAACACTGTTGTTGATTAAGTTTTTTCAGATTACCTTTGTTAAACCAAAATTAAATAATGTGAAATTATAATTTATGGAAAATGCTGTCATGGACCACAGCTTACAAGGATGTCATTTTTGTTTGGCTTAATTTTTTCATGATTGATTTCAGGGTTTAAAATTTGGCAGAACTGTTAGCTTTTTTGGGGGGAGTAAAAGGATATACCAGGCTTAAAAAATGGCTCAGTGGTACCAGGTTTATAAACTTGATTTCAGTAAATTTTGAAAATCTGATGCTTGACTATAGAAATTATTGCTTTATGATCATGGAATAATTGGCAGTTGTTGAGGAAAAATATGGAGATAAGTTCCAAAAGGAAGGGCAAGATTTTTATACTTGTGTTTATGCTTATATAATACTATGTGAAAACTCAACTATGAAATAGTGGAGACACATTTTATTTGCCTTTTGAGAGATTAAAACAAAGTTATGAGACATTAAATGCCTTGCCCAGAGTGATTAACATGCAGGAGGAACTGAAACTCTGACCTTATCTGCAACTGTATAGCACTATTAAAATTGTTAATATTTTCTGATATACAGGTTAGGCTGAAATAATCAAGTCATACAAATTCTCATGCATTTATTATCTGAGATATACATATACCTACTCCCAAAAGATTCTGCATTAGAATACAAGTACACAATATTTCACTTGTAATTCCAAAATCCATAATTTCTGAAACCAAGGTTTTAAGTAAGTTTGGCACTAAAATGTGTTTGGATATGGAAACTGATCCAAACTACCTGAAATGATTAAGTATCCTTTACTTATCCTATTTATTGTGAACATATATGTTTTACTGCAGAACCATTAATTTCTCTGCTCCTTCAAACCCTACTGTGGATGCTACACATTATGCGTTATATGCTCAGTAATATTTTCTAAATCTGAAAAATTTAGTTCTCAAACACATCTAGCTCCAAGGGATTGGGAGGTGAAATATGAGGACCCATATGCTTTGAGGAAACAGCTAAAGTGACAATCTACACATTCTGCTTGCTTTTAATTAATTTTTTGTAACTTTCTTCAATATAATTTTTAAAATATATTCACCTCCAAGTTGGACAAGCCGTGTGTTCTTTGGCAAGTCACATCTCTCTGAACTTATTGTCCACCATCAAATGAAGATAATAAAGTATTTCCCAGGGGTATGATGTGTTAGTTATAATTGTCAAATAATAGAATGCAAGTGAAAAGATTTTTTAATCTATAAACTCTATTGCAAATGTGAATAATTTTTTTTCTGTTAATAACTAACATTATTCCTCAATAATCTGTTTAGACTGACTCTCACGCTCACGAACATTGCTCTTTGTTATCTATTGATGGATTTTATGATTAGCCCATAAAATGGTATTTCTAGTAGTATATATTGGCAAGTAAATCTTCCTGATGTGACTGCTGATAATAGGTACTAGCTGATTTGGACGTGTATTGTTATAAATTTCATACTGTTAGTAAAAGATGAAAAGCCAAGGGAAGAATAAAAAGAAATCCTTTTAAATAAAACAAGATAACTAACAGTGTCTAGGCTTGTCCTTTATTATACCCAAGAGAAATTCTTATTTTTTTGTCAAGGAAATTATAATTTGCCTAAAATAATGAATAGAGTAACCAAGAACTCTTTTATAGCTAACATGGTGACTTAGTTCTTAGTCATTGTCTTTCTTATGCAAAAGAAATAAGCAAACTTAACAAGAAAGAATTGTTATTGTTACTCAAACTATGATAGATTTAACAGCAGTAGTAATAGTAGTGGTGATGGTGGTAGTAGTAATAATAAGACCATCATCTTCTGTTTTCAGCTCATAAGTTTTCGTATTTTTTAACGAATAAATCAAATATTTTTCTCTAGTACAGATTTCTTCACAGATTTATCCTAAAACGTATTACCAACTGGGGAAAAGGAACTATGGCTAGTTATTTCTTTTATAATTTTTTGCAACTTTTAATAATTGGAAGGAATAATACAAGTATTTGAGATCATGCTAATGACTTCACTAACAATTTACTATTTCAGAAGGAATTGGCACTGGATTTTTATTGTTTTTTGAGATATATCATTTAGCTTTTCCTAATATAAATGAGTGTGTGTGTATTTTCCCCAGAAAATTAATTATATTCTGTATAATTCTATATTTCCAGAACTCTCAGGGTTGGCCCTCAAAAACACAAGAATGAATACATGGGGTTTGATTTATGTTAATCTCATTCTGTTCATAGAACTTTATTAGGAGTAAACAAACTAATCTTTTTTCTTAATAGATAAATCAATAAAGCATTCAAAAAGGGTAATTGATGAGTTAATGATAGGTAGTAAATGAAAATATTTGAGCAATAAATTGTTCCTATCTCCTTAAATTAAAATATAAAGTTTTACTTTATAGAGTTGTATCATATCCTTCCTAGAGCATTAATTTTTCAATGACACCAATATTTTGCATAATTTCTCACCATACTTAATTGCACTTATACATATATTTAATCTTTACAACTGGAAATTCAAGTGCTGTGTTTTGGCACATGTGTAGGAAAAAAGAGGCCAATTTGAATCAAATAAAATTTTTTTGTTATTGAAATAAGTTAGTTGGTTGAGTGAACTTTTTACTTTTAACAGTTTATTATGGGTTGAGTGGTTGAGTATAAATAGTCAACAAAAGAACAAAGAAAGAGCTTTCTAAATGCTGTAAAACAACAGGGAGAAACTTCTGATTTTGACCATCATTTATGTTCTCAACTGAAATAATACAAAAAATGTGAAACAATATTGTGCAGACTTTGGACAAAGGAAGCGTATAACTTTGTTCCCCAGGGAAAGGGAAATAGATGAATTAACTCCTTTATAAATCAAGGACTAGGATGCAAAATAAGAAAATATGACCCATAACCAGTATAAAAATAAATCAACAGAAACAGATTCGGAAAACACAGATCTTAAAATAGTTATAATATATTCTATATGTTCAAGGTGGCAGAGGAAAACAAGAACATGATAAGGAAATAAACTGAAGATAGAAGAGACCAAATTGAACATTCTAAAAATGCATAATTCAGTATTCCAAGTTAAATACTGGATGGGGGTGGCATCAGAATACCTACCACAGAAAAAACTATCAATGTACATAAAGCCATAGCAATAGACTATCCGAAATACAGTATAGAGAGAAGGAGGGAAAATAAAACTTCGAAGAACACATAGAATGTTAGTTACCAGTGGGACAATATCAACTAATGTAACATGCATGTAACTGGACTCCAAAAGGAGAGAAGAGAATGGATATTTGAAGAAACAATGGCCAAAATTTTTTCAGATTCGATGAGAACTCTACCTAAAATTTAAGAACCTCATTGAAACCCAAGCAATATAAATATTTAAAAATATAAATACTAATAAATACATATTAATAAGTAATGCCAAGAAACAATATACAAAACTGCTGAAAATGTTTCAAAAGGGCTAGAGGAAAAAACCACTTTATGAATGAGGAATATAGGTAAAATGTAAACAGACTTCTTGTTAGAAACTTTACAAAACAAAAAAATAGAAAGGCATCTTGAGAGTAGGAAAAAAAATAGCCCACCTATAACATTATATATAATATAGATATCTTTCTAAAATGAAGGCAAATAATATTTTTAGACAAACAAATGCTGAATTTGTTTATACTACAAAAAAATGATAAAAGGCTTTCCCAAAACAGAAGAAAAATGATGCCAGGTGGAATTATGGATCTAGACCAAATAGTAAATATATAGGTAAACATGCAAGCTATGTTTTTATTTTGTTAAAAGATAATTTACTGTTGAAAGCAAGTTTATAACATTGTGTGGTTTTTAGTACATATGGAAGCAAAAATGTCTGGCTATAATAACTGAAATAACAGGAAAGGAAAAACTGACGTATAATGTAGTAAGGTTGTTCTACTACATGTGAAATGGTATTATATTATTTCAGAGTAGAGAGTAATAACTTAAAGCTGTATATTGTAAACTCTATAGCGTGAGAAATAATAGCACACTAGTTTTGCTAAATAAAGCAACCATCCTTTCTTGTTTATGTGTTGTGCATGGCCTCTTACATCTACAATGTAAGAATTTAGTAGATGCAACAGTTATCATATGGTCTGCAAAGCCTAAAATATTTACTATCTGGCTCTTTACAGAACAAAAGTTTGCCAACCTATGACCTAAAGGAACTACAAAATAACTAAACCAAAATGATATAACTAATAGCCAATAGTGCAAATAAAATGGAATGATTAAAAGAAGAATTTTTTTAAAAACTCACTTCAAAGAAGGAAGAGATAATAAAACAATAAGAAAACACAACTAGCAAAATGAAACATCTAAACCCTAATATATTAACAATTATTTTAAATATAAAGAGACTGCACAGTTCAGTTGGAATGCAGAGATCATCAGGTGGCATTAAAGAAAGCAAAACGCCATATATGTTGCATAAAAGAAACCCACTTAAAAACAAAATTGGTTAAAAGGAAAAATATATTTTTAAATTTTTTAATTTTTGTGAGCACATACTAGGTGTATATATTTACGTGGTACATGAGGTCTTTTGATAAAGGCAAATAATGCATAATAATCACATCAGGGTTAATAAGGTTTCTATAATCTCAAGCATATATTATTTCTTTGTGTTATAACCAATCCACTTAAACTCTTTTAGTTATTTTTAAATGCACAATAAATTATTATTGACTGTAGTCACCATGTTTTGCTATCAAATACTAGGTCTTATTCTATCTAATTATATTTTTGTACCCAATAACTATCCCCTTTCTCCCATCCCCACTACCATTCCCAGCCTCTGGTAACCATCATTTTACTCTCTGTCTCCATGAGTCCAGTTGTCTTAATGTTTAGCTCCCACAAATAAATGAGAATATATGAAGTTTTTATTTCTGTTCCTGGCTTATTTCACCTAACATAATGACCTCCAGTTCCATCACATTGTTTCAAATTACACTATCTCATTCTTTTTTCAGCTCAGAAAAACAAACAAGCAAACAAACAAAAAACACACTGCTAAACACACTTTGGAAGGGCTAGAGGAAAAAAACACTTTATGAATGAGGATTAAATGTAAAATGACAACAGACTTCTTCTTAGAAACTGCAAATCAAAAAAAGTAGAAAGGCGTCTTTACTCCATTGTATATATGTATCATATTTTCTTTATCCATCCATCTCTTGATGAAACTTAGGTTGCTTCCAAATCTTGGCTATTGTGAATACAGCTGCAATAAACATGGGAGTGCAGATATCCTTTCTTTTGGGTATATACCTAGCAGTGAGAATGCTGGATCATATGGTAGTTATGTTTTTAGTTTTTTGAGGAAGCTCTCAACTGTTCTCCTCATAGTGGTTGTACTAATTTACGTTCCCACCAACAGTGTACAA
The DNA here is from genome assembly GCF_000001405.40 of Homo sapiens. NCBI lineage: Eukaryota > Metazoa > Chordata > Mammalia > Primates > Hominidae > Homo > Homo sapiens. The sequence continues at coordinate 196,251,005 of NC_000001.11, read as the reverse complement.
GGGTTCCCTTTACTCCATATCCTCGTCAGGATTTGTCATTGCCTGTATTTTGGATGAAAGCATTTAATTGGGGTGAGATGATATATCATGGTAGTTTTGATTTGTCTTTCTCTGATGATCAGTGACATTGAGGAACTTTACATATACCTGTTTTTCATTGATATGTCTTCTTTTCACCAATGTTTATTCATCTCTTTTGCCCATTTTTAAATTGAATACTAGATTATTTCACATAAAGTTGTTTGAGCTCCTTACACATTCTGGTTATTAATCACTTGTCAGATACACAGTTTGCAGATAGTTTCTCCCATATTGTGGGTTGTAACTTCACTTTGTTGTTTGTTTCCTTTGCTGTGAATAAGCTTTTTAACTTGATGTGATCCCATTTGTCAATTTTTGCATTGGTTGTCTGTGCTTCTGGGGTATTAAAAAATCATTACCCAGTCCAATGTCCTGAAGAGTTTTCCCAATGTTTTCTCTTAGTACTTTCATAGTTAGTAGTCTTAAATTTAACTCTTGAATTTTGATTTATTTTTGTAAATGGTGAGAGGTAATGGTCTAGCTTCATTCTTCCACATATAGATATCCAGTTTTCCTAGAATCATTTATTGAAATTCCTTTCCCCAATGTATGTTCTTGGCACCTTTGTGGAAAATGAATTCACTGTTGATATCTGGTTTTGTTTCTGGGTTCTCTAATCTGTTCCATTGGTCTGTGTGTCTGTACCATGCTGTACCATGCCAGTACCATGTTTCATGCTGTGTTTTTATGCCAGTACCATGCTGCTTTAGTTACTTTAGCTCCGTAGTATAATATGAAGTCAGGTAATGTGATTCTGCCAGTTTTGTTCTTTTTTGCTCAGGGTAGCTATACTGGGTCTTTGTGGTACCATATAAATTTTAGAATGCTTTTTTTTTTATTTGTGTGAAGAATATCATTGGTATTTTGATAGGGATTACATTGAATCTGTAGATTGTTTTGGATAGTATGGGCATTTTAACAATATGTGAACATGAAATATCTGTGAATATGAAATATCATTCAAATTTTTTTGTCCTCTTCAATTTCTTTCATCAATGTCTTTAGTTTACTTTGTAGAGCTTTTTCACTTCTTTAAGTTAGTTCCTAGGTATTTAATTTTATTTGTGGCTATTGTAAATGGGATTACCTTCTTGATTTTATCAGATTGTTCACTGTTGGCATATAAAAATACTAACTTTTTTTTTTTTTGAGACAGAGTCTCACTCTTGTCATCCAGGCTGGAGTGCAGTGGCATGATGTCAGCTCACTACGTAACCTTCGCCTCCTGGGTTCAAGTGATTTGCCTGCCTCAGCCTCCCAAGTAACTGGAATTACAGGCATGCACCCCCAGGCCCAGCTAATTTTTGTATTTTTAGTAGAGACAGGGTTTCACTATGTTGGCCAGGCTGGTCTCAAACTCCTGACCTCAGGTGATCCTCCCGCCTTGGCCTCCCAAAGTGCTGGGATTACAGGCATGAGCCACCATGTCTGGCCATTGATTTTTGTATGTTGATTTTGTACCCTGCAACTTTACTGAATTTGTTTATCAGTTCTAATACTCTTGGTTCAAATCCTTAGGTTTTTCCAAATAGAAGAGCATATCATCTGCAAACAAGGATAATTTGATTCTTTCTTTTCCAATTTGAATGACCTTTCTTTCTTTCTCTCTCTTGCCTGTCTATTCTATATACACCTTCCAGCAGTATGTTGAATGATGTCGTTGAAAGTGAGCATCCTTAACATGTTCCAGATCTTAGAGAAAAGGCTTTCAGTTTTTCCCTACTCAGTATGATACCAACTGTGCATCTGTTGTTATGGTTTTATTGTGTTGAGGTTTGTTCCTCCTATACCCAATTTTTTTAGTTTTTTTTTAATCATGAAAGGATTTTGAATTTTTCCAAATCCATTTTTAGCACCAATTGAAATGATCATTTGGTTTTTGTCCTTCATTCTGTTGATAAGATTGATTGATTTGCACATGTTGAAGCATCTCTGCATCCCTGGGATAAATCCCACTTGGTCATGATGAATAATCTTTCTAATGTGCTGTTGAATTCAGTCTGTTAATACTGTGCTGAGGATTTTTGCATCAATGTTCATCAGAGATATTGGCCTGTAGTTTTGTTTGTTTGTTTCTTTGTCGATGTATCTTTATTTGGTTTTTGTATCAAGGTAATACTGGCCTCTTAGAAAGACTTTGGAAGTATTCCTTCCTCTTCTATTTTTTGGAATAGGTTGAGTAGGATTGTTATTAGTCCTTCTTTCAATGTTTGGTCAAAATCGGGAGTGTAGCCATAAGGGTCTGAGGCTTTTCTTTGCTGGGACATTTCTTATTATGGCTTTCATGTCATTATTTGTTATTGGTCTGTTTAGGTTTTGGATTTCTTCATGTTTCAATCTTGGTAGGTTTTGTGTGTCTAGGAGTTTATCAATTTCTTCCAGCTTCCTATTCATTGTCATATAGTTGTTCATAGTAGTGTAGCCTCTAAAAGATCCTTTGTATTTCTGCAGTATCAGTTGTAATGTTTTGTTTTCATCTCTTATTTTATTTATATGGGTGTTTCCTCTTTTTTTCTTATTCTGGATAAAAGTTTGTCAATTTTGTTTATCTTATCAAAAAACAACTTTTTCTTTTGTTGATCTTTTGTATTTTTTTCTTCATTTCAATGTCATTTATTTCTGCTCATACCTTTATTGTTTCTTTTTTTCTACTATTTTTGGTTTAGCTTGCTCTTGCCTTTCTAGTGCTTTAAGATGCATCATTTGGTTGTTTATTTGAAGTTTTTCTATTTTTCTGATGTAGGCACTTTTAGCTATAAATTTTCCTCTAAGTGCCGCTTTCATTGTACCCCATAGATTTTTGGTATGTTGTGTTTCCATTACTTTTTGTTTTGAGAAATCTTTCAATTTCCTTCTTAATATCTTCATTGAGCCATTGGTCATTCAAGATTATACTGTTTAATTTCCACGTGTTTGTATAGTTTTCATAGTTCTCTTGTTGATTTGTAGTTTTATTCCTTTGTGGTCAGAGAATATACTTGCTATAGTACCATTTTTAAAATAAATTATGAAGTCTTGTTTTGTGGCCTAACATATGGCCTGTCCTTGAGAATGATCCATATACTAAGGAGAAGAATGTGTACTGTGCAGCCATTGGATGAAATGTAATATGGATTTTGGTTGTGCCCCCACCCATATCTCATCTTGAATTGTAGTTTCCATAACCCCTACCTGTTGTGGGAGGGACCTGCTGGGAGGTAATTGAATCATGGGGTGGTTACTTCTATGCTGTTCTTATAATAGTGAGTTCTCACAAGATCTGATGGTTTTATAAGGGGCTTTTCTGACTTTTGCTCAGCACTTCTCCTTCATGCCATCATGTGAAGAAGGATATGTTTGCTTCCCCTTCTGCCATGATTGTAAGTTTCCTGAGGCCTTCCCAGCCATGCGGAACTGTGAGTCAATTTCTCTTTATACATTACCCAGTCTCAGGCGGTTCTTCATAGCAGTGTGAGAACCAACTAATACAAAATGTTTTGCCAATATCTTAGTAGATATTTGGTCTATAGCAAGGATTAAGTCTGACATTTCCTTGCTGATTTTCTGTCTGGATGATCTGTTCCACATTGAAAGAGGGCTGTTGAAGTCTCCAGTTATTATTGTGTTGGAGTCTATCTCTCCTTAGTTCTTATAATATTTGCTTTGTATATCTGGGTATTCCAATGTTGGTTGCATGTATATTTTCAATTGTTACATCCTTTTTCTAAATTTACCCCTTAATCATTATATATTGACCTTTGTCTCTTTTTATAGTTTTTACCTTGAAATCTATTTTATCTGATGTAAAAACATTTCTCCTAGTCTTTTTTGGTTTCTATTGGCATGGAATGTCTTTTTCCATACCTTTTTTTCAGTCTATGTGTGTCTTTACAAGGGAAGTGTGTTTCTTGTAGGCAAGAGATCATTAAGTCTTGTTTTTCTAATTCATTCAGGTGCTCTTGTATTTTGATTGGGAGGGTTTAGTCAATTTACATTCAATGTTTTCATTGATAAGTAACAACTTATTCCGACATTTATTTATTTATTTGTTTTTTGCTGGTTGTTTTGTGGTCTTCTCTTACTTCTTTCCTTCCTTCTCATCTTCCTGTTAGAGAAGGTGATTTTCTCTGGTGGTATACTTTAATTTCTTACTTTTTATTTATCATGTATCTGTTGTATGTTTTTTGATTTGAAATACCATGAGGCTGGCAAAATATCTTACAACCCATTTTATTAAACTGATGACAACATAACACTGATTGCATAAACAAACAAACAAGTAAAGAGAAAAGTAACCAAAACTCTACACTTTAACTTTATCCTCCACTTTTTAACTTTTTTTTGTTTGTATTTATATCTTATTATACTATGTCCTGAAAACTGGAAAAATTGTAGCTATTATTTTTGATCAGTTTATCTTTCAGTCTTTCTACTGAAAATACAAGTAATTTACCCACCACTATTACAATAGTATATTTTTGTGTGTGTATTTACTATTACCAATGAGTTTTGTACCTTCAGATGATTTCTTATTGTTTTAACATCCTTTTCTTTCAGATTGAAGAACTCTCTTTAGCATTTCTTATAGCAGGTCTGGTGTTGATGAAATCTCTCAGATTTGTCTGACTGGGAAAGTCCTTATTTCCCTTTTTTGTTTAAAGAATATTTTCAATGGGTTGAAAACACAAGGATAAAAGGATACAAGTATTATTCCTATTCTAGGATACAAGTATTTTTCCTTCAGCACTTTAAATACATAATGCCACTGTCTCCTGGCCTGTAAGGTTTCCACTGAGAAGTCTGCTCCCAGATATATTAGAGCACCATTGTATGTTGTTTCTTTTCTCTTGCTACTTTTCAGATCCTTTCTTTATTCTCGATCTTTTGCAGTCTGATTATTAAATGTCTTAAAGTAGTCTTATTTTGATTAATCTGCTTGATGTTCTATTATCATCTTGTATTTATATATTGATGTATTTCTCTAGGCTTGAGAATTTCTCTGTTACTATCCTGTTGCATCAACTTTCTAAGCCTATCTTTCAACCTCCTCTTTAAAGTCAGTAACTCTTAGATTTGCCCTTTTGGTGCTGTTTTCTAGATTCTGTAGGCATGCTTCATTTTTTAAAATTGTGCTTTCCTTTTTCTCCTCTGACCGTACTTTCATATAGCCAGTTTTCAAGCTCACTAATTCTTCTGTTAAGAGACTGATGCATTCTTCATTATGCCAGTTGCATTTTTCAACTCTAGAATTTTTGCTTGTTTCTTTTTAATTAGTTCAACCTCTTTGTTAATTTTTTTGTTAGGATTCTGAATTCCTTCTCTGTGTTATCTTGAATTTTGTTGAGTTTCTTCAAAACAGCTATGTTGAATAATCCATCTAAACAATCAAATATCTGTCTTTCCATAATTGGTCGCTGATTCCTTATTTTGTTTGGTGAGGATGTGGTTTCCAAGATGGTCTTGATGCTTCTGGATGTTCATCAGTGTCTGGGTATTGAAGAGTTAGGTATTTATTGTATTCTTTGCAATCTGGGCTTGTGTGTACCCATCTTTCTTGAAAGGCTTTTCAGGTGTTCAGACTTAGGCTTTGTTATTTTTTTGGGTTTGCTTTGGCTTTTTTAGAGAGAGGGTCTTGCTATGTTGCCCAGGCTGGTCTCAAACTCCCGGGCTCAAGCAATCCTCCCACCTCGGCTTCCCAAAGTTCTGGGATTACAGGCATGAGCCACCACAACCTGCCTGAGACTTGGACTTTGTGTTTAAAGTTTTTGGTCACTGCAGCCATATCTACTCACGGTGCACCCCAAGCCCTGTAATGCTGTGGCTCTTACAGACTTGTAAAAGTATTACATTGTTGGTATTGCATAAGATCTTGAAGAATTCTCTGGATTACCAGGCAGAGACTCTTGTTCTTTTTCTTTATTTTCTCCCAAGCAGAGTCTCTCTCTGTGCTGACCTGCCTGGAGCTGGGGAAGGGATAACACAAGCACCCCTCTGGCCAGCACTACTGGGACTGCAATGGGTCAGACCTGAAGCCAACACACTATGGGGCCTTGCCCAAGGCTTGTGGTAACCACTGCCTGGCTACCACGTATGCTAGCTGAAAGCCCTAGAGCTCTACAAACAGAAGGTGGCAAAACCAGCCCATCTTTTTTCCTCCCTTCAGGGTGGTAAGTTCCCTGCTTATTCTGGGCAAGTCCAGAGATGCCATTCAGGAGTCAGGGCCTAGAGTCAGAAACTTTAGGACTCTAACTGTTTCCCTATCCTACTGCAGCTGGCCTGGCACCAAAACCACAGGCAAAGTCCATCCCTCTCTTCCCTCCCCTTCCTATAAGCAAAGAAATCTCTCCCTGTGGCCACCACCACTCCAGGCCAATGTTGGGTACTACCTGGCTACCGTCAATGTTCATTCAAGGCCCACATGCTCTTCAGTCAGATTTTGGTGAATGTTGCCAGGCAGGAAACTCTCTCCTCAGGACAGTAGGCACCCCTTTGGCCCAGGGAAGGTCCAGAAATGCTGACCAAGAGCCCAGGCCTAGTACTGGGGACAGTAAAAGCCCACTTGGTGCTCTGTACCACTGTGACCAAGCTGGTACCTGGGGCTGCAAGACAAAGTCCCCTTTACTCTTCCCTCTCTTTTTCTCTAGCATAAGGAATCTCTTGCTATAACCACCACAGCTGGGAATGTTCTGGGTCATACCTGATGCCAGCACATCTCTGAGTCTCACTTAAGGCCCACAGCAAGTACTGCCTGGGTATCACAGCTGATTATTCAGGGCCCAAGGGCTCTTTAGTTGGCAGGTAATGAATGCTGCCAGGACTGAATCCTTCTGTTTAAAGAAGCAGGTTCCCTTCTGGCCGAGGGTATGTCTAGAAATGTCATCTGGGAGCTAGAGCCTGGAATGTGGACCTCGGGACTTTGCCTGGTGCCCTATCATACTATGGCTGAGCTGGTATCCAAGTTGCAACACAAAGTCCTTTTTACTCTTTCGTCCCCTCAAGCAGAAGGGAGAAGCCTCTCTTGCAGCTGTGAGCTGCACCGCCTGGGTTTGGGGGAGGGGTGGCACAAGCACTCCCTTGGCCATCCCAGCTGGTATCTCACTGGGTCATGTGCCCCATCAAGTCCATTGTCTTTGATTCCAACACAGCTCCAGGACTTCCCCAAGAATTTCAGTCCTTATGGCCTAGACATCCTTTCAAGTTTATTTAGAACCCCAGAGCACTTTAGCCCACAGTGACAAGGCTTGCCAGAACTCAGGTTCTGACTGCTGGAATAGGCAGTTCTTCTCTGGCTAGAACTTGTCTAAGTGTTCCCTCTGTGGGCACTGGCTGAGTTCTGCCCAGTGTTGCTTACCACTGTTCCAGGGCAGCATTGAGTTCCAATGCAGTCTCACAGTCACTGTGTTCTCCATTCCCCGAGTGCACAGACTCCCTGCACCATGTGGCCACTGCCAAAAGATAGGGGAGGGTTGGTGTTGGAAATTCAAGATGGTCTTTCCTACTCTCCTTAGTGCCTCTTTCAGTGACATAAAGTTAAAAACAGATGCTGTAGTTGCTCACCTCATCTTTGGTTTTTATGAAGGTGTTTTTTTTTGTGTGGATAGTTGTTCAATTTGGTGTTCTTGCAGAAAGTATGGAAGCTTCCATTTGGTCATCTTGCTTCACCTCCTCTGTGGAAAAACACTTCTTAAAAATGTTTTTTCATGCAATGAAAAGAAGAAAGCTAGAGTGGCTATATTAGTATCAAAGTAGATTCATGCAATAACATGGATTCAGCACAAAAGCATAGCTAAGAGAAAAATAGAAACACATTTTATTATTCCTAGAAAACTGCTTCTTGAAATCAGTGATTGCTAGAAGTTGGGATTGAGAGGAGAAAATTGACTACAAAAGGGCATGAGAGATCTGTTTGGCATTATGAAAATGTTTGACATCATAATTATGGTAGTAGTTGCCACACTATGCATTTGTCAAAACTCATTGAATGTGCACTTGGGATTAGTTAATTTCTTATTTTGTTTTTACCCAACGTACCTATGAGATAATCAAAACAGTGATGGTGATCCTAAAATAACTTCAATGATATGTTTAAAGTTATATAGGAAGTTTACAGTAACTTATAGTAAACCTATAAGTAAAGATTCCTGACACTTATTCTGAAGATCTGTATTATATAGTATGAAGCTATTCTAAGAAAATTGCTAAAAGGGTCTGTGAAGGCAAAAACTTTGCCTATCTTGTTCATTGCTGTGTCCTCAGAATTAGAGTTATCTGTGATCCAAATAATCATGCTGTTATCATTACTGAATGACTTAATCGAACACAAAAATAATGAATATCATGTAATAAATTACAATTATCAACTGATCATAAAAATGTTCTGTAAGTCAAATGAAAGTACTGCAGGAGAGCTGCAAAATTGGAAAGCTTGGTATGTACTTATTTTTAGATTTTTTAAGTATATGTTTAATATTGTTTTCTTCAATCCTCAACTATTACTTCAGTAGTAGTAACTTTAAATTTAAATCAATGGGTCCAATTATTAAAATAAAATTATATAATAAATATGCTATTTGTGTTTCCAAAATCTTTTAGGCTTTCTGTAATGTCTTGATTTTACATTTTCAGATTACCAATTAGATTCATCACTAAATTTTGAAGTACTTCACCTGAACACATATAAAACCTTTTAGTTGACATGCAATGAATATTCTATTTAAATATAAATGTACACTATGTTCCTTACTATGAAGACAATCTGTATAGTTTTGTCCCACATTCTTTAATATAAAATAGCTGTAATCATAGTATTTTGAAAGAAACTAGCATTTATTGATAGCTTCCATTCACCAGGGCACCCAGTAGCCTTGAAGATTGTGGTAGGGTAAGGGATATGGAGCAATGGAGAAAGCATCTTCACAAAACAAAACAGGACTTTGCACCATTGAAGAAATCATATATATTTAGACTAATTGTTCATGTTTGCTTTCTTTTGAATCTCTATCTTGTTAAAAAATATTGCAAGGTGGTTTTTGTTTTTCAACATTTATGAAACGTAACATAGGTTTTTAAAAGAAAATCTGTGTTTTCTTTTAAACACAAGTAGGGTAGTGACATAGGTTTTTAAGAAATATTGAATACTCTATTTTGAAAGGAAAATTGAGTATCAAGTAATTAGTTTTATTTGCAGGAAGCTAGTAAGTGATGGAGTGGCTCATGGCAAGTTAAAATGTAGCTTGTTCTGAAAATCTTTCTATTCATTTTGCTCATAGTTTCATATGATGTTGAATACACTGAATATTCATATGGAGATAAATTAAGAGAGTTCAAATGTTTTTAATAATTTTATCTTGCCTATCATAAAATGATTAAAAATCTTTGAATGATAATGAAAATAATTTTAAATAGAGGTCAGTTAAATGGAATTATTCTTCTTTAGTTCTTATCTCTAAGCACCTTTCACACCCTCCAAATATACTGGTCAGTTCAGTAACAATAGATGAAATAGTTGTACTCATAAACATAATTTGGCACTAAACTGGAATACATGAGCAAATTGAGTCAGCACTGTAAAACTAGCCAGTTTTATAGGTGGATAACACATAATGTGTATATAAGTTCAGGTGAAGGAAAATGAAATCTTCACTAGATTATGCTATTACCAACTATGTAGAAGAAGTAAGTACAGTATGACTGAGTTTAGCTTCCCTGATAAGGTATTTCTTGTACTAACAAAACAAAAACAAAAACAAAAACAAAACAAAACCCTCTTTCTCATATAGCACCTATTTCTTTTACTTATTTTCTCCCATTGGCATTCAAACATACTGTGGTATCTCCCAGCTTAAAATTCTCTGTCTCCTTCTCTAAGTCTCTTTCTCTGTCTTCCTTTCTCTCTCTCTCTCCTATTTCTGTCTTCCACATCATTTCTATCTCTCTTCCTCGCCCCTTTTACTAATTTATTCCATTTCTATTGTTCTCTTGCTACCAATATCTCTCACATGGGTTTCTGTTTCACAATGACCACCTAATAGTCCTGAGTTTAAACTTGTCCCACACAAAGTTAATTTCCCACAAAGCAATCAAAGTGATATATTTAATGTAAAATTGTTTCATACCACCAGCCTTCCCCTCGATCCTTACAAGCTTTCAATGTTTTCTCATTGCACTTTGAATAAAATTCAAACTGCTGACCAAGGGTAAAGCCCTTCAAGAATCTGGTCCCAGCTTGCCTGTTCAACATCATCTCAAATTAATCTTCTCCTCTCTCACTTTAGTTTAGTCCATTCCCTGGTGCCTACTTTCTGCAAATTAAACCAAATCATCTCTTGCTATGCCATTTGCCCTTCTATCTGTTCAAAACACGCTTTCTCTATTTATGCATGCCCACACCTTCACATAGCAATACATATATAATTGTTTTTTATAACTTACTGCTTGATTTTGCCTGCTACTATAATAATACATAACCTTTATGTTGCACTTGATAGCAATAAGATACTAAGTACAAGAACTATAAATCAATGTGAACATATTATTTTTAAATTATATTTGTTATTTATTTATTAGAATAAATAGAATAAATGTTAATTCTAACAACAACCTGTGAGATTGCACTGTTGCTATCCTCATTTTTCATGCCAGGATGTTAATCGCAGAGAGATTAAGAGAAATTAAATAATTTGCCTAAGATCTCAGAGTAAGCAATTGGCAGATCCATAATTTCAAAGCAAGCAGTCTGGATTCAGAGCCTTTGTTCTAAGTGATATCTTTATATTATATAGAATGTTCCTCTGACTACACATGATACAATGGATATGTGTTTTCAGAAGTTATATTCGTGTACTAGGGCTGCCATAAAAAAATACCACAGAGTGCATGGTTTAAACACTAGAAGTTTATTTTCTCACAATTGTGGAAGATGGAAGTCCAACATCAAGGTGCCCAAAATTTGATTTCTTCTGAGGCCTCTCATGTTTGCTGACAGATGGCTGCCTTCTTTCTGTGTCCTCATACAGTCTTGTCTCTGTGTGTATTTACTCCTGGTATCTCTTCTTCTTCTAATGTGGACACCAGTCCTATTGGATTAGAGGACAACCCTGTTGACCCCATTTAAACTTAATTAGTTTTTGAGGCTCTATCTCCAAATACAGTCATCTTGGTGGTTAGCTTTTCAACATTGGAATTTGTGGGGGAACACACAATTCAGTCTATAACAGAAATATTATTTAATGGTAACCTACACAAATATACAAAATATTTAAATTTCTGTCTTACAAAATTCTATTATCCTCTTTCAAAAATCCTCTTAAAATACTTCAACATGAAAATTTAAAACAAAACAAAAATATGAAAGTAATGTGTATGGAATAGGACTCATTAATCAATTATTTTGTAAGAACCATAGGAATATGATTCTGTCCCTTTTCTAATGTGATCTATTTACACAAACTACTCTAAGCAAAATATTTGCCATTTGAAGATTTTTGTTTAATAATTGTATATGCTAGTTAATATAGCAAAAGAAGTTTCTTTGTAAATGCTAGTAGCAATCTTTAAATTTTTCTCCATATAATTTATTTTAAAGTTTATAATATTCAAAAATATTATTTTCAGTTTTTATGAGTAATTTTATTAAAATAATTATGTCACTGATGAAACAGTACTTTTAATGAAAATAATTTAAACTTATAATTTTTTTATTTTGCTAATGTCGTATTTTGGTTATCAGGGACACAGTAAATATATTCACTGCAAATTCCCTTCATATATATTTTTATTTGGTAAGAAATAGATTCTGTTGTTCATGAAGCTAATTTACCAAATAAAATTTATTTTATTCAGTAAATATGGCATTCTTGGAGCAAAGCCATATTTTAATTAATTTGTATCTTTGCCATAGTCAATGATAATTGATAGGATCTTGAAGATCCTACAAATTTGCCACATTTTCACCTCCAGAATGAAAGAATATCTAGAAAACAACCATAGAGAATGACTGATGGAGACAAAATATTCCAGGATCATGGCTAATAGAAACTATTGTTGAATGTGGTTTTGATGTGTGACTGCAATAGGCTTTTAGAAAATCTCACTTTTTAATTCTTTTTTAATTATTATTATACTTTAAGTTCTCGGGTACATGTACACAGCATGCAGGTTTGTTACATATGTATGCATGTGCCGTGTTGGTTTGCTGCGCCCATTAACTCGTCATTTACATTAGGTATTTCTCCAAATGCTTCTTAAACACAAAGTCACAAAAAAGAGGGGCAACTGTAGGCCTTCTGTGCAAAGCAGCATGGCAGAGAACAAGCAGGCAAAATGTACCCTATAGGAAGGCACACGTGAAAGAAAAAGAGAATAGCTTTGAAGTCAGCAAATTCTTTTAACCTAATTCTAAAAGATAAGTCATTCCTCCTCCCTTAGGAAAAGTCAGTGAGGGGTGAGGAAAGAAACCAAGAGAGATTATTTCTGATTGTGATGCTTTCTACGTCTTGATAAGCCATGTATAATAATTGAATTGAAAACTTTAGCAAAATGCTTGCTCCAATTCCGTGGTTTGTGGGAAAATAAATATCTTCAGTAGGATAAATAATACAGGCTACTTAAGCAGAAAAAAAATATTGGCACAAAAATCATATCTCCCACCGGAAATTTCTCAATTATCTACACAATTTTTACATTTTTAACAGGCAAGCCAGGTCACCGATAGAATTTGGCTTGATTCTAGAACCAAGAAGTATAATATCCTGTTAATAATCAAGGATAAAGGCTAGGTGTTGATATTGACTGAGAAGTTATCTGTTAAATTGTTTTTTCCTGTATCACAGTTCAATAATGTCATTGTTCATAAAAGAAACGGAGTTATATATAGTCAAATAAGATGTAGATTTTCTAGTCCACCTCTTACTTTTTAGATTATTACAATTTAGTCTCCACAATGCACTATCAATCTGTACCTTTGCACAACAGTTGTAGAAATTCAAATAAGGGGGCATTTCTCAAAAAGCACATATGAATCAAAATTTCTTTTCTTATGGAGAAATAATCCTAGTAATCTCCTGCCAGTAAAATATGTTTTGAGTTGGAATTATACCTTATTTGTAGTAAGCATCAATATATATTCATTGGAATTCTAATCTCCAGACAGTTAACTTAGCCATCTAACACTAGATATGACCACCAGGTTTAGCAAATAAAAATACATGATTCCCAGTGGAACTTAAATTTCTGATAAACAACAAAGATATTTTAGTGTAAGTATATCACATGCAATATTTGGGATACATTTATTCTAAAAAACATTAGTTATATGATCAAGCCATTGTACTCCAGCCTGAGTGACAGACTGAGATTCCAACAACAGCAACAAAAATGGTAGTTGTTTATCTAAAATTCAGATTTCATGGGCATTCTCTATTTTTCCTGGCAACCCTAACACTATGGCATGATACAATTCCTTGTGTCTATCCCATAGATGTGGAGCTGAATATACTAATTTATTTGATTATGAATTTGGTGAGCTATTGATTGTAATAATGTTACTGGCAAACTTACAGTGGGTTTAATTATTTTGTGATTTTTCTGCCTTGAAAGATAAGGATTTTTGTTTTTACACTTTAAAAATGGGGCACATCTCCATATCAACTTGAAATACCATAGCCGAAAATAGTGTCTTTCATATTAAAGTGACAGGTTTCTCGTTAGAGGAACACAGTAGTCAACATTATTTTATGAATGTAATTTATATTCCAGTGCAGCAAATTGTTTATCAGGGTCAGCTACAAATATCTTGATTTTAGTTTAATGCAGTTATTTGAGTATGCACTAAATACTATAGGTATTGGTATGAAACCATTTCTTAGACTGGTATGAAACTTATTCTTAGACTTTGGGTCAAACTGAAAAATTTAGTTCTTTCTTCAGGAGCCATTCTTGTCTGCAACTGCAGTGCCTGGAATACTATAGCTCAAAAACAGGATTTTTGAGAGAATTCTCATAGACTGAAAACTTTACCCATGGGAGGAATTATGTTTACTGAAGTATATACATCCACATAACTTTATATTTACATCTTATGATAATCTTGAAATCTAAAAAATTGAGACCACAAAGCTGTTTGCCTTTTATTTTTTTCAATGTCCTATGTAATGCAGGGTCAACATTTCAACTTGCAGCCTGAGGATGTTTTCAGAGTGAATTAATAAATTAAAAGGGTTCAGCTTTTCATTTTAAATATATACACATATATATATTGCTTTAGGAAAAACAAATGATTCAGGAGTACACTTCCCTTAAAATTCATGGTTAAATTCTGTTCTAGAGGATTCTTTGCATTCTGCAAAAGCATTAGGATGAGTTACATGAGATGTGTCATGTAGTGAAGCCAAACACATATTTAGGGTCTTCAAGCTTTTTAGACACATTTCTAGCATGTTTTCTAAACATAATGTAATTATATTATTTTTCCCAAGAATTTCCTGTGTGGATATTCTTTTCTAGGATTGTTATCTATAACCATGATTATTTTTTGTAATTGATAAAGCATAATAATCAAGTAAACATCTTATCCAGTCATTTATTAAAGAAAAATACTTTTTCAGTGTAATAAACGGTAAACTATAACTGTGATTATTCTGAACAGAATTAGATACTTTATTGTTATCATCTATTGGAACAAAAAATAAGTATGTGTCAGATATTTTCAATGACAGCAATTTGAAAATAGCCAAACTTATGTGCACAATCATGCTGTGGACAAAACTATACCAAGTTCTTGTTGACAGTTATATGGTTTGAATATAAGCTGTTCACTAGTAATTCCTGTAATTTTCTATAAGCAGTATAACAAACTTGGCATTTATTTATCTTCTAGATGAAATGAATGATCATCAAAGTACCCTCTCCTACATCCTGATTAACCCATCTCCAGATACCAGAATAGAGCTGAATGATGTTGTGTAAGTTGATCTCATATCTCATATAAGACAGATATTTTTAGAAAACTACTATTTATTTTTGTACTTATATTTAGGCCATAATAGCCTCTTATTTTTCTTATAAGTGCTTAAATAGTCTATACCTAATTTTATAAATAAACAAATGCATTTCATGTGTTGTGTGCAATATAAAAATATGATTGTTTAAAAGCAGTATAAAATAAAGAAATAGCAGCATGAATTCTGTATTATGTGAGCTAAAAAATATTTGGAAAAAATAAGTGAAGACGTGGAAGAATAAAAGAGCAACTCAACAGAAACAGTGAAATATCCCACACTGTCTAGTTCTAAATACCTTCAACTTCCCAAAAGCCAAACTGTGATTGGTCAAACACTTAATAGAAAAAGTTCTATGGGACTAATTTTATTTCTTGAAAAATAATTATTGAACATGTACAGTGGTAGCACTCACCTAAAGATGTGAGATAGAAAGACTAAGGCATTTTCTCTGACTTCAAAGTCCTTACACTCTAATTAACAAAGCTACAATTTACACATGAAAAATTTAATAGCAATACATAATAGCACTTTGTCACTAATAAACTAAGCATCAGTTGAGTGACATAGACAGTGCTTTTCTGAATTAATAGAAGGAGACATTATTGAGTAGTTGGAGAAATTATAAAGAATGTAAGACTTAAACTAGACTCTGAAGGGTAGATAGAATTTATGATGGTGGAGAAGAGAGGACATTCCAGAACAGAAAGAATGGCTTGGAAAATGCAGGAATTGCATAAAGTGTTTCAGTGTCAATTTGACTGGAGTAGAAATTGTGTATAGTTAGCATTTCTGTTGTAAGGCAAATGTAATACTGGAAAAATAAATTATATTTGCCTCTGGAAAGGTCTTACGTGACAAAATGAATTTAAAGTTGGCCTTATAGATGATGGACAGCACTTAGACATATATGAGCAAGTATGTAACAAGACTTTAGAAAAGGCACTTTGACAGTTGTTGGTGTAAGCCTAGGAAAGAAATTCCTTACAAGAATCTTCCCTTGAGATACACGACCTGTCCTGGGGTAGATCAAGTGATGTTTACCCAGGGTAACTAACTATAGATTGTATTACTGACATAAAACAAATGCCAAAGATCCACATGTTTTGTTGGATATTAGATCCATAGGATGTGTTTGTGTCTGTAATCCAGAAAGCAAGTGACAAAGTCAGAGACTAGCAGGACTGAGAACATTTTGTTATGCTGAGCATAATATGGATCCATGCAAGAGGTTTAGAACTAAATGTAATAATATGCAAAATTTTAGAAGACTCTTTTATATGTTGTCAGTTTTGTGGAAGATTTCGACTGGAGTGAAAAGGGTATGATTTTTTTAAAAGAGTTCTGCAGAAAACAATAGAATTGACTGATAGGATGGGTTAGGGTTGGGGTGAATATGAACGTAGGGAAAACAGTTAAAAAGCAGGTGTTAGAGAAACAACCATCTGTCATAGCATCAAGATAAAGCATTGTAAAGGCAAGCCCCTATGTAAATAGATTTATGAAGGCAGAAAATGAGACTTGATTATTGATTTGGGAATTGAAAAAGAAGTTTAACACAGCTTTAGGGTTTCAAACTGTGTGATTACAAAAATAAAAAAAAAATGTTGTTTCATCAAAACAAGTCAGAATGGGGAGACAATTTTCCAGGCAGGAAAGAGGGGCTGTTGGGTAGTAAAAAAAAAAGAGATGATATGTGGGTCCAGGTATATATGTATTTTTAATAAATGTTGACTTTCTAATTAATTAAGTTTATTGATATATAATAGTTGTGCATTTTATGAGGTACATGTGATATTTTGATACATGCATAAAATATGTAATGATCAATCAGGGTAATTGAGGTAGCCATTACCCCAAACATTTATAATTTCTTTGTGTTAGGAATATCCCAAATGTTCTTTTCCAGCTATTTTGAAATATACAATGAAGTCTTGTTAAGCATAGTTGCCCTACTGTGCTTTGAAGCACTGGAATTTATTTCTTCTGTGTAACTGTATTTTGGTTACTAATAAACCAGTTTCTCTCCATCTTCCCCTCCTCATCACCCTTCCCAGCCTCTGGTAACATTCTGCCTACTATCTCCATGAGATCAATTATTTTAGCTCACACATTTGAATGAAAACATGATATTTGTTTTTCTGTGGCTTATTTCTCTTAACACTGACTATGTTGTTTTTCTGTGGCTTATTTCATTTAACACTGACTATGTTGCTGCAAATGACAGAATTTCATCTTTTTTATGGATGAATGGTATTCTACTTTGCATATATACCACAAATTTTCTTCATCCATCCATTCAAATATGTTATTTAAAGTATAAAGAGGAAATGTCTAGAAAGCATTTAGATACACAGTATTGGAACTTTGAAGATAAGCTAGTTTTCTGTAGAAAAAATATTTTTTATCTTCCAGCTGAAAAAGGCTAAATAGGGAATGTTTTTTCCAAAAATATAAATACAGAAGAAACAGTAGAATAATTAGTGTTGTACTACTGACGAGTGTTTTGTTTTAGGGCAGAAACAGGAAGCATTTCAAAAACTTATTAGGAAAATAAAACAGCAGGAGTAAATCTGACCCCAAATAAGTGTGAAAAGATTCCTAAAATGCACCTAAGATAGAACTATCAAGTATAATATTGCTTTATTTTGCCATCTGATAATACTGGTTAGAATACAGGAGCATTGGGGAAACAGATGAATAACAATTTAAGCTAGTAGAATTCTTAAGTCACTGTCAAAAATTGTATCTGATGGTGATATTGAATTTATAAAGGACTTCAATTAGAGGAAAACATCTTATTTATGATGCACTTGGATTTTAATTACTCATCCTGGACCCTTCACATAGTATATTATGATAATAAAATAAAGCTGTTCTTTTTTCATGGCATCCACATTTATACATGTCTTTTTTCTTTTAAGTCCATAAGTATAGATAATTTTTATTAAATATCTAATCTACCCATATTAATTCCAGCCTTCTTATACCTTTTTTCAAATAAATATAATTGTGTTAATTATATAGAATTTAAAAAATTATGCTTACCTTATTTGTATTTTATAATAAATTATGTTTCTTAAGCTTAATACAATCATTTCCCATAATTATTTTTGACAGAATGTTCAAAGAAAATGTTGTCACCCTTTTGAGACTAAGAACATGTCATTTTGTCAAATATTTATGTTCTTGATTTCAAATGATGTTTAATCTTTTTACTTATGAATAAAATATGTATGTCACAATGTGGACAGGTAAAGTAGACATATTTTTAGAGAATTTTCTGTCTTTTAGATACTCTTATTTTTTATTAGTTTTAAGCTAAAACATCAACTTGACTGCTATTAAAAAAATAAAAAAGCTTTTCTTACACCATTGCAGTGATCTGTATTTGTGGCATTGAGATAATTAAATTTCAGTGGAACCAGAACAATGATAAATTATCATTTGAAAGATGCCTACCATGACATGTAATATATAAAAACACAGTTTAAGAAATTTGCTTTATTGGACTCATAGGTTTTGTAGTGACAATAATAGGAAAAGGAACTTTTGCTACTGCATCAATGAATGCAGAGAATAATGGATTATACTGTTATCTTTTATGTTTTTCTAAAAATTCACTTTCGGAAGTTTGTTTTAAATGAAGAAGCAACATTAATTTGATGCGAACAATAATAAATCACTAGATGATATGGTATTAAAAAGTGTAATGTGCACTATTAGTTTTCTTCATCAATCCACAATGCTATTGATATTTAAAGTAACTATAAAGCAGTGTGCATAGATGACAAAATCCAGTTAATAGGTCCAAGAACACTAGTCTCAACTTTTATTTGGTCAAAGAAAATAGACTCAGTGTTTTTGATTGCCTTTTCTCATTTTCATTAAGGAGTATATTTTGTGAATTTTTCCCTTCAGTCTTTAAGACAAAAGTGCAAACTTTATTAGCGTTCTCACTTTTTAATTAGTTTTCCTGTTCATTTTATATACTGCCTCTTAAAAATATTATAGAAGTATTAAATACTTCTTTCATTTGGACTTGGAACATGACTTTCTTAGAATGCTGTGTTGCATATATTTATTTTCTTCTCTCCTTTTCAAACCCTTAGTGGCTTCCTACTGCCTTTAAAACACAAATTGAAACTACTTATTCTGAAACTTAAGGTCATTCATTACCTGTTTCCTACCTTTGTTTTTGACTTTACCTACCATGATTTACTAGTTTTCTAAAGTCAAATCATTTCTAAGCACATCAGAAACATCCATCCTCTGTGGTCTCCATTGACAACATTTGGGATCACCTCCTGTTCCTTCCTCCTAAATCTTCTCTGAAGCCTGGAGAGGCAAGTTCAACCCAACCCCACAATAAAGCAGTTCCTAATTCTCTCTGTTGTTCTTTTTCACTTTGTATGATGTTTGGAATTTCTTTTTTTTTCTTCCATTATATCTGCTTCATAAATTTTACTTTAATCTTCTGCCGGACAGGAGTCATGTTTTGTGATTTTGTTTTAATTCTAAGGTGTTAGCACAGTTTCCTACAGGTGCTCAAGAAGCAGTCACTAAAGATACTCAGGCATACCTCAGAGATTTTGCAGGATTGGTTCCAGACTACCACAATAGAGTGAATATTGCAATCAAGCCAGTCACTTGAATTTTTTGGTTTCCCGGTGCATACAAAATTTATGTTTGCATTATACTTTAGTCTACTAAGTGTGCAAAAGCAAAGCATTATGTCTAAAAATTTACTTAATTAAAAAACAGTTTATTGCTAAAAAAAAAATGCTAGCAGTCATCTGAGCCTTCAGGGAGTCATAATCTTTTTTTGCCGGTAGAGAGTCTTGCCTCAATGTTGATGGCTGCTGACAGATTGGGGTAGTGGTTACTGAAGGTTGGAGGGGTGTGGCAATTTCTTAAAATCAGACAACAATGAAGTAGTATGCTGCATTGATTGACTCTTTCTTTCATGCAATATTTATCTGTAGCATGTAATACCCTTTGATAGCATTTTACCCGAAGTGGAACTTCTTTTGAAACTGGAGTCAATCCTTTCAAACCCTGCTGCTACTTTGTCAACTAAGTTTATGTAATAATATAAATTCTTTACAGTCATTTCAACAATGTTCATAGCATCTTCACCAGGAGTAGATTTCATCTCAAGAAACCAATTTATTTGATGATAAATAAGAAGCAACTCCTCATTCATTCAAATTTTGGTCAGAGATTGCAGCAGTTGAGTCACATCTTTGGGCTCCACTTCTAATTCTAGTTATCTTGCTATTTCTACCACAACTGCAGTTACTTCCTCCATTGAAGTCTTGATCCCCTCAAAGTCATCGATAAGGGTTGGAGTCAACTTCTTCCAAACTTCTGTTAATGTTGATATTTCTACCTCATCCCACGAATCATGAACATTGAAATTACTCTTTGATCCATGGGCTGCAGAATAGATGTTGTGTTAGCAAGAATGATACAATACTAATCTCATTGTACATCTCCATCAGAGCTCTTGGGTGACCAGGTGCCTTATCAAGGGGCAGTGATATTTTGAAGTCTTTTTTTTAAGTGTTAAGTCTCAACAATGGGCCTAACATTTTCAGTAAACTATGCTTTAAACAGATTTGCTGCCAGTCAGGCTTTGTTTTTCCATTTCTGGAGCATAGGCAGAGCAGATTTAGCAGAATTCTTAAGTGTCCTAGGATTTCCAGAATGGTAAATGAGTATTGGCTTCAACTGAAAGTCACCGAATGCATTAGCCCCTACCAAGAGAGTCAGCTTGTCACTGAAGCTTTGAAACTAGGCTTTGTCTTCTCCTCTCTAGCTACTTAAGTACTAGATGGCAACTTTTTCCAATAGAAGGCTGTCTTCCAAATTGAAAATCTGTTGTTTAATTTAGCCACCTTCATCAATAATCTTATTAATAGTTTGATTTTTTTGATAACTTGCTGTAGCTTCTGCATTAGCACTATCTACTTCATCTTGCACGTTTATGTTATGGAGGGGACTCATTTCCTTAAGCTTCATGAGCTAACCTCTGCTAGCTTCCTCTTCCATAGCTAACCTCTTCCATAGCTTCTTCACTTCCCTCACCTTTCAGAGAATTGAAAAGAGGTAGAGCATTGCTCTGGATTTGGCTTTGGATTAAGGGAATGTTGTAGCTGGTTTGATCTTTTTTCCAGACCACTCATACTTTTGCCATCTCAGCAATAAGGCTGTTTCCTTTTCTTATCAGTTGTGTATTCACTGGAGTAGCACTTTTAATTTCCTTAGGAACTTTTCCTTTGCATTCACAACTTGGCTAACTGGCACAAAAGACCTAACTTCCAACTTATGTAAGCTTTTGATGTTCCTTCCTCACTAAGCATAATCATTTCTAGCTTTTGATTTAAAGTGAGAGACATGATACTCTTCCTTTCACTTAAACAATTACAAGTCATTTTTGGGTTATTAACTAATCTAACTTTAATGTTTTTGTGTCTTGGGGAATACAGATGGTGGAGGAGAGGGAAAAGAGTCGAGGGAATAGCCAGTTGGTGGAGTGATCAGAACACACATATTTTATTGGTTAAAATTGCCTTCTTATATGGGTGCGGATAGTGGTATCCCAAAACAATTACAATAGGAACATCAAAAATTACTGATCACAGATCACTATAACAGATATAATTACAATGGAAAAAGTTCAAGTTACCAAATCTGACACAGAGACCCTAAGTGAGCACATGCTGGAAAAAATGTCTCCAACGGACTTGCTTGATTCAGGGTTGCCACAAACCTTCCATTTATAAATAATTCAATATTGGCAAAGTGCAATCAAGTCAAAAGCAATAAAAAAGGCATGCCTGTACATCATTTGACAGTCTAAAGTAAGACAACTCTCTGAAAACAAATTCTCACATTAATGAAATGTTTGAGTTTGGCAGATAAACATTTTTCTATTTACTAGCAGAATTAATTAAGAATTATTCTCTATACTTTAGTATTATCACTTACTATACCATAAGCTGAATTTTAGATAAATAATTTTCCTGCTAATTTAAACGTTATGCATTATATTCACTATAACATTTGTTAAACTGTTGATTTTATAGATTCATAAAATATTTAAATTGAAAAGACTATAGAAATTGCTTACATCAATCTCCTAATTTTTTAAGTGATAAAAATAAGACAAAGAACAGTTAAGTAATGGAAGAATGATGGCTAAAATGTAGGTCTCCTTCATAGAAAAATGGCCAAAGTAAGGGATAATAAGTCAACAGCATACTTAATCATAAAACTTTGATGAGACGAAGGTGCTGAAATTGATTATAATTGAAAAATAATGGTGACTGACAGTCAACATGCACAGGGAAAAAGATGAAGAAGAAAAATAATAGTGCTTGATTCATCAGCATTCATCATCATAATCTTCTCAGGTATGAAAATGATAATATTAACCATGCCAAATTGTAAAGGCCAACCAAACAGTGAGTTCTACCACCAATGTTGTATACAGACAGTTTAGATAATCTGAAAACTGAACAAATAAATTAGAAATATGAAGTGTCAGTGTGAATTAATGTTGCCTGTATTTACTATTGCAAAGTTATTTATTTTGTTTTCTTTTATTAGATACTTAATTCGACCAGATCCACTGGCCTACCTTCCAAACAGTGAGCCCAGTCGAAGAAACAGCATCTGCAATGTCACTGGTCAAGATTCTCGGGAGGAAACTCAACTTTGATAAAAATAAAATGAGAAACTTTTTTCCTACAAAGACCTTGCTTGAAACCACAAAAGTTTTGCTGGCACGAAAGAAACTAGATGGAAATATATGTAATTCTCTCATATTTAAAAACGTAATCTCTTCTCTTAGAAGTATAGATCATTTTGAAACTTAATGTACTACTTACTGGTACTCTCCCTATTAATATTTGAAGGACCTCAATGGAATAAATTTGAAAAGCTAAATTAAAATACAAAAATTTAAATCTGACATTTAATTGTTTTATAATAATCCAAACTCTATGAAAGCAATTTTAAAAATTATTAAGGTTTTATGAAGTTGACAAAATCTAACTATATTTGGTGCATCACAATGGACACAGAATGCTGCTGCTCCTCTTAAAAATTAAATGTGTCATATTATATTCTTTAAACTTACTGTTTTACAAAATTGAGCTCATCGTAAATGTCTAGTCTTCTCACATAGAGATTAACCAACAAACTTGTGTGGCTGACTTTTGTGTAAGAATCATAGTTTGCTTTAGAATACAAATCTTTAAGTCATTTTAACTTTTTTTTCTGCCTTACGATATAAAAATATTTATCTTAGAATTTGAGATGTTCATAGCATGTTTTATTACATTGAAGAAACTAAAACATAAATGAAAAGAAACACTAGGTTCCTGCACTTTTTGGTAACTTTATGTCTAGCAAATATTTTATGCCAAGAAAAGCATACTATAAAGCAAATATCTATTATTCTCCTAAACGAATGCCTAGCATAGAGAAAATACTTAATACACATTTGTTGACTTAAATTTAATTCAAGGATTGAAAAATTAACTGGATATCTTGAAATATACAGTAATGATTGTCCTTAGACTCTTGAACTTTACCATCTTTCCTATTCATATATCTATATAGTAAATTTCACTAGAAAAATTCTTTTAAAATTGACAGAAGATAATTTATACCTTTTATGGACTCTGAAGACACTTCAAAACATTAAAAGTCCTTATGTCTTTGGTAATGAAACAATAACACTCAATGAAGGATGTATTAAAATTTTTGACTTAATTTTGAAATCGTATATATGAGCTATACTTTAACATTATGAGAGAAAAGCATAAAACAAAAATAGGTAGTTCTTGGCTTTTAACATTAATGCAAATCATGCAGAATTTGAGTTATAAATTTAAATATAAATTGACCATTGATGATATCCAGTTTTTCATTTTTTACCTGTATTGCATTTTCCCCCTAGAGAAATAGATCAAAAGAGCACAAGAGTATGCGTACATAGTTTACCAGGTAGTAGAAGTGTGTTAAAATGTTCCTGTAAAAGAAACATTGGTAAATTTAAATACATACTGTTCTAATTTTGTATTTTTTAATTTTTGAATTTGACATTGAGTTTAATTCAGCAACAACAAAAAATACATATAAAACTAGAAAGGGACTTTTTTTCCTTTCTTTTCATAATGAAGCAGATCAACTTAAAGGATAATAAAATTTTTAAAGAAAAGATATTCTAATGTACTCTCAATAATTCTACAGAAATAAAACTGTAAAGTGCAATGTGAAATCAAAGATTATAGTCATTGTATAATTTGGCTTGGAGGCTATGAAATGTCTTTTTTTCTTTTTGGTATTTTACATTATTCACATTTTAGAATAACAAGAACACCAAGAATTACCCCTAAAACAGAGACCCTGTATTTAATCTACTTTGATCAGAGAAGTAGAATTTATAACAGGTTAGCTAAAATTGGGAGCATGCCTTAAAACTTAAAGATTGTATGCATATATGTGTATATGTTATAAACGTGAAATATATTTGACACACACATTCACATATAAATTGTTAAAAACTGAAGGCAGAATGGAACTAATATATGTAACAGAGAAAAACAATAAATTTTATGAACTTGTTTTATATTTGCATATCAAGAGTCAAGTATGATGTTTCTTTAAGTTGACTTTTTTTACTTCATTATTTTTAGGAATAAATGTAAGATTTTACAAATCTTTTATTTCCCCACAAGATCTGAAGTTTGGTATTTTTGCATTATGACAGTTGTTGAGACTAGGATTTTAAGCTAGGATATGATTATATTTCCTATATAACTAAAAATTTTGTTTCATAAATTTTAAAATAATTATTTTTGACTATGAACATTAGTCCAAATTTAATATTTGACACAGTTCATACCAGCTTGCTACAATAATGATAATTTATTAGTCTTTCTGTTATTTAAAGAATAAAAACATGCTTATAAAAGACTTTTAATGAAATGTTGCCTTTTTAAAATAATTATACTTGCACATGAAAATAAAATATAAAGTCAATAATAGTCCTTGTAGCCCAATGGGAATTGATTCTGTTTATTGTCTGTACCATTTTGCTACCAGTTACATTGAACTGCTTTAAAATAAATAATAAAATTATTTCTAATGATGAAAACTCTTGATTTTTTTTTGCCAAAACTTCAGTTGCTTAGATAAATTGTGTGTTGGAACTATAAAAATCATTTTTCATTTTTATATTTTAAACCCAAAATAGCTATGGAGGTTATCTCATTGGAAAATTTAGTGATAAACAAACTTCTGTTGAATTATGTCTTAACATAATAGATTCTGAATAGTTGCACCATGTCAGAAAAGGAGAAGTGAGGAGGGAAGGAGAGTTGAAATGGGAGGAAATGAACAATAGGAAGAAAGGGAGCAAGAAGAAAACAGAAGGTAAGAAAAAAAATAAACCTTAGTGAAGATGTCAGAAGAGAAAAGTATTTTATGACACAGAATCATGTCACAATACCCTAATTTAAGAGTCAGAAAAGGGAGGAGGAGCCAAGATGGCCGAATAGGAACAGCTCCGGTCTACAGCTCCCAGCGTGAGCGACGCAGAAGACGGGTGATTTCTGCATTTCCATCTGAGGTACCGGGTTCATCTCACTAGGGAGTGCCAGACAGTGGGTGCAGGCCAGTGTGTGTGCGCACCGTGCGCGAGCCGAAGCAGGGCGAGGCATTGCCTCACCTGGGAAGCGCAAGGGGTCAGGGAGTTCCCTTTCCGAGTCAAAGAAAGGGGTGACGGACGCACCTGGAAAATCGGGTCACTCCCACCCGAATATTGCGCTTTTCAGACCGGCTTAAGAAACGGCGCACCACGAGACTATATCCCACACCTGGCTCAGAGGGTCCTACGCCCACGGAATCTCGCTGATTGCTAGCACAGCAGTCTGAGATCAAACTGCAAGGCGGCAACGAGGCTGGGGGAGGGGCGCCCGCCATTGCCCAGGCTTGCTTAGGTAAACAAAGCAGCCGGGAAGCTCGAACTGGGTGGAGCCCACCACAGCTCAAGGAGGCCTGCCTGCCTCTGTAGGCTCCACCTCTGGGGGCAGGGCACAGACAAACAAAAAGACAGCAGTAACCTCTGCAGACTTAAATGTCCCTGTCTGACAGCTTTGAAGAGAGCAGTGGTTCTCCCAGCACGCAGCTGGAGATCTGAGAACAGGCAGACTGCCTCCTCAAGTGGGTCCCTGACCCCTGACCCCCGAGCAGCCTAACTGGGAGGCACCGCCCAGCAGGGGCACACTGACACCTCACATGGCAGGGTATTCCAACAGACCTGCAGCTGAGGGTCCTGTCTGTTAGAAGGAAAACTAACAACCAGAAAGGACATCTACACCGAAAACCCATCTGTACATCACCATCATCAAAGACCAAAAGTAGATAAAACCACAAAGATGGGGAAAAAACAGAACAGAAAAACTGGAAACTCTAAAACGCAGAGCGCCTCTCCTCCTCCAAAGGAACGCAGTTCCTCACCAGCAACAGAACAAAGCTGGATGGAGAATGATTTTGACGAGCTGAGAGAAGAAGGCTTCAGACGATCAAATTACTCTGAGCTACGGGAGGACATTCAAACCAAAGGCAAAGAAGTTGAAAACTTTGAAAAAAATTTAGAAGAATGTATAACTAGAATAACCAATACAGAGAAGTGCTTAAAGGAGCTGATGGAGCTGAAAACCAAGGCTCGAGAACTACGTGAAGAATGCAGAAGCCTCAGGAGCCGATGCAATCAACTGGAAGAAAGGGTATCAGCAATGGAAGATGAAATGAATGAAATGAAGCGAGAAGGGAAGTTTAGAGAAAAAAGAATAAAAAGAAATGAGCAAAGCCTCCAAGAAATATGGGACTATGTGAAAAGACCAAATCTACGTCTGATTGGTGTACCTGAAAGTGATATGGAGAATGGAACCAAGTTGGAAAACACTCTGCAGGATATTATCCAGGAGAACTTCCCCAATCTAGCAAGGCAGGCCAACGTTCAGATTCAGGAAATACAGAGAACGCCACAAAGACACTCCTCGAGAAGAGCAACTCCAAGACACATAATTGTCAGATTCACCAAAGTTGAAATGAAGGAAAAAATGTTAAGGGCAGCCAGAGAGAAAGGTCGGGTTACCCTCAAAGGAAAGCCCATCAGACTAACAGTGGATCTCTCGGCAGAAACCCTAGAAGCCAGAAGAGAGTGGGGGCCAATATTCAACATTCTTAAAGAAAAGAATTTTCAACCCAGAATTTCATATCCAGCCAAACTAAGCTTCATAAGTGAAGGAGAAATAAAATACTTTATAGACAAGCAAATGCTGAGAGATTTTGTCACCACCAGGCCTGCCCTAAAAGAGCTCCTGAAGGAAGCGCTAAACATGGAAAGGAACAACCGGTACCAGCCGCTGCAAAATCATGCCAAAATGTAAAGACCATCGAGACTAGGAAGAAACTGCATCAACTAATGAGCAAAATCACCAGCTAACATCATAATGACAGGATCAAATTCACACATAACAATATTAACTTTAAATATAAATGGACTAAATTCTGCAATTAAAAGACACAGACTGGCAAGTTGGATAAAGAGTCAAGACCCATCAGTGTGCTGTATTCAGGAAACCCATCTCATGTGCAGAGACACACATAGGCTCAAAATAAAAGGATGGAGGAAGATCTACCAAGCCAATGGAAAACAAAAAAAGGCAGGGGTTGCAATCCTAGTCTCGGATAAAACAGACTTTAAACCAACAAAGATCAAAAGAGACAAAGAAGGCCATTACATAATGGTAAAGGGATCAATTCAACAAGAGGAGCTAACTATCCTAAATATTTATGCACCCAATACAGGAGCACCCAGATTCATAAAGCAAGTCCTCAGTGACCTACAAAGAGACTTAGACTCCCACACATTAATAATGGGAGACTTTAACACCCCACTGTCAACATTAGACAGATCAACGAGACAGAAAGTCAACAAGGATACCCAGGAATTGAACTCAGCTCTGCACCAAGCAGACCTAATAGACATCTACAGAACTCTCCACCCCAAATCAACAGAATATACATTTTTTTCAGCACCACACCACACCTATTCCAAAATTGACCACATAGTTGGAAGTAAAGCTCTCCTCAGCAAATGTAAAAGAACAGAAATTATAACAAACTATCTCTCAGACCACAGTGCAATCAAACTAGAACTCAGGATTAAGAATCTCACTCAAAGCCGCTCAACTACATGGAAACTGAACAACCTGCTCCTGAATGACTACTGGGTACATAACGAAATGAAGGCAGAAATAAAGATGTTCTTTGAAACCAACGAGAACAAAGACACCACATACCAGAATCTCTGGGACGCATTCAAAGCAGTGTGTAGAGGGAAATTTATAGCACTAAATGCCTACAAGAGAAAGCAGGAAGGATCCAAAATTGACACCCTAACATCACAATTAAAAGAACTAGAAAAGCAAGAGCAAACACATTCAAAAGCTAGCAGAAGGCAAGAAATAACTAAAATCAGAGCAGAACTGAAGGAAATAGAGACACAAAAAACCCTTCAAAAAATCAATGAATCCAGGAGCTGGTTTTTTGAAAGGATCAACAAAATTGATAGACCGCTAGCAAGACTAATAAAGAAAAAAAGAGAGAAGAATCAAATAGACACAATAAAAAATGATAAAGGGGATATCACCACCGATCCCACAGAAATACAAACGACCATCAGAGAATACTACAAACACCTCTACGCAAATAAACTAGAAAATCTAGAAGAAATGGATACATTCCTCAACACATACACTCTCCCAAGACTAAACCAAGAAGAAGTTGAATCTCTGAATAGACCAATAACAGGCTCTGAAATTGTGGCAATAATCAATAGTTTACCAACCAAAAAGAGTCCAGGACCAGATGGATTCACAGCCGAATTCTGCCAGAGGTACAAGGAGGAACTGGTACCATTCCTTCTGAAACTATTCCAATCAATAGAAAAAGAGGGAATCCTCCCTAACTCATTTTATGAGGCCAGCATCATTCTGATACCAAAGCCGGGCAGAGACACAACCAAAAAAGAGAATTTTAGACCAATATCCTTGATGAACATTGATGCAAAAATCCTCAATAAAATACTGGCAAACCGAATCCAGCAGCACATCAAAAAGCTTATCCACCATGATCAAGTGGGCTTCATCCCTGGGATGCAAGGCTGGTTCAATATACGCAAATCAATAAATGTAATCCAGCATATAAACAGAGCCAAAGACAAAAACCACATGATTATCTCAATAGATGCAGAAAAAGCCTTTGACAAAATTCAACAACCCTTCATGCTAAAAACTCTCAATAAATTAGGTATTGATGGGACGTATTTCAAAATAATAAGAGCTATCTATGACAAACCCACAGCCAATATCATACTGAATGGGCAAAAACTGGAAGCATTCCCTTTGAAAACTGGCACAAGACAGGGATGCCCTCTCTCACCGCTCCTATTCAACATAGTGTTGGAAGTTCTGGCCAGGGCAATCAGGCAGGAGAAGGAAATAAAGGGGATTCAATTAGGAAAAGAGGAAGTCAAATTGTCCCTGTTTGCAGACGACATGATTGTTTATCTAGAAAACCCCATCGTCTCAGCCCAAAATCTCCTAAAGCTGATAAGCAACTTCAGCAAAGTCTCAGGATACAAAATCAATGTACAAAAATCACAAGCATTCTTATACACCAACAACAGACAAACAGAGAGCCAAATCATGGGTGAACTCCCATTCACAATTGCTTCAAAGAGAATAAAATACCTAGGAATCCAACTTACAAGGGATGTGAAGGACCTCTTCAAGGAGAACTACAAACCACTGCTCAAGGAAATAAAAGAGGACACAAACAAATGGAAGAGCATTCCATGCTCATGGGTAGGAAGAATCAATATCGTGAAAATGGCCATACTGCCCAAGGTAATTTACAGATTCAATGCCATCCCCATCAAGCTACCAATGACTTTCTTCACAGAATTGGAAAAAACTACTTTAAAGTTCATATGGAACCAAAAAAGAGCCCGCATTGCCAAGTCAATCCTAAGCCAAAAGAACAAAGCTGGAGGCATCACACTACCTGACTTCAAACTATACTACAAGGCTACAGTAACCAAAACAGCATGGTACTGGTACCAAAACAGAGATATAGATCAATGGAACAGAACAGAGCCCTCAGAAATAATGCCGCATATCTACAACTATCTGATCTTTGACAAACCTGAGAAAAACAAGCAATGGGGAAAGGATTCCCTATTTAATAAATGGTGATGGGAAAACTGGCTAGCCATATGTAGAAAGCTGAAACTGGATCCCTTCCTTACACCTTATACAAAAATCAATTCAAGATGGATTAAAGATTTAAACGTTAGACCTAAAACCATAAAAACCCTAGAAGAAAACCTAGGCATTACCATTCAGGACATAGGCGTGGGCAAGGACTTCATGTCCAAAACACCAAAAGCAATGGCAACAAAAGCCAAAATTGACAAATGGGATCTAATTAAACTAAAGAGCTTCTGCACAGCAAAAGAAACTACCATCAGAGTGAACAGGCAACCTACAACACGGGAGAAAATTTTCGCAACCTACTCATCTGACAAAGGGCTAATATCCAGAATCTACAATGAACTCAAACAAATTTACAAGAAAAAAACAAACAACCCCATCAAAAAGTGGGCGAAGGACATGAACAGACACTTCTCAAAAGAAGACATTTATGCAGCCAAAAAACACATGAAGAAATGCTCATCATCACTGGCCATCAGAGAAATGCAAATCAAAACCACTATGAGATATCATCTCACACCAGTTAGAATGGCAATCATTAAAAAGTCAGGAAACAACAGGTGCTGGAGAGGATGTGGAGAAATAGGAACACTTTTACAGTGTTGGTGGGACTGTAAACTAGTTCAACCATTGTGGAAGTCAGTGTGGCGATTCCTCAGGGATCTAGAACTAGAAATACCATTTGACCCAGCCATCCCATTACTGGGTATATACCCAAAGGACTATAAATCATGCTGCTATAAAGACACATGCACACGTATGTTTATTGCGGCACTATTCACAATAGCAAAGACTTGGAACCAACCCAAATGTCCAACAATGATAGACTGGATTAAGAAAATGTGGCACATATACACCATGGAATACTATGCAGCCATAAAAAATGATGAGTTCATATCCTTTGTAGGGACATGGATGAAATTGGAAACCATCATTCTCAGTAAACTATCGCAAGAACAAAAAACCAAACACCGCATATTCTCACTCATAGGTGGGAATTGAACAATGAGATCACATGGACACAGGAGGGGGAATATCACACTCTGGGGACTGTGGTGGGGTCGGGGGAGGGGGGAGGAATAGCATTGGGAGATATACCTAATGCTAGATGACACATTAGTGGGTGCAGCGCACCAGCATGGCACATGTATACATATGTAACTAACCTGCACAATGTGCACATGTACCCTAAAACTTAGAGTATAAAAAAAAAAAAAAAAAGAGTCAGAAAAGCACTGGTTAGAGAAAAGAAAAAATAGTTTTTAACGCAAAGATGGAATTCCAGTTCCAGGCAAATGGAATACACCCATTTCTCCCTATTCCTCCTGCTAAACACAGCTAAACCCCCTAGATATTATATGTAAAACAAACCTAAGAAGGTTCTGAACAGTGGAAAGAAGGAGGAAGACAGACTAGGGAATTGGGACTTGAAGAAAAACATGGTGGTGAATTCTGTGGGATTTTTCTTGGCTTCCTGTATATCCTGATCTTGATATTGAGAAACATCAATGAGCACAGATGAAAAAGTTCTAAGAAAAGCCTGCTGTCTCCTTCAAAAGGACTGGCTCCTGCGGCAGATGCGGCTTCTGCAGCACCAGACTGCTGACAGTTTAGTATGGATGGCTTCTTCTTCTGAAATGGGCTCCACACCTTGTGGCCTGAAACTTCCCTCAGCACCCTGTTAGATGGTTTTCTAGTGGCGTGCTTCCAGTGAGACGCTTTCCCATAAAAAGCTTCCTCTGGCACCTTAGAGGGTGGAATTCCAGCAAGTTCTGCCAGTGCAGCACCGTAGTGACTTCTCTGCTGTTCTGTGAGCCACAGCCGTGCTATCTTAATTTCCAGTGCAGTCCTGGAATCTCTTCCTGGAGCACTTTATCTTGGCCTTGAAAATAATGCATGCTCCTTACATCTGCTATTGCTGTATTATTTTCAAGTTCTCTTTACTATTACTAACCAATCTGATATTTCTCTATTGCTCTGTTATAGTTAAAAAATCTCTGTGTAAAATATTCTCTGTCCAAATCACTGTGTGATTTCTCTCTCCAAACAGGACCCCGACTGATACATAATGCACAAATCAGCAGTTCTTGGTTTAATGAAATAATGGTGATATCAAATTCTGCAAACCTGAGAGACAGACTTTGGGCAAATTCAAAAAATTAAATAGCACCTGCTGGGAAACTTTGCAGACAGATGATGCACTCATCCCGTGGAGCATTAGACCATTTTCATTTCGTTTTGATCTTCTCTACTCTTTTTTATAGGACTGTCTTCAGTCCTATAGTTTATAGGACTAACTCATTTGTGGGAAGGGAGAAAGAGATATGCCAAGTTCAATCATGTAGGTCAATCTAAAATTATAGCAAATTGTTCTTAAAAATAGTAATTTTGCTTATAATTAAACAATATGCTTATATTGTTATCCAATAGAATTGTATTTTATTACTTAATGTAAACATGTGTTTGTAGAAACAAAACAAAGACCCGTTTTTCTAAAAATAAATAATAGAAATCTTTCACAAATTGCACTATAATTAGTCACACTCCAAGGAAATATAATATAGCTCCACTCCAAGATTTGTATTTTCTTCTTTTTGTATCATACACAAAATATATTTCATCCTAGTGACACCAAGCTAGATATATTTGTACTTGGAAATTAAATACAATTCCAAAAATAAACATTTCTAAATTTATTGACTTCCACTCTCTGATCTGTATGTTATTCATATAGACTAAGAAAGCATGAGTAGTTCATCAGAATATATTTTTTTCCTCTGAAAGTTCTCGACTTTCAAAAAACAGGAGCTATGAGACACTTTTATTAATAGACATGAGATTGCTACTGAAGTCGATGTTTGTAAATACACTGCATAGCCATATAGGCATAATTAAGTTATACATTGCTAAAGTAATATTTTAAAGCTTTAAGTTCTTTTAATTACTGATTATTATCTTATGCAAGAAATACGTTAAAAAAGGTAATAGATTCCAAATTTTAATTGAGACCACAGAATGAAAGCCACCAAAAGATCTTTCAATCTGTCATAAGATTTCACAAAGAAACTCACATTTTGTGATATATATTAGGCAGGACAAGTTAAGCTACAGTGAGGGAAGAGAGAGACCCTCTCATATTGTTTTATACTCAGTACCTGTTTTAAGAAAAAAACAGGGAAGTAAAACCAAAGACAGGCAGCCCGGCGCCAGGCCCGAAACCAGGCCTGGGCCTGCCTGGCCTAAACCCAGTAGTTAGAAATCAACTCATAACTTAGAAACCGACGTTTTTCATAGATTCCAGACATTGTATAGAAGAACACTGTGAAACTCCCTGCCCTGTTCTGTTTCTCTCTGACCGCCAGTGCATGCAGCCCCTGTCATGTACCCCTTGCTTGCTCAAATCAATCACGACCCTTTCATGTCAAATCCTTAGTGTTGTGAGCCCTTAAAAAGGACAGAAATTGTGCATTTGGGGAGCTCGGATTTTAAGACAGTAGCTTGCCGATGTTCCCAGCTGAATAAAGCCCTTCCTTCTACAACTCAGTGTCTGAGAAGTTTTGTCTGCTGCTCATCCTGCTACAACAGTGCAGTAATAGATTAAACTCCATACATAATCTCAAGTGGTTTAATATAATAAACATTCTATTTTATATGGAATAATATCTAATGCAGAAAACGATTTGACATTTTAAGATAAAAGATTTTATAAATGTGCATTCATTGAAACAATATAAAATACAAATCATCAGAACAATAGAAATATATCTAAAGTATTTATTACCTTTACTAAAAATTCAGACTTGAAAATAAAATATGGAGAAAACAATAATTATTTTAAAATTTCAAATGTTCTTGGGCCAAGTTATAAATGATTTGATTTTGAAAACAAAGTATGATCACTTTTTAATTAAAAATAATTGATTTTTAATGTTTCTGGCAAAAAGCATCCTGTGAAATAACTACAAAATAACTGACATTTCCACTGGCAAACAAGTTGCTAAAAATAATTAAGTAGCTGTGCTTGATACATTATCAGTAACTAAAGGACAGAAGTTCTTATTTTGAAGCATTCAGCATCCTCTAAGTTAGTTAATGTGGGCAATCCTCATTTCTCAGTTTAGTGATGTTAAGATTTATTCTTGTACTAGAATCAAGTTGCAACCTAATTTAAGAAGAAAAAAAAAGAAGTAGTCAGTTACTTCTGAGTCACTGTTACAAACTCAAAAGCCTAAATTAGCCAAAGAGGAGATGGTCCTCTGATCATTTTGAAATATAAAATTTTCAGGTCACATATTTTTCAAGATAAGAAATCTGTCTGGTGAAAATGTGTTACCTAATTATCAATATAGTTGTGACATTTATTACTGAAATTTAAAATCACTTAATAAAATAATTTTATTTTGTTAAAATATTATTTTGGGATTTGAGGGCTATACTGTCATTTTTTTTCTTGAGTTTGGCTGAAAGTAAGAAACCATTGAAAATGTATTATTAGGAATCTGCATGAATGATGGTTTAGTATTCTGAAGTAGTTCCTGTAATATTTTTAAAGTTTTTCTTAGTCAATATTAAAAAATATTGACAAGATCTGCCCTCATAATCATTTAAACTCATAATAATTTAAACTTTCAGAGCAATTTTTCAAGCTTCCCTGATATCTTTCAGTATTCTCTAACACTCTCCATTTGTTTACTTCTTTATATCAAATAACCACCAAAGCAATTACCAAATCCATATAGCCTCGAAGCAACTTGGTGAAGTAATTTAACATCTTTTCGTATCATAGATAGAAGCCAATTTTCATCAGAGTCTAAAATCAATTGTTTCTCTGTAACTCTTCCAATATCATAGAATAAACTACAGGATACAGATGATGATCACGGGTGAGTAATTTATTTTGTGTATACAATATTTGTCAGGCCTCTGGACCCAAACCTGCACGTATACATCTAGATGGCCTGAAGTAACTGAACAATGACAAAAGAAGTGAAAATGGCCGGTTCCTGCCTTAACTGATGGCATTACCTTGTGAAATTCCTTCTCCTGGCTCAGAAGCTCCCCCACTGAGCACCTTGTGTCCCCCGCCCCTGCCCGCCAGGGAACAACCCTCTTTGACTGTAATTTTCCACTACCTACCCAAATCCTATAAAACGGTCCATCACTATCTCCCTTCGCTGACTCTCTTTTCGGACTCAGCCCGTCTGCCCCCAGATGATTAAAAAGCTTTATCACTCACACAAAGCCTGTTTGGTGGTCTCTTCACACGGATGTGTGTGAAAATATTGACCACCTCTCTAGACATGTCTGTGTTGTAATTGGCACACCTTGCATCCTGCTATGCTGCATTGCACTCACTTCTACAGAGATGGCTACTTGACCCTCAAGCATTCAGGAGCTAAATGGCAGGGCATGTTGACCATATGAAAAGGTGGCTGGTCACTCAGCAGCAATTCCCCTGTTTTGTAACATTGCAGGAATGGTGCTCTGAGAGCCAAGACAAATGAATTTTGCCTGTGTCCATTTTTTAACGAGATGATGCATAGGAATCTTTGCTGAAGGAAACAAGTTATTAAGCTTGCTCTTGGAACAAGGATTCATTCCAACTGACTTTTAGGAGCATGAAACAACTGACAATGGTAACTGGGTGATGAAACTGGAAATTATTTCTGCAGAAAAAAATTATTGTAGATACAGACACCCCAGATACGGACACCCACAATTATTATGTGGCAACTTTATGTGGTTTTATGAGTTCATGAACTAAAAAAAAAAAAAATTGTCATGAGGCCCTTAGCAGCTCAAAAATAGGTCTCTGCTGAAAATTTTTAAAATTTTATTCAGCTGACAATACCTATTGTTCATCACACCAATCGGATTACCGCCTGCTCACAGGGTATAAACACAAGGCTATTATTTTATCCTAGTAGAGAAAAAAATTCCCCAAAGGGCAAACCTGAGATTCATCTTGAATTTCCCTCTTCTCCTTTACCACACCTTCTGTCCATCAATTCGTTGTCATTTCTTGTGATTTTCCTTCCTAAATGTCTCTCAGATCCAGTCTCACCATTGCCTTTCTGGACCAGTGAACTCGGATGTTAGCCTTATTCTGCATTTCTCAGATAAACCTCCCAAACTCCATCTTTCCTGCTTCCATTCTTTTCTCCAAATTATGCTCAGAAAGATTGTTCAAAGATTTTAATGTATTCTTAGTTAAAATCATCCACAGGCCTTTTATTACTCTTAGAATAAGAACCAAAGTGATTATCAGGCCTAATAAATAGGTATGATCTTCTTGTCATTCTAACTATTCATTCAGTTATGCAAAAATACCTATCAAGAACCACTGTTGAAATAAGTAAGTACTTTTCAAGGACGGTCTCAAATATCTTCACTAATGATAATATACAACTAAATATTTCCTTTATATACCCTCATAGTATCCTATGCCTCTTCACAGCTTTTTGCTCCGATGTGTACTTGTGTTATTAGTAACAGTATTATAATGTAGTATTTGATCAATAGAGAAGAAACAAAATTTTAAAATCTGGTTGGAAAGACTCTCAGGGAGAGAATGTATGTTTTGTTTAGAAATACACTATTGGGCAAGTTTAGCTTAAAGAGAAGCTCATATGGAAACAGCACGAAGGGGCTAAGATAAGACAAGTGACAGCTGAACTACACATAAGATTATAGGAGAGATTTAAAGCATAGAAAGAGAACTAAGTCCAGTGAGAAGATATCATGAGACAGGAGGTCCAAGCACCATTTCCCAGGTGAGAAGCCTAGTCAACTGTAGAGGAGCTTTGACTAGAAAAGCTTTTAGTGCCAGGAGGTGGTAAAAAAAAAAAAAAAAGACTTTGTTTGTTTGTTTGTTTGTTTGTTTGTTTTTGAGACTGAGTTTCGGAGTTCCGCTCTTTTTGCCCAGGCTGGAGTGCAATCGCACAATCTCGGCTCACCGCAACCTTCGCCTCCTGTGTTCAAGTGATTCTCCTGCCTCAGCCTCCTGAGTAGCTGGGACTACAAGCATGTGCCACCACGCCCAGCTAATTTTGTGTTTTTAATAGAGACAGGGTTTCCCCATGTTGGTCAGGCTGGTCTCGAACTCCTGACCTCAGGTGATCCACCTGCCTCGGACTCCCAAAGTGCTAGGATTACAGGTGTGAGCCACCGTGCCCAGTGGATTAATTGTTTTTGTTTATGTGCTGTGGTATACTTCAGGGTACCTGCTTCCTCCCCTCTTATCAACTTAAACCTTCAATAAATTCTATTATTTATAGAATCCTGTCTAATTGATATTTGGAGAATAAAGGGATGCTTAGCAATAAAATAGTCAGTGTCTCAAGGCAAAACAGGCAGCTGAGAAAGAATAGATGACATGAAAAAAGCAGCTCCCAGGTGAAGCACTCAACATCATGTTAATACAATTTGATTTTCCTCTAACTTAAAATAATTGTGGTAGGGGAAATGGAGAAACTGCTACCCACCTACATCTGTTTAATGCTAGATTTTCTTGATAGACTAAAATTCCTGAAGTCAGGGACCATGACTATCCACACAAAGCCCTAGGTTATTTTATTTATTTATTTATTTGGGACAGAGTCTCATTCTGTTGCCCAGGCTGGAGCGCAGTAGTGCGATCTCGGCTCACTGCAACCTCTGCCTCCTGAGTTCAAGTGATTCTCCTGCCTCAGTCTCCTGAGTTGCTGGGATTACCACACTCAGCTAATTTTTTGTATTTTTAGTAGAGACAAGGTTTCTCCATGTTGGGCGAGTTTAGCTAAAAGAGAAGCTTATATGGAAACAGAGTGAATGGGCTAAGATAAGACAAGTGACAGCTAAACTGCTCCTCATAAGATTATAGGCTTGTCTCGAACTCCTGATCTCAAGTGATCTGCCCACCGCAGCCTCCCAAAGTGCCGGGATTACAGGCTTAAGCCACTGTGCCCAGCCTCCTAGAATATTGATCTTGGGAAATACTTGTTGATTACCAATGGGGCATTGCATTATAAACTCTAGATATCAAAGAATACCTAATAATTCAGAAATTAGGCCTTATAAACTGGTTATATTCTGTGTGTCCACATATTATTTAAGAAATGCAACCTTCTAATTTCTTTTCTCAAACATATATGTGTGCCAATCAGCATGGAGAGAAAGCATTGAGGGATAGGAATAGGGGAGAAAAAGTAAGAACATTATTTTACATTAAAAGTATTTTCAATTTAGAGTAACAAACTGCAGCTAGAGAACAGGGAAAAACTAATCCAGTGGTTTTGAAGCCATTATGTAGAAAGGGAAATATTTGAAATTAAAATCTATTGGTTCAGTCCTAATACAAACGACATCACTGACGTGCACATGTAGAACAAAGTGGACAATGGCAGGGGATGCAAATCTCATTAATTCTACACATATAATTGCCTTGTTATCTTTCTGCTTCAGTTTCTGTATAAGATCATGGGTTGCAAAAATGTATTTACATGTATAGCTAACCATAGCTAAGGAAAATCTAATAAAGCAAACTTCTGAGAAGTCAGGAATCTCTTCCCATGATGCAAAAGTGGTATTAAAAAAAAAAAGGTCCAATTTTTCGGTCCACCTTGTGCTACTATTCTCAAGATATTAATTCCTAGACCTTAAAGATTGAATCATTTTAATACAATGCAAATGAACACACTATTCCCTGTTATGCACATTATATGTATGTGTGTTTTGAAAGTGTGTGTGAGTGGCATTTCAGTATCTGCCCTTCCTGTTATAGAGTAATTCTCTATTAATTGTTAGAATTAGTGGCATGCAATGTCCTTCCTCCACTACAGAAAGTGAAGATAGAAAATCCTCACTCTTTCATTTTCAATAATCTAGGCTTACCTACATCTAAGGTTTTAATCTGGAGCTGACAAAGTGAAGATGAAGAGGTGGTTCAAATTGATTTGTGATGCCTTACAAAAGCATCAGTGATGTCCATTTGCAGTATTCAACAAAATAAAACGTCTAGCAGTGGATGCAGTATACAGTAGTACTATTCTGGCTAGATCATTGTCCTACCAAACTTCAGGATCCTCATTGATTCTTGCTTGTTTTCCAAGCCTGCCTCTTTATTATTAAGTTTGAAGCGTAAGCCCCCATATCTATCTAAAAATTCCTCTTTTGTATAAGAAAAATGTGTTTTTGTCAGTTTAAAAAAACTGTGATAGTTTTGTTTTGTTTTGTTTTGTTTTGTTTTTCAAAAAGAACCATAGTAATTCTTTTTGTATTCACATCATTTGGTGGTTCCCTCTGTATTGAGTCTCCCCTTTCTGTTAACTGTTTTGGCCAATGGGACAGTAGCAAACAAGATGAAAGTAGAGGTTGTGAAAAGGCTTATTTATTGTGATTTAAGACTTTTTGCTCTCTGTGAGACCAGGGCTGGCTGATCTTGAGAATTCGAGATCACATAAAAAAGAGACCAAACTTCTTACCAAACAAGTTATTGAGGCCATTATAGACCACTGGATATCAACCAATCTTCCAAGTGACCACAGAAATTATCTAAGACAGCTGAGACCAGAATAACCACCAACTGTCCTACATAATCAGAAAAAAAATAAACATTTGTTGTTGTGAGCTGTGAAGTTTTGAACTGATTTATTATATAGCAAAAGGTAATTGATACACCAATAATTAATTTATATGCCCAAAGAGAACACACTTTTCTAATTCACTCATCCAACTCTAAATTCGGGATCACTGGATGATATCCATTTCTTCTCTAGTTTCACCCCTCAGACGCTAAAGTCTCTAAATCAGAAAAGCCTAGATAAAATAGAAAGAAAAACTATTCTACCTTTCTCATCCTCTCTCTTTCTTTTTTCAAAAATGTGTCATTACATGTAATTCTGAAAAGAACCACCTTCAACGCCATCTCTTGGTATTCAAAGCAAAGTTTTCTGGCTATAGTAGAAATAAAATCATATATTGGCTACTGGTTGACATGATACATCACATTTTCCAATATAGCACCCAAAATTTGAAAGACATTGCTGTCAATGTGACCCTATATCTGAATATCCAATATACAACCCATAGCTCTCTAAGGCCTGTGCTTCTGGGCCACAAGGTATATAATACCACTAAATATTATAGATATTGGACTACTGTACTGGATTTAATAATATCTCCCAAACCCATGTCCACAGAGAACCTATGAATGTGACCTTGTTTGAAAATAGGGTATTTGTAATGTAATCAAGTTAAGATGAAGTCATACTGCATTAGGGTGGGTGCCAAATCTGATAGGACTATTGTCTTTTTAAGAAGAGACATATTTGTACACAGACACATAATGAGAACCTCATGTGACAATAAAGGCAGTTATGCAGAAAAAAGTAAGGAAACGCCAAGGACTGCCAGCAACCACCAGAAGCTGGGAGAAAGCCATGGAACAGATTCTCCCATGGAGTCTCCAGAAGGAGTACATCTCGCTGACAACTTGATTTCTCACTTCTGGCCTCCAGAGCTGTGAGAATAAACTTCTCTTGTCATAAACCTCCACTTTTGTGGTCATTTGTTGTGACAGCCCAAGGAAACAAATATGCTTATCTTCATTTTTTTTTTTACTTTGAAGTAAGTTGCTTGGTCAGTGGTGTTAACGGGGGATACCAAGATAGTAATGGCAAGTAAAATAAATTAAAAGTACTTTAACCAGACAGCCTGACAGTAGGAAATAATAAACATTCAATTATTCCCGTGTTCCACTGGGCTAATAATGATGTAGGCTCTGCGTGGAAATTCGTTTTGCCATCTGATCTCCAGTGTAACAGCAATGACCTTCCTCAAGGTGACCTGGGCCTCTCTTCCATTTAAGGAACTCTGATGATTCTATAATTTCCTTCAGATATGAGAGTGGAATAAAGATCGATGACTCTCATGGTTATATGACTCAGGTTCTACAAATCAAGGAAAATGTTGATGGGTTGCCTATCAACTAGTTTTATTCCTTTATAAAACAGAATTTAACTACTGCCAGTGAAATTTTATTTGAGATCCGATCATGACATCCATCTGATGCCTTTGAGGGTAACCATAGCAACCTTACTTGAGACATTGAGAGCTGATACCCAGTCCTGCTGCCTTGGATTTCCTCCCATCCCAGCTGAGATCACAGTACTTGACACCATTCCCAGCCATTGATGGTTTGGCTGAGAAAAATTTGGCCCCGTGTATCCACCCAAATCTCATCTGGAACTGTAATCCCCACCAGTTGAGGGAGGAATCTGATGGGATATGATTGGATCATGATGGCAGTTTCCCCCGTGCTGTTCTCATGATAGTGTTCTCATGATAGTGAGTGAGTGCTCATGAGATCTGATGGTTTTAAAGTGTGGCACTTACCTCATTCTCCTCCTGCCACCATGTAAGATGTGCCTTGCTTCCCCTTCACCTTCCACCACGATTATAAGTTTCCTGATGCCTTTCAGCCATCTGAACTGAGTCAATTAAACCTTTTTTCTGCATAAATTACCCAGTCTCGGGTAATTCTCTACATCAGTGTGAAAATGAACTAATACAGCGGCATTCCAGGCATAGAGAGAACAGTAATAAAGTGCTAATATGATTTAGATATTAAATATTTTGATAAGGCACGTGAGTTGTAACTATAGCCCAGTGGATCACGTTCTTGTTGCTGGTTAGAATTACCCAGGGAGCTTTTTAAAAATATTGATGCTCAGGCCTCATTCTAAATCCATTAAATCAGAATCTCTGAAGGGAGATCTTGGATGTTTATATATATTTAAGGATCTTTAAATCATTCTAATGTA
The DNA here is from genome assembly GCF_000001405.40 of Homo sapiens. Classification (NCBI taxonomy): domain Eukaryota; kingdom Metazoa; phylum Chordata; class Mammalia; order Primates; family Hominidae; genus Homo; species Homo sapiens. The sequence goes on along the minus strand of NC_000001.11, from coordinate 196,208,789 downwards.
CAACCAGGATTGTTATTTTTCCCCTAAATATGGAATTAACTTGCCACTGTCTCTGAAAATTAACTTTCTTTGTGGGATACTGATATTCACTGGTATGTGTTTGCCTGTGAGTGTCTGTTGAGGAGTTAATCTGAGGGTCAGGAGTATCCCATGTGCCCTTTCCTCTTCTTTGTCTCAGTTACCACATTTAATCCCATGTCAGTCCTCTGTTTCCACACTCAAATCTACATCTGACTCTGCCTATAAGCATCCACCTCCCATTACCCTCAACTTCTGAATCCATTTGACTGTACGTGCCCTTAGCAACGATTTCTCCAGTATCAGCAAAAAGTTGTATATTTTCAACTTCTTCTCTGCAAATTCTCTTTACTTTCTTTCTTTAAAAGGAACTCATATCTCTCCTTAGGAAACTATATTTCCTGAATATTGAATAATGTCTCATTTGCTCTCTCATATTTCTTATTCCACTAGGCCTAACAGTGAGGTTGGTCCTCTCCTTGATACTCATGGCTGCTTCTAGGTATGTTTTCCTCCCTCTTTCCTGAATCACTCCCTCCAATTCTGAATCTCATGTGATCAGATGAATGCAATCCACCAACTATTATTCCTGTTTTTTGCCACACGCCATTTATAAACCTTGCCTCCATTTCTTAAATATTTTAGCTTCTGGATTAGCATTGGATTCCTCAACAAAATTCCTGTTTAATTTTTGGTGATCTAAATATGTAATAGATGAACATTCCAACTCTGTGACTGCATAATTTTTAGATCTCCTCTCCTAAAAAGACCTTATCCTCCACCACTCCTCAGCCACTCATTCTTATGATCATATCTTAGAAATTTTCAGTATTAATAAGTGAAAAAAGCCTTCAGAATCTCATTTCTGTTGAAAGATAATTTTCTGAAAAAGATAAAGTCATGACTTTCGAAGAGATATGAAAATAAACATGTGTTAAAGAATTTATTTTACTTCTATGCTATCAGGAATCCAGGCAGATGTTGTAACTGGAGTAAAGGAATGCTGAGATGAATTTGCAAATGGAAAAAAAGAAAACTTTTTCCACCGAAGAGAGGAAATCACCCAAATCACTATCAAAGAAGACTTAATGTACATATCTCTCAGTTGCATACAACTTTTACAAATAGTTACAATATAGGTCAAAGACAATGAAAAGGACCAGAATCAGACAACTTGTAAGGGCATGTTATAGGTGGTGCAAAGTTTTCCACTAAGACACAAGAAACTTTTCTATAGTTTACATAGATTCCACACTGTGATTGACCCTCAATCTTTCTAGCTTTCTCACTCTAGAAATATGTACACAGTAACCCATGGACCACCCCCACCCCTACCCCATAGCTGCTGTCTATTCACCATCCCTCACATCCCTTGTAATGTCTCTTTCTTCTTTTCCATGCTTAAATATTTACACTTAATCATTTTAATAGCCCTCTTATATGTATCTTTAAATTTCTTGTTAATTTCTTTTGTTATTATACTCAACTGAAAATCCTTGGTAACACTAGTTAAGTTCAACTCTTCATCTGTGACTATTTTATATGGTGACATATACCCACAGATATAGAGGGCTTTTCTGCTCATTGTCCATTCATGTGCTCTCCCATATTTTCCGGCCTCTTTGTAGTTTATTCAGGACAAGGGACTAGTATTGTCAATGCTCTGTGACCATGTATTATTTCCTAGATGAAGCATTTAAGATCCTGTGCATAAGCCTCAGTACTCTCTTTCCCAGACTCATAGTTAGAAAAAGGCTTCATCAGCCTAGGTCCCTGAATGACCATGTGGAGCAGAGCACACACACACACAACCCCAGCACCACCACACCCAATACCACCAACCTAAAGACATATAAAATGAGTGAGATATCAACTTGGTTGCTTAAGGCTAGTGAGAACAGAAAGTTGTTTATTACTGCTGCAGAGACTAGTTTATCCTATGTAAAACATGTGTTGACTGGCTTCACTTTAAATTTGTAATTCATTCCAAATTTCAAGCGTTTCTTTAATGTTCCTAGAAATGATACTACCATTCTCTAGTGTTTTTGTTTCCTATTCTCCTAAAGGACTATATCAGAGTCTGTTTTCAATACCCTAGTGCTTTCTCCCTCATCCTCAGTCCCAACTGATGACCTTGCATCTTATTTAACTGAGGGAAGCCCACAACATATAACTTTCAAAGTATCTCAGGAGCATATCTTTGATAATATATATCTGTACACTCTGTCCATTTTTCTTTTGCAATTGATAAATTATATCTTCTCCCAATTCAGACCATGCCTTTATTTTTATGATGTATTCCCTTTTTTTTTTAACTTCTACCCAAGAACATTTCTCCAGTGGTATTTTTACTCTCTACTTAACTATTCCCATTAGCATTTATAAAGGTAGGAGAACACCTTTACAAATTGAAAAAAAAAAAGCCTTCTCAACTTAATTACTTATTTAGTTAATGTCTAATTTCTCTACACTTTCTGACAACAAAACTCTTTGAAAAAGTTATCCATGCTTCCTGTTCTCAATTCTTCTCCTTCCATTTTCTGTTCAACCTATTCTTCTTTTGCTCTCACCACTACATTAAAATAGCTCTTGTCATGATACCATTGATCTCTGTATTGATAAATTAAAAGTCAGTATGCAGCCCTCATCTTGATCTGTCAGCAAGCAGCACTTGACAGATAATTTTTTCCTTCATCATTTGTCTGAGACAACACACTAGTCTCTCTCCTATCTCACTGACCACTCCTGATAAGACACCTTTCTTCCCAGTGAAAAAAATTCTTTGTACTTAATTCTAGTACAAAACATGTTATGAATAACACTGAAGTGCGTGAATTGGATAACGTTCTCACCTCTGAAACCCTTATTATTCAGAGTTGGAATGAAAAGAAAAGTTGGAGTGAAGAAAAAATCCTTCAAAAGAGGGAAAGTGCTATATGCAGAAGTGAGGGATGCTAGATAAACATGCAACATATTCTAAGAGGACACAGAATTCCTATAATTACAAAAAATTAAATACATGTATAGAAATAATAAATATTATTTTATCGATACACTAATATGGTACTACTTCAGTGCTTAAAATGATGATATAGAGGTATGTCTAATAACCAGAGCTTAATGTAGAGATAAATGCTATTCTAATAAATGAAAATAAACATAATACAGTATGAAAATATGGGAGAAACTTTTTGCATGCTACTCATCTGACAAAGGTCTAATATCCAGACTATAAGGAACTTAAACAAATTTACAAGAAAAAAAAAAACAACCCTATCAAAAAGTGGCCAAAGGATATGAACAGACACTGCTTCTTCTTTTTCTTTTTCTTTTGTGAGATGGCGTTTCGATTTTGTTGCCCAGGCTGGAGTACAATGGCACAATCTCGGCTCATGGCAACCTCCACCTCCCGGGTTCAAGCAATTCTCCTGCCTCAGCCTCCTGAGCAGCTGGGGTCACAGGCATGTGCCACCATGCCTGGCTAATTTTTTTATTTTTAGTAGAGATGGGGTTTCTCCATGTTGGTCAGGCTGGTCTCAAACTCCCGACCTCAAGTGATCCACTCACTTCGGCCTCCCAAATTGCTGGGGTTACAGGCCTGAGCCACCATGCCGGGCATGAGCAGACACTTCTTAAAAGAAGACATTTATGTGGCCAAGAAACATACGAAAAAAAGCTCATCATCCCTGGTCATTAGAGAAATGCAAATCCAAACCACAATGAGATATCATCTCACACCAGTTAGAATGGTGATTATTAAAAAGTCAGGAAACAACAGATGCTGGACAGGCTGTGGAGAAATAGGAACACTTTTACACCGTTGGTGGGAGTGTAAATTCGTTCAACCATTGTAGTGGACAGTGTGGTGATTCCTTAAGGATCCAGAACCAGAAATACCATTTGACCCAGCAATCTCATTACTGCTTATATACCCAGAGGATTATAAATCATTCTACCCTAAAGACACATGCACACATATGTTTATTGCAGCACCATCTACAATAGCAAAGACTTGGAGCCAACCCAAATGCCCATCAATGATAGACTGGATAAAGAAAATGTGGCACATATGCACCATGGAACACTATGCAGCCATAAAAAAAAGAATGAGTTTATGTCCTTTGCAGGGACATGGATGAAGCTGGAATCATTATCCTCAGCAAACTAACACAGGAACAGAAAACCAAGCATCACATGTTCTCATTCATAAGTGGGAGCTGAACAATGAGAACACATGGACACAGGGAGGGGAACAACACACACTGGGGCCTGTCAGTGGGGGCGGGAGGAGAGGGGAGGGAGAACATCAATACAAATAGCTAATGAATGTGGGGCTTAAAACCTAGATGGTGGGTTGATAGGTGCAGCAAACCACCATGGCACGTGTATACCTATGTAACAAACGTGCACGTTCTGCACATGTATCCCAGAACTTAAAGTAAAACTAAAGAAAAAAAAGAAAAATGAAAAAAGAAAATATCTGCTTGATTTCTCTTTCTTGCAAAGTTATAGGAACTAGCAATAAAGCTGGTTTGTTTATAATTGTTAGAGAATAATTTTCACAAAAGTAAAATCATGACTCTCATACAAACATAAAATGAACAAAGATTTTATTGAACTAATTAATTAATGAGGGAAACAGTAGGATTTTATAACTAATTCAAAGAGCATAGGCAAAACTAGAAAATATATGAAAAAATATAATGCTTATGTTAGATATAATACTAGTTATTGTCTAATGAGTTAATTAATCTGTAGGGCAATTTATTCCACTGTACAGAAATTATTTACATTTCACCAAAAATACACTATTCAAAAAAAAAAAAACTTTACAATTGAAGCCTGGGAGCCTAATATAAACTAAGAACCTTTGCCTATATAACATGCCCCCATGTGACACTGAAAGGATGTGTTGCCCAGCCAAGTTTATCAAATTTTTGAACATATTCAAATTTGAAAAAATGCGCCATTTTAATTAGAGATGAGTGATTAAAGACAATGAGATTAATTTTTTCCCATTCAATTTCCAGGAATCCTTGAATTCAATCCACAGTTGAACTCCAGAACTATAACTATCTCATAAGGCTGTTATGCAGGAAAGGAATTATTCAGCAGGTCTGTATTGCTCAGATTCTGCAAATTTTCAAGGAAGGACATTCTTTAGGAATATCCCTTGGCCAGCTTCTGGTAGATGAGCACTGAGTCCTTGGAATATTATGCTTGGTAAGATATTTTATATGTGTGAATGAGGTCTTGGGCCGCTTTGTACCTGATGGATTAGATAGTTTTTGCAAACTAATATAATTTATAGTGAATTCCTGTTTTTGCTTTGGTGTGTTAGAGTATTAGTAGTTGAGGTCAGTCATGCAGGTGGTGTGTTCCTACATGACTGACCCCAGGAAAACTCTAGATACCAAGGCTCAAGTGGGATTCCCTACTTGACAACACATTACATCATGTAGTCACACATCATTAATGGAAGAATGAAACATCTGTATGACTTCACTGGGAGAGGGCTTTTAGAAACTTGTACTTTGTTTCTTCTGCACATTGTCCCATGTAACTTTTCCCTTGGCTGATTTTAATCTACTTGTACCCTTTCGCAATAATAAACCATAACCATGAGTATAACAGCATCTGAATCTTGTGAGTCCTTCTAGCAAATCACTGAGTCTAAGTATAATCTTTGGGACCCTTGACACAGTTGTAGTGAGTAACCGAAGAGATAATGCATGTAAAGTGTTTGGCAAATAAAAGATTGTATTGGCTCACCTCCAGACCACAGAAAATGCCAATTATAAGAAAACTCCTCTCTAGCACACCTTGACATAATTGACTGGATTTAAGATGGAGCCCCAGACATCTTCCCAACACTCTTCCCCAAACTAAGAGCCATGGCTCCATTATCTGACTTGACACCATCAGGGCAAATCCTACTCTGTCCTTTATTCTTGTTTAATCTCAGTCACTACCTGTTACGTAAGTACTATAATTGTTTAATAGAGTTATAAACCTGATGTTACTTTTTTGCATCATTAGTAACGCTTTAGTATGAGACAAATAGTCTGGCTATAATTTGCTCATAATTTGGCTAAAATATACAATTAAACCTACCATTGGGTTTGTACTCACTTTTCTTTGAATGTCACCCATCTTCCTTTGATCCAAGTTCTTCGTAAAATTAACTTGGTTTCCCGAATGGATGAACTCAACCACTAAGTGACTTTTCAGATGATACAAAAAATAAATAGTTCAGAAATATGAACACTGAATCAAATTGTACCCCAAAAGAGAGTTTCCTTTCTCCACAGAAACAACTGGGTACATTTTATATGAACTAGATTTGTAACCAAACTTTCAGAGAAATGGACTTTGATAAACAGTTAGGGAACATAAGAGGCATGATCAGAGGCTAATGTTTAAACTTTAAAATAAAGTCAAACTAACTAGGTACAGCCAAAAGCAGTTTTTGTTAGATTTACATGATGATCCCTGTCGTATAAATTTCGACAACTGACACTGAACTATTCTTCATATATGATAGCAAAACATTGAAACAGTATTTGAAAATCTCATAGGAATAACTGTACCAAAAATAAATAATTGAATTGCCTCTAAACACTGGTATTAGATTTGTGGGGGGGAAATTTATTGTACCTACTTCTACAAATTGAGGAGTAATGTGTAATTTTATTGAACTGATGCCTGCTTTAGAGATAGTCCCTACTGTAATGGAGATTCATTTTGGCTCACCAAATATCAAATAATTTAACTTAAGGTATTTGTATAATTTGATTCAAGAAGATAAAAACTTAAAGTGTAAATTCAAAATTTTAACCACCAGAGAGGAAATTAGGACTCTTGTCTTCTGCTCTAAGTGTCTTCATTTCACAAATTACAGAAGATCAAAACATAGGAAGAGTTTTACATGCTATGATTTACAGAAATAGCAGGAGGATTGTACACTGTAATTAAGGCCATAGAACTTCATGCTTGAAAGAATTTAATGTAATAGAACAGGTCGTTCAAAATAGAGTCATTTTACATAAAATGCAAGCCATTCACAGTAGAATATTAACAATTTTAGGAAAACAATGTTGTACTTAAAACCTCATAGGCTTGTCTGGAATGTTTAATATTGCAAAAAGGGTCTGTGAAACAAACAATAAAATTATGGAATTAATAATTAGGCTTAGCCCTGTACATGGGTCAGTAGATTTTTCATATCAAAATTCTTTTTGCTTAATTTATTTCGGTATCTTGGCTTCTGGATTAGAAACAAACTGCAAGATCTGTTCATATCTTAGTCTGTTTCACTGCTCAAATGTTTGATCTCCAAATTTTTTAATTCAGTCATAGCTGCTATTTCATAACATGATCTAATAAATGTACTCAAAACAAAAGAAAAAAGAAAAGTAAAAGAAAATCTAACATAACACTTAGAGATATTGGAACAGTTACCACCAGGAACTCTACATGTGACCATTACACATTAAAACCAGTGCAGATTGGATTGATTATATCCCCAGGTGATAATGATTTCCCCTCCTTTCTAAGCTAAAGGATAACGAAAGAGGAGATGGAGAACTAAAACCAGTATATTTTTCTATTCTCTGCTCAGAAATTCTAACCCAGAGATACTTTACTGTTTCTCTACTAAATAATTCTAGCACATAACATGCTTTTCTTTTTGTGTGTCAGGCAATATAGGCCTTAGGCAAAAATTACTTATATGCTTGCTCCAGGAAATATTTACTTTTCAAAGATAAGATTGTGAACCAACCTAAACAATTTTCTTATCAAAATTAGCAGCTTGCTCATCAAACTCACAAGACTCTTACCTTTCTGCACCCAGCAAACAATACAAAATTTCATATCAAAAACTTTACCTGATCCAAATAATTCCGTGCCTTGCAAGACTACCTTATATCATCCAGTCCAGGCCTTAAATCTGACTTTTCTTTTCTGAGACATTACTTAAGTTCTGTCAAAGCAGTATCTGTAGTAAGTTTGATAAATAAAATTGGTTGCTAAACATCAATATCTACTTTTCTGGCAGATGTTTGGGGAAGTCAAAAGTTGACAGAATATACTTAATTTATTTTCCCTTCTTAATCTCCTGGTACGTGTTAGGATCTCCTAATATGTGTTAGAATCTCTTGGTTCCTTTAGCATAACTTTAAATAACATACACAAATTGTTTCTTAATTACTAAATTCAATGCTGTTTGAATCCTCATTCATACAGATATAGAGAAAATCTAATTAATAAAGATATGGAAATAAGTGCATATATTTTTCCCATTCACCTTTCCTAATCTTTTACATTTTTATTTTGGAATTTGTCAACATATATAACATTTATCTTCCTGCAGTAGTTTAATTTTGGTTTTAGAATAAATCCTGATTTCCAGTGAGTAAAAGTGCTCTACTATGGTTTTTCTAATCAGCATTTGGTTGGCTGGATTTTTCAAACATAGAATAAGTATAATGTAGATTTTTTTTTTTAACCTCTGTGCCTAGATCCTTCATTGAGTCTCACTGGTTTTATGATATGTATGAAAATGTCTGCTAGTGGCTTTAGATTTGAATGACAGCTTCTATAATAAACATTCTTGCATTGCTCTTTATTTTTCTCAGAACTTTGTGTAAACTGCTCTATCACATTCTAGCACTGGATGTGTCAACGAAAAAAGTTTGAAAGTCTGAGGCTGGCCTGATATTTTTAATCTTTATTTGTTAGAAGCATGATATTTCTGCTAAAATGTCTCAAGAATCCTTTATCTTTGAAGTTTAGTAACTTCACTAGCATATGTCTGGGTATTTCTATATCTTTTTTTTTCTTCGTGAAACAGTGCATACCATTTCAATAAGCAGATTTGTATTTTTTCTTTTAGAAAAACATTGTATTGTCTAATGAATAAATTTCTGTTCTATTTTTATAATTTTTTTTTCTCTTCTCTACTTTAAGGAGTAAATTATTATTATGTACAGCATCTTTTTTGTTAGGTATCCTTTTTCTTTCTTATAAAATCAGTTTCTTTACACTTTTTCCCTGAATTCAAAATGATTTTCTTAGACTTTCCTCTAAGGCACTAATTTAGACTTTGAGCCTCTCTTTTCTGTTCTGTTCCACTAATTATTATTTGTAGTTTCTTTTGGTTCTCAGTTGACATCCTTCTACTGCACTCTCACTTTATAATTCTTTTGTTTTCACAACTCATTATTTTTCAAAAAATTTATCTCACAGAATAATGTTTTCTTTAAAGTACTTTCTTATAATGAACACTTTCAGATTATTCTTATTTGATTCCTCTCGTTTTCTTCTAGATTAGATTATTTGATCATTTTGCAGGCTGTATTCTCTTCATCTTCCCCACCATCTCTTCCTCATTCATCAGTGACCACATACTAGACTTCCTTTTAGCTCTTTTTCCTCCTGCACATATTCCTTTTGCTTTTGCCTCACCTTCCTCATCTTCATTCCATGGCTTCCTATTTCTTTTTCCTTCCAATTCACTTTTGTATAGTAGCCATTTCATTTATTTTCTTCTTTCTCTTACTTAATGTGGGAAAGTTTGTTGGGACTTTCTCTTTGTTCCGATAGTGGGTAAGTTCTTTCTGACTGTTTTCCTACCTTTTCTGTGATTGATTTATGCTTACACATAATAATTAAGCGCTATTATTAATTCTACAGCCTGAGGACATCAGATGAAAGTGAAGTTAACTGAGCCCCTGTACTAAAAAAGAAAATAATTATTATTATGCCTTCACATCTGTCCAGGTTTACTCGACTAACTCAAGTTTATCTTCTTCCCATGAGACTAAGGAGGTTCTTGGATAAAAAAGCAAATTATCAATGACATGATAATTTACCAGTGATAGGTCAAATATCATGAGGACCAATAATTGACCGTTGGAATTAGCTACACAGAGGTAATTGTTAATCCTGATGGAGAAATTTTAGTGTGTACCCTTTCTTCTTTGAAACACTCATTCTCTTGACTTATGGACAGTAAAAATGTTTCAGTTTCATTTACTTCTGTGGCCACCCTTTTTTTTAAATGTTTACTTTTTTTTTCTTTGCTGGTTCTTCCTCATCTCTCTCATCTTTTAAAATTGGGCTCCATAGGACTTGTCTTTATATGCGTTCTCTTCTCTGGGGGCACACATTCAATTTTGTGGTCTCATATTATCTTTTGGCCTTAAATGTTATCTACTGTTGATGAAATCTAAATTTATGTTGCTAACTTCTATATGCCCCTTAAACTTTAGATTCATATTTAATTGCTTTCTTGATAATTCCAATTAAATATATAATAGGAACCTAAATTTCAAGTTTAAAACTCCTTCTTCTACAATCTTCTATTTTTAATAATGAGTACTGTCACATTGTCAATTGTATAGGTTAGGAACCTCATAGTCATCCTTGTTTCCTGGATTTTTTCTCATACTTTGTATTAAAATCGTCAGCAAATCCTGTTCTTTCTTCAAAGTATATGCAGCATTTGACCAATTCTTTCACTTCTATACCCTGGTCAAAGCCACTATCTTCCCTATCTGAGATAATTGTATTAGCCTCCTAACTAATCACTCTGTATTTCATCTTCTACTTCCAATAATATATTCTCAATACAAATGCCTGAGTCATTCTATTAAAATATGTTGAATCCCACCACTTAAAACCTTCTAATGGCTTTCCAACTTACTCACATAAAATTTAAGTTTGTAATGCCCCACATATCTGGACTCCTGTTACCTCCCTGTCTTAATCTTCCTACTGTTTCCTCGTTGATCACTCTGCTCTAGCCAAACTTAGTCTTATTGTTATTTTCTTAAAAATCAAATAGATATGTTCCTTCCTCAGGGACATGGCATTTCCTGTTTTCTTTCCTCGGAATATTCTTCCTTCAGATATCTGAATGACTTTCTTTTCTTTTAATACCTCCTTTAGGCTCTCCTTGAATACCATATACAAAAATTCAAACTCTTTCTCAGCTCTGCCTCTTACGGCTGCATCTTTATCTCACTTCCTTGATATATTTCAAGTAGCAAATGTATTACCATCTGATATACCACATATCTACTTCCTTTACTTGGTGGCTTCCTCTTAATATAAGTTCCATGTATTTAGAATTTTGTTTATTTTGTCTGCCTCTGCATCCCCAATATCTTGTTCATAGTAGGTAATCAATAATTATTTGTTAAATTAATGCATGTCTGAGATAAATTCAGTCTCACTTCCATGCTCTCCTCCCACATCTACTCTTAGCATATCCCCAGTCAGAGGAGAAAATTATAAAGATAACCATTACTAGAGGATATTTTATTTTGTTTTCTGATAGTATGAATCATACTTTCAGCTGGAAATTATTAAGTATAAATATTTCCTGTCTCACCTTTAGCTTGCTTCCTAGTCTCTTAAACCAAAATGCTTAATTTCCCCATAAATTTCTAACATATTACATAATTCATTTATTTATTATGTGATTGTCGTTGGCCTCTCCCCAGATGTCATCTCTGAAAGAGCAATGCTTTCTGTCTGTTTTGCATTCTGCAGTGTCTTATGTTGGTAGCACCATGACTGGCACAGTGTAGATACTCAATAAAACTTTGTCGAATGAATCAAGCAAACACTAATGATTCTTTTGGCTATGTCCTATCTATGCATCACCTGTCTGGTGTAGCTATTAATCACTTTACTTATTTTTAGCTATATTTAATGTTAGCATGTTGAAAATAATAAAGGTAAAAAAATATAGGAAAGAGAAAATTGAGTTAGTGTAAATAAGCATGGCTCTTATAATTCTATTTTACCATCAGTATCCAAAAAAATTAAGAGGAAAGCTACCTAAAACCACCCTGAAATATTTCAGGGTTATTTTTCAGTGACATTCCCTGTAATAAAACAGATATCACTGAACTTCAGTTCATAGATATGCAGAGTGCAAAAATATTGCATTTAATTTTGTCTAGAGTTCATTTTAACTGACAAAAACACATTCCTTTGCTGACAAATGAGTATGTGAATTGAATCCTCCTAACTGAATCTCTTGTGTGCTCCTGGCAGGGTAAAATTCAAATCAGCCTCCCACCTTTCGCTCTGCCTTCTTAGATTTTCTTCTAGAGTTAATTGGGCTCTTCCTGGTGACAAGCAACTTGATTTCTGAGAGAATATACAAATGCACATAGGCTAGTATGCATTTAATCATTTTCATTAATAACAATAAGCCCTTTCTGTAGTTTCTAAAGTATACAGAAGGATTGACTAAAGAACAGAAAAATATATTGTAGGAGTATTAGATATTAGAATACTAATTAAAAATATTTTTTAGAGTACACACTGGAGGCATCACTGATCCATAACTTGATTAGACATATTAATTTATCTTTATCATTTTTTCCTATAAATTTGCAGAAACATGTCAGTAGCTCTGAAATGAAAAAAATATGCATAGCCTATTAAAAGAGTTACATATGTTTTAATGTTTGTAAGTATAGTGTGAGGTTGTAAAGTGAAGTATATGAAGCATTATACCTTAGAGAGCATTCGTGGGGGTAGTTTGAGAAGTAAAAATATTTTTTAAAGGAAGGTAAATATACTTGTCTAGCAATACACCATATGCCATATTTATAGATTATCTGTTCCATGTAATATTAAAAATGAAATGCTCTAAATTTTCTAGTAAAATCTAGAGAAGAATATTCATGTATTATTTTCATATATTTATCTTTCTTCAGTTTAAGTGTAGAGAAGCAATAACAAATGTTTATAAAGCACTTGCTATTTTTCATTATTAGGTATGAGGGATATGGTAAAAAACCATTATTTTCATATTTAATAATCAAAACCTTTGAAATATTGGATCCAAAATGAATTTTACTGTGGTTGAAAAATATATCCCTGAGTCAGGAACATCTCTGTTTGGTATTTACAGAAAAAGACTACATTCACATGCACATACACACATACACAGAACGGTTATAGTATGTTCCCAATTTAATTAACCAAGGGTATGTAATTTTAGCAATGATAAACTGGCTACAATAAGCAGGAGCAGTTGCATCTATCTCAGCACCACAGAAACCTTGAAAAGGGGTAGGCAGATGCTGGCAACACTGTCCATTCACATGATTATCTTAGCAGGTCTGGAGTTCCAGTTTATGAGGGTACTTCATAAAAATTCTAAACATTTTATATAAATAAACTGTCAGCTCTCATTTAAGCTTTCTTTCTCTTTCTTTCTTTCTTTCTTTCTCTCTTTCTTTCTTTCTTTCCTTCCTTCTATTCTTTCTTTCTTCTCTCCTTCCTTCCTTCTTTCCTTCTTTCTTCTGTTTTCTTTCTTTTTCTTTTGCTTTCTTTTCCTTCCTTCCTTCCCCCCTTCCTTCCTTCCTTCCTTCCTTCCTTCCTTCCTTCCTTCCTTCCTTCCTCCCTCCCTCCCTCCCTCCTTTCCTTCTTTCTTTCCCTGTTTCTTTCTTTTTTTTTTTCTTTAATAATGATTTTTTCTGGTTCTGACTTAAATTCAGCAATGACAAGGCACGTCCTTTTCTGGAGGAGCAGAATAATTGTCCAGATGTCCCCAACTAACATTGTTGTAGTTTGCTGCATGATGATGATTTAATCTTCTTATATGTGGGGATTTCTAATACTGAGTTTAGTACAAATATCACAAGTGATTCTTCTCCCAAAGGCAAATTTTGTTTAAAAAAAATTTGTAGTCTAAGCCTATTAGCATACAACACAAACTCGCTCTTCTCATGTTCTAAGCAATTTTGTCTTTCAGTTTTAAATTACACTAAATTCCAAGTCTCATATACATGTCAATGGAGAGCTATTTATACTAAATAATAATGTTTGCACATGCACAAAAAGGAAGTAAAAGAAATAAAATATTCACGGCCATAAGACCTTGGTGATTTTTTTTCTTCTTGAGCTTAGATAGAGCAGAAAAATTAATTACCTGGCTATCATGTAGCTGCTCCTGCTCTGAATGTTCAGTTTACTGGGAATTTACTGTAGTCTTATAGTGTGTATTTGTATGTGTGTATGTTTGTGTGGATGCATGTGTGGTCTTTTCCTGTGAATTTATAACCAATCTGAAATGTGGCAAACCTTGCGTGAATTATTATGGACCCTTTATTTCTGTTATACAGTTTCTCCATTTTTCTGTGACACAGTGCGTGAAGCAGTATTTCAAAACATCTCACTCTGGTCCTCTTCCACAACAAGGCTTTAGGTATCTTTCAGGTAAGAGCAATGTATTACCTATTACGATGTAGCAAGTCACCTGCAAACTTACAGGCTTAAAACCAAACATATGTATTATCATGCAGAGTTTCTGAGGGTCAGAAATCTAGAAGCAATTTATCTGAGTCTCTCATGAGCGTATAGTCCTCATGAGATTAGCTGAGGTTGCAATTATCTGAAGGTTTGACTGGGGTTGGAAGATCTGCTTCTAAGGTCACTTAGGTGGCTCTCACCAGAAGGCCTCAGTTCTTCAGCACATGGTCCTCTCACAACATGGCATCTGACTTCCCCCAGAGCAAGTGATTCAACAGAGAGAGACAGAGAGAGAGAGAGAGAGAGAGACAGAGAGAGAGAGGCCAAGACAGAAGTTATATGCCTTTAATGTCTTAGTTGTAAAGTCACATAGCATTACTTCTGCATTTTTCTATTTGATAGAAATGAGTCATCAATTCCAGCCCACATGCAAGGAGAAGGTAATTAAGCTTCATCTCTTGAAGGGAGGAGTTAAAAAAAACTTTGGACACGTATAAAGTCAAAAGAATAGTTTCCTATTCATTATTGCATTCCCATAGAGAAACTAATACTCTTCCTATGGTCAATTAATTTTTTTTATCTTAATGCACTTTCATTACATTCATCCAACTAATTCCCAAAAACTGCACCCATATAATAAACATTAGTCAGCCAATATCTTCAGATAATAAATCATTAAAAATTTCCATTTGTATATTTGTCTTTTGATATAAAAAGTAAAATTAATTCAAATTTGGGTCATATAAATTATCATACACTTTAAATTCCATAGAGTCAACAAAAATGCCCACAAAAGTCCAGAGAATTTTTTTTTTTTGAGACGGAGTCTCACACTGTCACCCAAGCTGGAGTGCAGTGGTGCGATCTTGGCTCACTACAACCACCGCCTCCTGGGTTCAAGCAATTCTCCTCCTAAGCCTCCCAAGTAGCTGGGATTACAGGTGCTCACCACCACACTTGGCTAATTTTTTATATTTTTAGTAGAGACAGGGTTTCACTATGTTGACAAGGTTCATCTCAAACTCCTGACCTCGTGATCTGCCTGCCTCGACCTAATACTGCTCTTTTCCAGTGGTCTTAGCAAATGGCACACCAGGAGATTATATCCTGGCTCAGAGGGTCCCATGCCCATGGAGCCTCGCTTACTGCTAGCACAGCAGTCTGAGATTGAACTGCAAGGTGGCAGCAAGGCTGGGGGAGGGGCATCCACCATTGCTGAGGCTTGAGTAGGTAAACAAAGCAGCTGGAAAGCTCGAAATCGTTGGAGCCCACTGCCGCTCAAGGAGGCCTGCCTGCCTCTGTAGACTTCATTTCTGGGGGGCAGGGCATAGCTGAAAAAAAGGCAGCAGAAACTTCTGCAGACTTAAATGTCCCTGTCTGACAGCTTTGAAGAGAGTAGTGGTTCTCCCAGCATGGAGTCTGAGATCTGAGAATGGACAGACTGCCTCCTCAAGTGGGTCCCGGACACCTGCATAGCCTAACTGGGAAACACCTCCCAGTAGGGGCTGACTGACACCTCATACAGCTGGGTGCCCCTCTGATATGAAGCTTCCAGAGGAAGGATCAGGCAGCAACATTTGCCGTTCTGCAATATTTGCTGTTCTGCAGCCTCCGCTGGTGATACCCAGGCAAACAGGGTCTGGAGTGGACCTCCATCAAACTCCAACAGACGTGCAGCTGAGGGTCCTGACTGTTAGAAGGAAAACTAACAAACAGAAAGGACATCCACACCAAAACCTCATCTGTATGTCACCATCATCAAAGACCAAAGGTGGATAAAACCACAAAGATGGGGAGAAACCAGAGCAGAAAAGCTGAAAATTCTAAAAATCAGAGCGCCTCTTCTCCTCCAAAGGAGTGCAGCTCCTCACCAGCAACAGAACAAACCTGGATGGAGAATGACTTTGATGAGTTGAGAGAAGACAGCTTCAGACTATCGGTAATAACAAACTACCCCGAGCTAAAGGAGGATGTTTGAACCCATCGCAAAGAAGTTAAAACCTTGAAAAAAGATTAGACGAATGGCTATCTAGAATAAACAGTGTAGAGAAAACCTTAAATGACCTGATGGAGCTGAAAACCATGGCATGAGAACTATGTGATGCATGCACAAGCCTCAGTAGCTGATTTGATCAAGTGGAAGAAAGGGTATCAGTGATTGAAGATCAGATGAATGAAATGAAGTGAGAAGAGAATATTAGAGAAAAAAGAGTAAAAAGAAACAAACAAAGTCTCCAAAAAATATGGCACAATGTGAAAAGACCAAATCTACGTCTGATTGGTGTACCTGAAAGTGACAGGGAGAATGGAACCCAGTTGGAAAACACACTTCATGATATTATCCAGGAGAACTTCCCCAACCTAACAAGGCAGGCCAACATTCAAATTCAGGAAATATAGAGAATGCCACAAAGATACTCCTCGAGAAGAGCAACTCCAAAACACATAATTGTCAGATTCACCAAATTTAAAATGAAGGAAAAAATGTTAAGGACAGCCAGACAGAAAGGTCAGGTTGCCCACAAAGGGAAGCCCATCAGACTAACAGCAGATCTCTCGGCAGAAACTCTACAAGCCAGAAGAGAGTGGGGGCCAATATTCAACATTTTTAAAGAAAAGAATTTTCAACCCAAAATTTCATATCCGGCCAAACTAAGCTTCATAAGTGAAGGAGAAATAAAATACTTTACAGACAAGCAAATACTGAGAGATTTTGTCACCACCAGGCCTACCTTACAAGAGCTCCTGAAGGAAGCACTACACATGCAAAGGAACAACTGGTACCAGCCACTGCAAAAACATGACAAATTGCAAAGACCATTGATGCTATGAAGAAACTTCATCAATGGTCAGTTTCTTCATCAATGAGCAACATAACCAGCTAACATAATGACAGGATCAAATTCACACATAACAATATTAACCTTAAATGTAAATGGGCTAAATGCTCCAATTAAAAGACACAGACTGGCAAATTGGATAAAGAGTCAAGACCCATCAGTGTGCTGTATTCAGGAGTCCCATCTCACATGCAGAGACACACATAGGCTCAAAATAAAGGGATGGAGGAACATCTACCAAGCAAATAGAAAATAAAAAAAAGCAGGGGTTGCAATATTAGCCTCTGATAAAACATACTTTAAACCAACAAAGGTCAAAAGAGACAAAGGAGGCCATTACATAATGGTAAAGGGATCAATTCAACAAGAAGAGCTAACTATCCTAAATATATAGGCACCCAATACAGGAGCACCCAGATTCATAAAGTAAGCCCTTGGAGACCTACAAAGAGACTTAGACTCCTGCACAATAATAATGGGAGACTTTAACACTCCACTGTCAACATTAGACAGATCAACGAGACAGAAAGTTATCAAGGATTTCTGGGAATTGAACTCAGCTCTGCACCAAGCCGACCTAACAGACATCTACAGAAGTCTGCACCCCAAATCAGCAGAATATACATTCTTCTCAGCACCACATCTCACTTATTCCAAAATTGACCACATAGTGGGAAGTAAAGCACTCCTCAGCAAAAGTAAAAGAACAGAAATGATAACTGTCTCTCAGACCACAGGGCAATCAAACTAGAACTCAGGATTAAGAAACTCACTCAAAACTGCACAACTACATGGAAACTGAACAACCTGCTCCTGAAGGACTACTGGGTACATAATGAAATGAAGGCAGAAATAAAGATGTTCTTTGAAGCCAATGAGAACAAAGACACAACATACCAGAATCTCTGGGACACATTTAAAGTAGTGTGGAGATGGAAATTTACAGCACTAAATTCCCACAAGAGAAAGCAGGAAAGATCCAAAATTGACACCCTAACATCACAATTAAAAGAACTAGAGAAACAAGAGCAAACACATTCAAAAGCTAGCAGAAGGCAAGAAATAACTAAGGTCAGAGCAGAAATGAAGGAGATAGAGACATAAAAAACCCTTCAAAAAGCTCAATGAATCCAGGAGCTGGTTTTTTGAAAGGATCAACAAAATTGATAGACTGCTAGCAAGACTAATAAAGAAGAAAAGAGAGAAGAATCCAATAGACACAATAAAAAATGATAAAGGGGATATCACCACCGATGCCACAGAAATACAAACTACCATCAGAGAATACTATAAACACCTCTATGCAAATAAACTAGAAAATGTAGAAGAAATGGATAAATTCCTCGACACATACACCCTCCCAAGACTAAATCAGGAAGAAGTTGAATCCCTGAATAGACCAATAACAGGCTCTGAAATTGAGGCAATAATTAATAGCCTACCAACCAAAAAAAAAGTCCAGGACCAGATGGATTCAAAGCCAAATTATACCAGAGGTACAAACAGGAACTGGTACCATTCCTTCTGAAACTATTCCAATAAATAGATAAAGAGGAAATACCCCCTAACTCATTTTATGAGGCCAACATCATCCTGATACCAAAGCCTGGCAGAGACACAACCAAAAAAGAGAATTTTAGACTAATATCCCTGATGAATGTTGATGCAAAAATCCTCAATAAAATACTGGCAAACCAAATCCAGCAGCATATAAAAAAGCTTATCCACCACGATCAAGCTGGCTTCATCCCTGGAATGCAAGGCTGGTTCAACATACGCAAATCAATAAATGTAATCCAGCATATAAACAGAATCAAAGACAAAAACCACATGATTATCTCAATAGATGCAGAAAAGGCCTTCGACAAAATTCAACAGCACTTCATGCTAAAAACTCTCAATAAACTAGGTATTGATGGGATGTATCTCAAAATAATAAGAGCTATTTATGACAAACCCACAGCCAATATCATACTGAATGGGCAAAAACTGGAAGTGTTCTCTTTGAAAACTGGCACAAGAGAGGGATGCCCTCTCTCACCACTCCTATTCAATATAGTTTTGGAAGTTCTGTCCAGGGCAATCCATCAAGAGAAAGAAATAAAGGGTATTCAATTAGGAAAAGAGGAAGTCAAATAGTCCCTGTTTGCAGATGACATGATTGTATATTTAGAAAACCCCATCGTCTCGGCCCAAAATCTCTTTAAGCTGATAAGCAACTTCAGCAAAGTCTCAGGATACAAAATCAATGTGCAAAAATCACAAGCATTCCTATACACCAATAACAGACAAACAGAGAGCCAAATCATGAGTGAACTCCCATTCACAATTGCTTCAAAGAGAATAAAATACCTAGGAATCCAACTTACAAGGGATGTGAAAGACCTCTTCAAGGAGAACTGCAAACCAATGCTCAATGAAATAAAAGAGGACACAAACAAACTAAAGAAAATTCCATTTGGGAGGCCGAGGCGGGCGGATCACGAGGTCAGGAGATCGAGACCATCCTGGCTAACACGGTGAAACCCCGTCTCTACTAAAAATACAAAAAATTAGCCGGGCGAGGTGGCGGGCGCCTGTAGTCCCAGCTACTCGGGAGGCTGAGGCAGGAGAATGGCGTGAACCCCAGGGGGCGGAGCCTGCAGTGAGCCGAGATTGCGCCACTGCACTCCAGCCTGGGCGACAGCGAGACTCTGTCTCAAAAAAAAAAAAAAAAAAAAAAAAGAAAATTCCATGCTCATGGGTAGGAAGAATCAATATCATGAAAATGGCCATATTGCCCCAGGTAATTTATAGATTCATTGCCATCCCCATGAATCTACCAATGACTTTCTTCACAGAATTGGAAAAAACTACTTTAAAGTTCATATGGAACCAATAAAAGAGCTTGCATTGCCAAGACAATCCTAAGCCAAAAGAATAAAGCTGGAGGTATCATGCTACTTGACTTCAAACTATACTACAAGGCTACAGTAACCAAAACAGCATGGTACTGGAACCAAAACAGAGACATAAACCAATGGAACAGAACTGAGCCCTCAGAAATAATACCACACATCTACAACCATCTGATCTTTGATAAACCTGACAAAAACAAGCAATGGGGAAAGGATTCCCTATTTAATAAATGGTGCTGGGAAAACTGGCTAGCCATATGTAGAAAGCTGAAACTGGATCCCTTCCTTACACCTTATACAAAAATTAATTTAAGATGGATTAAAGATTTAAATGTTAGACCTAAAACCATAAAAACCCTAGAAGAAAACCTAGGCAATACCATTCAGGACATAGGTATGGGCAAGGACTTCATGACTAAAACACCAAAAGCAATGGCAACAGAAGCCAAAATTGACAAATGGGATCTAATTAAACTAAAGAGCTTCTGCACAGCAAAAGAAACTACCATCAGAGTGAACAGGCAACCTACAGAAAGGGAGAAAATTTTTACAATCTACCCATCTGTCAAAGGGCTGATATCCAGAATCCACAAATAACTTAAACAAATTTACAAGAAAAAAATCAAACAACCCCATCAAAAAGTGGGCAAAGGATATGAACAGACACTTCTCAAAAGAAGACATTTATGCAGCCAAAAGACACATGAAAAAATGCTCATCATCACTGGCCATCAGAGAAATGCAAATCAAAACCACAATGAGATACCATTTCATACCAGTTAGAATGGTGATCATTAAAAAGTCAGGAAACAACAGGTTCTGGAGAGGATGTGGAGAAATAGGAACACTTTACACTGTTGGTGGGACTGTGAACTAGTTCAACCATTGTGGAAGACACTGTGGTGATTCCTCAAGGATCTAGAGCTAGAAATACAATTTGACCCAGCCATCCCATTACTGGGTATATACCAAAAGGATTATAAATCATGCTGTTATAAAGACACATGCACACGTATGTTTATTGTGGCACTATTCACAATAGCAAAGACTTGGAACCAACCCAAATGTCCATCAATGATAGACTGTATTAAGAAAATGTGGCACATATACACCATGGAATACTATGCAGCAATAAAAAATGATGAGTTCATATCCTTTGTAGGGACATGGATGAAGCTGGAAACCATCATTCTCAGCAAACTATCACAAGGACAGAAAACCAAACACCGCATATCTCAGATGATAGGTGGGAGCTGAACAGTGAGAACACTTGGACACAGGGTGGGGAATATCACACACTGGGCCTGTTGTGGGGTGGGGGGAGGGAGGAGGGATAGCATTAGGAGATATACCTAATGTAAATGACGAGTTAACAGGTGCAGCACACCAACATGGCACATGTATACATATGTAACAAACCTGCACATTATGCACATGTACCCTAGAACTTAAAGTATAATAAAAACTAAAATAATAAAATAAAAATAAAAGTAGTAAAAAATTGATATGTTACATTAGAGAAAGTATATATAGCTCCAAGACACTGATCTTTACTACTTAGTAGGAAATTTTTTTTTCTTTTTCTGCTTCTCTAAATCCTCTGATATTACAGGTAAAATAAGGTGAAGTTTGTGTCTGAAAATAATATAACTTAAGTTTCATATAGTTGACACAAATGATGCTGGCAAATAAATGTATCACCAGCAAATTTTTTTTGGATGACATTAGTTCTTATTGATTTAAAACAAGAATGTAATGGCTTAAGGACTGAAAGCAATATATACTTCACGGCACAGTACATACTAACATCATTCATATCAAGAGAAAACAAAATGCCGATACACCACTGTGTTTCTTTAAATGAAGATACAATAGCAATTTCCATGGGGAAAAACCTACTCTTTTCATTCTACCTTTCTATTTCTTTCCAAGTGGTAGAAAATCTAATGTACTATGCCAAAGTCCAGGACTCTGTTTCGTCTATTCTCACTAGTGATAGCAGTTTAAAACATCTAGAATGGCTGGGCACAGTGGTTCATGCCTGTAATCCCAACACTTTGGGAGGCCAAGGTAGGTAGATCAAGAGGTCGGGAGTTTGAGACCAGCTTGCCCAAGATGGTGAAACCCTGTCTTTACTAAAAAATACAAAAATTAGCTGCGTGCGGTGGCAGGCGCCTGTAATCCCAGCTATTGGAGGCTGAGGCAGGAGAATCACTTGATCCCGGGAGGTGGAGTTTGCAATGAGCAGAGATAGCACCACTGCACCCTAGCCTGGGAAAGAGAGCAAGAATCCATCTCAAACCACAACGACAACAAAATCGATCTGGCAGATATGTATCTCTATATTTTTACTTACTTGTCTTTGTGATTGTGAAACAATAACATGATTTAAGCTCATCTTGCAGTCCATTCTTTTTCTCTGATCAATTAGTGGAATCTCGAAACTGAATCGTAGCCGTAATCCCTGACTTACTTGTTCTCCCTCTTAGATTTTATCTTTTCATGTTTGTAGAAATATGAGAGTAAGAATTTGATGATTGTTCTATCTTCTCTCTGTTCTCTTTTTTTGCACATTACACCAGGATAGTTCTAATACTGGAGCTGGAGGCAGGCAGCTCTGCTGAGCTTGACAATAGGCATCAGGAAAAACTGTGAACTGAGAAGCATGCTTCAGATTCAAGGTTCTGGTAATTATGTATTAAATATCTCACAATTTAACAGTGTCATGTAGGAAAATTCTTAGGAATTTGAGCCAATACATGGAAAGAGTCTACTGCTTGAGGAGAAAAGTGTTAGTATTATGCAGAAAAATAGTCTTTAATTGTTAGATGAGAACTCATAAAAGATTATAAATCATTAACACTTTGTGTCTTCAGCTTTTGAATTATTGGTATTATTATTGTTATTAAGTTCAAGTATTTGTCTTTAGTAGGCAGACCTAAACTCTGTTATCATGTTTTGGACTTCATGCAGTAATAAAGGGTAAGCAATGAAAAAATTAACTTGGAGATTCCTATAGGTTTTCCACCAACTCTTTCACACTGTCCCTACCATGTGCTTTTAAATTGATTCTCATTTGTTTAGTTGATAAGCTCAGCCAAAGCTGTAGATGTCATAGGTACAGATCATGGCCTATTCACCTTCCAGGTAATGTAATCAATAATGGATGAAGAACAATAAGGCCCTTTATTATATATAAACATGTCATCTTCTGGGCTGGGGAAAAAAACACAAAGGAGTTGTTAAAAACCCAAGAATTCTTGGCATACTCTAGCCATCAGATTTTATTAAAAGCTATGAGAAAACTGTAGTGAAGGGGCTAGACCTCTTCTAAATGGAATATATTAGCAGAAATATATTAATGAAAATTAGAAAAAGAATATATGAAATTTATAAAATACAGATACTAATCTTGCAGTTAATAAGTAGAACGGTGGAAATGCATAACCAATGTAAAAACTAGTTTTGACCCTACAGAAATGCAGGATTATTTATTTCTTTATTTTACCTTGTCCACAGGTACTGCATAAAAGTAGTTAGGATCTTTTTTTTTTGTCTTTTTGAGACAAAATGAAACATTAGAGGAATTTACCAAGGAGACATGTAAAGACAACATGGAAAAGAAAGCATATGCTGTAACTGAAATAGTTATTCAGGGATTGGAAAGTGAATGTACTAAAGGAAGGAAAGCTAATAGGTTTATATTACTGAAGAAATATTGATCCTTGCTATCATCCTAAGTATACCAACAATGGTATCAATTACCAGAAGTTTATCTTCAGGAATCTATTGAGTGTGATCCTTCAGCTAGGGCAAACTTAGGAAAGAGGTAGATATGTGCCATGTATGTGAGAATTTCTAGAACAACTACAGCTCTAGATAGCCTGAGAATTCTAAATACAGGGATTTAAGTGGAAAATTGGGATTGTGGGTAACGCAAAGTCAATAACCTTTCTTGGAGACTGGCTTCCAACAAATGTGGTATTTCTCCTTTTCTCCGAAGGGAAGTCGAGATTACATCCCTAAAGATGATCCACACTCAACTTTGCACTGGAATATCTGGTAAGAAAGATTCAAAAAAGAAGTGAAACTAAGACGTTTTAAATATATTGGGTAGATACTAAAAAAAGAAGTAGGAACTTTGAGGAAATATATTATAAAACTATTTTTTCCATAAGAAAGAGTATTTCAAATAGTCTCTACTAAAAATAACGTATGGCCATATGCAGTGGCTCACTCCTGTAATCCCAGCACTTTGGGTGACCGAGGCGGGTGGATCACTTGAGGTCAGGAGCTCGAGACCAGCCTGGCCAACATGGTGAAACCCCATCTCTACTAAAAATACAAAAATATTAGCCAGGTGTTGTGGCAGGCGCCTATACTCCCAGCTACTCCAGAGGCTGAGTGAAGCAGGGGAATCACTTGAACCCTGGAGGCGGAGTTTGCAGCGAGCCGAGGTCGCGCCACTGCACTCCGGCCTAGGTGACAAGAGCAAAACACCGTCTCAAAAAAAAAAAAAAAAGGCATGTATGAGTGAGTTTCTCCCAAATATATAAACATCATAAAACCATAACTGACATTTTGATGGAAAATTTCTTCCACTCGAGTCATATTCACTTGTAGTAAATCTTGATAGTGAGCTTGCACTAGCTTTCATTCCAGTGAAGCTGAAACCAGGATTTTTGTCTACACTGTGTCTTCTCCCCATGGTAGAGAGGATAGTGTGGATTCTTAGGTATGCTTCATGACTGACAATAGCAAAGTGAGGCATTCCTTCTGTTTAATGTATGTTAATTTAGTTATAATGTTGATTATATATTAGATAGATGTAGAACTAGCTTGTGTTACTTTCATGTGTACCATTGCTTCTTCCAAGGAATGTTTGAACAGTTTCTATCTTTGGAAGTTGCTGAAAGAGCTATATCAGCTTCAGCGGTGGAAAGCACAGGCTCTAGGCATTGAAGAAATAACATAGTACATCTAAGCACTTCATTGTATCCCATCTTTATGGATAAAAGGAATAAAAACAACTTTGGGAAGAGATTCTAATATTTGAATAAGTGTTTTAATGTGGGGATGGTTTTTTCAGTATTAAAATTTTTGATTATTTACAATTTATTTTGAAAAACCAAATGAAAGAATTATTGAGCAACAAGGCATTTAATTAAAAATGTGGTGAAGAGAGAAAAAAATTCATATTGTGACTTAAAACTAGCCCATTTTCTTTCCAAATAAAAGGCAATAGCTATCTTACGGACAATATTCCTATATATTGCTATCTTATGGACAATATTCCAAGACACAAATGAGTCCCAGTTACTGATCCATCATTAACCTTCCCCTTTCAAGGTCTCTGAAAACAAGAGATGTATTCAGATAGTCAATATCTGCTCCTGATTTGTGTGGCCAGCTTTCCACTGCTAGGTTTATACATCCTTGCTAACTAAATTGGGAACTTACTGTAGCTTACAGAGAGGGTATATGTGAATTTGTGCACACATGTGTGTTTGTGTGTGTATGTGTATGTGTGTTCTTTTCCTGCAAACAAATAACTTATCTGAAATGTTGCAGCCCCTATATAACTTACTAGTGGACCCATTGTTCCTATTAAACAATTTCCCCATATATCTGTTACACAAATAAGCAGGAAGGAGATGATGAAGAGTTTCAATTTTTTTCTAAATGTAGGTGATTAGAATTCACTGATGTGTTTTCAGTAGAAGACGGATACGATCATCTGATTTCTACTTTTGTAAGGTTACTTTAGATATTGAGTAGAGAATAGACTGGAGGGAGGCAAGTGTTAAAAAGGCTGGAGGGATGCAAGTGTTAAAGTTAGAAGGTTATTGAAATTTTTATAAATAATTTTACTTTTTTTAGATACTTTAAACTTACAAGAATACAGAAGTCATGTTATGTGGCCAAAGAAATCTCTAGTTACTAAGAAGCTGGCTGATATACCAAAATGATATATTTGCTTTCATAAAATTAATCTCAAAAACTAGAAATGCTCCTTGATTCCTTTAACATGCACTTGTAGTTATAATTGCACTGAATTTATCTAAACACTTTTGGAAAACTATTTATGTTTTCATACAACTCTATAGCTAAGTAATTACACAATTCTATATATTTCAACTTATTTTTTAATGTACCTTTTCCAGGAGTGATGCCAACAAGATGATGGAGTAGAAGACAGAGCCTTCATTCTGTCCCCCTGCAAAGTAACAATTAATTAGACAGATATCAATGAATGAAATACTAAGAGGGCAAAATAATCCAATTAAAAACCTTCAGCATCACCATGGAACAAGGAAACATGGACAAAATCTGTACACAAAGGAACACTGAGAAGATCAGCATACTTGAGACTCCTGGAGATGACGAGGAACCTCCTAATGGCTAGTTTTTCAACCCACAACCAGTGTCCCTCACATGGGAAGCTTGTTTATACTAGAAGACTCCCTTGTATCTGATTTCTGACCAATTACAACTGTGTGACCATTGCTGTATGCCGCAGCTGGGAGCTTGAACAACAACAACAACAAAAATGGCATGGATATCAGTACCAGCCACATGGTGAGTGCCAACATGGTTCCCAGTGGCCTTCTCTGCAGAGCACCTTGGCAGACTTTGCCACTGAGGGTTACAACAGCCCATATGGCATCTGCCGATTCACCATAGCCTTCACAGCAAAGGTGCCATTAGTGTTTATTGGCATGGACCCCAGCAGCCGGCTCTGCAGAGGATACTGGCAGTTTTTGCCACTGAGCTAACCAACAGCCATCATAGAAACAAACCTCCTTGGAGAGGGAGATGCTGCTGGTATCCCTACCCATAAGAAGAAGCTACTGTTGTGCCACTCAGAGATCAGTGTTATTAAAGCCCCAGCTACATTGGGGTTCCAGTACTAAAGAGGCTAATAACCCTGTTCTAATGGGAAATAAAGGGAAGCTGGATATGGGTGTTTTATGGTGTGATTTTCACATGACACTACTTTTACCTGGCAGACAGCCTAATGGCTAGTTGTCCCACCCACAGATAGGGGTCTCTCACATGTGAAACTTGTTTATACTGGAAGACTTCCTTGAGTCTGTTTCCTGACCAGTTATGACTGTCTGACCATTGCTCTATGCTGCAGCTGGGAGCTTGATCTCATGTTCTCCCTGGCATCCCAGGGAAAGTGGGGCCTGAGGAAGCCTCTAATTCTTCAGATGGAAGGTGCAAATTCTGTAACTACCAGAACAGAAAATAAATCCAAAGATTTTTACTTACAGATTCTAGGCAAGGAAAGTGTAATGAGTTCAAGAGGGCAATCATTCATCCTCGGATCTTGTGTGTCATCAAGGAAGAGTTTGGCAGAGAAAGGGAGATGCATGTGGCAACTAGCAGTACAAATAAAGAAACAGGATGTGAGTCACTTTAAGTTAAAAGGCAAATAGCTGAATGGTTCATTTAAAGGATAGCAGTGGGAAAGCAAGGAGCCCAATCTGCTAGGCAGGAGAGATGACTCTAACTTCTTATCTCTGGCAACTGACTTGAGTCATTTGGGTGAGATGTAGAACTGGACTCTTGTAAATGGTGCCAGAACTCTACTTCTGGTATGAGAAAGTTAAACTTGTAGTCAAAATGGATACTTAGGCAATAAAGAGTTATAAAAATTTATTGCCACTGGGATCACCACTCTCCCCAATCCTGTGTAGTCCCTGAACCTTAGAGCCACTCTGCTCCATACTGCCCTGCACTCCAGATCCTAATTACACAGCACTTTGTGATCACCTGCACCTTGGTAATTGGAGCCACCCCTACAACAAGCTAGCCTCCATCCAGATTCCAGGGGTGCTGTAGCTTGGTGTGTACTTGAGCTCTGCACTCCAGCTCCATGGCCACACCACAGGCATCATGCATCGAACATGCATACTATCACCAAGAGCATGTACATGACCTGGACCTGATGCCAAGGGAGATTCTCTCTCCCATAAGAAAAGAAAAAAAAAATAGAACAGGAGGACACCAGCAGGCTTCACCAAAAAAACCTCAATAGCCTTTACTATGTTTATAGACATCCATAACGCTAGCTGCTGAGGGCCCCTGCAATCTTAACTAATGCTGGCCTCAGCTGACAGAGCTTCATAGAGGCAGTGCTCTCACCAGAGCTGGAACCATCTCACCCTACACAGCCAGAGAGAGCCCTTACATTCACACATAGGTGAAGGTCTTTCTCCACTAAAACTAGTTGATAAAGTCCAGAAGAGGTGATTGTCCATTACATAGACATTAATTTAAGGCAACAGGAAACACACACACACACACACACACACATACGCACTCCACCACCAACAGGTACACCAACAACAAGAAAAAAATGACAATACCAAATAATAAGGAAGAAAATAAATTTCTAGTAACTGACTCCAAAGAAATAGAAATTTTCCGACAAACAAAATCAAAATAATTGTTGTTGAAAAGCTCAGTTGAACTACAAAAGAATATAGGTTTAAAAGATCAAAAATATCAGAAAACAATATGAAGAGAGACCCCTTGGTATCAATGGGAAACTGGTTCCAGGACTCCTTGTGGATGCAAAAATCTGTGCATACTCATGTTCTGCAATTTGTCCTGTGAAACTCAGGAATATGAAAAGTCAGCACTCCATACACATCGGTTTTGCATCCCACAAATGCTGTATTTTTAATTCACTATTTGTTGTGGAGTCAGAATCCATGGATAGGAAGAGTCCTCTGTATTTATTTTAAATCTGTGTATAAGTGGACCTATACAGTTCAAACTTGTGTTGTTCAAGAGTCAACTGTATAAGGAAAATAAGAAGTTCAATGAAGAAATAAAAAATTTTAAAAAGAAAACAAACTCTGAAGCTGAAGAAGACAATGAGCTAAATAAAAAAATACTATCTATTTATCTATCTATCTATCTATCTATCTATCTATCTATATATATATATATGTAAAATCTGCAGCAAATGTGAGAAGGAATATGTGAACTTGAAAACAAGTCATTAGAAAATATCTAGTAAGAGGAGAGAAAAAAATGAAGAAAGTCTATGGGATATATGGGACACTGTCAAGAGAACTAATTTTCACATAATAGATCTGTAGAAGGAAAAAAGAAAAAGGAGCAGAAAACTTACTTAAAGAAATAATGGATAAATCTCCCCAATTATGGGGATACATACAGACACCCAGGTACATGATCCTAAAAAGTCTCCAATAATGTTGAATCCAAAAAAGAGTTCATCAACAGCTGTCGACATCAAATTGCCAGAAATCAAAGACAAAGAAAAAAAATAGTGAAAGCAGCATGAGAAAAGAGATTCCTCACAGAAAAGGGGACCTCCAAGAGACTGTCAACTGATTTTATGGAAAAAAAATATGGTAGGTCAGGAAAGAATAGGATGGTATATTCAAAGAAGAAGAAGTAGAAGAGAAGAAGAAGTAGAAGAGGAAGAGGAGGAGGATGAGGAGTAAGGGGAAGGGGAAGAGGAAGGGGAAGAAGACTAGCAAGCGAAAATACTTTATCTGGCAAATCTGTCCTTCAGAACTGAAGATAAAAATTTCCCAGGCAAACAAAAGTTGAGGAAGTTCATCACCACTGCACCTCCTTACAAGACATGCTAAAGGGGGCGCTTCAAGCTGAAGCAAAAGGATGCAATTACTAACATGAAAACATATGAGAAAATAAAGCTCACTGGTAAAGCAAATATATAGTCAAATACTGAACACTCTGATACTGTAATGGCAGTGTGTAAATCACTTTTAACTGTAATTAAAAGTTAAAAGACAAAATATTAAAAATAACTGTTAGTGAATATACAATATAAAAATGTAAATTGTGACATTAAAAACATAAAATATGAGGGAAATAGAATAAAAGTGCATAACTTTCTATGTGATTAAAATTATATTGTTAGCTTAAAATAGACTAACTACAGGAGGCTTTATTACCTTATGGTAATCACAAAGCAAAAGCTTATAGTAGATACACATAAGATAATGGGACAGGAATCAAAACATGCTGCTACAGAAAATCATCAAATCACAAAGGAAGACAGCAAGAGATGAAGAGCACAAAACAGCCAGAAATCAATTAATAAAATGGCAAAAGTAAGTGCTTGCCTATCAATAATTACCTTGAATGTGAATAGATTAAGCCTCTTAGCAAAATACATAGAGTGGCTCAACCCATAAAAAGCAAGGTCCAATTATATCCTTCTGCATTAGTTTGCTTTGGTTGCCATAACAAAATACCACAGATAGCGTGGCATAAACAGAAATTTGTGTCTTACAGTTCTGCGGGCTTGGAAGTACAAGATTAATGTTCTGAGTGATTCAATTTCTCGTGAGAACTTGCCCTTTCTCTCTACTATGTGAGAATACAAGTCTGGCTGCCTTCTCCCTGTATCTTCATATGGTAGAGAGAAAGCAAGCTCTTCTGCTCTTAAAAGGGTGCTAATCTCATCATGAGGTCCTTACCCTTATTGCCTCATCTAACTCTAATTATATCCCAAAGCCTCTACCTCAGATACTGTCTCATTGGAAATTAGGATTGCAATGTATAAACTTTGGGGAGACACAAATATTCAGTACTTAACAACTGCCATCTCTGGACTTCTCCAAAATTTATTGTATCTTTCTTCATATGTGGCCTCCAGAGCTGCCCATGTGATTATTAACACATCATTTATAAATGGGTAGAGCAATGCTGCCCATCTTGTTTCACACACCTGTACAATGTCATTTGTTACTTATTGACCGAAATTATCAGTCATATAACAAGGCATAGATTAGGGTTTAGTTGTTTTCACTGGGACAAATCTCAGGGGAAAAAAAGCGTCTTTTCAGAAATTTTCTTTTTCTTTATTATTATTATTATTATATTTAATAAAGTTTTAGGGTACATGTGCACAACGTGCAGGTTAGTTACATATGTATACATGCGCCATGCTGGTGCACTGCACCCACTAACTCGTCATCTAGCATTAGGTATATCTGCCAATGCTATCCCTCCCCGCTCCCCCCACCCCACCACAGTCCCCAGAGTGTGATGTTCCCCTTCCTGTGTCCATGTGTTCTCATTGTTCAATTCCCACCTATGAGTGAGAATATGCGGTGTTTGGTTTTTTGTTCTTGCGATAGTTTACTGAGAACGATGATTTCCAATTTCATCCATGTCCCTACAAAGGACATGAACTCATCATTTTTTATGGCTGCATAGTATTCCATGGTGTATATGTGACACATTTTCTTAATCCAGTCTATCATTGTTGGATATTTGGGTTGATTCCAAGTCTTTGCTATTGTGAATAATGCCACAATAAACATACGTGTGCATGTGTCTTTATAGCAGCATGATTTATAGTCCTTTGGGTATATACCCAGAAATTTCTAAATACTGTAAACTCATATCACAGTCATTAAGTCTAACATGCAAAGACACTAGAAGAACACAAAGTTCAGATTTTTAAAATATTGAGATTTCAGTGGTCAATTGTGAGACTTCAAAGAGACGGCAGTCAAAACTTCATGACTTTATAATATGATTATTTCTTCATTAATAAGCACCAAAAGTCAATTTTCTCTAAATTTAAAATCTGGCTACTCTTTAGTATTGTATATTGAAGAGCAAAACATCCCTTGTCTTGTGCCGTGAATATGATAAATGTTATGTTATAAGATTTTTATGGTCAGGCGCAGTGGCTCATGCCTGTAATCCCAGCACTTTGTGAGGCCAAGGCTGGTGGATCACTTGAAACCAAGAGTTCAAGACAAGCCTGCCCAACGTGGTAAAATCCCATCTCTACTAAAAATGTAAAAATTAGCCAGACCTGGTGGCATGTGCCAGTAGTCCCAGCTACTTGGGAGGCTGAGGCATGAGAATTGCTTGAACCCGTGAGGTCTCGCCACTGCACTCCAGCCTGGGGGACGGACAGAGATCTTGTCTCAAAAAAAAAAAAAAAAAAAAGAAAGAGAAAGAAAGAAAGCAAGAAAACAAGAAAGAAGGAAAGAAAAATTTTTGTGGTTATGCATTATTTATTATAACAATCAATTTAAGAATTTTAAATAACATTTATCAAAGCTGAAAGTTTACATAAACAGTATTTGTATGAATGTATGATGCCCCCTGTAAATTTCCTAATCCTAGCAGCTATCAGTTTGGTGTGTAGAGCTTTCTGGATGACGTCACATGTATTGTTAGCTCATTCCCTGACCCCGTGTGAGTTATCTGTATCATAGTAGTTAGTCTGATTACTCGTTTACTCTTTTTTTTTTTTTTTTTTTTTTTTGAGACGGAGTCTCACACTGTCACTGTCACCCAGGCTGGAGTGCAGTGGCGCTATCTCTGCTCACTGCAAGCTCCGCCTCCCAGGTTCATGCCATTCTCCTGCCTCAGCCTCCCGAGTAGCTGGGACTACAGGCATGAGCCACCACGCCCGGCTAATTTTTTATATTTTTGGTAGAGACGGGGTTTCACCATATTACCTAGGATGGTCTCGATCTCCTGAACTCATGATCTGCTCGCCTCGGCCTCCCAAAGTGCTGGGATTACAAGCGTGAGCCACCTCACCTGGCCTACTCATTTACTCTCATCTTTCATCGTGGAAATCTAAATAAAGACCAAAATACTTGTAATTTTAAACATTGAAACAAATGTGAGCTATACATTCATTAAAGAAATGTTAATAAAACAAGTAAGAATACTTACCCAATTTTTGGTGAGTCAGTGAGTGACAGTGGTCATAACGATGGTGGGTTAAGTAAAGAAATAAATGTTTGCAAAGTGAAAATTGTAAAGAGCACCTCCTACCACCACAGAGTTTAAAAAAAGACAATGAAACATATGGTGGGCTCACTGAGCACTTTCCTACAGAATTGTTCATTGTTGTGCATCTGTATGATTACTGTATACCTTATGAATTTTTATTTTACAATTATTTATATTCATTCATTTATTTATTTTCCAACTCATTTATTCCAGTTCAGGGTCATGGATGGTCAGAGCCTATCCCAGCAGTTCAGGGCCCAAGGTGAGAACCAACTCTGGACAGAATGCCATCCATTGAGGGACATATTCACACATATATCTATACTCACTTAGACTGAGACTATTTAGACACACAAATTCACCTAATGTGCACATCTGTGGGAAGTGAGATAAACCTGGAATACTGGGAGAAAACCCGTACAGATGTAGGAAGAACATTCACATTCAACACAACAGTGGCCCTCAGGTGGTAATCAATTTTTTCTCATTTACATAATAAAATGACATTGAATGAAATGGCATTATTTAAGGACCTGCTGTATCCTACTCTCCTTGGTTAATTTCCTTAGAATTACTACTACACATGTTCCCCAGGTTTCTAATATATATTAGCTAATATATATTGCTAATATATATTAGCAAAATCCTGCAATTCTTCTTGTTTCTAAGCTCCTTTCTTCAGAAGTCTAGTGTAAAAAGTTCACCCTTGAACAATTCAGGGTTAGGGATCTTTACCCAGCTCCTTTCACCCTCCCTTAGTTGAAAATCCACTTATAACTTTTGACTCTTCCAAAATTTAACTACTAGTAGCCTACTGTTGATCAGAAGCCTTGCTGATAACATAAACAGTCGCTTAACACATATTTTATATGTTACATGTGTTATTATACTGTATTCTTACAATAAAGTAAGCTAGAGAAAAGGAAATTATATTAAGAAAATTATAAGAAAGAGAAAATATATTAACTGTTCATTAAGTGGAAGTGGATCATCATAAAGGTCTTCATCCTCATAGTTTTCACATTGAGTAGGCTGAGGAGGAGAAGGAAGAGAGGGCTCAGGAGTAGAGAGACAGAAGAGATGGAGGAGGTGTAAATATGAGCAGGAGAGGCAGGCACACTTGGTATGACTTTATAGAAGTACATGGTAATTTCTGTCTGACATTTTTTGGTTTTTCATTTCTCTAGCAATCTTTCTATACAGTACCAATCCTTCCACCATTTGCTTTAGTTTCAGTGCCCATATCACAGATGGGTCCATGTCATAAAAGAAGTCAAAAGCAATCTTTAATACTTCGAATCCTTCTGCCAGATTGTCTGGCAATTGATTTTCTAGCACTGCTTCTTCTGTCTCTTTTTTCTGATCATCTGGCACTGGCTCAGATGCACCCATCTTCATCAAGTTGTCTTCTGTTAATTCTGCCACTCTGGTCTCTATTAACTCTCTACTTTCTCCAAGATTTGTATCTTAAAACCCTTCACCCCTGATCTTTTTTTTTTTTTTTTTTTTTTTTTGCCATATCCACAGTGTCTTTTATACTATCCTTAATTGGCTTTGTCATAAATACGGGAAGCCATGCACAGCATTTGAACACAGTTTACTCCAGCAGGAATGTATTGTTTTGGGCTTGATGGCATTTGTGGCATTCTCTATAACAATGACATTTTCAATGGTGTAACCGTTCCATTCCCTCTATCGGAATTATGTTCCATAGCATTGACAATCTTTTTCATAGAGTACTGTGTGTAGTGAGCCTTAAAAATCCTTATGACTCCCTGATCTAGAGGTTCAATTAGAGATACTGTGTTTGGGGGCAAGTAAACCACTTTGATTCCTTTAGTGTTGAATTCCTGGGATTCTGGGTGGTCAGGGGCATTTTTCAATATGAAAATAACTTTAAAATTAGTCCCTCACTGGCAAGATACATCTTGTCTTCAGGGGCTAAGCATCAACAGAATCAATGCCAAAAAGGGTTCTTGTTTTTCAGACATTCTTATTGCAGAACCAAAAGATTGACAACTGATGTTTATCTTTTCCCTTTGGGGCTTGGGGGGATGGGGGCAGTCCTGATCATAAACCTGAGGGCTTGTAGCAATCCTGCAATCAAATAAAAGCTGAGTTTTCATTAGGAAAAATACCTAATGTAGATGATAGGTTGATGGGTGCAGCAAACCACCATGACACGTGTACACCTCTGTAACAAGCCTGCACGTTCTGCACACGTATCCCAGAACTTAAAGTATAATAATAATAATAAAAAGAAATTTCTACTACATAGTTTCTTTTGCTACATTTCCCCAACTGACCAAGGTTTTATTCTATTTACAAATTTCTAACTCCTGGAACAAGTAGAAATCTAAACAAGAATAGCAATTCTGACTAAAGGAGAGTATTCTAACTCCTAAAACATCTCAAGATTCATTTTGTTTGTTATAAATCCAGCTACTCTAGCTTTCTTTGGCTAATACTTAAATTAAACCTTATATTTAGTGGTATTTATGGTAAAAAGCATATACTTAATTTTCTTCTGTTATTCATTATAATCCCTAAGTTTAACCCATGTATTTTCTCCATTTGCATTTATTGTGATTACTAATATACCTAAATTTATTTTTACTATATTATTTAATGCTATTAACCTTGTTTTTTCTATGACTTTTTATTTCCTCCTTTCTGGCATTTATTGCTTGCTTATACTATCTTGAAAACTATATACAATATTTCTATCCTTTTAAGTGATGACTTTAAAAGTCAATATGCATATCTGACTTATTCCCTCACAAAAAAAGCTGCATTTTCAATACGAGATAAGAGGATATTTTGCAAAAAGTGTAAGGACTTTGTTCCTGCTGGAGTAGCTGCAGTGATGGCTTTGTGAATTCCCTTTTCTTCTTTTACAATGGTCCTTAGGCTGGATTCATTTATCTTGAAATGGCGGGAAACTGCAGCTGTAGACCTCAATCTGTAGTACATATCAAGCATTTCAACTTTTTTCTTCTAATGTCATGACTTTTCTCTGCTTCTTGGGAGCACTTCCAGCATCACAAGTGGCATTTCATATGGGTCTCATGGTGTCACTCAAGGTTTACAGTATTATAGTAAGCATGATGAAAAATGCACAAGAACAAGGAAAGATTACTTTTTACCGAGATACACAATTTACTTGGAGAGGCAAACTACTCATGAGGAGTTGATCATTGTCACATGACACTTTAAGCCTGTACCCACAACATTTGAGCCCACCACAATAGCAATAGGAGTTGGCTATGAAATTACTACAGATGTAGTTATGATTGAATACTGCATCTTTAGGTTTCTCTCAGTTGTAAATGGCGCCATGTATGGTCTGTATATTTTAGTGTAAGTTTTGATAAATTTCAACTTTTTATAATAGACTTGTGTATATTTTATGGTAGTAAATGACAAAATAAACTAGCATCTACATATATTTTTATTTATGCCATACCTAAGTTTTTCTGAATTGTTTTTGATATTTATAGGTTATACAGTTCATCTATGAGTATTTTCAAATTGTTGCAAATCTCTAAAAATGTTTCCAAGATATTTATTGAAAAAAATTCTCATATGAGTGGACTCACAGTTCAAACTCATGTTGTTCAAGGGTCAACTGTACTTATCTCCTTGGAGCATGCTGAGATTTGACATTAGTCAAGTCAAGAGGAAACAGGGAGTAACTCTGATGGTCTTGAAGAAATTGAGTGTCCCCTTTTGTATTAGCATTCTTCAGAGAAATGGAACCAATAGAAGATATATATAAATATCAATAACTATGCCTATATCTATACCTTTCTGTAGAAAGAGTACAAAATCTCCAGATTGGGTGGGCAGGCTGGAGATCCAGGAAGAAGTGCACATGCAGTTTAAGTCCAATGGCTGTGTGCTGCAGAATTACCTTATGTTCAGGGGAGATCAGTCTTTTGTTCAATCTTTGAACTGATTGGATTAGGCCTACCCACACTATGAAGAGCAATCTGCTTTACTGAGAATCCACTAAAATACAAATCTTATCTAAAAATACCCTTCAAGTTGACACAAAAACTAGCCATCATACCTTTCTAGATATCTGCTAATCAGAGAATTTTAAAAGTCTATGATTTGAAGGAAGAGCAGGATCCTGAGACTCACGACAGCATGCTACTTCCACTAGTAAGGGGGAATCAGAGTGATTTTAGTACAAAATCGTCAGTTTCATCTAGATTAAATGAGATTTCCCCATTACATGTTTCAGGATTCATCTTTTTCCAACTAATGACCAATGTTCCCAAGTGAGACTCACTGAGACTAAGACTTCACCTGTTGCTGTAGTTTAGCCAGGCAGAACTAAATTTTACGTTTGATTCTCAGCAACATTAGCCAAATAGCTACAAAAACTAAGCTATTCTCTTAAGCCTGCACAGAAGCTCTCTAGTTCTCACAACATGGCTTGAGCTGGTTCTGAAAAATTCTGAGCTTGTCATTTTTATTCCGTAAGCTTAAAATGGGCTCAAAATCTCATTTGCATCATAGTCATCATTACTGTGATGAACCTTAATTACAGTAACCATTCCAGCTCCCAAAGCAGTGTGCTTTAGTTTACTCTATCACACTCAATCCAGATAATAGTTTGATTAATTATGATGATACTGCATACCATAGATTACAAGCATCTCATTTCAACTTGGCAAGAAAGTCAAGTTTAAGAGCAGGATTAAACCAACAGCAAAATCCAATCCTGGCAATTGTAGTTGTGGGAACACCTTCCACTACCAATTCTGGGTATCAGCATCAGTCTGGGTCCAACCATGGGAGAGAAACCATACCATAGTGTGAACAGAAAATTTTAGTATGAAAATTATTTAATAATAACAGAAATTGGAGAATACAAGATTTATTTCTTTAATAAGATATAAAAAGAACTGTTAAGAATATAGACTCATAGGTATAAGTAGCTATTACTTGTAGGGTTAAGATAAGGGATCTAATGGAGAGATCCTCCCCAAAAGGTAGTTAGAGCCTTGTTGGGGAGTGAAGCAACGTGGCTTCCTACATGGCAGAAAAGTTGCTGTGGTGCCTGGAATGTCAGAAGTTGCTGTAAATCTGCTCTCTGGGGTACCTGGGGAAGCTAACTACAGAGAGATGCTGTGCTTTGCAACTTGCTGCAAAGTCAAATGTGAGAAGCCTCAGAAGCTGTTCATATGAGATACTTTGCTGATGGAACTCTTCTATAAAGTTTCCCAAGGTGGGTGTCTGAGGAAGCTACTGGGTGCTGAAGAAGCCTGTTCCTGGAGGAGCTGTTCACTGCAGAAGCAGAAAACTGGGGAAGCCACACACTGGGGCATCCACAGTTAGAGAAACTGTATGCTAAAGCAGCCTAGTAAGGGGAGCACAACAGAACCCGGAAAAAAGATAATCAAACTGAAGCAAACCAAATTCTTCCGCCTCTGGTGTTGCTGTAGTAGAACTCTCTACTGACAAAAATAAACCTCACGTTGCCAGCTGGCAACAGTGTTTAAAGGGCCCAACTCAGGTCCATTTTCACAGAACAAGCCAAGATAACTATTGGATAGCAAAGGAAGAGTTGATTGTTTCGTTTGTTGTGCAGAAGCTCTATGTTTGATGTAGTCTTGTCTGTTTTTGCTTTTGTGGCTTATGCTTTTCATGTCACAGCCAAGAAATTATTGCTTAAACTAATGTCATGAAGGTTTTCCTCTATGTTTACTTTTAGGGGTTTTATAGACTTAAGTCTTGGGTTTAATTCTTTAATTCAT
The DNA here is from genome assembly GCF_000001405.40 of Homo sapiens. Classification (NCBI taxonomy): domain Eukaryota; kingdom Metazoa; phylum Chordata; class Mammalia; order Primates; family Hominidae; genus Homo; species Homo sapiens. The sequence goes on along the minus strand of NC_000001.11, from coordinate 196,170,206 downwards.
TTTTGAGTTGATTTGAGTGTATGGTGTAATACAAAGGCCTAATTTCATTCTTTTGTATTTGGGTATCTTGTTTTCCTATCACTCTTTGTGAAAGACTATCCTTTCCCTATTGTGTATTCTTGGAACTCTTATTGAAATCAGTTTGTCATATATGTGTGGGTTTATTTCCTTTACGGAGAGAAATGGTCCACAACAATGTCTCTGTCCTTTAGTTGAGTTATAACTCATCACTCAGAGGTCATCATTCTGAATTATTTTTTGAAACTCACCCTCCTCATAATAAAAGTATGAGATAAAGGATCATTTACAAAACCATTCACAAGTTTTATTGTTAAGTCAGTGCCTTTAGCTTAGCTTTTCACCATGTGGCCATTTTATTGTACTTATTAAACTGAACCATATGAAGATGCTATTTTAGTAGATCCAAAATAGTCAAATATTAGCTATTTTATTATAGTTGAAACTAAGAAAACTTGAAAATTTCGTCTGCACATTCTGTTTGTATTATTTATAATGCTATTGACTGCAACTAGGTCTAAAACTGAAAAGCAAAAGGCTGTGTTTTCATAAGTTTATGTTATTTCTGTTTACTGACCAGAATAAATGCCACATTTTTGTCATTTGGTTTATTCAAGGAAATATCACTAGCAGTAAGTTGCCTTGTATAAGGTGTGACTAATTTTTAAAAATAATATAATTAAAATATATCTTTTTGTAGGAATTTACATTACAGACAGACATATATTCCTAATAATCTGCTAGTGAACAAGAAAACTTAGACTGGATTGAGCATTACAATGCTAAAGCTTATATCAGAGGTCACAGAAATCTTTGTTTCAGCTAAGTAAAATCATTTAACATAACTGAAACCTGCTTTAACTCTTCTTTCATTATTTTGTCCATAGCTAGATAAATGTTTACTTGAAATAAAATTTAAATTGCATATTTCTATGTTGAAAAAAATAACAAAAAATCATGTTATCCCGTGACTTAAGTAATGTAACATGACTTATGCTTAACCTAGTTTAATAAGCTAATGAACATAATAGTTCTCTTTTAAAAAATTAAACATACAATGTTTTAAAAAATTAAACGTACTGTGATTATACCTTACTGTTCTTTGCCCTCTATTATTTAACAAGTGAAATGAATAGACATGACAAAAATAATCTTCAAAAAGTGTAAAGAAATTTTAAGGATAATAAACTTTTTCTCATTAGAATAAATAATAACAAAGTACATGTAATCAGGACAAATTATGAAGGATGGAATTTTGCAAGCAGAATTTATAAGATCTGAAAAAAATGTCCTTATTAGATATTTAGACAATATTTTATAGAGAAAATACAAATAATTTTCAGACTAAAGATTACTCTCACTCAAGTCAATTTTATTTACAATTTTATAAAGATTGCTTTTGATTTTAATTTTAAATTTTTATTTTTTTAAAAAAGGCAAACATCAGGTGGCTTTGCTGATTTCTAATCTTTGTAAGAATATAATATGTGTGAGTGACGCACAGGACGTGCTTGATCTCCTTTTCCATACCTAACATCTACCTGCACACCTTCTACTTTGGGAGCTGAAGAAAGTATACTCAGTGTTTTAGAGATTACTCTCCATAAAGAGTAACTCTGTCAGATAATTTGAAATATAATATTCAACCATTCAGTTGTGAGACAAAAATGATTTGTTTAACCTCCTCCTAGTCGAGGAAAACTAGTGGTTGGGATTGGAAAGATTCTAGAGATCAATACGAGTTTCTCTGATACCCTTGAAACTAAGGTATGGGGTAGGAGTAAAGTTCAGAGCAATAGGATCTTCCTTTCCATTTGTGGAACTGTGAGAAGAGAGGCCCTGAGTTCCATTTTTCTCTGGAGAAGCTCTGATAGAAGCCAAGCCTCCAGGATCATCTGTAACAGGATAAACCTTGGTGCTAGGTCAGGGATGAGCAAAGACAGGCCTCTGGCATTGCAGAGAAAGTAAGTAAAATCCTCTGGCCTAACTGAAGCATAGAATTAAACAAATGGTGTGTGCCCTAGACGTAGGCTCCATACGGGACTTGTCGCAGAGCTGAGAAAATTCATACCCTGTCATGGTAAATGAGGTGAACTCAGTTTTTATTCCTGTGACTGGTAGATGGATGGAGGACAAATGATAATGAACAAATTATCCACTTATAAGTTAAAAATTCAGCTTTTGCCAACTGTAACATGCAAGTACTCTTGTTTAATTTGAGAAATTCAGCAAAGAAGGAAAAAAGAAATGATAAATCATTATTGTTTACATTTATGGGGTATGGGGTACAATATGACAAACATACAATGAGAAATGATTGAATCAAGCTAATTAACATATACAGCACCTCACTTACTTATTTTTTGTCATGACATATTTGAAATTTACTGTTAGTTTTTTGAAATATACAGTAAATTATTATTGTCTGTAGTCACCTTGCTGTGCAACAGATCTCAAAACTTATTTTTCTTGTCTATTTGAAACTATATCTTTTGATCAACCTCCCATTCCTTTGGTCCCAACATGACCACCCCAGCTTCTGGTACCCGTCATTCTACTCTCTACTTCTATGAGTTAAGCTATTTTAGATTCCACATTTAAGTGAGATCATGCAGTATTTGTCTTTCTGTGCCTTGCTTATTTTACTTAACATAATGTCCTCCAGTTTTCATCCATGTTATCTCAAATGACAAGAACTTCTCCTTTTTTAAGGCTATTATTCCATGTGTGTGTATATATATATATATATATATACTACATTTTCTTTATTCATCCTTTGATAAGCACTTAGGTTGATTTCATATCTTGGCTATTATGAATAATGCTGCAATGAACATGGGAGAGCAGAATTTTTTTGACATACTGAATTCAATTCCTTTGTATATATACACAGCAGGCAGTGTGATTGCTGGATAATATGGTAGTTCTATTTTTAATTTTTTTAGGAAAAAAATACAACTTTCTATAATAGTTATACTAATTTATATTCCCTCTAGCAATGAAAAGAACCCTTTTCATCACATCCTCATCAACACTATCTTTCATCTTTTTGATAAAAGCTATTCTAATAAGTGTGAGGTAATGTATCATTGTGGTTTTAACTTACATTTACCTAATAATCAGTGATTTTGAGCATTTTTTAACGTACCCATGGCCTTTTGTATGTCTGCTTTGAGAAATGTCTGTTCAGGTCCTTTGCCCATTTTAAAGTCAACTTATTTGTTTTCTTGCTACTGAGTTGAGTTTCTGATATATTTTGAATACTGACCCCTTATCAGATGTATGGTGTGCAAATATTTTCTTCTAATCCATGGGTTGTCTTTTCACTTTATTGTTTCCTTTGCTGTGCAGAAGATTTTTAGTTTAATGCCATCCTATGTAGCTGGGTTTTTTTGTTTGTTTGTTTTTGTTTTTGTTTTGCCTGCACTTTCATGGTCATATCCAAAAACAAAACAAAACAAAAACAAAATTGTTGTTCAGACCAATGTCATGGAGCTTTTCCCCTATGTTCTCTTCTAGTAGTTTCACGGTTTCAGGTTCCACTTTTAAGTATTTAATCCATTTTGAGTTTAATGTTGTATGTGGTGTGAGATTAGGATCTAATTACACTCTTTTGCATGTGGTTATCCAGTTTTTCCGACACATTTAATGAGGAGACCATCCGTTCCCCATTATGTGTTCTTGGCACCTTTGTAAAACATCAGTTGACCATGAATGTGTGGGTTATTTCTGGGATTTCTACCCTTTTTCATTGGTTATGTGTCTGTTTTATCCCAGTACTATTAGGTTTTAATTAATCTCTTTATAATGTGCTTTGAAACAAGGAGTATGATGCTGCCAGTTTTGTTCTTTTTGTTCAAGATTGTTTTTGCTATTCAGGGTCTTTTGTGGTGCCATTCACATTAAAAGACTGTTTCTTTCTATTTTGTAAAAAATGACACTGGAATTTTGATAGTGATTGCATTGAATCTGTAGATCACTTTGTATTGTATAGACATTTTTACAATATCAATTCTTCTAATACATGAATATAAAATGCCTTTCTATTTATTTGTGTTTTTTTCACTTTCTTTTATCAGTGTCGTACAGTTTTCAATATACAGGCCTTTCACTTCCGTGGTTAAATTTAAACCGAAGTACTTATTTTCCTTGCTGTTATTTTGGGGTTGTTTTCTTAATTGTTTCTCAATTTCCTTTTGGCAACACCAAAAGTCTATTATGGGTATAAAGAAATGATACTAATTTTTGTATGCTGCGATTATTCCAACACATTTACTTAATTCATTGAGTTATTAGTTCTAATAGCTTTTGGCAGAGTCTTTAGCAAATGGAGACAATTTTACTTCTTCCTCTTCTACTGGGATATCTTTTATTTCTTCCTCTAGCTTAATTGCTCTGGCTAGGACTTCCAGTACCATGTTGAATAGAGATAGTGAAAGTGGGCATCCTTATCTTTTCCGTGATCTTAGAAGAAAAGCTTTCAATTTTTTCCCATAGAAAATGGTGTTAGCTACAAGTTTGCCATATATGACCTTTATTTTGTTGAGGTACATACCTTATATGCCTAATCTATTGAGAGTTTTCATTATGAAGGATATTGAATTTTGTCAAATGCTTTTTAAAAATGTTTAGATAATTGTATGTTTTTTTATTTTCTTAATGTGGTATATCACAAGTACTTATTTGAGTATGTTAAACCATCCTTGCATCACATGGATAAATCCCACTTGACTACAGTAAATGATTCTTTTAATATCTTGTTGAATTTGGTTTACTAATATTTTTTTGAGGATTTTTGCATCTATGTTTATCTGGGCTTTATAATTCTAATGCAGTTCAGGAATCTCAAACCAGGGGATATAGCATTAAAAATGTAGTATATTCCTAACCTCATTTACCTTTATAATCAATTTTCATGCATACTTATTAACATCTCCCAGAATACTGTTCAGTAAAAGCATTTTTGAAAACAATGCTTTATATAAAAAATAAAAGGCTTTGGTTTTTATTGAACATATAGGATATTAAGATCAAATAGATATTTTCCTACTACTTATTTGGTGAGTATAATTAATGGCTGCCATACGCACCTAGACACATAGTAAGATGTAGGGCCATCAGTCATAAAAATAACAACCCAGAAGTTCCCAAAAGGACACTAAAACCAGACACACACACAAAATAGGTCATCTAAGAAGACATGAATTTCATATTAGTATCTGATTTCTCTTTAACACACTCTGTGCTAGAAGACAATGAAGTTCTGCCTTTAATGTTCTAAAGGAAACTGTTTTCCATTTTGATTCTATATGAAATAAAATGATCAATCTCTTCATGGTAGAATAAAGTCATTCTTCAGAAGCAGGAGTGCTCAGATAATATATCTCCCCTTCATCTTTTCATGTGAGATTTCTTCTCACTATGTGTACGTAAAAGAAAGACAGCAATGGAAGGAAGCACCAGGATGACAAGCAGGCTTAGAGGGTGTATTAGCCAGGGTTCTCTAGAGGGGCAGAACTAATAGGATAGACATATATATAAATGAAAGTTTATTAAGTTTATTAAGTATGAACTCCCAGAATCACAAGGTCCCACAATAGGCCGTCGCAGGCTGAGGAGCAAGGAGAGCCAGTCTGAGTTTCCAAACTGAAGAACATGGGGTCCAATGTTCGAGGGCAAGAAGCATCAAGCATGGGAGAAAGATGTACACTGGGAAGCTAGGCCAGGCTTTCTTTTCACATTTTTCTGCCTGCTTATATTCTAGCCATGCTGTCAGCTGATTAGATTATGCCCACCCAGATTAAGGGTGGGTCCACCTTTCCCAGCCCACTGACTCAAATGTTAATCTCCTTTGGCACCACCCTCACAGACACACCCAGGATCAATACTTTGTATCCTTCAATCCAATTAAGTTGACACTCTGTATTAACCATCACAAGTCTACCCCTTATCAACATGAACCCACACACATCTCCTGAGATCAAACATAATCTTCAAATGAAGACAATAATAAGGTCATAATTATGCCTAACGTAATACAACTATCCTTTGTACAACTGGAAATGCACCAATCTTCAACCCAAATACTGTGACATAAAGTTAACAATACTTAAATGTTGATGTGAAGTCAATAAATCATATGTCACATGATGACAGAGAAAGAAAAAAATGAAGATATTTTCTTAGTACAAGTGTATACATGTACAAACATGTTTTTAACAAAAGAAGGAGGAAATACTAATGACAATTACAATCCTCGTATCTGCAGCTGGTCACGTGGTTGTAGTTGGTATCGATGACTACCTTCTTCTGTTACCCATTCTGTATTCCATTTGCCTTCAGCAAGCACCTCAGCCAGTCATGATTTTTTTAATGGTGGAGTGACCCAGATCTTCATTCATGAAGGGTCTAGGTCATTTGTAGTCCTGCCTGGATTGGGCTGTTGTAGTTTCCCATTGACCTTATCAGAGGGCATGGTAATACTAAGAAACGCATCAATGGATCTCTTGTATTCCATGCATACTCTTCCTTACCTCCATTGTGGAGTAGAAGACTGATTTCATCTTGGTAGTCTAGGTCAATCACCCCAGCCAATACTGTGACTCCCTTCTTAGCCTGTTGACTTAAAGGTAGTAGGAGCCTAAAGTGTCCAGGTGGCAATCTTAACTTCCAGTTAAATAGAATTGTTGTTGGGTCTCCTGGTGGCAGCATTCCTCCCTCTGGAACTAAGACCTCTATGCCAGAAGAACGTTGCGTAGAAAGTCGCGGGAACAGAAAGCAAAAATTTTGCTAGTGGGTCACTAGGGGTGATGGTGAGTGGTGCCACTTCCACTTCCACCCATTGATTCCTGGACCCATGAATCCTGGCTATGGGAGAAGCAGTACCAGATATTGGATGCTGATTCAGAGCATACACGACCTTCTGGAGAACTTGCCCCAGCCCTGGAAAGTAGTGTCAACTAGTTGGCATTGGAATTGTGACTTCAAAAGGCCATTCCACTGTTCTATCAATCCAGCTACTTCAGGATGTCTGGTAAGACCAGTGAATTCCACGAGCATGAGCCCACTGCCATACTTCTTTAGCCCTAAAGTGAGTGCCATGGATGGCAGTCTTGGCAGAAGCATTGCATGCAAGATAAGCACACCCATATCCGGAGTAATTATCTATTCAGGGAGGACAAACCTCTTCCCTTTCCATGATGGAAGAGGTCCAATATAGTCAACCTGCCACCAGGTAGCTGGCTGATCACCCCGAGTAATGGTGCCACATCAAGGGCTCAATGTTGGTCTCTGCTGCTGGCAAATTGGGAACTCAGTGGTGGCCGTAGCCAGATCAACCTTGGTGAGTTGAAGTCCATATTGCCGAGCCCATGCGTAACCTCCATCCCTGCCACCATGGACATTTTGTTCATGGGCCCAGTGGGCGATAGCAGGGGTGGCTGGGGAAGGTGGCTGACTGGTGAGGGCCAATACTTTGTATCCTTCAATCCAATCAAGTTGACATTCAGTATTAATGATCACAGAAGTCAATGATTTACCATATTGTAGAAGGTGGATGGAGACTTCCATAAAAGAGGTGTCTTTAACAATATGAGTCCAATAGAATCAATCACATGCTACATAAGAAAAACATTCTATCACAGGGCTACTATGTATGGTTCTGCCTTTAAAGGGGTGCCTTTCATAATGTGCACATTGTAGATTTCTGGATTTCTGAAGATAATTTTCAGAAGATGACAGTGAAAGCCATATAATAGAACAATTTTATGCCAGATGAAAGTATATATGTTAAAGAAGAGATATTTTTTCAAAACAATGGCAAAGCTGAATTAAAATTAAAGGGAAATAGTTCAAGGGGAAAAAAACCCTCTAAATAAATAGAAATAAAATTAAGGAAATGTAATGAGGATTACATTAGAAATGACATCAATAAAGTCTTCCCAGAGTTTTCATAACATAAGTTATTCTGCAGGTTGTGATGTTCTCATAATTTTTACCAACTTCTTCTGATAATATAATCCCAATTGGAAACTTTTCAGTTCTCATTTTACATGAACTCTGAATAGATTTTGGCATTATTTTGACTCTTCTTGTTTTCTACAACATCATATGCCTTCTTCCCTGACTTGGTCCCTATGTCTCTTGCCATGCCTTCATTTTATGCCTTACATGGAGCGTTCCTTTCTATTCAGTCCTTGCTATCCTCCTTACTCCACATTCTTTCCTAAGGCAATTAAATTTGCTTCTATAATGAAATAATACATATATAAAAATTTCACTCTGTTGATTACCAAGTTTAAATACATTAGGTCTCAGCATCAATGTCCCTTATTCAGAATCCCTTCTTATTCTCCTTATCTACAATGCAACACCAATTATACTTACTCACAATACCAGTTATACTGTCACCATCTGTATGATATAGCCACTGCTATGGGCTGAATGTTTGTGTCCTCCCCATGAAAATCATATGTTGAAATTCTCACTCATAAGGTGATGATATTAGGAAGTAAGGCCTTTGGGAGGTGACTAGGTTATCAGAGTGGAGACCTCTTGATTGGGATTACTGCCTTTGTAAAAGACTGCAGAACACTAGCTAGTCCCTTCTATCATGTGAAGACAGTGAAAAGGCACCGTCTATGAGGCAGAAAGCAGGTCCTCACCATATATGTAACCTGCTGGTGGCTTGATCTTGAACCTCTCAGGCTTCAGAACTGTGAGAAATAAATTTCTTTGGTTTATAAACCACCCAGTTTACAGAATTTTGTTATAGCTGCCCAGACTGTCATTACATTGTACCCATTTGTTTAATGTCTCTTTTTCCATTAGATTGACAGAAATTATTGTGTATTTTAATGATAATTGTATCCTCTGCCTAGAATATTGTGTAAAATGTGTGTATGTGTGTATCTGTGAATACATATAAGTATACCTATTTTTGAAACCTATAATGACTGTTTCTGTTCTGTCTTCAGTGATCTTGGTATGTGAAAGAGATTTGTAAATTGTAAGTGTTATGCACTGTAAGAAAAATATATTTTGAATTTACTGAGGTTTAATTTATAATCTAAAGTGTGATCAAGAATTTAAATTTGAAAAAGAAATGCTCTGTGGTGTCTAATAGGCTTGTGAAAACTTGAGATATCCTACGGTAAAAATGATCAATAAAAAGCTTTCTTACTCATGTAGTTATTGTACTGGATTTTTACAGAATGTAAAGCTAGATATGCATAAGTTAATTTAAGATGTGAAGATAAATTATCCAATATCAGTGGATCTAATATCCACTGTTAAAGAAAGCTAAATATGACCTGGGAAGGATTCTGTACTTCTATATTCCAGTCCTTGTGGATGAAGTGCAACCTAACTTAATAGGTAGAGAGGATTGAATATAGGAGTATGCTCCTGTAGCAATCACTGAGTCTTGGTCAATCCCAACAGCCATCCTTCAACCCGTCATACACTTGTGAGTGTTCAAACTATGCTCAGATAAGGCCAATGCCGACCTGTAACCAATCCAGCTGTTACTGTACCTCACTTCTGATTTCTGTACATCACTTTACTTTTTTTGACCACAAGGCACTCCTGGCATCTCTCTGAATCTGCTATGATTCAGGGGCTGCCCAATTCGTGAATCATTCATTGCTCAATTTAACTTCTTTAAATTAATTCAGCCAAGTTTCTCTTTTAACAGATGATGTCAGAAGTGGGGTGCAAAGTAGAGCTTCTGACAACCCCCGGGAGTACTGAGTGAACAAGCAAGGTATCTGCAGAACCCACTTGTGTCCACCGATCTCTCAGAGTGCCTGGAGATCATGGGTAAGTTCTCTCTCAGATTTTGGGGCTCCACCTATTTGTGTTTTGAGCTCTCTGAGTTTCTTAGAGCAAATTTTTGATCCAAACTGGGTTTGGAAGTTGCAACAGAAACTGGATTGGGTCCAGGAATGGATTTGATTTAGTAATTAACCAGCTTGGATCCAGTTAGAGGCCTCTTACATCTGACTGGGTCAGAAAGAAACTGGTAGCAAATGGTAATATTGTAGGGGTGTAAAATTTGGCTTTAAAAAATTTGTGGGGATTTTTGTATTCTACACCTTTGTTTCATTTTACTTGTGCACTTAGGCAGGAAAAATCATTGGGCAGGTTAATCAAGGGAACCTGAAAGCAAAGCCAATATTAGGTAAAAATGGGATTCTTCATATCTGAAAAACTGAGTCCCTTCTGGCTTATACATTAGGCACAGGAAAAAACAAAGTGTTACCGAAATGGCAAAATCTTACTAAAAGTAACTTATGGTGAAACATTCTGAATAAACAACAATGCATTCAAGTGCATTTAAAAATGAGGGCTCCCAAAAATTAAAGCTGCCAATCTTTCAGCTTAATTATTATCCTACTCCAAAGGAAATACACTGCAGCACCAATTGGCCGACTTCGGATAGGTAATGGGGTACATTTTACCTGAATAAAAGATGGAATTGGGTTAGAGGCCCTCCCCTCAATAAAGTCCCTCTTGGTTAAAAATGGATTAAAGATCGCAGGGCCCAACCAAGGACAAGTTTGACCTTTGCCAGTTCAACGTTGGGTGCTAAGCAGAGTGGCTAATGTCATGAATTTTGCTCTGGCCAGAATGAAAAATGTTAATTGGGTTACCCCCCGCATGCAACCCCATGGGCAGCAACTTGCAAAATTGAAAGGCTTTTGCCTGTGGTTCCCATGAAATAAAAATTCCATTGTCCAAGTCAAATTACCGATGATAACCCATCAGTTATCAGTGCTATGCACCAAATTTGGAGAAACAACTGATATTCAAGAGTATAGAAGTCTAATGTTAATTAAACATGGACTCATGGAGAACCAGGATGGCCACCTTGTCCTTCCTGAGTACATAAAGCTTTTATTATTAAAAGTTCTGCATTCCATGACTCATCATGGAAAAGATAAAATGATCCTAATTGAATATATTGGTGTGGTGGCATAAATTGCTAAAGTAGTTTATAACCAATATTTGGTCCCATATTCCCGGGAAAAAAATCTAAGCTTCTAGATTGTGAAGGGATTGATTATCCTCTGTGAATCATATCTCTGTGAACCATAAAAAGCTTTCTTTAGTGGTGAAAATACACTGTGGCATAATAACTTAGTGTTATAATATCAGGCCTCCTCCATGGGAGAGCTTTTATACAACCAGAAAACATGCTTTGGAAATAACATTTGAGTGAACTCCCTTTACAAAATGTTTAAACAACCCATCAGATGACCAAATGTATATCCGTGGATGACCATGGATAAACTTATACTTTGATAGGTAAAAGATGAGAGCCTAATATAGATAAGAGACTGCTTAGTTAAGTGAATAGACTCTTTATCTAGCTCATTCTTTGATCTATTTGATTGTAGGTGGTTTGGTTTATGGGGACCCTGGGTAAGAAGCATACTCTACCCTCTTGGTATTATCCTCCACAGAGTCATAAAATTAGTCTCCCTATTGTGCTGCATTCTCTCAAGGGTTATAAATGTTTGCATGCAACCATCTCTAGAATGTCAAATGGTCTCTCTTCAATTGGAATGATAAGAGCTGAAAGAAATGTGTGACCATGGGGACTCTGTAACCTATGAATGGCATGCTGAGACCGGAAACCCAAAATGATGGTAACTGAGAGTGATGCTAAGGCCCTAAGTTTTAGTAAAACTCTTACCTAAGTGAGAACCTGGCCAAAAAGTGGGAAATTTTTAAAACGAAATTATTAGAGGCCATTGTTTTGGACTGAGCTCACGCACTAGGCCCCAACAAACCAAACCAAACAAAACAAAAATGGAGTTGTTCAGGCTAAATGTGACATAATCAAACTAAGACTTCATTTATTTTATTTTATTTTATTTATTTATTTATTTTTATTATTATACTTTAAGTTTTAGGGTACTTGTGCACAATGCGCAGGTTAGTTACATATGTATACATGTGCCATGCTGGCGTGCTGCACCCATTAACTCGTCATTTAGCATTAGGTATATCTCCTAATGCTATCCCTCCCCACTCCCCCCATCCCAAAACAGTCCCCAGAGTGTGATATTCCCCTTCCTGTGTCCATGTGTTCTCATTGTTCACTTCCCATCTATGAGTGAGAACATGCGGTGTTTGGTTTTTTGTCCTTGCGATAGTTTACTGAGAATGATGATTTCCAATTTCATATATGTCCCTACAAAGGACATGAACTCATCCTTTTTTATGGCTGCATAGTATTCCATGGTGTATATGTTCCACATTTTCTTAATCCAGTCTATCATTGTTGGACATTTGGGTTGGTTCCAAGTCTTTGCTATTGTGGATAATGCCACAATAAACATACGTGTGCATGTGTCTTTATAGCAGCATGATTTATAGTCCTTTGGGTATATACCCAGTAATGGGATGACTGGGTCAAATGGTATTTCTAGTTCTAGATCCCTGAGGAATCGCCGCACTGACTTCCACAATGGTTGAACTAGTTTACAGTCCCACCAACAGTGTAAAAGTGTTCCTATTTCTCCACATCCTCTCTAGCACCTGTTGTTTCCTGACTTTTTAATGATTGCCATTCTAATTGGTGTGAGATGGTATCTCATTGTGGTTTTGATTTGCATTTCTCTGATGGCCAGTGATGATGAGCATTTTTATGTGTCTTTTGGCTGCATAAATGTCTTCTTTTGAGAAGTGTCTGTTCATATCCTTTGCCCACTTTTTGATGGGGTTGTTTGTTTTTTTCTTGTAAATTTGTTTGAGTTCATTGTAGATTCTGGATATTGGCCCTTTGTCAGATGAGTAGGTGTTTCTTTAAAGTCTTAGTTTGAAATTTTCACAATCAAACTAAGACTTTAAAGAAACACGTAGATTTTAGATTAGAACAGACTTGGTTTTGTTTTCTCCTGTAAACAGAACATTCCAGCACAAGGAGGTACCCTCTACTTATTCCTTGTTTCTACCTTTGCAGTACCCACTGTTTTGTTTTTCAGTGGGTTTCAAGACCAAATATGTACATTTACAAAGGTGATAGTGACATCAATGTCCAAAGTTTTGGTCAATCTCTCAAAATTAAGAAAATGACCAAAAGTGGGGAAATGTTAACAAAAACTAAATATGGCCGTACTTCTATATTTGAGTTCTTGTGGATGAACTGAAACCTAACTTAATAGGTAGACAAGATTGAAAACCTAACTTAGAAGTATGTGCCTGCAACAATTGCTGAGTCTTGGCCAATCTCAGCAACCATACTTCAACCAGTCATACACTGCTGAGTGTTCAAACTATGTTCAAATAAGGCAAACTCCGAGCTGTTATCAATCCAACTGTTTCTGTACCTCACTTCCAGTTTCTGTATGTCACTTTACTTTTTCAGTCTATAAATTTGTTCTGACCACGAGGCACCCCTGGAGTCTCTCTGAATCTGCTGTGATTATGGGGCTGCTGGATTCATGAATTGTTCATTGCTCAGTTAAACTCCTTTAAATTTAATTCAGCTGAAGTTTTCCTTTTAACAATCACAAAGAGGAAATGTTAAAAAAAAAGAAACTGAGCATGTTTCATCAGTAAGGCTTATTTTCAACAGTGTTTTCATTTGAATAAGGTAAATGCACACAACATATCTAAATAAGCTGTGCTGTTATCAATTAATCATACACATGCTTCTAGAAATTTTAGAATATAAATAAAACTATAGGAGAGCATTATAATTCACAATACCAGTACCCAAACATTTGTTATTAATACATTTGTGTTTTTCTTTTTAGGGCTATCTCAATGTAGTATGTATTTTAAATATTACACTACACTGCATAAGCACTTTTGTGTCTTAGTTTTTAAACTTAGTATTATACTGCGATAGCTACCAAAGCTGTTAAGAATTTTTCAAAACATAATTTCCAGAGCTGCATAATATCTCATTATTTATATACATCAAAATGTAACTATTTTCATATGATCAGTTTTTAAGTTATTGCCTCTGAACTCTAAACCCACCTTCCTATATTCCTCATGATTTCTAAGATACTATATAATGTACCATGAAGTGGAATATAGGAGGAATATTTAGATCCTCTGTTTTATATGACACTATAATTAAAATTTTGATTTGTACTTTTAGGATCTACATGTTTGTATCTATGATTATAGTTAAAGATTTATTGTAGTTACATGTTAGAACACCTACTCCTTACTCCTGATTCTTCCCAACTGGTAGACAGTTATTAGAGCAATATTCTTGGCCTCTCAGAATGAAACATTTAGGAGCAGGAACTAAGAAGATGTTTAAATCTCAGCCCTGCCCTTCTCCTCTTCATTTGAGACCTGTAATCCTGTAGAGAACATGTGCCCCAGTGTACTTTTGTGCCTTAAGTTTATCAATGAAAGCTCTGTCTTAGTAGGAAGGCCTGCAGTTCTTCAGGGCGGTCTGTGATCAGATGGGCAAGTCTTCGTTTCTGGGCTTTAGTATTAGAAACAATAGGTTGTCACATAACTAAGACATGTTCTCTTAAAGCTCTATCTGTGGCTCTGTTTTCAGGCAGAGAAAAAGGTTGTTGTCTATAGGAATTCTGTGTCAAAGTTTCTGAACATTGTAATAGTTTTAAAATAAATCGTCAAACAAGGTAATGCTAACTTACACTCTCAATAACAGCACCCTGACCAGAGCTAAATATTATTATTATTTTGATAAAAATGTTTTGATGGGTAAAATTCTATATAAATTGTTTAGTATTTTTAAATAATCACTTAGAATGCTATAGCTTATTAATATGGATACTGACAAAAGAGTAATGCCTAAATGATAGTCACCATTGGTAACACATTTTAAACATAACTGAGACCTCTGTATTGATTTGAACTTTTATACCCATTTTTCTCATCAAATTTAAAAGCAAAGAAAAAAGAAGAAATGGAGATGTGAACTTCAAGCACTATTTATTGAATAGAGAATAACTTGTCTAAATCTATCATAGCATTAATTATACAAAGACCAGTAAAATAACTGTCAGAGACTCTCAACAACTTAGGTACAGAAGGAATATACCTCAACACAGTGAAGACCATATATCACAGGCTCCCACCTACCA
The DNA here is from genome assembly GCF_000001405.40 of Homo sapiens. Lineage (NCBI taxonomy): Eukaryota > Metazoa > Chordata > Mammalia > Primates > Hominidae > Homo > Homo sapiens. The sequence continues at coordinate 196,155,102 of NC_000001.11, read as the reverse complement.
TTATATATTTAACTGTGAAAAGCTTCCATATGATCAGGAAGAAGACAGGATGCCCAGTCTCCTCATTTATATTCAACATAGTACTAGAAATCCTAACCAGAGCAATTAGGCAGGAAAAAAAAGCCACCCAAATTAGAAAAGGATGTCAAATGATCTCTGTTTGCTGACAATTTGATCTTATATAGAAAACTCCCAAGACTTCATAAAAAAATTGTTAGAACTAATACATTCAGTAAAGCTATATGATACAAAATCAACATACATAATTCAGTTATGTTTCTGTATAATAACAAATAACTATCTGAAAAGGAAATTAAGAAAATAATCTCAGTCACAATATATCAAAAATATATAGAAATAAATTTTACCAAAATGTTGAAAGATCTACACACTGAAAACTATAAAGCACAGATGAAAGAAACTAAGAAAAACACAAATAAATGAAAAGATATACTGTATTCATAGATAGAAAAAATATTGTCAAAATATCCATATTACCCAAAGCGATCTACGTATTTAATACAATCTCTATCAAAATTTAAATTGCGTTTTTCACAGGAATAGAAAAATCAATTCTACAATTTATATGAAGCTACAAAAGCTCCAGAACAGCTGAAGCAATCTTAAGTGAGAGGAAGAAACCTTGGGGGATCACATTTTCTGATTTCAAATTATATTGCAAAGCAGAAATTTAATTTAGTTATTAATAACTTAATCCTTATATTTCCAGTAGAATCAAAATAGTGCGATACTGGTGTAAAAACAAGCACATAGACCAATGGAAGGGCATAGAGGGCTCAGAAATAAAGGTAAACGATAGTCTCTTTGATAGGGTTGGGAAAACTGGATATTCATATGCAAAATATTAAATTGGATCATTATCTTACACTATACATAAAAATCAACTCAAAATATATTGAAGACTTACACATAATACTTGAAACCATAAAACTCTCAGAGAAAAACATTGATAAAAGCTCTGCAACATTGTTCTAGGCAACAATTTTTTGGATATGACACCAAAACTACAGGGAATAAAAGTAAAAATAAACAAGTGGAACTGCATTAAATTAAAAATGTTCTGCACAGTAGAGAAAACAACAAATGAGAAGGCAAATCAGGGAATGGAAGAAAATATTTGCAAGCATATATCTGACAAGGGGTTATTATAAAAAAATAAGGAATTTATACAATTCAATAGCAAAGCAAAGCAAAACAAAACAAAACCTAATTAAAAGTAGGCAAAGGACTTGAATAACCTGAGTGAATATTTTTCCAAAGACATACCATGGCAAATGGATATTTTAAAAGACGCTCAATATCACATATCATCAGGGAAATGCAAATCAAAACAAAAATGAGATATCAACTATGCTTGTTAGTATGACAATTTTCAAAAATGCAAAAATAACAAATATTGGTGAGGATATGAAGAAATCGGAGCCCTTGTACACTGTTGGTGGGAATGTAAATTGGTACAGCCATCATGGAAAGTCATATAGAAGTTACTCAAAAAATTAAAAGTAGAATTATCGTATGAACTATTAACAATCCCATTTCTGGAAATATCCGAGGGAAATAAAATCCTTATCACAATGAGATATTTGTACTCCCATGCTTATTGCAGCATTATTCACATTAGCCAATATGTGGACTTATGTGGTATATGTACAATAAAATATCATTCAGCCTTAAAAAATATGTAAATACTACCATTTGTAAAAACATGGATGAAACTAGAGAACATTATACTCAATGAAATAAGCCAGACACAGAAAGACAAATGCAGTATGATCTCTTTCTCGCTTACATGAGAAATCTAAAATAGTCCCACTCATAGAAACAAAGACCAGAAGGGTGGTTAGCAGGCGTCAAGGGGAGGGGGAAGCGGGAAGATGTTGGTCAGATGGTACAAACTTTCAGTTACAAGATGAATAGGTTCTAGGGAACTAACGCAATGGATGACAACTATATTTCGTAATAATGTATTGTATACTTGAAATATGCTGAGAGGAGATTTTACATTTTCTGACCACATACACACACACACACAGACATACAAAGATAACTATGTGAGGTGATGGATATGTTAATTAGCTTGATTGTGGCAATTATTTCACAAAGTATACATAAGTTGAGACATCATGTTGTATATCTTAACTATATTTAATTTTTATTTGTCAATTTTACCTCAATAAAGCTGGAAAAAAGTAATAACATCGCTATTGTTTTGGTTTCTATTGATGACAGTTTGCTTGACTTGAAGGTGCAAAGACTCCACGAGTTAGATTTTGAGGAAATATTCTCTATGAAAGGAGAATACAGGTTATAGGAATTTTTTTCATAAAACTTTGCTTTATAATGTGTAATAATGTCATAGTAATTATAAAAATAACAATGTTATATTACTTTTTGCTTTTGCGATGGACTTCTTCAAATACAAAGACAGTTTTCTCATTCCTGAATTTCAATCTTTGGATGGAATGAGGTATGTAAATAAGGTCAGGATACCTTTTTTGATAAAGATTTCCCTAAAATTATTAATAATTACTTTCAGATATTGAATTTTGGCCCCATTTTTATCCTTCCTTTATCCATACCCTTTATCTTGTGCATTTGCAGTTCCTTCCAAAATACACACACTAGAGGAAGTGTGTATTTTCCTGACCTTTGACTTTATGTTTAATTATATGACTTACTTTGGCCAATGGCATGTAAGCAAGCAGACAAAATGCAAGTGAAAGCATGAGACGTGCTTACCGGTTGGACTTTCTCTTTTGCTCTTATATTATTGTGATAAGGAGAATATGCCCGAACTAGGCCACTGTGTCAACAAGGATGAGAGTAACAAGGCCAATCCTGGGCTCTAACCTGCAGCTTGGAGTCAAGCCCAGCTATGCTCAACCTAGATCAGCTGACCCCCAGATGGCCAACAGCAAGGAGCAAAAATACATGCATTTTGTTTCAAGCCATTCTATTCTGAGGCATTTTGTTACACAAAAGTATTGACATTTTAAATTGACACTTTCACATCTATTCTATTAGTTAAGGCTCTGAATGCTCATATGAGGTAGGTTTTGTTATCTATCTTTCACACACAGAAACTGAGCCCTACATAAATTAAGAAATGTGTCCAAAGAAACAGCTAGGAAGCAAAAAAGGAGAAACCTATTTCCAGTGTAGAAAGTTGAATTCTCCCATTAGTAAAAGTATTTTCTAACAGGATTTTTCTGAGTAAGAATTAACTGCATTTCTTTGCAGGTGCCACAGTTATATTTTATTTTGATTTTGACTTATGGGACTGAGTTGGCATTATGGTAAAGTGATTAAGAGTGTGGGCTCTGAAATCAGGCTGCCTGGGTTTATATTTTGGCCCCCAAGTTGCTATTTATGTGCAAGTTATTTAACTTGATTTTTCTGTTTCTTCATCATGATATGGGCCTAAAGCCTTATAGTTCATATGGTCGTTGTGAGATTTATATATGTTAGTACATTTAATAGGCACTCAATAAATATTATTATTTTGGAAAAACGGTCAATTTTTATATTCTAAATTTATATATGTGCTGAGTAAAGTGTTGTTTGTTAGATTTTGTATGCAGGAGATCAGTTTCAACATCTACTATGCAAGAGGAGTGAGAGAAAATCAATCCATTAATTAACAGCAGTCACCAAATATGCCTGATGTGCAAACATTTTTTAACCCTGAGATGGTCTGAGAAACTTACTAAAATCTGTACCTATGAATTGTAAGAATGTTCAAGTCAGTAAAATATTATGAACAAAGTCATATATTGGCTACTAAACTCCACAGCCTATATGGCAAATGAAACATCCTCACTTGTTGAAGAAAAAATAAACATGAATGAGAGATAATAAGAGACATGGGAGTAGAGATGGGTTGGGGTCCAACTGACGGAGATTTATAATATATTAACGGGAACTCCTTCTCTTTTGGGGTTAGGAGGAAGTTAAAAATGAACAGAAGATTGACCTTACCAAACTTCTGTTTGATGAGAAAATTCATCTAGTTGCAATGTATAAGATGTATCAGTTTGAGTAAAGGTTGGAAATACAAAGCATGAGGTGTAAAAATACGTAAGGCATTTCCCAAAGACATTATTTATCGTCAAGGGTAACTTTCCATAGCAACACGTATCTTTCAGTTAGAGCCTGTGTCTCAGGTGTAATTGTGTATTAATTGAATTTGGTTAATATCTGTTTATGCTGTTACTTTAAAACTTCCCGATAGCAGATATTATGTTTGTATGTTTGTTATGTTTATTTAACATTTTGTCCTCAGAACCTGCAGCAGTGATTGGCCCACAGTTGTTGCTTGGTATCTGTTAAATCAGTAAAGAGATAAATGATAAATGAGAAAATGATACAATGAGACAATGAAGATAAATGCAACATTTTTTAGATTAAATATTATTTAATCAAAATCTAATTTTATAATTGAACAAAGTGTAAGAATAAGTGTTTCAATCAAGATTATGTAAATTAAATGAACTTAATTTTTAAAACTACTTTTTCATTGAAATACAAAGTTTCACTGAACTTTAAATGTCAGGAATATTTGAATCCAAATACGGGAAAATGTTTTCCATTCTACTCTCTTCTGAAATACAATAATATAATTTGTGTTGTGTGTCTTGTGTGTGTGTATGTGTGTGTGTGTATGTATGCATGTGTGTGTGTGATACTTGAGCTAACATTTCTAGGTAGTTTGTCCTGGGAGATTGTCAGGGTTATTGAACTATAATACTTTTAAAAGAGAATTCATACATTGAAATCATGAATTTGTTAGCTTGAATTTCGTCTCTTTTTCCCAAGAGACTGTGAACTCTTTAAGAGTAGAAACTTTGCCTTTTTAAGCTCTCTGCTTCACAAAGTGCTTGGTACATCATTGGTGATCATCATCTATGTAAAGGAATGAATTTTTCTCATGTTAATCTGGAATTAAAGATGTAAATATTCTCTAAATTCTAGAAATAGTGACCGTTTTGCTCAGTTTTATCTTCCCAGGGACTGGATATGTCTGTATTTACATCAATAGCACACTCTCTTGATTCTGTAGCTTTGTATTAAGTTTTAAATTGGGAACTGTGAGTGCTCCAACTTCCTTTTCAAAAATGTTTTGGCTGTTCTGGTCCTTCACATTTCCACATACATTTTAGAATTAGCTTGTCTATTATTGAAAATAAAGCAGCTGGGCTATTGATAGGGATTGCACTGAATCTATAGATTATTTTGGGGAGTACTGCCATCTTAACAATATTAAGTTTTCTAATCCATGGACCAGGGATAGCTTTCCATTTTTATTTAGGTCTTCTTTAATTTCTTTCAACAATGTTTTGTAGTTTTCAGTGTACAAGCCTTGCACTTCTTTTGTTTAATTTATTCCCAGGTATTTAATTCTGCCTAGTTTTGTAACTACACTTTAGTGAAAACAGTCATGCTCATTTACTTACCTACTGTCTATGTCTGCTTTCCCTACAATAGGAGAGTAGGTGCAATAAAAAGTTTGCCCACCCCTTGTCTAGAAGTCTCCTGATAATACTCTCTGCTAACAAATACAGCAGGAATCATTTTTCATAAACACTCTGAGAAATTTCAGTATTCTCTCTAAAGTTGCAATAAAGTAATCTTTACAGTGCATAGAAATGTCTCATCTCTTATCTTTGGGCCATTATCCTCTGCAATTTCTAGTACAATTTATTATCTGCTTCAACAAATCCTCAAATTGCTGTCCTCTAAATGACACATTGAGGGTCTCTAGGACCTTCAAATATTATCCTTAGATTCCAGATAAGCTGCAGCATTACAATCTGGATTGTTTGAGCTTCATAATATAGTAATACTAAATAAATATTCTTGCTCTTTTGACACAGACAACAGAATGCAGTGTGAGGGATGTCAAGTCATCTGGGAACAACACTTTCTTAAGAATTCATCTCAATTTCTGCGTTTTTTGGAAAGGTCCTTAATTGTTTGCTGCCTCTGCAAGCTAGACATCTCTTTCAGCAAATGGAGACCCAGATGGTGAGGCAAGAGAAGGAATGACCAAATTAATGAAAATGTTCTTTCAGCTTGTTATTGAGCTTGTTATTCTCCTGAATGCTTGCTCTGCGACTGTTATGCTAACTGACCCTGTGGGTAGAGGAGAAGGAAATATCTCTTCTGTTAAATTAAAAAATAATAATAAATGACAATCAAAAATACAAATAGAATTATATTATTTCTTATTTTTGAAAGATAATTGTGCCAACATCTCATACAGTTTTCAACAAAATAGATTTAATTGATCTCCTTTGAGGGGTAGTCAATCAACAACAGGTGGGAGGGAAAAAATTCCAAAACTCAGACCTGAAACACATCTCGAAATACAAGAACAATTGGAAGAAGACACTTACTAATGAGAATTTTAAAATTTAAAGGCTTGACTTAGAAAGAAATCCAAGTACAAATAATGCAGACTATATTATTGGTTTATCTTTGAAATTGCTTTGTGACAGCACCATCTTGTGGTTAAATTTAAAATAGTTTTCCACTCTAATCAAAGGTAGGCTTAAGCTAAATACATAGTTTCTTATGATTAGTCTAACATATGTTATACTTATAAACCATGGTCTTTTTCTATTTAATTTTACTGTAATTTTAAGAATACGCTTTTTATTATTTAAAATTCAGAAATGTTTTCATTTTATAAATTATTTTGAAAGATCTTATTGTACTCCTTGGGGCTAATTTAATAGTTTAAAAAGTACATAATACTTTTTAATACCAAAAGTTATATTTGAGCAAAGAGAAAGGTAAATATATCATGAGTTATACATAAGAACTTTTTAAAAATCAGAAATATTGCCGGCCGGGCGCGGTGGCTCACGCCTGTACTCCCAGCACTTTGGGAGACCGAGACCGACGGATCACGAGGTCAGGAAATCGAGACCATCCTGGCTAACACGGTGAAAACCCGTCCCTACTAAAAATACAAAAAAAATAGCCGGGCTTAGTGGCGGTCGCCTGTAGTCTCAGCTGCTGGGGAGGCTGAGGCAGGAGAATGGCGTTAACCCAGGAGGCAGAGCTTGCAGTGAGCAGAGATCCCGCCACTGCACTCCAGCCTGGGCGACAGAGCGAGACTCGTCTCAAAAAAAAAAAAAAAAAAAAAAAAATATATATATATATATATATATATATATATATATGAAATATTTTTATCTTTGAACTTACTTTTTAAACATTCTTAAAAAGTTAAGGAAATTATATCATTAAACTTTTAACAAATGTTAGACTCTAAGGGCTAGATAAGATAAAGGCAATAATCAGTATAAGACAATAATCAATACAAGGCAATAAAGGCAATAATCAGTACAAGACAATAATCAATAGGCAATAATCAATACAAGCATGATAAATATGAACACTGTAATAATAAAAATATGATCAAAATTTGTGTTATTTACATTGTGTTAATAGAGAGCATGAACCAAATGTTTAAGAATTTATACTGCTGTGGTCTACTCCTTACGCCGTGATAGGAACTATTCTCAATCAATTTCTGTTTTTTTTGTTGTTGTTGTTGTTTTTTCAGAAACCTCTCGTAGTAGCTAATTCCCACCTCTTCCCAACCTTATAAATCCCATGTTAAATCTCCTCCATAATGCAAAATTCCTGATTACTGATTATGGGCTTTGTTTGCAAAGAATATGGCTTTATTTCAGTCTTCTTCAGAATGTATTTCCTGTGGCTGTTTAATTTAGATTGTGTGTTTATCACCTTGAGGATCACATCCAGCCTCTCTGACTGTAGGTGCAAAGTATGCTGAGAATGAATAGAACCTATATTCTTCAATCTGGAAGGCAATTTTGGTAACTCAAGTTCAGTTTGCCAAGAAGGAAATTTAGACCCCAAAAGTGAAGCACGTTTTCTAAAACCAAACTAGTGTAGGCTGATTAACCAAGGGGAAAATAAAATACTTTAGGCTTTGAGGTACAAGTTTTTTTTTAGCTCAAATTATGATTTGTGAAGGTTTTCAAAACATATACACAAGGCCAATCTTGTGATTATATGTTTAACATTTAGTTCTTTATAGAATAACATGTTTCTAATGACAATAATAATACAAATATGATTTAGTTAAAAATAACTTCTAGTTTCTTCAGTGGCATCTATCCTAGGTAAGCAAACACGTGGGTCCTGTTTTTGCCTGCAGACCCTGTCTCTCTCTAGATAGTTGGTGTTAGTTGTTTGCCCTGTGACCTAACTTACCTAATAGGTTCCAGAAACATTGCTATTTGCATAATTATTTTTTAGCTGTAAGAGTGGGAGCAATGTCATTTTACTTTCATTTCTAAATAGCATTATCTGGCCGGGCGCAGTGGCTCACGCCTGTAATCTCAACACTTTGGGAGGCCGAGGCAGGCAGATCACTTGAGGTCAGGAGTTTGAGACAAGCCTGGGCAACATGGTGAAATCCTGCCCCTACTAAAAATACAAAAAATTAGCCGTGCATGGTGGCCGGCGCCTGTAGTCCCAGGTACTCGGGAGCCTGAGGCAGTAGAATTGCTTGAACCTTGGAGGCGGAGGTTGCAGTGAGCTGTGATGGTGCCACTGCACTCCAGCCTGGGAGACAGAGCAAGATCCTGTCTCAAAAATAAATAAATAAATAAATATTGTTCTCTAATAAAAACAATGAGATGAGATGGCTTATTTTAGGGCTGGCACAATGAAAAATATGAGATGAGCGTTTAACATCTTGTACAGCCAGGAAATAAGGGGAGGGGAAGAAAGGAGTGATGTCAAAAGGACACAGAAGACAAGTTGAATGAGCTCCCACTATGCAAAGCTGGATCTATTCCAACAACATACTAAATAATAACAGCAATAGATTGTAACTCAAGGAATGGAATATTTGTAAATAAAGAGCTATCATTTATAAATGAATAAATATATTTTCTGAATATATAAGTAGGGGAGAAGGGGCATATCTTTTAAATAGAAGGGGTCAAATAATAAATGTAGGAAGGATGAGGCATCAAAAATCACCGTTAGAACCCCGTAGTAACTGATGCTGCAGGCAAGATCCACTAAGGCATGCTAAAAACAGTCAGCAAAATTTTAAGGAGAAACAAGATATTTGTATAATTTCAACATATTTCCCTCAAATCTTTAATAATTCCTGTATTCATTTTAACTTATATCCAAAATTATTTGATATTATTCCATCTAGGAAGTGGAACTTAATTTGCCTCCCATTGAGTGTGGCATGGACTTAGTGACATGCTCCTAACAAATAGAATATGGAAGGGAACAATAACAACTTTAGAGGGGAGAAACCCAGAAGACAGACACCGCCTCCTCTAAGTGATCAACATTAACATCATGAGTAATAAGTCAGGTTGATAGCATGTCACACTGACATGATGTAGTAAGAAGGACACTGCTGGCCAGGCGTGGTGGCTCATACCTGTAATCCCAGCACTTTGGGAGGCTGAGGCTAGCAGATCACCTGAGGTAGCGAGTTTGAGACCAGCCTGACCCACATGGAGAAACCCCATCTCTACTGAAAAGACAATATTAGCTGAGTGTGGTGGCTCATACCTGTAATCCCAGCTACTCAGGAGGCTGAAGCAAGAGAATCACTTGAACCCGAGAGGCACAAGTTGTAGTGAGCTGAGATGGCACCATTGCACTCCCGCCTGGGTGACAGAGCAAGACTCCGTCTCAAAAAAATAAATAAATAAATAAAATAAATAAATAAATAAATAAAATAAAATAAGGACATTACTGTGATTTTCTTCTCTCAAATCCAAAACTCCAATCAAATTATGATAAACATTAGACAAACTCAAATTGAAAACAATATTTCTTCTAAGGTGACAAAGTCATGGAAATACAGTCATAAAAAGGAAACAAAATAAGCGTGAGTACAGTCACGAATTCAAGGAGACTAAGGAGACATACTGACGAAATGCAATGTGGTGTCCTGGTTTGATTTCAGGCATTAATGGAAAAACTAGTGAAATCTGAGTAAAATATGTAATATAGTTATTAGTATTTACCAACATTAATTTCTTAATATTTATAAACATACCATATATAGTAAAGTTAGATGTTAACATTTAGGGGAAGTTAGGTGAAAGGTGTATGGGAATACACTGTACTATGTATCTTTGCAACTGGTCTGTAAATCTAAAATTGTTTTAAAATTGTTTACTCTTTTACAAAAAGAGTAAAAGTGTAGTTTTGAACCCACTCCTGCTTTTCTTGAGTCACTGTGTGTCTATTCATCTAAACTCTAGAGGGAGCACAATGGTTTTCTGGTCAGAAGGATTTCCATCATCAGGACATCTTATGGTATGAATATGACAACTTGAGTTGAAGTTTAAAAGCATATGGGATTTCCATAAGTTACGTCACTAAACTGGGAGATGAATACTCTGATCACTGGTGGCTGAATATCTAAATAATTGGCTGTAGCTGCAGAGTCAATGGAATTAATTATTGTCTGCCTTATATTTTCTTCGGCCCATCATGCAGATTTACCAGAGCCTTTCTGTTGGCTAGTTTGAAATTTGTAGTCTGTCAGCTACCCTTATTAGTTATTTGCTTACTGCCATCGATAATAATGACAGTGATAAAATCTCATTCATATTCTTATAAAATCAAAGACTCAGACAGGGGATTCCCAATTTCTATTGCTAGAGATGTATCTCCCAGGGCTGTGACTGTTCACAGAATCTGAGTACACCTCCCACGGCAACTTCTTTTCCATATTCCTAAACATGCTATTAGTATGAAATTAATGAATTTTAAAAAAATCTGTTCCTTCTATATTTACATCATTTTCTAACAAAATACATAGTCAGCAAAATCTCTGGGCTCAGAATTTTTTGTTGTCTTCAGTAGCACGTCTAGCAAAAAACAGTGCCCCCTAGGTGGCTTCCAAATGTCTGTGAAAGTGTGAGTAGTGAGCAATTGCATCAGATAGTCATCTCTTCCAAAAGGCCAATGATCGATGCTATGTAACTCCTGATGTCTGCCCGAGGCTGCACTCACCATGGGTCTCTGTAGCCACAATTGCAGCAACAGAGAGGCACGTTTCTCACATGGCCCCAGAGGAGCTGTCTATCCTTTAGTTTTTTTAAATCTCTGTCAATACCTGCTGCTACTCTTTTTCAAAAACACTTTTTATGTGTCTGCTGGTATATAGACTCCCAAATGTGCATCTACAAGTACAGTATCATTCTTTCGAAATCCAGATAATCAGACCTCTGCCAAAAGACCGTACAACTATCATGTCAATAGTTTGTTTGGAATGATGGTAAGAGTAGTCTCAGAAACGACTTCAGCAAACCAAACAAGGAATATTTATTTAAAGAATACACAGGGATGTCAGTGCCATTCCAATCGTGGCACAACAATTAGAAAGACAGTTCAGGTCACTCAACATTTCAGGCTTTTGATCTCAAAGTTCTTACCAGAGATTTTAAGATTTCAGAGGACACCATCTGAATGGAGGGCCATTTCAGAACTCCTTCAGTCCTGGTATTTTATCGAGTAGCTTGAATAGTTTCACACATAGATTGATCTGAGCCAGATGAATCTCAGTGATCTTGGAGTTAATTAGTATTCATTGTGACTACTAGGGTACAGGACATAGCATTCTCGGACCCATTTATATTAAGAAGAGCATCCTTTCAGTCAATGCATTCATAATCCATGGGTTATTTTTTTTAAAGTTGGCTAATAGACTCCAAGGTCAAAAACTTCTTTATTTATATTTTCTTCCTAGGGCCAAGTCCACCTCTTACTCCCAACACACACACACACACACACACACACACACACACACACACAAAACACAAACACACACACTCCCACCCACCACTTTTATTCAAATAAATGGAGTTTGGGATATATCGAATATGGCTGGGCAACATCCTTCTTTGCTGAAAAGATTCAAAATAGTTGTTGAATATGTAAAAACTTTACAAAATATATTAAATATTTTTTGTGAAAAACCCCAAACTAGTGTAATTTTAGGGAGTAAATTTTATGCCAAAATATCCTGATATAGCCTGATGGTAGACTTCTGATTTTCAGGGAGTGACAGGCTGCTTGCATTTCAGGTCATGCCAACTCAAATTCATCCTTGAATCTCGCAAAAACACATTTTATAGAACAAAAAACAGCAGGCAATTTAAATAATACAAGCAAACACTCTCAAAACCTGCTGCTGAGTACCTCCATGTGAACTTGTTTTGTGTTTGGGCTTCAAAGGATCATAGGGAGGGCTGACAATTTGGGCTTCTTTGCTTCTTAGATAATTTAATTTAGGTAATTTAATTTAGGCAAGGAGTTTTGCAGGATTCAGCTAAATCTAATTAGACTACAGCTATAGTCCCCCAACTCTTCCTTCTTCTATGGATTTTTTTCAAACAATGTATCCTCCTCATTACATCCAGGGAGATATTTGTAAAATCCAAGTTACATCATATCATTCCCTTGAGTAATAGATCTCAAACACCTTTAGACAATAGCTAAAACCATAAAGTGCTTTGCCAGGTCAGAATGAGTTTGCCCTAGCCTTCCTCTGAAAACTTCTTATGTCACTCTCTCAGTCTTTATACTAGACATGAAAGACCTAGTGTCTCATGCTTTTTTCTCACCCGAGACCTTTGAAGAGGCAGTGCCTTTTCATTCCTTTCTAACCCTAGGGTTAATTTCTATTCACCCTTCAATTCTTAGCTTAATTGCAACTCCTCAGGGGAATACCCCTCAGCTCTCCACAGTGAATGAGGTCCATTATTAGATACTCTCATGCACTCTGTCCACATCACTTGGCATACCTTGAATTATTTAATTAATGGTTTGAAGTGATTTTTTTTTATCTGTATGTTTCCCGTTAGATTATAGGCCAAGAAGGCAGGTGTCATGCTGATTTCTAATTTCATTATTCCTAGCATTAACTACAATGCCCAGAAAATAGAGGTTACAAAATATTTTGGGATTGATTAACTCGTTAGAATTCTACTTTGGTGATGTGATACTAAAGTCCCACTTAATGACAAAGTGTTATTTTCGTTGCTTCATTCTCTGTGCAAAAATTTCCCTTAGGGAACTCTGAAGGAACTTGCAGGACAGGACATTGTTATTTGTTCCCCAGCCAAATAGTATCATAATTCAATGTTAATTGTGCATCATTCTTCACCATCTCTTAAAATTCATGCTCATTTTTCTTCCCTTTCTTTGTAACATTTTTGCTCAGAATTTAAAGTCTGTTTCACTAATGCCAAAAGTCATTGTTTTATAAAGAAATGAAGATTATTTAGAGATTTTTTTCCTTGAGGTTTCCTCATAAAATAACTTTAAAAACCTTTAAAGTATATTATATATATTATGAACAGATTATTTTATTCTTATTCAACATAGTATTTATTGCATATCTTGAATACATGACATTAGTTTCTGTTTTCATTTTTTAAAATTTTATATGTGTTTTATACCTTGTATTGAAGATAAAACAAGATGTGCAATGAGTAACTTAAACATGCTATTAGAAATTGCAGTTTGACATAAATGTATAACCAAACCCATTATAGACCACAGATTTAAACAGTAAAGTCTGAAACAGATGCATAAATATACACAGATTTTGAAGATAGCATTGAGAATTTTTTCTGTTTATTTCTGTTACATTAATAGCTACTTCAGATAAATCATAATATATTTACAAAAATACAACAAAAAGTGTGGATTTTAAACCCTACACATGAAACAAAAAGGAATTTTTAAATTATGACCTCACCTCAGTTCCTCAGTTCTGCAGAAATATTTTATTCATAATTACATTGGAAGAGAGAAAGAATGTACGAAACTCCTAAAGAACTGACATGCTCACAAATATCAAGCAAAACAAGAATTAACTAAATGGACTGCACTCAGAAAGTTAAAGCAAGCCTTTTAACTTTTGCTTGGAATACTGCTGATCCTTGATTTGTTTTTCAGAGTGAAGGAAACTTATTTTAAACTATTTATGGCCTTTAATAATTGAGTAAGGTATACTTCTATGAACAAAATTTGGAGCATGTTTATTTCTCCTTCTGGTTCCTCTAGAATTTGGAAACTATCTGTGAGTACTCTTAACTTTGGCAATATAGTTGTTTGCATCAATGCAATAAGAATCCATTTTTCTTTGTCAACAGTACATAATTGGAAAAACTGGTTATTTTATCAAGGCTTTAACTGAAAGGGTGTGTTTCCCTTTAAGTAATCAAGCTTGACATGCAGAGTCAATAAAAGCCCTTTGGGGAGAACTGTCCTCATACCTTGTCTACAGAGTCTCTGCAAAGGGTTCCTAACCTGTGGTCAGTAAAGAATGTCACTTTCTAACAGGTCCAGGAGTTCTGAGTTTATCTTGGGATCTCAGGAGGAGAGGATCACCCAGCTCACAGGTATCTGAGCATATAAACTCATGGCTGGGCTTGGCTTTAATTGTCTTATCTGAAATTCCTTGTGCCACAGTTTCATCAAAGCCAATCCAAAAGGCCTATGTAGAAATAACCATTCTTGCTGCACTTTATGCAAATAATCAGGCCAAGTATAAGATTATAGTTTATCCATAATTTGTTTTTACCAAAAATGAGGACTAGAGAGAAAAATTGTGCTTCAAAGCTTATCATACATTTGTCATTAAGTCCTAGTCTCATTAATTGTTTTCAAGCTTTCTGTCTACATTTTAGACTAACCCTGCTTATTCCTGTGAATCAAGTAGTGGTCTCCGGCAGCCTGGAAGAAAAAATAAGGGATGGGTAATGTAAAAATCTGGATCAGTATACTAGTTCTGGGCAATTATCCTGCAAATTCTGCCAGGTAATAAAAGTGAGTAGGGTGCTCATAACCCAGAGATTTCTTTATTTAGGAAAATAAAACCAAGGCACTTCATAGACCCCCAAAGGGGAATTCTGTATCTTGTCAAGTAAAATTTTAAATGCAAATTATCTACCACACCACACTTACGGAAACTGTTATACTCACTCTTTTATTTGCAGTAGAGTTATACATGGTAGCACCTTCTAACTGAAATATTAAACAGAGAGTTTCCATTGCTGTTGTATTTTGCTTAATTATTATCCTTATAGCAGGGGTAATAGTTACTAACAAAAAAAAAGCATGAAAGTTTTGCTATCACTGAGTCTGCTAGGACTTTTTATTGGGTTTAGTGATGCAGTTTTAAATGAAACATGCAGCTTTTAGATTAACACCTCTAGTAAAGTAAAGGAAAATCTACAGGTACTTACAAATCAAATCAAAATTATTGACAGGCTCAGGGAAAATGCCAGCTTCAGCCCTGAGTGGCTGCAATCCCTCTTTAATAAATTCCAGTCTTCTTTATGGAATTGGTTAACCCCCATGTTAAGCTCTCTCCTGCTTATATGTCTTGTATTGACATTTGGACCCTGTATATACAATACTGTAACTCAAATCGTTTCTTCTTGCCTAGAAGCTATGAAACTCCAAATGGTGCTGTAAACTGAAACACACATGGCCACACCATTCTTCCGAGGACCCTTAGAACCACTCCAGAAGGAGCCTTAGCTGCTGTACCCCATTCGACACCCCTTTTCAGCAGGAAGTAGCCAGAAGGAGTCATCGCCTAAAACCCCCTAACAGCAGTTAGTGTGGCATCTCCACAGGGGGACTGTTGTAGGAGTTATTAAGAAATTATTTTAGACAGTTAGAGAGGAAAAGGGGTCCCTGGGAAATTTTCAATTTTTAAAGCATCTCCGGAAAATTTCTTGTAAAGCCCTGGCTCTTAGAGCCAGGCTTGCAACTTTTGATATGCAAGTGCAAGTCATTAGAAACTGGATCCACTCAGGTAGCATGATGCATCACGCTACCTGACTTCAAACTATACTACAAGGCTCCAGTAACCAAAACAGCATGGTACTGGTACCAAAACAGAGAGATAGACCAATGGAACAGAACAGAGGCCTCAGAAATAACACCACGCATCTACAACCATCTGATCTTTGACAAACGTGACAATAACAAGAAATGGGGAAAGGATTCCCTATTTAATAAATAGTGCTGGGAAAACTGGCTAGCCATATGTAGAAAGCTGAAACTGGATCCCTTCCTTACACCTTATACAAAAATTAATTCAAGATGGATTAAAGATTTACATGTTAGACCTAAAACCATAAAAACCCTAGAAGAAAACCTAGGCAATACCATTCAGGACATAGGCATGGGCAAGGACTTCATGTCTAAAACACCAAAAGCAATGGCAACAAAAGCCAAAATAGACACATGGGATCTAATTAAACTAAAGAGCTTCTGCATGGCAAAAGAAACTACCACCAGAGTGAACAGGCAACCTACAGAATGGGAGAAAATTTTTGCAATCTACCCATCTGACAAAGGGCTAATATCCAGAAACTACAAAGAACTTAAACAGATTTACAAGAAACAAATCAAACAACCCCATCAAAAAGTGGGCAAAGGATATGAACAGACACTTCTCAAAAGAAGACATTTATGCAGCCAAAACACACATGAAAAAATGCTCATCATCACCGGTCATCAGAGAAATACAAATCAAAACCACAATGAGATACCATCTCACACCAGTTAGAATGGCGATCATTAAAAAATCAGGAAACAACAGATGCTGGAGAGGATGTGGAGAAATAGGAACACTTTTACACTGTTGGTGGGAGTGTAAACTAGTTCAACCATTGTGGAAGACAGTGTGGTGATTCCTCAAGAATCTAGAACTAGAAATACCATTTGACCCAGTGATCCCATTACTGGGTATATACCCAAAGGATTATAAATTATGCTACTACGAAGACACATGCACATGTATGTTTACTGTGGCACTATTCACAATAGCAAAGACTTGGAACCAACCCAAATGTCCATCAGTGATCGACTGGATTAAGAAAATGTAGCACAATGCACCATGGAATACTATGGAATACTATGCAGCCATAAAAAAGGATGAGTTCATGTCCTTTGTAGGGACATGGATGAAGCTGGAAACCATCATTCTGAGCAAACTATCACAAGGACAGAAAACCAAACACCGCATGTTCTCATTCATAGGTGGGAACTGAACAATGAGAACACTTGGACACAGGGCGGGTTACATCACACACTGCGGCCTGGGGCGAGGTGGGGGTGATGGGGGAGAGAAAACATTAGGAGAAATACCTAATGTAAATGATGAGTTAATGGGTACAGCAAACCAACATGGCACACGTATACATATGTAACAAACCTGCACGTTGTGCACATGTACCCTAGAACTTAAAGTATAACAACAAAAAAAAAAGAATAAAAAAGAAACTGGGTCCACTCAAACATGGACCTTCTTGCCTTTTCTCCACATGTTCCTGGCAACATGACCACCTCCATGTACCCCCACGTGTGTAGAATATCATGGTGCCCTGCATTTGCATATTACAGAGCTAGGGTGGCAGGACCAATTTTTACGCGGGCTATGTGAATAACATGCTTAGTCAAACCAATCCTCTGAGCCCTATGCAAATCAGACACTGCCTCTTCCAGCCTCTGTATATATACCTAGCTGGTATCTGTGGCAGGTGGAGTTCTCTCTCTTGGCTTTGGAGCACACCCCTGCCCCGCCCACCACCCCCCCCGCCCCGCCCCCAGCCCACACACACCTCTGTACAGGGGAGCTTCTTCCTTCTCTCTTCCTTCTTGCCCCTTCTTGCCTATTAAACTCTCCACTCGTTAAAACTGGTGGCAGGCGCCTGTAGTCCCAGCTACTCAGGAGGCTGAAGCGGGAGAATGGCGTGAACCTGGGTGGTGGAGCTTGCGGTGAGCCGAGATCGCGCCACTGCACTCCAGCCTGGGGGACAGAGGGGGACTCCGTCTCAAAAAAAAAAAAAAAAAAAAAAAAACAGTGAAAAACATTTATTTTTACCTTGAAAATAAATACAGCAATGTGTCAATGCAATCAGTGTACACTTTAAAACTGTAAAATAAACTTATAGTTAACTTATACTATTATTTTTCCATAAATTTTGGAATGGTGATAAGCATAAATGTTTCTGTAATCTTGTAATTGACATTTATTCGTTTTTGTTTACTTTGAATCTGAACTCCATATCTATATTTAGGAACTCCCAAAACTTATAAATGTGGGTAGAAGGAAGAGCCCACTGAAGCTGAAAACACCAAATACTTGCTTTTGCAGCATCATTTGAGCTTGGGTGTGACGCTTAGGCTTAGCCAATCCAGTGAACTTGCTCAAGACATTGAACCTGGCTCCAGGGACAAAAAATAGTAAGGAATAAGGGAAAGTAAATTCGTGGGTGAGGGAGCAACTCCAGCATCACCAGGTCTTTAAATGCAGCAAAAGTAGTGGTGGTGCCCTGCGAAGAGCAGTTACAGCAACCGTAGTCCAAGTCATGGCAAAGCAGAACTCAGTCAACATGGTTTTGTGATAGAATCATACCACATGCTCACTGTGCAACATTCCTGGGAATTCTATGGGTGACTGATGTGTATTAATTATTCAATATCCACTTAAGACTTTTCTGCTTTAATGAGTCACACTTAGTTTCTGTTGCTTTGAATCCACATTCCTCACGAAAACAGTGTCTACACTTTACAAAATGCACATTTATCTACATTGATTAGCAATAAATGTAGCTCCAAAATTCTAATGTATTTTAAACCCTGGTATAGGGTATTCTAACTTTCAGGTATTCTAACTTACGAAATTATAAAAAGGTTATATGTAATTTTTTTCATAGTAAAACCAGTTATCTTTAAGCAATAATTTATAACTAACTCACCACTTTTAGAAATACTATATATTTGGTTTGTTGTTGTTCTAAATAGTGAACTTCTTTGTGTTATCATATGATATGACTTTTAGACTGTTAAAATAATGTAATGGATGATCTCCTGGATAACTTATGATATTCCTAAGGGAGTGGAATTACTTTATACAAAAAGCATCATGTCACCAATGTTTGGCATATCTTCTATCAAGAAAAGAAGATGAAATCTTAGAGAGTTAAGTAAATTGTCCAAGGTTACAGAATACTACTAAGTGGAGCCGGAGTGCAAATTTAGGTGGTCTGGCATATTTGGAAACATCACGCAATTGTACACCCATTCTTTACCTCTTTATATCTGGGTTAACTCTATGGCTACTTTGACCAATTAAATACAAGCTTAGCCCTTATTTGGCCTGGAAGCTTCCACTTCATGCCTCGTAAGGGCCAATTGTGTAGAGACCTCAAGTGGTCCCAAGGGAGTGGCCCCACAGCTCCTGGCTGGCAACCCCAACTGAGATCCTACCTGATAGCCACTACCAACTTGACACTATGTTAGTGAAGATGAGGAAGCCATCCTTCATATTTCACCCTCAGTTTTTGAACTATCTCATCGGAGGTCCCAGACATCAAGTAATAGATTTTGATCTGATGCCATAATTGGATGAGGCTTTGGGAATGTTGGGTATGGTGTAAGTGTATTTCTCATTTGAATTGTGGCTGCAGGCCAGCTGTGAACTGACTGTATTTGCTGAAAATGCTGCAATAACATCTCTCATCACACATGTTCTTCTTCATTATAATCTTGCCACAGCTCCATCAGGAGGTGAAGTATTTTTCCTTGTATCCCCTTGACTCTGGCCTTTGACTTATTTGACCAACAGAATAAAGTAGAAGAAAGTTCTGGGTGTAGCTGTTTACCTGACTGGCAGCCCTCTTTTGATTTCTCTGGGAACCAAGCTTCTCTGCTATGAGGAAGCCTTAGAGAGGAACACATAGAAAAGAAACAAGGCCTCCAACTCACGTTCTTGAATTATGATGTCAGTGAAGAAAACACCTTGAATATTCCAGTCCAGTCATTTGATCTATTCCAACTGAGGCTTCAATCCTTGGGGAATAAGAAGAGATCATCCCTACTATTGCCCTGTTAGAATTGCTGAACCACAAAACCGTAAGATTGCTTTATACCTCTAACTTTTGGAATCTTATGCAGCATTAAATAATGATACCATTTTTACTGTATACCAATTCTCTTTCAGGTGTTGGACATATAACAATGAATAAAATAGGCTATATCCTGCTTATATTTGAGTGAAGAGAGACATAAAAAATAAATGTTTAGTAGTAAGAAGAAAAGATTTTACATAGTGATACATTTTATAATAGAATACATACATGCATAAAAGTGGAGACAATCCAAGGTCATGTTACGTTGAGTGCCTCAAGAGGAAATTGGTAACTTTAGGCAGAAAGATTATGAAAAAAAAATTCTGAAGAGGTGAATAAGCTGGGATTCAAATGATGAAAGCAGTCATCCATGAGATATCTTGAAGGTTGTAGACCCTGAAATGATTTTGGCATAAGCAAGTAGGATAATGGAGGCCAGAGAAGCTAGAGAGCAATAAAGGCAGGGGAGTATATGAGATGTTCCTAGGTCCTCTGGAACAGAGAGGTGTCCAGGAACATTGTGAGCTAAGACAGGAGCTTAGTTTTCATTGTATGAACAATAGGAACATACAGGAACAATAGGAAACCATTGAAGGGCTCAAATAAAAGGAATAATATGGTCCAATTTAATTTTATTTATAATTTAAATTTTGGAATAATTTTAGATTTATGGAAAAGTTGCAAAACTAGAGTTTCTTTGTATCCTAACCCAGTTTCTCTTATTGTTAAAAGCTTTCATTACCAGGATTTGCCAAAAATAAGAAACTAATATTAGTACATTATTATTAACTAAATTACAGACTTAATTTTGATTTCAATTCGAAGGAAAAGGTAAGGAATAGTGGCTGAGCAGAAAATCTGGCTTCAGTGTTTAAAATCCCTGCTTGGTGGGAGGGACAAACTTTGAGACAAGATCCACAGGATCCAAGGACATGAGGAAGACAAATGGTACAGGGTTCAGACTGGTACCAGGAAAGAGTGCCTTCATGTCCTGTACAACTGAGGAGACCCTGTATTTCCTGTTCAAAACAGTCTTCCTTCATGGGATTAGCAAATATAGGTCAGTGCATTTAAAATCTAGTTAGGCAGGACTTTGCACCTATCTGTCATAGTGGAATATATTTTAGCCCAAAGGATGGTGAGATGAATCTGTACCCACAGGGAATCACATTCATCATGTTACAGTAGAAAGTAGTAAAGAAGTGACACAAATGGAATCAGGTTGTAGTGAGTGAACCACCAAGAGAAGAAAATTTAAAATAGCAGTTCCAGACCCTTTTTATCTCAGGCCCCCTTTACACTAGTAAAATTATTGAAGGCCCTTCAAAGTTATGTGTTTTTGAATGATCTCAATTAGTGTATTAGAAATTAAAAATGAAAAATATAAAATATTATTAAATAACTTATTTAAAAGTAACCATAATACACTCATTACATTTTAACATGAGTAACATATTTATATGACAAATAACTATATTTTTCAAAAACCATAAGATGAAGAGTGGCACTGTTTTACAATTTTGTAAATTTCTTAAAGATTGGCTTAATAGGAGACAGCTACAATTTCATATTTTCTTCTTCTTTTACTCTGTTGCAATAAAGGCATCATGTACCTTCTGGGAAATTACGCTGTACACTTGTGAAGAACGAGAGTGAAAAAAGCAAATATTGTTTTACTATTATTTTGAAAATGTTTTTGACCTCATAGACCCTCTGCAAAGGACTTCCAGGGATCCCAAAGAACACTTTGAGAATCACAAGGCTAAGGGAATCACATGGTTGGGATGGATGCTTGTAGGTGCTGTTGCTGCCGTTGCTGGATAGGATGTTACCAAAAATAAATATAATTTTCTTTAGTATTTTGGCTAGGGCTTGCTCTGTGTTCATGATACCAATATTAGAAATGCGACATTTATTTATTAGATGCTTTCCCATATTTTGTCTAATTTACTTCCTGTAAACACCGAATTGTCCTTTATCCTGACAGAAATTGTTGAAACCCACTTTGATACAGAAGGAATATGAAGTTCAACGTGGCAAGTAACTTGTCTTGACATGCACAACCAAATAATAGCAGAGATTGTCTCCCATGGCTATGTTCTTTCCAGAACATCTATGCTTTCCCCTTAAGCAATAATTTCTCAATACAGCAATAATTAGGACTTATGGGAAAATGAAGATTACTTGTAAATATAGTACAAAGAAAGGACTTAAATAAAGCCTTATGTGGGGAACTTGAAAACGGACAGAAGCCATAGGTCAAATGTGAGGAAAACAGATTTTTATTGTATTAGCATAACAGTAACTACAACAAAAATGATGACATCTACTGAATAAAATTAAAGCTTACATGGAGAGCATCTTTTGGGATGGGTGGTTCACTTAAGCACCCCTGACAGGCATTCTATGGAGAAAAAATCAGTTGTATTTTGGAGGAATTGAGGGAAAGGAAAAACTCAGGGGTAGTTAGCCTGAAGCACCTATACTGGAAGACATGAGAGTCATACAGACAATTTGGGGAGCCATGATTGGAGATGTAACAAGGACTTCAGAGTCAGCTCTTTGGCTTATCATCTACACAATTTATATAAATTCCATTTCAGTAAACCTATATATCCACAGAAAGAGTTTTTATAAAGTTTTTTAAATGTGGAATATAAGATTTCAAGTGTGTAGCTTATCTCATTTCATTATTCTTGCTGCCAGATTCACTTTATTTCTGCATAAAATGGTGACACCTTGGGTTATTGGGTTGGTTTTTCCTTTGTAAATAACTCCAGCACTTTCCTCTGATAGGCAATTCAGATTATTACTTATGAGAGCCATCAAGCTGCAGATACATTTAGCTGCATCAAAAATAAAATACCCATTGCCTTACAATTCATGATATGTCCAGAAAGCTTAAATATTTTAGTATGTGTAATATATTTTGTCACTGTAAGTCACTTTCACAACTGACTGTGCAAAAAGTTATCAGATGGTTGCCAATATTTTCTCAATTTTGAATCTACCTGCATGTCATTTGCTAAACAGTTTCCAAGACTAAATCATATAAAGAATTGCTATAATGTTTATAAGAATGGAGGTGCATCCAATGTTATCTACAGCTAAAATGAAACATGTCCATAGTACTGGGGCTTTTGTCATCATCTTATAACCACATCTGGCATGAAGATATAACCATGTCACACTTATCTGTCATTATAATGAAATTCATTTAATTTTCTTTCTTGACAATCAAATGATGGCATAATAAAAGGCAGAGGAAAGTTATGTTAATGTTTATGTGAGAGTGAGACAGATAACCCACCCTCATGTCAATGATGTCTGCTGGGGATAGTTTCAGCTTCTACATAGAGGTAAGGAATGTATTATTTATAATCCAAGATAATAATCCATTTAATTACTGTGTGCGTTAGTTTCCTCCTGGTGCTGCAACAAATTGCCACAAGTTTTGTGGCTTCAAACAACATCAACTTGTTATCTTACAGTTCTGAAAGCCAGAAATTTGAAATGCGTCTGAAGAGGTTAAAAATCAACATGTCAACAAAGCTATGTCCCTTCTCAAGGCTCCAAAGGAGAATCTTTTTCTTTGACTTTCCTAGTTTCGTGAAGCCCCACACATCTCTTGGCTCATGGTCTTTTCCTCCAGAGGAAATCACTCCAACTTCTGCTTCCATTCTCCCATCTCATTTTGTATCCCTCCTATAAAGCTTATGGTTACATTGAACCCACCCATACAATCCAAGATAATCTCACTATCTCAAGAACCCTATTTTAATTAAATCTGTAAAGTCCCTTTTGCCATGGAAGGTAACATAATCACTGGTTCTGGGAATTAGGACTTAGGTGTCTCTGGAGGTCATTATTTTGTTTATCAGACAAAGACACTTGATTACTGATTCGCTCATGTACCTGCCCAAATTGCAAATGCTTACCAAGTAATTGCAAATTATCCTACAAGATAATTTGCCAGGTAAAAAGCAGAGATTCTGCCATCAAGTCGCTTAAAGTCAAGCCTGATATGATGAGTCTGATATGATGAGTTTGATACAGTGACTTTATTGGACCACAATTAAAAATCATACAGTGTTATAAGAGCAAGTTAGATGAACAGTCAAACTATACTATGGGGCTCATGGCAGGTTTTCTGGAGGAGGCAACAGTGCAAAGAAGAGCAGAAAAATGAATGGTAGATAGCCAGTTAAGCTGCACGTGATGTGAGGGAGAAGGAAGAGAATCACATGAATTCCATCAAGTGTCTAGTTGGCTTTCTATACCACCTGTACCTGCAATCCATTGGTCCTACTCCATTACATTCTCCCTCATTTTCTTCACTAACTTCTAAATCACCTTAAAGCCAATGGATCACCTTTATAATCATTCTTCCATGCCCACTCACAATTCCTTTATTTTTCTTCTACATTTTTGCCAAATCCAGAACACACTAATTTATCCCAACTCTTTGACATCTCTATACCTGCATCTATGCAGCTGAGTGAAGCAGGAGAAAAGCACACATATATACTGTCTGGTTTCTTTACCTTTATAACCTTGAATATTAGATGAGCTCATAATGCTACCTAGAAATCCTAATACAGTCCCCTAGGCCAGTTATTCTCTCATGACCCTAGGCAGCTATTCCACATCTCTGGCTGTCTCCTCAAATCGCCATCAATTTCTCTTTTCTTGGCTGATAATTCTGTCTTCTATCTCATTGTGAAAATAAAACAACTGGAAATGAAATTATACAATCTTGCTCCACCATATCTGTCCACCTATCCATCTATCTATCTCTCTATCCTAGTGCCTCAAATTTACAGAAATCATATCTTCTTTGCTTTCTTTTATCACTGAACTGCACTTCTAGTCCAGTCTTCCCACCTGTACAACAGTTCCCATGTGTTTTCCAACTCCGCGTAGATAGTATTTCAGGAATTCTGCTTTCTCATGCACTGAAAATTTTTCTTTTTCTCTACTGAAACATTCCATTAGCATACAAGAATGTTGTTGTTACATGATCTTAAAAATAAAACCCCTCTCCATTTAATATTTCTCTCCAGTGATTAGCTCATTTTTCTGCTTCCCTTTGTAGTAACATTTCTCAAAATAGTACACATACTCCTTTCTCTCTTTTAAATATCTCTTAAACTTATTTCACGTAAGGTTTTATTCTGTATACTTTAGTGAAACTGCTTATGCAAGAATGCTACAAATAATAATTCACACTCTTATAATACTTACTATGTTCCAGATACTTTATAAAGGCACTTTATGAGACTATCTAATCCTTACCACAACATGCAAGGTAGCTAGTAAGAAGTGTAGGTGGGAACAAAATCCATGTAGATATTGCCTAAATCCATACTTTTGGCCACTACACTATATTGCCTCTCTAACACACAAATAACCTCTACATTTCCAAACCTCATTTCAATTCTTAGTCCTCATCTTTTTTAACGTATCAGTTAACAAATTGATTATTTTTGTACTTTAAAAAAGTTATTTTTCATTGGCTTTTGGGACCCCACATTTCTCTGATTTTCCTTCCACTTCATTTCTTATAGGTTTCAAAAGGAACAGAGTAGATGAACATAAGAAACATATGGTTCCTTGTGCTTAAGGATGTGGTGTTTAGTTATGCAGAAGGTACACTGGTGAGCAAGTAATCTTTCTACAAAGTTTTAAAAGGGATAAATTCAAAATGCTGTGGTGTTTAGAACCAGAAGTTACTAACTTTCCTGTTAGTATTTCAAGTATTTCAAGAGGAGTAGTACTTAGGCTACATTTTCAGATATAAATAGTAGGATATTAGATTGAGAAAATGCAAAAGAATGTTCCAAGTAAACTGAAAGCCTGTGTGAACACAGGATGTTTGAGAAATCATGTATGAAGCTAATGTGGCTATTTTCACCTCCAATTCAATGTCTCTTTATTTGATTTTGAATCAGTATGCTTCAGAATTAGGCAAAATTACCCAGAGACACAGCAACATGCAGTAGTGTAGTTTCACTTTTTAGCCACATCCACATTAGATTCCTTCATAGAAATTTCAATAAATATCACTGCCCAGCCTGTGCCCTCAGGGCTTATGATTAGTTTTTCTGGGATGCAGCCTGAGCATTGGTGTTTTAAAAAGCTCCCCAGGTAAATCCAATGTGTAGCCTGAGTTGAGAACTACTGGGCTAGAACATAAACAACGTTGAGGAGAATTAGCTAGAAATCAAGTCTGGAGGTCGAGTCCAGGCTAGCTAGTAAAGGTCTTTTAGGCTGTGCTGGAGAGTTTGAATATTATCTTATAAATAATGTAAGGTTGAAGAGGGTTGTATGCAGGATCATGATGTGATGTAATCGGTGTTCTCAAAACAAAAATAACTTTAGAGAATGGTGAGAGTTGGGGTATGGAATGTTGTTGCAATAACATTGGCACAGGTTATGAGGTGAGCCTCTTGTCTTAATTCTGCCTGTACCTAGTATAGTGTTTGGTATGTTTGTCAGATGCCAAAGAAGAGAGATATATAGGCTAGTAAATGTGATTTGCTGGTTGGGTAAACTATTGAGGGGGAGGGTTCAACATTTCTCTTTTGTTTTAATATAAAGATCTCAGTTATGTTTTTTTTAAAAAAATTAAATTTATTAAATTTATAAATTATTTAATAAGCCTGGAAATGAGTGAGGGGAGCTAAGGCAAGCATATCTGAGTGGTTTGAAGCAATCAATTTACCTTTAAAGATGCAAGATTATTTTTGTGTTGAACATAAGTCTGTCTCTTATTTCTCCGCAAAGTCATGCACAATTATAGCTTGAAAATCTTGATTAGGATCCATTGTGATCTACTCACAGCATCTGAGGCTTTTGTTAAAAAAAGGAAGGGAGATTATTTCAAGAGGTTTTCAACATAATCTAGGGTGAAGTGGAAGTCAAAGGAGAGAGTGAAGATGAGAAGAATGAGCAGCGTTTCATTTCATCAGCTAATGTGGCTCATTCTACACTGGCCTTCTTGAAGCTCCTGAAAGAGATTAACATTCTCACCTCCGTGCCTTTGTACTCTGTTTCTTGTGCTCAGAACATTATATATCCAGATTTTAGCATAACTTACTCCTTCTCTTGTTCCATATTTCTGCTCACATATCACCCCATCAGAGAAGCATTTTATATACCCAACTCTCCACTCCACCTTGTTAGTGACTTCATCTTCTTCCTCTGCTTCTTTTTTCTTTTCTCTCACAAGACCCATCACTGCCATAAATGAATGAACTCTTCCTAGAAAGAAAAACAGTGTGGGCATGGAAGGAAGTATTTATGTCAGGAATGAAGCAAAGAAGGCAGGAAATTATCTTAATAGGAAAGTTTTTCTTGTGAAAGATAACTATTTCTGCTTTTAAGTCCCAAACTCCATACTGAAGAGTGGATGTTACCAATTTCTTTCTCAATACAGTAAAAATAGAAAATAAAAAAGCAAGAATAACTTGAAACAACATGAGCATATTGGCTGTATAATGAAGAAAATAAAGGTAAAAATGTTGAAATTTAAATTTTCAGAGCTTTCACATCCTCAATTCATAGACAGTTCTGATAACATCATGAACACATTCTCACTTTTATTCAGTGGACATTTCATCTGTGAGAACTGCTACCATTCAGGTCACGCTGAGAGAGAGGCTTTGTTAAGGAATAGAAAATGCAAAGCTCTTTGAAATCAAGAATCATATCCATAGTGTTTGGCATAATATTCCAGGGAACTAGAATGATAAAAATTGTTTATTTCACTTACTAAGGTATTTTCTGAGAACCTTCCACATCCCAGGTACAGCACTAGGCCTTGGCCATGGAGGGGTGAACAAAACAAGCTTACTGCCCTCATAAAGCTTAAAGTTTATCAGGGGTAGATATATTTTAAATAAATTATTAAAGAATTAATAGATAATGTATAGTTATATAATTTATGTTTTAAAAGTAAAAAAAAAGAAGGCAAAGACAGTTCAAACTTTCTGGATATAAATGATCATAAGTATTTGAAAAGTCATGTATTATCTCTAAAGATCATCATCAAATGAATAAAATTATCCCACATTTTCCACCAAGTTTGGCATAGAAATAGAATCAGGAAAAGATAAGGATAAAAGGATCAGGCTTATTTCCTGTAGAACTAGATGAGGAACATACCTTGGGATTGGATTTGAGTCAGAATTAGGGTTTCTCTGCCTTTTTCCAGTCCAGACCTCAGGATTTAGTTACTTGGAGAATGAGGCTTATATGGACTATGATAGTGCCAGGAAGTATAGCTTGTAAATTTGTAGCCTCCTGTAGTGACGAAACCTCCCCTATTAATGGAACACTACAAGTCAAACACTGATGCAGGCGAAGGGCTATCCCTTAAAAAGAAATGTCTCAGACTGGTTGATCCACGCGTACTCAGAACTTTTGCCGATCTCTCCAATCAAACAACTGGACACGTTACTGTTGTCAATGCGAGGAGTGTGCAAGAAGAGAAGGAAGGGTCAAATCTATTTGTCCAATACTTCTAAGAAGGAGAAATCTCTATCTTCTAGCCTTCCAGAAAAGGAGATGAAATGGATGATTCTTCCCACATTATAGGTCACTAAACATTGAGTACACATGTACACAAAGAAGGGAAGAGTAGACACTGTGGCCTACTTGAGGGTAGAGAGTGGAAGGAGGGTGAAGATTGAAAAATTACCTATTGGGTACTATGCTTATTACCTGGGTGACAAAATAATCTGTACACCTAACCCCCGCCACATGAAATTCACTCATGTAACAAACTTGCACGTGTACCCCCGAACCTAAAAATTGGGAAAAAACAAGTATTTGAAAAGGTTTCCTAAAGCATTGAAAATGCAACATGTTAACCATCACTTTGAAAGAAAAAGTACAGAATAAAATAAAAAGAAATTAAATTTAAAGTTTAGAGTGGTATGAGAATACCACTCTAAACTTCTTCTCACTGCTGTGAGGATATTCATTTGTGTTTCACAGACACAAGAGATGGCATTCTTAGAGTGTCAAAGCCGACACTCAGTGATCATTTGAAGCACAGCGGAAATACATAATTTTCCTGATCATAGCAGAAGCTAATAGCAAAGAAAACACTAAAGCCTGGATCTTCTGACTATAAGTCCATTTATCCTGTGTTATGTCAACTATGCCATGCTTATTTATTTTTAGCTTAGAATATTCCAGCAGCTTGTTCATTATTTTTTGAACTTCTGGATATCTATCGTAGAATACAATTTTACCTACCCCATGTTTAAAAATATGTTAATATTTTTCAAATTTGCTTCTCAGCCCTTTAAGTAAATAGACAGATAAAGAAATGAAGCAGATACAATTAAAACCCTTTCCCCCAAACTGCCCCATTTCTCTACTCATTCCTTCCTTCCTCAGGGGAATTTTTCTTTTTCTTTTTCTTTTTTTTTTTTTTTTTGAGATGGAGTCTCACTCTGTTGTCCAAGCTGGATTGCAGTGGTGCGATAGTGGCTTACTGCAACCTCTGCCTCCCAGGCTCAAGCGACTCTCCTGCCTCACCCTCCCGAGTAGCTGGGATTACCAGCGCCCGCCACCACACCTGGCCAATTTTTTTTTTTTTAGTTTTAGTAGAGACTGGGTTTCACCATCTTGGCCAGGCTGGTCTCGAACTCCTGACCTTGTGATCCACCCACCTTGGCCTCCCAAAGTACTGGGATTACAGGTGTGAGCCACCGTGCCCGGGTGGAATTTTTTTTTATTTCCATTTGTGTAGTATGTAGCCGTATTTGCTTCAAATTTGTTCATAAATATCTTACTCTGTATATCTTTTTCAACTTGTTTCTTTTCTTCAGGGTTTTAGTTTTGAAATTTATCTATGGTACCATATATAGTTTTCACTTGCTCATATTACATGTATGATTATTTTTTATAAATTAGCAATAATTTGTCTATTCTCATAATGGAAGACAGTTTAGTTAACCAATTTTATTGTTAGGAACAGTGTTACAACAAACATCCTTGTGCACTTGTATAAATGGCATTATCATGTGGTAGTGTATATGTATATTCTAATTTATAGATTTTGTCCAATTGCCCTCTAAAATGGTTAAACCAATATACTGTTATAGCAGCAGCAAAAGTCCTTATTTGCCCATATCCTTGACAACAATGGATAGTATTAAATTTTGTCAGTCTAAGTGAAAAAATGGTATTTCATTGTTTCAATTTGCATTTTACTGATTACTAATGAGGCTGAAAATCTTTCCATATATTTATTATCAAGTATATTCTTATATACCTTGATAATATTTTCTATTGAGTTATTATTATTATCTTTTCTTAATGTCAGAGTTATTTATACATTTCCGGAACGAATCCTTTGCTGACAATAGGTGTTGCAAATATTCTCTCCCAATCTGCTAGTCATTGGGTTGTCTTTGTACTTAAACTTTTTATTATTATTACCATAGAGTTAATTTTTAGTGAGCCTGTGCCTCTGGACTGTGGACTTCACAAGTGTTTCTCACCTTTTTAATCCCTGACTTATGCGAGATAGAATGGCTAAAGTGGGATAGAGTAGGATATGTCGCTTTCTCTAGATCAGTTAGACTCTAAAATCCCAGCAGGTTAGGCTCTGGTTAACTAGTTTTTCCTGAGGGCAGGTCTTGTTAACAAGAACAGAATATTCTGTAGTATTTCAGTACAGTTCCTTTTCCCCTACCCTCGCTGGAAGCATGGGGGAATTTTTCTGTGACATTTAGTGTGAGAACCTGGTTGAGCTCTTGGAGGTAAAGCTCACAAAAGCATGGGGCACCCCACTATGACTGGGTCTCCCTGGAGTTTTAACTCCCAGACTCCTTCACACCTAGCTTCTAGTAATCTGTCAATTAAAGTTCAGATTTTCCTACCACGCACTGGTTCCCGGAGTTTCTTCTCTGATAATTTGTAATTCTCTGTATCCACCTGTCTGTATCTCCATTTAGGAACACCTGTTTGCCCTGTGACCTTACTTCTCTTACAAATCTAAAAAGAGTTTTTGATTTGTCAGTTTGTTCATCTTTTTATTTTTTAGAGCAAAGTGATGACTTCCAAGCTCCTTACGTGGGAACTGGAAACTAAAAGTCCCCACGGTTAATTTTTATATGACCATTAATTTTTTCCTTAATATAAGGTCAAACTTTTCAGTCTTTTCCTTTACAGTTTATGCTTTTTGAGGCTACTTCAGAAGTCCTGTTTGATCCCATTGTCTTAAAAACGGTCTCCGTGCTTACTGTTTTTTGGGGGAAGGTGTAAATTCAGGGGGTACAAGTGCAGCTTTGCTACATAGATATATTACAGAGTGCTGAAGTTTGGGCTTTTAGGGTAAGCATCATCTGAGTTAGTATACATTGTACGCATTAAGTAATTTCTCATCCCTCACCCACTCCTGCCCTCCTACCTTTCAGAGTCTCCAATGAGTTGTATGCCACACTCTACGTAAATGTATACACTTTATGCGGCTCATACATATAAGTGAGAACACGCAGTATCTGACTTTCTAATTCTGAGTCATTTCACTTATCCATACTTACTCTTTTAGTTTGATTTTTTCACATTCTATATTTTTCCATCTGCATTTTGTTTTTGTATGTCATTTAAGGTGGTAGTATAATGTAGCTTTTTCATATAGTTGTAATTTATAAATATACACATGTATATATTTAATATATGTATTTAAATATATATATTTGATTAGTCCATCTTTTCCTCACTAATATTTAAACTACTTCTGTCATATATTACTTATTATATATTTTATCAGCTTCCTATTACTTTGTCTATTCCTGTCAAATTTAGAAAGATATCTGGTAGAATGACTTACCCCCTTACACTCATTCTTCACAATTTTCTCAGACATTTTGGGTCTCTTATTTTCTCATATGAAATTTTGCATCAATGTTTCTAGGTCTCTAAAAAAGTTAATATGGCATTTTTTGTTGGAATGACATTGAAATTATTATTTTTGTCTATAAACTGGGACAAAATAAGTTTAAGTTTCTGTATATATTATAATCACTTTATAGCTGTCTTTTGATTTGAGATAATACCTAGGTCACCTTAACTGAAGTTTTGTGTTTTCCTAAAACTCTTCATTCATGGATGTAGTGTTTAGGTTTAGCTCTTCAAATGGCTAATCACATGTAATGTGTGTGATATTTTACCAGTTTACCTCTCAAAGGGAATTCTCATTTTTAAATCTGTGTCGAGCACATCACTGAATCTAGGTTTTATTCACATTGGCTTATGAGACTTGCAGTGATCTTGCTGCTACCTCTGGTATCTTCAATGATTACCTGTGTTTATCATAATCATTATGCTTATGAAGTTACCTGTTTCTCCTTTGATACTCTGTATACACAGAAACTTTGGCTAAAAAGAAAGAGCTTCCCAACTTCTGACCCACTTTTCAATGTGAAATTCTTGAACAGCTTTATAATAACATCCAACCTAGTTTTTAAGGACATAAAAAACTGTTATGGCTGACTCAGAGTGATATGTTTCTTCCCTCATGGAGACACAGGATACAAGGTTAGTATTAAATAAGTATGTATCAGCTACCCACTGATGACACTCGAAAACTGGTGCCCTATGTCCCAGGACAGGAGGAAATGAATCTCCCATCTCAAAAAGAGAGAGAGTGAATTCACCCTTCCTCTGCCTTTTTGTTTAATTTAGGCCCTCAAAGAATTGGATGATGCCCACCCACCTTAGTGAGGGCAGATCTTCTTTAGCCAGTCTATTGATTCAAATGCTAATATCTCTTCTGTAGACACCCTCACAGACAGAGCCAGAAATATTATTTTACCAGCTATCTGTGTATCCCTTAGACCAATCAAGTTGACTAATAAAATTAACCATCACAAATGCTTTTACTGTATTATCCTGTCATGGAACTAATTTTAATTCATATGATTTGAAAAAAATTATATGCAACTGCACAGCCATTAACAAGACTAACTCAAAAATAATACAAACTATCTAGATTTCATGAATATGACCCTCCAATCTATGCCACCTGCAATATTTAAAAAAGTAGAAATGATGTGAACTAACGTGTATTTGAGTTCTAAAATGTTGTTACGATACTCACTAGAAAATGAAATATTACAGTGAAATCTATGTATTTTAATTTTATTCAATCTTTTCTATTGGTCAGTTTTCCCATGAGAAGACTTACTGAGTAATTTACGCTTTAAGAGTAATTTAGTTTATAAAAACAAAAATTTGTTTTAAGATACCACGATTCCTTCTAATGATTTACTTCTTTTAAGCCACTTGTTTTTTTTCTTTCCTTGAGGAAAATTTCATTAGAATTCAGACTGCTTTTTGCCTCTAAAGGCTTGAGCTTCTGTGAAATGATACTGCTCAAATGACTTAAATGTATATTCATTTTCCTTTGCAGCTCCACTAATGGTTTTATTATATGCACATAAATATTTGTATTTTATTTCAATTTGGTGAATAGAAATATGATTTAAACAAAAAGGATGTTTATTTGATCTTGATGAAAAGTGCAAAAGAAAGATTTTTTTAAAACTATTTGCATGATTTAAGATAGTCAGACAAATGGATTTCCAAATGCTGGTGCCAAAGGAGCCAAAACATAATACCACCATCCCAGAAAACTGTGTTTATGAGCATACAGCTCACAGGTGAAGCAGCAAGAGAAAGAAGAGTCTGTGCTGGGGAAAATGCTGACAGATGGCAGATTTGTTGATTCCTGCCTCTCATAATGAAGCAGGATGCTCAGCTAGAGTTGCAAGCCAGATATTAATGCATTTTTCATTTACTAAGTCCAATACGGTTTTATCGCTGTAATGGGTAATGTTTTTAGCTGCTGTAAGACAGCAGACAATTTATTCAAATATTAAATTAGATTACTAAAGGTAAAGTAACATTGCCAGAAAAACAAAATTAAAATAAATCCCCAAATAGTGCAACATTTTAAAAAAAGGTCCAAAGATAAAGGACAAAGGTTTTTAATTACACCCTAGAGGAAGTCTTTACAATAAATTCATTGCGTGTGTGTGTGTGTGTGTGTGTATACACACACACAATCATACATATAAAATTACTTAAAAGAGATTTTTCTGGGTCAGGTATTCAGGTATATTTTATATAATGTAAACAATACGTATTGTCTCTTAGTTCTAACCTACCTTTCTATACTCTGCCTTGTGATACTGGGTCTAGGATTCTGAAGTTCAAGTCTATGCTTTGCCAGCAGTCTCCCCATTAAACTCCACGAATAGAGGCTGCTAGAGGGAGGTTAGGAGGCTAGGGACTCATTTTCTTTTATTTTACTTCTATTGGCTCTGTGTTCCTATGAGAATCACCCTACTGGCAAACTTCTTCTTTTTTTTTTTTTTTAACAGCAGCAACAGTACCTTCTCATGTCAGCATTTGAGTTCAGTACTCACAAGACCGTTCTCAAGGTAGCTTCCTCAGACACTTCAACTCTCAGGTTTGATTCCCAGGCCTATAGGGCCCCTTCCTCAAATTCAAAGACACCAGTGCCAGCTGAGCAGCTTACTTTTCTCAGATGTCTACATTTCACCTCCCTAGGACATCCCCAAGCTTCTGAGATTAATAGCTCTAGCCTCTTTCATTCTGTTTGTTCAGATATAAGTGTGGTAGCTGCTTCTTGAATTTGCTCCCACCATGATAACTTCTCTTTCTGCCTTTTCAGTTACTAAGTTAATAACTTTGTATCAAGTAAACATTTTTTTAAAACATTAAATTACTTCTGTTAAAACAACTAGTATAATCTAACTGAATGCTGATGGATACTGATATTATACAGAACGATCAGAAATTTTATAGCATAATAGATGGGTGGGGCTGGGCGTGGTGACTCACGCCTAAAATCCCAGCACTTTGGGAGGCCAAGGCAGGAGGATTACTTGAGGTCAGAAGTTTGAGCCTGGGCAAAATAGTGAGATCTTGTCTCTACAAACAAACAAACAAACAAACAAACAACAACAACAACAACAAACTAGCCAGTGGTGGTGGTGTGTGTCTATAGTCCCACCTGCTTGGGAGGGTAACTTGAGACTGGGAGTTCAAGGCTGTAGTGAGTCATGATTGTACCACTGCACTCCAGTTTAGACAACAGAGTGAGACCCTGCTTCAAAAAAAAAAAAAAAAAAAGATGGAAAATGCACTTATATTTTTGCATGTATAGAAAATCAAATGTTTCTTAAACATCTAATGTTATCTGAGTTGATCTAGCTAGCTACTTCTTTAATAATTAAAGTAAGGAAATTATTGATGACACAAAAGTTTCTGGGTGAGTATGGTCTGCATTAATTCCCACGTGCTCCTGGGAAACAAAACATAAAAAATAATTCCATATTTCCTGCTGGCTTTTCCAAGCCTCTATCTTCCAACTGAGGCCTTACTTCAGATCTCCACTGGCAAACTCATGTCAAATTTTATCTGAACATTTGAGGCTGATTAATTTCACATTATTTACTTTTTTGTCTTCTTTGCTGTTGGCCCATTATTATGTTATTTCCTTCAGATTACCTTTTTCTCCCTTAATTCTCATCCCTGAAATGCTCTGTGATTAGTTTCTCAGGACCCAACCTCCCATTGTACTCTATTTTCAAAATCTTTTGGCTTTGACCTTTGTG
Organism: Homo sapiens; assembly: GCF_000001405.40. Lineage (NCBI taxonomy): Eukaryota > Metazoa > Chordata > Mammalia > Primates > Hominidae > Homo > Homo sapiens. The sequence continues at coordinate 196,119,449 of NC_000001.11, read as the reverse complement.
AAGTTCTTTACATGATAAACAAAATAGATCCTTAAGCTGGATACATAATGTTCTCCATACCTTACATTCATTAAAAAAAAGCCCATCCCTAAATATGCTACTTCATAGCTGGATTCTTTTTTTTTAAATTTTCGATTCAGGGGGTACATGTGCAAGGTTTTTACATGAAAATATTGCATGATGCTGAGGTTTGGGCTTCTACTGAACTTGTCACCCAAATAGTGAACATAGTACCCAATAGGTAGTTTTTCAACCTTGCTCCATTCCCTCCCTCCCCTCTTTTGGAGTCCCCAGTGCATATTTTTTTCCATCTTTATGTCCATGTATACCCAATGTTTAGCTCCCATTTATAAGTGAAAACAAATCATATTTTATTTTCTGTTATCTGGTTAATTCACTTAGGATAGTGACCTCCAGCTACATCCATATTTCTGCAAAGGACATGATTGCCTTCTTCTTTATGGCTGCATAGAATTCCATGGTGTATATGTACCACATTTTCTTTATTCAGTCCACTGTTGATGGGCATCTAGGTTGATTTCATTTCTTTGCTATTGTGAACAGTGCTGTGATAAACATAGGAGTGTGGGTGTTTGTTTGATAGAATGATTTCTTTTCCTTTGTGTATATACCAAGTAATGAGATTTTTGGGTCAAATGGTAGCTCATTTTTAGTCTTTGAGAAATCTCCAAACTGCTTTCCACAGTGGCTGAACTAATTTACAGTCCCAGTAACAGTGTATAAACCTTCTCTTTTCTCTTGACCCTTGCCAGCATCTGTTATTTTTTTACTTTTTAGTACTAGTCATTCTGACTAGTGTGAGATGGTATCTCATTGTGATTTTGATTTGCATTTCTCTGATGATTCGTGATGTTGAGCATTTTTGCATATGTTTGTTGGTTGCTTGTATGTCTTCTTTTGAGGCATTTCTGTTCGTGTTGTTTGCTTGCTTTTTAACAGTTGTTTTTTCTTGTTGATTTGTTTAAGACCCTTATAAATTCTGGATATTAGTCCTTTGTTGGATGCATAGGTTGTGAATATTTTTTTCTCATTCCGTAGGTTGTCTGTTTGTTGATAGTTTCTTTTGCTGTGCAAAAATCTCTAGTTTAATTAGGTCCCACTTGTCAATTATGTGTGTGTGTGTGCGCGCGCGCGCGTGTGTGTGTGTGTGTGTGTGTGTGTGTTTGCTTTTGAGGACTTAGTCATAATTTATTTGTCTAGGCCAATGTCCAGAAGAGTATTTCCTAGGTTTTCTTCTAGGAGTTTTTAAAATTTGAGGTCTTACATTTAAGACTTTAATGCATCTTGAGTTAATTTTTTTGTATATGGTGATAGATAGGGGTCCAGTTTCATTCTTCTGCAAACAGTTAACCAGTTTTCCCAGCACAATTTATTGAATAGGGTGTTCTTTCCTATTTTTGTCAACTTTGTCAAACCTCAGATGGCTGTGGGTATGCGGCTTTATTTTTGTGTTCTTCACCCTGTTTCACTGGTCTATGTGTTTGTTTTTGTGCTAGCACCATGTTATCTTGGTTACTGCAGCATTGTAGTATAGTTTGAAGTCTGGTGATGTGATGCCTCTGGCTTCTTTTTGTTTAGGATTGCTTTGGCTATCTGGGCTCTATTTTCAAAATCTTTTGGCTTTGACCTTTGTGAACATACAATGGGAGGTTGGGTCCTGAGAAACTAATCACAGAGCATTTCAGGGATGAGAACAATTTATCTATATTTATTCTGATCCGTGAGCATGGAATGTTTTTCCTTTCACTCATATCATCTTTGATAGCTGATTTCTACAATAGATGCTGCTCAACACCTCAGTCCGGGTATTAACCTGTTTCTCAATTCTGGATTAGGTAAATTCTTGTGTGAGCCTGTATACTGTTCTGTATCACTACATACCCCTTATACCATCTAGTCTGGGGCAGTTTCATATTCTTGTTTTGAAAGCCACTTACAGACTATTTGAGACATTTAAACTCCTGCACTGCAGGAAAGTGCTGTCTGGTTTGCATGGTCATCACTGACCTTTGTCTCACTCCTCATATTTAGTCCTTTATGATTTTGTACCTGCATTTTTACAGCCACCCATTTGGTGCTGCTCCAATTCATTCTCCAGTCTTTGCCGAGTTAATGTTTTTTTCCTAAAACGCGTAACTCTTTCAGTCACTTAGATATTTAGAATCATTTAGGGGATCTTAGTGTAAACTCCAGGATTCTAAACTTTCATTTATCTCTCCAGCTCATTTCTCACAAAACCTACTTTCATATTGGATGTGGAACTCTAGTTCCAAGACTACTTAAACTTCTTAAAAGTATATTTTCATTTATGTTTCTTAAAGATATATTTTCTTGACTTTGAGCCTCAAGTGCTATCCTTATTTGAATGAATGCCCTCCCTCCATTATTTTACTGGTTAAGTTTTATTTAACTGTCAAGATTCATCTTTAGTAACATTTTCATGTTTCCTCAATTTTGGGTTAGGTAACTTCCCACATGCTCCTATATATTGTTATGTACAACTATTGCATGAATCATTATTCTATTTTAATTGTTTTTGTACAACACTGTAATTCTTCTGTGGGAATAGGTTCACATTAAAATTTGTATCTCCAATGGTGAGGAGACAATAAAAGACTGATATATACTAATAAAATGTAAAAATGAGCAATGAGTAAATTAAGTGTACAAATTAGGCTAAGTCATATAGATATTCATGAATCAAGGCACACACCTTCACAGGTATTTTAAAACATCTGAGAAAACTACACGGATTTTTATTATAAGAATTCAAATTCAATCACTGGTATTAAGCAACAAATAACCAAGGAATAGTCAAAGGTTATAAATGAAAATACAGTAGGTTATTAAACACATGAAAAGTTGTTCAGCCACATTTATTTATTCAAACCAAATTGAAACATTATTTTTTACCTGTCATACTTGCAAAATTCAAAAATTAGATTAAATGTTATAGACCAAGAGTATGGATAATCAAGATGCTCACTTTTTTACTAGAAGTATAAATTGGTACAAAATATCATAAAAATGTTTCAATATGCTTAAAAATTACAAAGTCATATACCCTTTTGCTATGCTAATCAAATACTACAAATCTATTCTGTAGATATAGTCTTAAATACAACATTGCTTGTTAAACAAAAAGTATATAGAGAGATGGATGATTGTACACTATAGAGATTATGCAGTTGTAAAACATAATTAAGCTGTTTATGAACTAATAGAAAATGATAAAAAGATCTACATGATATTGAATGCCTTAAAAGGGAGGGAAGTGCAGAAGAATGTGTCAAGTATGTCATATTTTATACAGTATGTGAATAAATAGGTTGATTGTAGTAGTGGCACCAATCATTCATGCTTTTCTGTATTCATGTCTATTGCAATATGACTTTGAAACTTCTCCCATAAAGAAGTAGATTCCTACTTCCAGATGGCTTGCTTTGGCCAATAGAATATGACAGACATGAAAGTCTACTGCTTTTGAGCCCATGCCTCAAGGGACTTGCATGTTTCTGCTCTCTTTCATGGAACCCTGCCACTGCCATGTGAACATTCCTATGCTTAGTCACCCGTGGGCCCAGCTGATAGCCTGCCAAACACCAGATATGTAAATGAGGCTATTCTAGGCAGCCGGGCCTTGGCAAGCCATTAGCTGACCCAAATATGTGAGTGAGAACCCACTTGAGATCAGCCTAGTGAGACCCAGAGCAAAAACATTTTAATGTCCCTTAAACTTGTCATAATAAATGTGTATTGTTTGAAGTCACTGAGTTTTGAGGTGCTTTTCTATGAATAATAGTTAACTGATATTGAACAGGATAAAGAACATATGTATTTTTCCCCCTGTAAGCATAGGATATCTCTGGAAATATGCACAGGTAACTGATAATATTGACCAAGTCCAGAAAGGAGAAGATCGTTTTTGGTGGACACAGATTGGCAGGCAGACTTTCATTGTTATCCTTTTGATGTTTGAACATAAACATGTATCATATAGTTTTAAAAATCAATTGTAATTATGTAGCTAAATTACCAGAATAAGGCCAAACAAAGCAACAAAATAGTAGATAAAGAACAGGGGCTCTGGTGTCAGACACACCTGAGTTAAAATTTTGTTCTACCAAATTATTCATTTTGTGACTTAGGTCAAGTTACTAAAATGCTCTCTGAGACTGTAAAATGGAGTTAATATATCATTTTTCTTCTGTTTTATGAGGATTAGCACTTAGAGGATCTTGTAAGAAGAAAAATATTTTAGTGACATTAGAAATATAATCATCTGGAGCACTCTCTTGTGTGCACTGGGCCATTTGGCTGTCAGCAGGAGCCTCTGCACCAATGAGAAGGGAAATAAAATGGAGGAACATGCATAGATTAAATTTCCATCATGATTTCTGTTCCTGGGTCTGATTTTTACCTTTTTGATTATCTAAAAATTAAGTGAATTAATTGTTGTGATCTTGGGATCATAACATCATGGAAATTAGAAGTGTTAAAAAACAGACAAAAATAAAAACAAAAAAAATGAGTAAAAAATACCATAATATCAGGAACTTTTAAAAATTAAAAAAAATGTTTTAGAAAGAGTAAAATTGCAAACACTTCCATAAATTCAAATGAGAGGAGACAAAAATTGTTGAATATACTTAATAAAGGAAAACAAGTATCATTACCCATTCTTAAGTATTTCTTCCATCATTCATTTCTCTTATAATTTGGCTATGATCATCTTGTTTTTAAGAGCCTGTTTTTTAGAAAAGTCTGATTATTAACTTGCTGTGGAATCTATATCTATCTATATCTAAGTGTATGTATGTATATATATGTGTGTGTGTGTGTGTGTGTGTGTGATATATATATGTAATTTTTAGAAGTAAAAGTTTTACTTTAGTCCCAGAGTAGCCAGCTATTGTTTCACAATCCGATGGTTTTCTCACAAATATGAAATAAGACATAGGCATCCTGAGTCTGCTCCCTCTGCAATGGTGGCATGACCAGGTGATGCACTCAGTGCAATCCAGCCAGCTCAGATTCGGCTCTTTACTAGCTGGTTTATCTTGGGAAAATTGCATAACTACTATGAATCACCATTCCACATTTTTAAATTAATATTTTAAAAACTACCTCATATGGTTGTGAGAGTTAAGTGAGAAAATGTCTATAATATCTCAGTAAATCCAAGAGCAAGGATAAAGCTGGGCCTTGGAGAGAAATTGACTAGGATTAAGAACGGAGGCTCTGTAAGCTGGCCAGCTAATTCATGCTCTCTCTCTCCTGTTGTATCTACTTTGTTCTGTATACATCCTTTACTCTTGGTTGCTAAAGCTTAACTTTCTTAATATGGCAAGAAAGATCACTTTTGATAGATCTCTAGTAAACCCTTTCTTTTTCTTTTTCTTTTTTTTTTTTTTAATTTGAGAAGGAGTCTTGCTCTGTTGCCCACGCTGGAGTGCAGTGGTGCGATCTCGGCACACTGCAACCTCCGCCTCCCGATTCAAGCGATTCTCCTGCCTCAGCCTCCTGAGTAGCTGGGATTACAGGCAGGTGCCACCACGCCAGGCTAATTTTTGTAATTTTAGTAGAGACAGGGTTTCACCACGTTGGTTAGGCTGGTCTCGAACTCCTGACCTCATGATCCTCCAACCTCGGCCTCCAAAGTGCTGGGATTACAGGCGTGAGCCACCGTTCCTGGCCTCTCTAGTAAAACTTTATAACACATTTAACATACGGAGAAAGTGATTTCCCTTTCTAATTTGCTGATCTAAAACTCTCAGTAAAGGAAACTATTAGCACAACTTGGTTCAAAGTTTATCCCTGAAATGATCAACTGTGATCAGGGGGCTGGGACACAGTTTAGGAACATGGCAGGTTCCAAGGGAAACATATGCTGAGAAGAAATAACAGTATAGTCCTAGAAATGTAGTGCCCGCCAAAAAATTCGTTAGGGATCTATTTTTTTTACTGCATAAAGTTATGCATTTTATTGTTATTAACTGAAATTCTTGGATGTATAGGAAATATAGTCAATTTTGCAAAAATGAGCAATGATGGATTATCTTTAAATAATCTAAGATAGTGATAATTAAACATTGAGTTCAAAAATGAATATTCTAACTTATATTTAAACAATGGTATATGTGTCTAATATTTGGGCACTTACTACAACATGATTCATGTTTCTAGGTGATGAAAACAGAATCAGCATCTTTAATTGTTTGTTTTTCACACATTTTTATTGTATAGGGGCCACTTAATTTTTTTAGTTTTAAACAAGTACAAAATACACTCTTTTGTATAAAGTTACTAAGTGTTAAGGAAATGGTGGAAAAATATTTGCTGTAAGTGACCCTGGAACTAATTGTGACTACTGTAGCCCTTCTTCTCAGAAGTTTTGCTTTCTGGAGTTTTAGTCACTGGTGGTGAACTGATTCTGAAAATAGGTGAGTACAGAACAATAAGATATTTTTAGAGAGAGGCAGAGAACAGATAGAAGGAGGGGTCACATTTACATAACTTTTATTACAGTATATTGTTATAATTGTTCTATTTTATGATAGTTATTATTGTTTATCTCTTACTGTGCCCAGTTTATAAATTAAACTTAATTATAGGTATGTGTATGTAGTAAAAATCATAGTGCATGTAAGATTCAGTACTATCTGTGGTTTCAGGCAACTACTGGGAGTCTTGGAACATATTTCCTAAGGATAAGATGGGACTACTGTAGTTAAATATACCTGAATTTATTTTGTATAAATGGACTTACAGTACAGACAAAATGTTTCACTTCCCTATATAAAATTGAATTCAAGAAATAATATGAACATTCAGAGATTATAAACGAATTATAACATTTGCCATCTCTCGTGGCCATTAGTCCTGAGTGGAGAAAGCAGTCAATGAATCTTTCACTAGTATTCTTAACTGTGTGCCTGACTCAGATGATAACATATGTACTTATGGAAGAAGAAGAAGAAGAAAAAACAGAAGCACAGGATTCAGTTGTATTTCCTTTAATGTACACACATATTGGCTAGTATCCAGAACACATGTTCAAGGAGTGGAATGGAAAGTGTGGCCTCGGTACTTTCAGGCAACCCTGAAATTTTGCTAATATTTATAAGCATAAAGCTCTAGTTTTATCAACACTTTTAATAATTTGTATAACTATGAAATTAATATGGATTACTAAGGCTATTTAAGTCTTCCTGTTCTCTGGGAAAAACTAGCATTTTGAAGTTGCAAGGCAATTATTTAACATCTTTCCCCACCATGACAGTATTCTAATAAATTTGTGTTGGTAATAAAGAATATAGACTTTGAATCTTCTCTTAAATCAAATACTCACATCCCAAACCTACTATATCCATTTTGTTCTCTTGGATCCACAACCCCTCATACAATAAGTGAGGCATAATAATAACTCCATATATTTGTTGACTATTTAATGAAATTATAAAACATCTACTCATGTGCTGTCCAATATACCAAAGGCAAAAAAATTTCCCACATTTGCACACGTTATTTACCAGTGTCTGGAAGCTTCCATCCAGTCTCCTCACCCTAATTAGATCTGTCCATAGAGACTGAAATCAACTTATATCTCACTTTCCCAACTTTCTTAGTGAACATTCATCATCATATTGGTCATCCCATATATTCTGAAGATCTTTTTTAAAATTAATCATACAATTGCATAAAAGGGACTTATGTAAGTGTACTTCTTCCTAGCTAGATTATTTAGCTCATTGAGCCCAGCTACTCTGTCTAAATTGACTCTTTCTTTCAAGTATTTAGTCCAGAGTCTTTCTTATAGAAGATATTCACTTATGTCACAGCACTTTCTGAAGAAATACATTTTCTTCCATTAGTTTTGACCATCTATAGGATGCAAGGTGGTCTAACTATGGGACACCAGGGTATCCACACAGTTTCTTTAAGACACAGCTTTGTTTCCAGACATAAAGACAAAACATTAAGTATGTTTTGTCCTTTGCTTTTTTTAAAAAAAGAATTATTATACTTTAAGCTCTTGGATACATGTGCAGAACCTGCAGGTTTGTTACATATGTATACAAGTGACATGGTGGTTTGCTGCACCCATCAATCCATCATCTACATTATGTATTGCTCCTAATGCTATCCCTCCCATAGCCCCCCACCCCCCAACAGGTCCCAGTGTATGATGTTCCCCTTCCTGGGTCCATGTGTTCTCATTGTTCAACTCCCACTTATGAGTGAGATTGTGCAGTGTTTGGTTTTCTGTTCCTGTGTTAGTTTGCTGAGAATGATGATTTCCACCTTCATCCAAATCCCTGCAAAGGACATGAACTCATCCCTTTTTTATGGCTGCATAGTATTCCATGGTGTATATGTGCCACATTTTCTTTATCCAGTCTATTGTTGATGGGCATTTCAGTTGGATCTAAATCTTTGCTGTTGTGAATATTGCTGCATTAAACATACATGTGCATATGTCTTTTTAGAAGAATGATTTATAATCCTTTGGGTATATACCCAGTAATGGGATTGCTGGGTCAAATGGTATTTCTGGTTGCAGATCCTTGAGGAATCCCCACACTGTCTTCCACAATGGTTGAAATAATTCACACTCCCACCAACAGTGTAAAAGCTTTCCTATTTCTCCGCATCCTCGCCAGCATCTGTTGTTTCCTGACTTTTTGATGATTGTCATTCCAATTGGCTTGAGATGGTATCTTATTGTAGTTTTGATTTGCATTTCTCTAATGACCAGAGATGATGAGCTTTTTTTCATATTGGACACATTGTTGGACACATAAATGTCTTCTTTTGAGGAGTGTCTGTTAATATCCTTCACCTACTTTTTGATGGGGTTACTTGTTTTTTCTCTTGTTAATTTGTTTAAGTTCTTTGTAAATTCTGGATATTACCCCTTTGTCAGATGCATAGATTGCAAAAATGTTTTCCCATTCTATAGGTTGGCTGTTCACTCTTATGATAGTTTCTCTTGCTGTGCAGAAGCTCTTTAGTTTAATTAGATCCCATTTGTCAATTTTGGCTTTTGTTGCTATTGCTTTTGGTGTTTTAGTCATGAAGTGTTTGTCCATGCCTATGTCCTGAATGGAATTGCCTAGGTTTTCTTCTAGGATTTTTATGGTTTTAGGTCTTACATGTAAGTCTTTAATCCATCTTGAGTTAATTTTTGTATAAGATGTAAGGAAAGGGTCCAGTTTCAGTTTTCTACATATGGCTAGCCAGTTTTCCCAATACCATTCATTAAATAGGGAATTGTTTCCCCATTTCTTGTTTTTGTCAGGTTTGTCAAAGATCAGATGGTTATAGATGTGTGGCATTATTTCTGAGGCCTCCATTTTGTTCTATTGGTCTATATATCTGTTTTGGTACCAGTACCATGATGCTTTGGTTACTGTAGCCTTGTAATATCATTTGAAGTCAGATAGCGTGATGCCTCCAGCTTTGTTCTTTTTGCTTAGGATTGTCTTGGCCATATGGGAACTTTTTTGTTTCCACATGGAATTTAAAGTAGTTTTTTCTAATTCTGTGAAGAAAGTCAATGGTAGATTGATGGAGATAGCATTGGATCTATAAATTTCTTTGGGCAGTATGGCCATTTTCATGACATTGATTCTTCCTATCCATGAGCATGGTATGCTTTTTCATCTGTTTGTGTCCTCTCTTATTTCCTTGAGCAGTGATTTGTAGTTCTCCTTGAAGAGGTGTGGGGAAAAGAAAGAGAGATCAGACTGTTATGGTGTCTATGTGGAAAGAAGTAGACATAAGAGACTCCATTGTGTTCTGTACTAAGAAAAATTCTTCCGCCTTGAGATTGCTGTTATTCTGTAACCCTACCCCCAACCCTGTGCTCACAGAAACATGTGCTTTGTGGACTCAAGGTTTAATGGGTTTAGGGCTATGCAGGATGTGCTTTGTTAAACAAATGCTTGAAGGCAGCATGCTTGTTAAAAGTCATCACCACTCCCTAATCTCAAGTACCCAGGGACACAAAACACTGAGGAAGGCGGCAGGGACCTCTGCCTAGGAAAGCCAGGTATTGTCCAAGGTTCCTCCCCATGTGATAGTCTGAAATATGGCCTCATGGGAAGGGAAATACCTGACTATCCCCCAACCCGACACCCGTAAAGGGTCTGTGCTGAGGAGGATTAGTAAAAGAGGAAGGCCTCTTTGCAGTTGAGATAAGAGGAAGACATCTGTCTTCTGCTTGTCCCTGGGCAATGGAATGTCTGCGTGTAAAACCCAATTCTGTATTCCATCTACTGAGATAGGAGAAAACCGCCTTAGGGCTGGAAATGACACATGCTGGAGGCAATACTGCTCTTTAAGGCATTGAGATGTTTATGTATATGCACATCAAAAGCACAGCACTTTTTTCTTTACCGTGTTTATGATGCAGAGACATTTGTTCACATGTTTTCCTGCTGACCCACTCTCCACTATTACCCTATTGTCCTGCCACATCCCCCTTTCTGAGATGGTAGAGATAACGATCAATAAATACTGAGGGAACTCAGAGACTGGTGCCGGCGCGCGGGTCCTCCATATGCTGAGCACTGGTCCCCTGGGCCCACTTTTCTTTCTCTATATTTTGTCTCTGTGTCTCTTTCTTTTCTCAAGTCTCTCGTTCCACCTGAAGAGAAATGCCCACAGGTGTGGAGAGGCAGGCCACCCCTTCAAAGAGGTCCTTCACATCTCTTCTAAGTTGTATTCCTAGGTATTTTATTCTTTTTGTAGCAATTGTGAATGAAAGTTCATTCATGATTTGGCTCTCTGCTTGTCTGTTATTGGTGTGTAAGAAAGCTTGTGATATTTGCACATTGATTTTGTATCCTGAGATTTGCTGAAGTTGCTTACCAGTTTAAGGAGATTTGGGGCTGAGATGATGGGGTTTTCTAAATATAAAATCATGTCATCTGCAAACAGAGACAATTTGACTTCCTCTCTTCCTATTTGAATACACTTTATTTCTTTCTCTTGCCTGATTGCCTTGGCCAGAACTTCCAATATTATGTGGAATAGGTGAGAGAGGGGATCCTTGTCTTGTGCTGGTTTTCAAAGGGGATGCTTCCAGGTTTTGCCTGTTCAGTATAATATTGGCTGTGGGTTTGTCATAAATAGCTCTTATTATTTTGAGATATGTTCCATCAATACCTAGTTTATTGAGAGTTTTTAGCATGAAGGGCTGTTGAATTTTGTTGAAGGCCTTTTCTGCCTCTATTGAGATAATTATGTGGTTTTTGTCATTGGTTCTGTTTATGTGATGGATTATGTTTATTGATTTGTGTACGTTGAACCAGCCTTGCATCCCAGGGATGAAGCCGGCTTGATCGTGGTGGATAAGCTTTTTTAATGTGCTGCTGGATTTGGTTTGTCAGTATTTTATTGAGGATTTTTGCATCAATATTCATCAGGGATATTGGCCTTCAATTTTCTTTTTTTGTTGTGTTTCTGCCAGGTTTTTGTATCAGGATGATGCTGGCCTCATAAAATGAGTTAGGGAGGAGTCCTTCATTTTCTGTTTTTTGGAATAATTTCAGAAGTAATGGTATCAGCTCCTCTTTTTACCTCTGGTAGAATTCGGCTGTGAATCCATCTGGTCCTGGGCTGTTTTTGATTGGTATGCTATTAATTACTGCCTCAATTTTAGAATGAACTTGTTATTGGTCTATTCAGGGATTTGACTTTGTCCTTATTTAGTCTTGGGTGGGTGTATGTGCTCAGGGATTTATCCATTTCTTCTAGATTTTCTAGTTTATTTGCATAGAGGTGTTTATAGTATTCTCTGATGATAGTTTGTATTTCTGTGGCATCAGTGGTGATATCCCCTTTATCATTTTTTATTGTGCCTATTTTATTCTTCTCTCTTTTCTTTTCGTTAGTCTGCCTAGCTGCCTATCTATTTTGTTAATCTTTAAAAAAAACAGCTCCTGGATATATTGATTTTTTGAAGGGTTTTTCATGTCTCTATCTCCTTTAGTTCTTCTCTGTTCTTAGTTATTTCTTCTCTTCTGCTAGCTTTTGAATTTGTTTGCTCTCACTTCTCTAGTTCTTTTAATTGTGATATTAGGGTGTTGATTTTGGATCCTTCCTGCTTCTCATGTGGGCATTTAGTGCTATAAATCTCCCTCTGAAGAATGCTTTAGTTGTATCCCAGAGATTCTGGTGCATTGTATCTTTGTTCTCATTGGTTTCAAAGAACTTATTTATTTCTTCCTTTGTTTCGTTATTTACCCAGTAGTCATTCAGGAGCAGGTTGTTCAGTTTCCATGTAGTTGTGTGGTTTTGAGTGAGTTTCTTAATCCTGAATTCTAATTTGACTGCATTGTGTTCTGAGAGACTGTTTGTTATAATTTCCATTCTTTTGCATTTGCTGAGGAGTGTTTTACTTCCAATTATGTGTTGATTTTAGAATAAGTGTGATGTGGTGGTGAGAAGAATGTATATTCTGTTGATCTGGGGTGGAGAGTTCTGTAGATGTCTATTAGGTCCGCTTGGTCCAGAGCAGAGTTCAAGTCCTGAATATCCTTGTTAATATTCTGTCTCGTTGATCTGTCTAATATTGACAGTGGGGTGTTAAAGTCTCCAACTATTATTGTGTGGGAGTCTAAGTCTCTTTTTAGGTCTCTAAGAACTTTTTAATGAATCTAGGTGCTCCTGTATTGGGTACACGTATATTTAGGACAGTTAGCTTTTCTTGTTGCATTGATCCCTTTATCATTATGTAATGCTTTTCTTTGTCTCTTTTGATTTTTGTTGGTTTAAAATCTGTTTAATCAGAGACTAGCATTGCAAAGAAAATGGCCTTTGCTTTTTATAGGTAGCATTATTTTTTGTAGCAGAAAATGTTTCTTAAATTTCTCCATAATTTATAAATCTTAAAAATGTTGCAGGGTGACAATTATTGGCAAAAATCCGTTAAGTTGTCAACTTGGATAACAGAAGCTATTGTTTATCAGTTTATTACACAAAGCCTTTTCAGCATCATGTAACATATTATCATGTGACTAATTGAATATTACAAAAGTGGAATCTTTTCTGTTTTTTTCTAGCACATCTTCATCTAGAATGCTGGCACTAATAGATTCTCACCAACTATGTGCTTTTGCTTTTCAGGCAATAACTTTTTCAAAATAGCTTGCTTTCTTAACCTGTTAATTGTCCAATTGTTTTAAAAAGCCTTACTCTGTTTTGAGATTCCAGTGTTTGCTTAAAATATTTAGCACCTTTACTCTTCAAATGCTGTGATCTTTAGTAAGCTTGCTTTACAACTATGCTGGAGTAATTGCTGCATATCTTAGTTGTTTGTCACAGACAACACACAATAGAATAGGACAACGTGAATCAGCAGCCCATGTAAGACTCAGTAATAAGTGATTTTCCTTGTAACAGAAAGTTTGTTTCGTGTCCTCTGTTACACTAGTGCGGTAAAAGAACTTGAAATTTGTAATTACTAATTACTAACATTACCAAAATTATTTTTCATCTTAGATCTAGAATTCTCTTCTATCTCACACATTATATTCAAAATAAGCACATTGAAACATCAGACATGTTTGTAAAATGCAAACCCTAATGAATATAAATCAGAAGGGCAAACAAGTGAGAAAATTAAAAATATGAAACTTCACAATACAATTTACTTCTAATCTACATAATCATATTTTGTAGCACCCAGAACAACAGCAAAATGGCACGGCAGCTGGATCACAGTATGTAAAAATTCCTTCTTCAGGATTAAAATTTTCCTCTGATTTTTTATTATAGGAGCTGTATTGGTCCATTTTCACGCTGCTGATAAAAGCATACCCGAGTCTGGGAAGAATAATAGGTTTAATGGACTCACAGTTCCACGTGGCTGAGGAGACCTCACATCATGGCGGAAGGCGAAAGGCACTTCTTATTTCTTTTTCTTTTTTTTTTTTATTATTATACTTTAAGTTCTAGGGTACATGTGCACAACGTGCAGGTTTGTTACATATGTATACATGTGCCATGTTGGCGTGCTGCACCCGTTAACTCGTCATTTACACTAGGTATATCTCCTAATGCTATCCCTCCCCTCTCCCCCATCCCACGACTGGCCCCGGTGTGTGATGTTCCCCACCCCGTGTCCAAGTGTTCTCATTGTTCAATTCCCATCTATGTGTGAGAACATGCGGTATTTGGTACTTCTTACATGGTGGTGGCAAGACAGAATGAGAAAGAAGCGAAAGCAGAAACCCCTTATAGAACCATCAGATTGTGTGAGACTTATTCACTATCTCGAGAACAGTATGGAGGAAACTGCTCCCACGATTCAATTATCTCCCACTGGGTCCCTCCCAGAACACATGGGAATTATGGGAGTACAATTCAAGATGAGATTTGGGTGGGGACACAGAGTCAAACCATATCAGGAGTAGAGCATGTTTTCTTCTGTAATTAAGTGAACTGTATGCAAGAAAATTCAAGGGAGCTAACTGAAGATGGAATAGCATCATCAGCCATTGGCTCCTCTGTACAATAAAGTACTCATAAGTTATCAAGTCTCTTCCACTGTGCATCAAAAACAAGAAATGGACTCAGCCAAAGGAACACAGTCCTATATGCAGCCAAATGGGAGCTTAATATCCTCTACTACAACTGCTAAATAGGCTATTCAGTCATTGTGCATCATTATGAGCACTAGCATTAAGTGGCAAGTAAATATATGTTTTTGTTTGATCATGTTCTCTAACGAAATCACTAGTGATATCTTGCTGAAATTAGGGTACGGTGGAACCCTGGTTGAAAAAACACTAGCTGCTGAAAAATAAGGCATTTAAATTTTGTCATTCCATATAAACATTTAGAGATATTTTTCAGTAAGTGTTTAAAATTGAAATAGTAAAACAATGTGAGATAAGATATGCAATATTTTTTCTTGGTATTTGCATATTTGAATATATATATGAAATATTTTACTGAATTTGAGTAAAGTGTTTAAATTTGATAATTATTCTTTAAAATAGATTTTTGTCTTAAAATAAAATGAGTAAAGAATAATTATTACTGATGATTGCATCTTAACTTTTTAAAAATTCATTTGAAATATATTTTTTGAAAACATGTTGAATATAGCAAAACATTCTGATAATATATTGAACTAAGTTAATCATTTTTAACTTATCTTGTTTCCAGGATTTATCTTGTTTTTGCATTACTATAGATAGAAATTCCAGAGACATAACATACAGTTATTTTATTTTTAATTTTTGGGGGGTACATAGTAGGTGTATGTATCTATGGAGTACATGAGATGTTTTGATACAGGCATGCAATGTGAAATAAGCACATCATGGAGAATGGGATATCCATCCCCTCAAGCATTTATCCTTCGAGTTACAAACAATTCAATTACATTTTTTAAGTTATTTAAAAATGTACAATTAAGTTATTGACTATGGTCACTCTGTTGTGCTATAAAGTAGTGGGTCTTATTTATTCTATTTTTTTTTTGTATCCATTAATCATTCTCACTTCTCCCCAGCCACTCACTGCTCTTCCCAGCCTATGGTAACAATCCTTCTACTCTGTATGTCCATGAATTCAACTGTTTTGATTTTTAAATACCGCAAATAAGTGAGAACATGTAATGTTTGTCTTTCTGTGCCTGGCTTATTTCAGTCAACATAATGATTTCCAGTTCATCCATGTTGTTGCAATTTACTTGATCTCACTCTTTTCTATGGCTGTATAGTACTCCCTTGTGCATATGTACCACATTTTCTTTATCCATTAATCTGTTGATAGACACTTAGATTGCTTACAAATATTTGCTATTGTAAACAGTACTTCAACAAATATAGGAGTGCAGATATCTCTTTGTTGTAATGATTCCCTTTCTTTTGGGTATATATGCAACAGTGGGCTGACTGAATCATATGGTATCTCAATTTTTAGTTTTTTGAGGAACCTCCAAACTGTTATCCATAGTGGTTGTAGTAATTTACATTCACATCAACAGTGTACAAAGAGTGTTCCCTTTTCTCCACATCTTCACCAGCATTTCTCATTGCCTATCTTTTGGATATAAGCCATTTTAACTGTGTTGAGGTGATATCCTATTGTACTTTTGATGTGCATTTCTCTGATGATCAACAATGTTGAGCACCTTTTCCTATGCCTGTTTGTCATTTGTATGTCTTCTTTTGAGAAATGTCTATTCAAATCTTTTGCCCATATTTTGATTAAATTATTACAATGTTTCTATTTTTTTTGAGTTCTTTATATATTCTGGTTATTATTCCCTGTCAAATATTTTCTTCCATTTTGTGGGTAGTCTCTTCATTTTGTTGATTGTATCCTTTACTGTGCAGAAGCTTTTTAACTTGATGTGATTCCACTTGTCCAAGTTTGCTTTGGTTGCCTGTGCTTGTAGGGTATGACTCAATAAGTCTTTGCCCAAATTAATATCCTGGAGAATTCCTCCAATGTTTTCTTGTAGTAGTTTTATAGTTTGAGGCCTTAGGTTTAAGTCTTTAATCCATTTTGATTGGATTTTTATGTATGGCGAGAGATAGGGGTCTAGTTTCATTATTCTTCATATGGTTATCTAGTTTTCCTAGCATCATATATTGAAAAGATTATCTTTTGCCCAGTGTTTGTTCTTGGCACCTTTGTCAAAAATGAGTTCACTGAAGGTTTGTGGATTTGTTTCTGGGATCTCTATTCCCTTCCATTGGTCTGTGTGTGTATTTTTATGGCAGAACCATGCTGTTTTGGTTACCATAGCACTGTAATATAATTTGAAGTCAAGTAATGTAATTCCTCCAGTTCTGTGATTTTTGGCTTAGGATAGCTTTGGTTATTTTGTGTGTGTGTGTGTGTGTGTGTGTGTGTGTGTGTGTGTGTGTGTGTTTCAATAAAAATATTAGGATTGTTTTTTCTATTTCTATAATGTCATTGGTGTTTTGATAGGGATTGCATTGAATGTGTAGATTGCTTTGGATAATATGGACATTTTAATAATACTGATTCTTCCAATTCATGAACATGGAGTAGTTTTCCATTGTTTTGTGTCCTTTTCAATTTTTTTATCAGTGTTTTATAGTTTTCATTATAGAGATTTTTTACTTCTCTCATTAAGTTAATCCATAGGTATTTAATTTTATGTGTGGCTATTGTAAATGGGATTACTTTTAATTTTTTTTCACATTGTTCACTCTTGGCATACAGAAATGCTACTGATTTTTATATGTTGATTTTGTGTTCTGCAACTTTACTGGGTTTATCAGTTCCAACAGTTTTCGTGTTGGAGTCTTTAGGTTTTTCCAAATGTAAGTTCATATTATCTTCACACAGGGATAATTTGGTTTCTTTCTTTCCAATTTGGATGCCTTTTCTATCTTTCTCTTGTCTAATTGTTCAAGCTAGGACTTCCAGTACCATGTTGAAAAACAGTGGTAACAGTGGGCATTCTTTTTGTTTTCCAGATCTTAGAGGAAAGGCTTTCATGTTTTCCCCTTCAGTATAATACTAGCTGTGGGTCTGTTGCATATGACTTTTCTTATATTGGTGTATGTTCCTTCTATCCCCAGTTTCTTCTACAAGCCTGTAGCCTTGAGTTAGGCAATTATAACATCTTAGACTGGAGTCCCCACGGCCATTTGCAGGGTGACCTTACTGGTGTCTTCATCCATCATCGCATCAATCACAGTTTCATAGCCATGTCCTGTTCTCCTATGATTTGGGCCAATGGGGGGATGGGATATCCCGGACTCCAAGTAAAGTCCACATCACCCCAAGACATTTTATGGTGCCTGGGACACCATAAAGCCTGATGCAAAAAAACGGAAAAGGTCTGGAGGTTCTCATAGCTTCAGTAAGAGATTTGGCTTAAGGCAGCCTAATCCTCTTACCTTGAGTTAATAGCTTAAAGTAGGTATAAAGGAATATAAGGGAGTTTATCTAACGAGCTTGTTTACTCATGTGGTCCTAAGACCAACCTTTGATCATTCATAGGACTGCTCTCTCTGGGGAAGGGCAACGAGGTTAATTACTCACAGGTATGTTGACTAAAAGCCTTTGTCATTAAATCTGTGCTGAATAAATGCCGGCAAGGCCAGCTAGTCAGCACACAGCTGCCACAACTCTTTCTGTGAGTGGCCCAGCCCCCTGGCCTGCTCTTTTACTGAATATCTGTGTCTGAGTACGTTATTCATCTGTCATGCAGCCTGGGTCTGCAGGTCAGACCCTGCCACTATGATGCATTCTTCAGTATGCTAATTGCATTTTCAACTCTAGATTTTCTGCTTATTTTTAATCATTTCAATTTCTTTGTTAAATTTCTTTGATGGCATTCTAAATTCCTTCTCCATGTTATCTGTAATTTCTTTGAATTTCCTCAAGACAGCTATTTTGAATTCTGTATCCGAAAGGTCACATATATCTGTTTCTCCAGAATTAGTAACTGGTGCCTTATTTAGTTCATTTGGTGAGGTCTTATCTTCCTGGATGGTGTTGATTCTAGAAGATGTTCTTCAGTGTCCGGGCACTGAAGAGTCAGGTATGTATTACAGTCTTCACTGTCTGGACTTCTTTGTAGCCATACTTCTTGGGAAGGCTTTCCAGATATTTGAAAGAGCTTGGGGGTTGTCATCTAAGCTGTATCTGCTTTAATGGGGACCCCACGCCCAGTAACATTGTGGTTCTTGTAGATTTTAGAGGTACTGCCTTGATGGTTTTGAACAAGATCCAGGAGAATTTTCTGGATTGCTAGGCAGTGTGACTCTTGTCCTCTTCTCTTACTTTCTCCAAAACAGTCTCATTCTCTGTTCTGAGCCACTTAAAGCAAGAGGTGGAGTGACATGAGCAATGCTGTGGCCACGACTATGACTGCACTGGGTGAGATGTAAAGTCAGCACAGCACTGGGTCTTACCCAAGGCATGCTATAACTGCTCCCTCGCTACTGCCATGTTTGCTTAAGGTCCTGAGGCTCTACAATCAGAGGGTGGCAAAGCCAGTCCAGCCTTCATCTTTCCTTTCAGGGAATTTAGGTCCCCTATGCCCTAGGTGGGTCCAGAAGTGCCATCTGGGAGTCAAAGACTAGATTAAAAACCTTAGAAGTCTAGTTGGTACTTTACTGTACTGTGGCTGAGCCACCATCAAACCACAAGATACAGTTCTTACTTGTTTCTTCCCTTTCCAAAGGCAGAGGAGGCTCACCCCATAAGCCACAAGGAGTATTGCCAGACTACTGCTAATGTTCCCCTAAGGCCCAAGGTCTCTTAAGTCTCTTGTGAATGCTGGCAGGCCTGGGACTTCAAGGCAGTGGGGTCCCCTCTGGCCCAGTGTAAGTCCAGAAATGTCATCCAAGTATCAAGTCTTGGAATCAGAGAACCGACGAGCCCACTTGTTACTCTACCTGCCTGTGGCTGTGCTAGTACCTAAGGTGCAAGATAAAGTCCCCTTTACTTTTTTCTCTGCTTTTCTCAAGCAGGAGACCCTTCCCTTAACCATATCTAGTAATGTGCTGAGTCTCACCTGAAGCCAGTTTCTCTGAGGCTCACCAAATGTTCTTGATGTAGTACCTGGGTATTGCTGCTGGTTATTCAAGAACTGAAGGCTCTTCAGTTAACAGGTGATAAATGCTGGCAGGAATGGGTCCTTTCCTTCAAGGCAGTGGGTTTCCTTCTGCCCAGTGTGTGTCTAGAAATGTCATCTGGGAGCTAGGGCCTGGGATGGGGGCCTCATGATTCTGACAGTTACGCTATCCTGCTGTGGCTGAGCTGCTCTCCAAGATGCAAGATAAAGTCCCCCCCACTTTTCCATCTTCTCCCCTAAGCAGAAGGAAGAAGTCTCTATTGGTGTGTTGAGCTGTGCAGCCTGGGGTTAGGGGATGGGTGATTCCAGCACTCCTTTGGCTTCCCCAGGTGGTATCTCAGAATGTCACATGCTTCCCCAGTCCACTGTCTCTGAGCCAGGTTCAGTGCTAGGGCTTCCGTAAGTGTTGCAGTCCTTATGCCCTAGACTGCCTTTCAAATATACTTGGAAACACAAAGTGCTATAGCCCTTGGGGGCAAGTTTTGCAGGAACTCAATTTTGGACCACTGGGATGGGTGATTCCCTTCTGGCTAGGGCTGGTTCCCTCCATGGGTGGACATCAGCTGAGTTTGGTTCTTTCTTCCTTTGTGCTCTAACAGGACAGCACTGAGTTCAATGTCTCTCAATTGGTGAATTCTTCTTCCGCAATGCTCAGCGATGCTCTCTCACCACGCCCTGCTGCCAGGGTAGAGAAGGGGTGGTGTCAGTGATTAAGGACTTTTGTTTTGTTTTCTATCCTTTCAATTCCTCTTTTAATCATTTGAAGTTAAAAACAGGTAATATGGGTGCTTACCTGATTTTTGGTTCCAATGAAGGTGTTTTTTCTTGTGAATACTTGTTAACATGTTGTCTTTGTGGGGGGTTGGGGTGATGATCAGTGGAGGCTCCACTATCTTGCTCTGCTTCTTCCCCAGAAGTAACGTGTAATTGACCCTTGAACAATATGAGCTTGTACTGCATGGGCCCACTAATACATTTTTTTTCAACTAAAATATTGGAAAATGTTTTAAAGAATTTTTTAACCACTGAAAAAAACTAACAGATGAACTACATAGCCCAGAAATGTCAAAAATATTAAGAAAAAGATGCCACAGATGCATAAAATATATGTGGATACTAGTCTATCATTTACTACCATAAAATATACACAAATATATTTTAAAAGTTAAAGTTGATCAAAACTTGCACACGCAAACACCTAAAGATCATACTTAGCACCAGTCAAGAGAGATGTAAACAAATGTAAAGATTCAATATTAAATAATAATTGTATAAAATTGACTGCAGTATATACTGTATGGCTAACAATTTTGTAGCTACTCCCTGTTGCTATTGCAGTGAGCTAAAGTGTTGTGAGTATCCCATAAAACACCGTGTGACACCAATCATCTCCATATGGAAAGTTTATCTCTCAGTAAATTGCATATCACAGGTAAAAAGTGATCTCTTGTGTGTCTTGCATATTTTTCATTATGTTTAGTGCATATAAAACTTGAAAAACATTATGGGGCCCATGCAAAGTGCCACTAGTGAGGCTAGAACTGCTTCAAAGAAGCAGTCATGACATTACAAAAGAAAGTTCAATTGTTTGATATACACTGTAGACTGAGCTCTACAGCTGCAGCTGCCTGCCATTTCAAGATAAATAAATCCAGCATAAGGGCCATTGTAAAAGAAGAAAAGGAAATTCATGAAGCTGTTACTGCAGCTATGCCAGTAAGCACAAAAATCTTGTGCTTTTTGTGAAATACCTTCTTGTCTTGTACTGAAAATCCAGCTTTTATGTGGGTGCAGAACTGCTGTAAGAAAGGCATACCTATAGACTCTAATGTAATTTGAGAAAAAGTTAAGTAATTACATGACAACTTAAAGCAAAAGGAAGATGAAGGATCTACAGCTGCAGAACTTACCACCAGCAAAGGATGATTTGATAACTTTAGAAGAAGTTTGGCTTAAAATATGTCAAGATAACAGGAGAAGCAGCTTCTGCTGACCAAGAGGCAGCAGAGTTATCAGAAACCATAAACAAAATCATGGAGGAGAAAGGGCATCCTTCTGAAAAGGTTTTAAATGCAGACAACAGTTGACTGTTCTGGGGGGCAAAAGCCACAAGGACATTTATTAGTAAGGAAGAGAAGTAAGTATCAGTATTTAAGGCAGGAAGGGATATAGGCTAACCCTACAATGTTGTGAAAATGCAGTCTGGCTTATGATCAGGATATAAAGTTGCTAATCCCTGAAATTTGAAGGGAAAGTTAAACACCAGCTGGAAGTATTTTGGCTCTGTACCAAGAAGGCCTGAACAATAAGAATCCTTTTTTTTCTGCATTGGTTTCAATGATACTTTGTCCCTTAAGTCAGGATGTACCTTGCCAGTAAGGGGTTGCCTTTTACAGTTCTTTTGATGTTGGACAATGCCCCTAGCCACCCAGAACCTCATGAGTTTGTGTCAAAGTGGTCTACTTGACCCCACACACAACACCTCTAATTCAGCCTCTAGATCAGAAGTTCAACAGTACCATTAAGGCTCATTACACACTGTACTTTTTGGAAAGAATTATCAATGCTATGGAAGAGAACTTTGATAGAAAGAACATTATGAAAGCCTGGAAGGGTTACATCATTGAAGAAGCCATCATTGTTAGAGAAAGAGCAGTGAAAGCCATCAAGCCTAAGATAATAAATTCTTTCAGGAAAAAACTATGTCCAAATGTTGGATATGACTTCTCAGGATTTAGGACAGAATCAATCCAGCAAATCATAAAAGAGATTGTGGATATGGCAGAAAAAACAAAGGTGTGTGGGGGTGGCGGGAGTGCTGAAGGCTTTCTAGGTATGGATCTTGGAGAAATTTAAGAACAAACAGACACTGCAATAGAGGAATTAACAGAAGATGACTTGATGGAGGTGACTGCTTTCAGGCCAGTGCCAGATGATGAGAAAGAAGAGGTGCCAGAAAAAAAAATATTGACATAATCTGGCAGAAGGGTTCCAGTTAGTCACAACTGTTTTTGGCATCTTTTGCAAGATGAATCCTTCTATGATATGGGCACTGAAAAAACAAAAGAAAACAAAAAGATGCAATAAGGATTGGTACTGTGTAGAAACATTTTTGGAGAAATGTGAAAGCAAAATATCAGAAATTATGATGTTTTCAGATTACATGGAGTGTGCCTGCCTCTCCTGTTTTCCCTTTCATCTTCTTTTCCACTTCTGCCTCTGTCACCTCTGAGACAGAGACACAACTTTTGTTTCTCCTTCTCCTCCTCAGTCTGCTCAACATGAAGCCAGTGAGGATGAAGATTTGAATAATGATCCAATTCCACTTAATGACTAGTAATTATATTTTCTCTTCTCTTTGTTATGGTTTTCTTACTAACATTTTTTTCTCTAGCCTACTTTGTTATAAGAGTATAGTGTATAATGCATACAACATAGAAAATATTTGCTAACTTCTGGAAATACATAGAAAAATAGGAAACTACCCATTTTTAAGACATTTCAATGCAGAAAGGAAACTGAATATTTATACTGAGATGTGATAGCTTATATTAGAAGTATAAACAAAGTGTTATGGAATGTAAAGAAGGGGATAATTCAGATTTGAAGTTAAGGGGAAGGGATTATTTTAAGAATTAGAGACTAGCTTAGAATTTTCAAAAAATTAAGGGCTACTGAGAACCCTTCTCTGCCACATTGTTATTACATATACCAGTAACAGGAATATTATTCATTTATAAGTGTAATTATTTTGAAGATGTTCAAATAAGGACTTATTTCCTCCTAATTATAGAGGTAACTAATATAAAAATTCTGAGTATTTCAGTATGTTTTTGTGCCTGAAGAGCCAAGAAATGTAACTCAACAAATTCTAACAGTGATACTTTTACATTTGGCTAGAGATACTTGGCAATTTGCAGAATTTATCTAACTTGAAATAAAGTCTGATTGCAACTTACCATCATTCTTATATATCCATTAATATTAATAGAAATTTTTAAAGTGGTATTTAGAAACTAAATGCAAATTAATCAAGGCTATTACTTATGAACCACTTCAAATCTAATCTCTTTCATATGCCTTTTCTCCTCTACAGTGACCAATTTCTATCCTTTCTAACCACTCAGCATTCACTTTTTGGGGCTACATTATGGTAATTTTTTTATCCTGTGTAGAACCTACTTTTCCTTGGTTGGGACAGTCTTTTTCTCTTTTTAATGTGTGTCATTTCATTTTTCTTGGCTTTAGAAAATTCAACCTTGAGTATAATAAAAATAACATGAATTCATATTCTTTTGTAACATTTTATTTTGAAAAAAACTCAGAATTACTGAAAAGTTGAAAAATAATACAAAGAATCCCCATGCAAATCACGGATATTCTCCCCAAGTTAGCATTTTACTGTATTCACTTTATTATTTTCTCTTTATTTCTCTTCTCTCTCCATGTGAGTGCTTGTGTGTATGTGTGAGTGCGTGTACTTTTTTCTGTAATGTTTAAGTGTAAGTTGTTGAGCTGATGACATATCGCTAAATAATTTAATGTGTATTTACTAGAGTCAAGAAATTCTATTCTATAACTTCAGTTAAATTTTCAAAATCAGAAAAGTAATGTTAATACACTATTAATACCTAATTTATAGGCATTCCAATTTTGTAATTGTTTCACTATTTTTCTTTATAGAAAGAGAAAGAAAGATTCTCTGGTTCCAGATCCAATCCAAACCAAGATTGCATTTCATTTGGACTCTGTAATCTCCTTACTTCAGAATAGAAGCCTTTCTTTGACATTCATTACTTGACTGTTTAGATTAGACGCCATTTGGTCAAAGGTCCCTTTATTTGCATTTATCTGGTGTTTCCTCATGATTATATTAAGTTGATGCAATTTTGGCAGGACTATCACAGAACTGATCCTCTGTTTTTTTTTTTTTCCAGTGAATCCTATCAGGAAGTTTAAGATGTCAGTCAAAAGTCATAGTCTCTTATTTGTATTACAGATAGATGAACATTCCCCCAGCCCCCAGAAAATTGGACATAATTAGATTAGAATGGTACAAATCAGGATAGCTAGTATTGGCATAATCTTAATTTTTTATTTTTAAAATTTATTTATTTTTCTTTTACTTTAAGTTCTGGGATACATGTGCAGAACATGCAGGTTTGTTACACAGGTATACATGTGCCATGGTGGTTTGCTGCACCTATCAAAACATCATCTAAGTTTTAAGCCCTGCATGCATTAGAAATTTGTCCTAATGCTCTCCCCACCCTTTCCCCTCACCCCCTGACAGGCCCTGGTGTGTGATGTTCCCCTCCCTGTGTCCATGTGTTCTCATTGTTCAACTCCCACTTATGAGTGAGAACATGCAGTTTTTGGTTTTCTGTTCCTGTGTAGTTTGCTGAGAATGATAGTTTCCAGCTTCATCCATGTCCCTGTAAAGGACATGAACACACTCTTTTGTATGGCTGCATAATATTTCATAGTGTATATGTGCCACATTTTCTTTATCCAGTCTATCATTGATGGGCATTTGGGGTGGTTCCAAGTCTTTACTATTGTGAATAGTGCTGCAATAAACATATGTGTGCATGTGTCTTTATAGTAGAGTGATTTATAATCCTTTGGGTATACACCCAGTAATGGGATTGCTGGGTCAAATGATATTTCTAGTTCTAGATCCTTGAGGAACTGCCACGCTGTCTTTCACAATGGTTGAACTAATTTGTATTCCCGGCAACAGTGTAAAAGCACTCTTATTTCTCCACAGCTTGTCCAGCATCTGTTGTTTCCTGACTTTTTAATGATCGCCATTCTAACTGGCTTGAGATGGTATCTCATTGGGGTTTTGATTTGCATTTCTCTAATGACCAGTAATGATGAGCTTTTTTTCTTTTTTATGTTTGTTGGCCGCATAAATGTCTTCTTTTGAGAAGTGTCTGTTTATATCCTTCGTCCAGTTTTTGATTTTTGTTTGTTTGTTTGTTTCTTGTGAATTTAAGTTCCTTATAGATTCTGGATATTAGAACTCAGTCAGATGGATTAGATTGCAAAATTTTTCTTCCATTCTGTAGGTTGCCTGTTCACTCTGATGATAGTTTCTTTTGCTGTGCAGAAGCTCTTTAGTTTAATTAGATCCCATTTGTAATCTTAATTTTGACATTGAATTTTTAACTTTCATTTGATTTTCTAAAGAACAATTTATAAATAATTAAGATTTGTTTTATATACACTGAATTAATTCACTGCATATAAATACTGGCAAATACGTAATAAATCTATGTGGACATATATACAAACATGTAATTATATATATAAACACATATATGTAGTTTTTTGGAGTGCATGTATTTCACAGGGGTAAAACATTTTAAGATCTGTAAATATGTTGGGCATAGGCATGAAATAGAATATCACTGAAGTAATTGTGATCGTATGTTTTATTAGTGACAACATATGTATTTCAATTCAGGAGAACTGGTATCAATTCTGGGTATCAGGATTCTTGGGTTCTAATATCTGTGCTGACTTTACAATGACTGTAAAACTTTGGGTAAGTTAACGAATTCATGTAGGTAACATGTTCCGCAATTATTTAGTGAAGATAATAGAATAGAATATTATACCTTTTTTTCCTCTCAGGGAGTTTTAAGGTTAAAATTAAGCTAATATATAATATTGACTTTAATTAAAATTACTATTGGAACATAGTATTATTTAATAAATCAATATTTCACAAGGGAAGAAACTGTGCTAATATAACTGAGAGAAATGTTATCCCATTTATTTTGTTCGTCAGTAAGTGGATGTGGTGTTTAATTAAAAAATGACTGTCTGCCTACCATAAAAATATTAGATTATTCTTTGAGAGAAATAGTCCAGTAAAATTCTGGGATTTTGACATGAGTTCACTTTTTAATATTTCAGTTATCAAAAGTCACTGCCTAGAGGAGAAAACAGTAGAATATTGAGGAAGGTTTATAGCTGGCTTATTTATAAATACCCAAAACTCTTTGCAGACAATAAAACTACATGCCAAATTAATCGTAAACCCCACCTGCCTCTCATATATTTTTGTTAGTTAAACTTACAGAGCTTTCAGAGAATTTTCAGTCTTCTCTTAATATGCAAGACTATTGCTAATGCCTTTCCTGTGATGCTTTTATTTTCCCTTTTGGTAATGTTTGTTGGTGGTGGTTATTTTTACAGTTGATTTAAAAAAAAAATTCATCAATATCTCAGAGAGCACATGTAGCTTCAAGCGTCTTCCCTGACTAAATCTGTACTAATCTTTGGTCTAATTGTTGACCCCTCCACTCTCCACATATGTCATAAACATTTGTACTGTCGGTTGTCGGGTCTTATGTTAAGTGTGTAAGTCCCTTTAAATCTGCTCCCTGTTCTCTACTTTTTTTGCCTGGACGTAATTTCAGGTCTCACCCTCCTTGTAATGGAGTATGATAGTGACCACCGAATGGTCTCCCTACCTTCTCTGGGTTCTTTCTTCAAGCCACTCAAATGTTTCTAAAGTGCAATTAAAATCATTGTACCTTCTTGTCCACACCCTTCTAGGAATATCCACTAAATACCAAATCAAGTACTAGATCTTTGTTTATAAAGAAGCTTTTGGTGAAATGTATAATATTTGGGCTCTGGAATAGGATACGGATTGACTCTTCATTTTTCCCTGAGCAAGTTTTTGAAACTCTGAAAGCCCCACTTCTCTTATTTGTTTTAAAACCTACAAGATGACTATGAAGATTTATATCAGTTAATTTATATAATGCATCCAGATCACTGCCTGATGTACTACTGCCTGCACTCAAACAAATGCATCCTTCCCACTGCCCTAAAATAGTCACATACTTCTCTTTTCAGCTTCCTGTATATACAGTGTTCTTTCTTGTCTTCTACAAGGAAGCCAAAAGAGGGGTGTGTGTGTGTGTGCGCGCGCACGTGTGTGTGTGTATGTGTATATTTCTTCTTCTCCATTTTTTTGTTGTTTTTGCTTCTCTCTTTCCACAACTTAGAGTATTCACTGGCTGTTATATGTCTTCTTGTTTTCTTACCTATAAAAATTTTATCTGACCTTCAAGGCTCATCTCACATTCCAACTACTGCATGCATAATTTTTGAATTTATTTCCACTGAAATGTTGATTACTTCCTTTTGAAACTCCGTAGTTCTATATTCTTTGCTTATGATATCTGGCACATTCAACCTTGTATTATACTATTTGAATTTTTGTTGCTGAACTCCACTCCAGATGGTTAGCAGATTCAGGGACGACATATCTTAAGGCATCCAGCAATTTCACAAGCTAGAAATCCAATAAATATTTATGTGACAGATTATACTTTCCAAAGATGGCTGCAACAATAACTCCCATTCCACATACGTTATGTAATATAACATCGGCTATTCCCCATCAAGAGGTACAGTGTCTTTCTTCACTCTCTTGAACCTGGGCAGAAATTTTGACTATTTTGGGTAATTAGAATAGGACAGAAGTGAGGCTGTTCCTCTTGGTAGCTTTCACCTCCTGCCTCTTAGAATATTTGCTCTTAAGATTCTCCCTCTCTGGAACTCCTTTTTCTCTTTGTGTTTCAGTTTGCATAATTTCTGTTGATCTATCTGTATATATCTCCAATACTCCTTCAAGTTTACAGATTCTTTTCTTGGCTGTGTTGAGTCAATAATGAGCTTGTCAAAGTCAGCTGGACACGGTGCCTCATGCCTGTAATCCCAGCACTTTGGGAGGCTGAGGTGCGTGGATCACCTGAGGTCAGGAGTTCGAGACCAGCCTGGTCAACATGGTGAAACCCTATCTCTACTAATAATACAAAAATTAGCTGGGCTTGGTGGTGCGTGCCAGTAATCCCAGCTACTTGGGAGGCTGAGGCAGGAGAATAGCTTCAACCAAGGAGGCGGAGGTTGCAATGAGCCGAGATCATGCCATTGCACTCCAGCCTGGGCGACAACAATGAAATTCTGTCTCAAAAAAAAAAAAAGCACTTTTCTTACCTGCTATTATATATATTTTATTTCTCACATTTTCATTTGATTATGTCTTATAGCTTTCATCTCTCTGCTAAAATAACCCACCAGATTATGCATACTCTCCACCAGAGCACTTCACATAGCAATCATAGTTAACCTAAAATCACTGTTTGATATTGTAGCATCTGAATCATATATGGCTATTGTCCTCTTGATTGCCTTGTTTCTTTACACTCCTTTTTTTTTTTTCTAGTGGAAATCTATTTTGTGTAGGATATTGGAGACCAAGATAAGCAGCTTTATACCTGGAAATGGGCCTGCCTTTCCTTCAGCTGAACCCTTAATGTGAAGGCCAGGGGAAAGAGTAAATCTAGTGACACAGTGAGCTGGATTTGAGATTCGCTGTTGCTGTTGTTATCTTTAGTGTACATAGGCCTCAGATACCTCAAGTATTACCTTATTTTTAGTGTGAGAAAAGCTTTGTCAGGGGGAGTTTCTCGATATCTGTTCCATCCTCATCTTTAGAGGTTTCCTTTCTGCTTCACCTCAGACAGCATACTCTCCAAGTTCTTGCCACATTCCCTGCCGTAGTCAATTTGTTAGCTGGTTACCTAGGCAGATGGCACTCTCTTTCATTCTGATTAAGTTCCAGTAGTAGGGGTGGGGACTTCTCAGTAACACTGTTTCAGCCCCAGTTAGTCAGTCTACTGGGCCAACATATATGCCTGCCACAGTTCCAGGAGTAGATTTTATTTTCCTATTAACTTTCTGTAGATGTAGTGAGCTTTCAGTGATGGAATATGGGTGACAGTTTTTGTTGCCTTTTTTTAAAAAAATATATATATATAATTTGAACTTTTACTTTAGATTCATGAAAGATTTCTACAAGGAGAACTACAAAACGTTGCTGAAAGAAATCATAGATGTTTGTTGTCTTTCTCCAAAAATTGAAGGATTTAATTTGTAGAAGAGACAGGAAAAAATGAAGTAGATAAGGCTTCCTTTACACAGCAGCTGCTGTTCTCTCTGTCAGGTCTGTGCCATGTGGCATGGGTTCCTGTTCTGTGGAAACTCTGGGATGATTAATGTTTGTTGTTTTAAGCCCGAAGTTTTGGGCTAATTTGTTACCTAGCACTGGATCTCAATAAATATTATCTACTAGCTGCTATCATGTGGTGAAGAAACTTAAGGCTCCTGTATTAGGAAGACTTGCCTGAGGAAATAGTTTTAATAGGAAAGCTAGAATTATAAGTTAATTCTCACAATGCAAGATCAGGGTATTTGTCTACCATATTATACTGTCTGATTATTTAACTCTTAATTAATATAAATCTATTGATTAATGTATGTCTCCTATCACTTCAAGTTTGTGTGCTTTCAACTAGTCATCAACTCAGCTGTGTTTAGAAATAACCTTCCTCTTCTAAGAGCAATCGTTACTATAAGATGACATGTCTGCTTACGATTCAATAGAGGGTTATTGTGTGCATAGAAAAACCTGAGTCTAAATGAACGAGAAGATATCAGTGATTCTGTGAATAGCTATCGTGTGGCCTCTGAATAATAAAAGTGTAATTTCTGTGAATTTACCAATGCCAAGTAAAGTAGTTTGTTTTAGCTGAAGTGAAACCAGTAGAAATAAGAGAAGCTGAAGCCAAATGTTGATCTAAATAGCTGAAGGTCATACTAAGTGAGTAAACTTTCTGCAATTTAATAATTATGAAATATTATATTTCTTAAGTGTCTGTTTAGCTATAATGTTTGGCTTGATGATTTAAAAATTGAAAATGTTTTTAGTTAGGGTGGACTAACTGCTATAAAAACAAACCTAAAATCTCAGTAACTTACCATAATTAAGGTTGATTTCTTACTCACGTCACTGGTCATTAGTAAACTAATGCCTCATTGGAGTAGGTGTTTTCCGGTTAGGGCTGCTTCATGCAGGTATCATGGATCCAGGCTCCTTGTACCTATGGTTCCACACGTCTTAAGGGCTCAGTTCTCTAAATCCGCCTAGCAGAGAAGTGAAATTCAGACTGTGGTGAAAATACACATGTTCTCAATTACTTTTGCCCGGTGTTGACACGCATCAATTTCATTTTCATTCCCTCGTTGAGAACAATCACGTCTGATGGGTAAGAGGCCTGGGCAAGAAGATCTAACAGTGCGTCGAGATGAAATAAATGTTGGGAAATAACTAGCCAGTTTATGCTACAAGATACATGTCTTTATAATTGCATTTATGATTTGTGATTTCCTTTTACATCAAGAAGAAGTCAGAAAGGATTACGTATGAAATTGAATGGGAGAAAATTGTGATGTGTCAAGTAGAACAGATTAGGTAAATATATCTTTAATATCACCATTATTTCTTCTTCAAATGTTTGACATAAATCCTTAATGTTGGCTATAATTTGATATAATTTACCAGTAAATCAACTGGCATTCAAGTTATTTTAAGGCATTTATTTACAAATTTAATTTAAAAAGACAGATATAGAACGATTCAATTCTCAATCTTGTTGGACATAAAATTTTGTAAATAGCAATTAGCTCAGATTAGGTTGTTCAGATTTGTATACTTATGGATATTTTGTCACTTTGATTTCAACTACTAAGAGGTATTAAAATATCTAACTATGATTGTGAATTATTTCTTCATTTAGTTTGGCCAGGTTTTCCTTGTGTATTTTGCAGCTCTGTGATTAGATACATATATGTGAATGTTTATTACAACTTCCTGATAAATGATTTTTTTCACAATTATGAAATGTTTCCCTGCTATTAACTTTTGTTTTCAAGTTTATGTTGCCTGATCTTAATATAGCCATATAAGCTTTCTCATGCTTACTATTGGGATGGTATATTGTTTTACATTCTTTTATTTCAATGAATCTGGGTTTTTATTTTTTATTTTATTTATTTATTTTTTGAGACACAGTCTCACTCTGTCACCCAGGCTGGAGTGCAGTGGTGCAATCTCAGCTCACTGCAACCTCTGCCTCCGGGTTCAAGTAATTCTCCTGCCTCAGCCTCCCGAGTAGCTGGGATTACAGGCGTGCACTGTGAGGCCTGTATAACTTTTATATTTTTAGTGGAGAGAGGGTTTCACAATGTTGGCCAGGCTGGTCTCAAACTCCCAACCTCAAGTGATACACCTGCCTTGGCCCCCTAAAGTGCTGGGATTACAGGCATGAGCCACCATGGCTGGCCTGTGCTTTTATTTTAAAGTGTATTTTTAAAGGCGGAAATAGTTGGGTGTTGTTTTTTTAATCCAGTACGGCAATAATTTCCTTTTAATTTGAATAGTTAGTCCATTTGTGTTTAGTGCAATTATTCATGTGTTTGGACTTATGCCTATTATTTTGTTACTTGTTTTGTATTTCATCTCTTTTTTGTGTTATTTTTTATTTTATTCCTGCTTTCTTTTGAATCAGTAAAGTACTTTAACATTAATGTATTGTTTCACTTTATTTCTTTTATTTGTCCTATAGCTATGTCCCTTGTATATTTTTTATTTGCTTTTCAAGAGATTGCAATAGATATTTTCAAATTGTTAGAATCTGTTTAAGTTGTTATTGTGTCCCCATTTCGTGTAAAATGTGACTTAAAGAAACTTTTTTTTTTTTTTTTTGAGATGGAGTCTCATTCTTTCACCCAGGCTGGAGTGCAGTGGCACAATCTCAGCTCACTGCAACTCCCACGTCCCAAGTTCAAACGATTCTCCTATCTGAGCCTCCCAAATAGCTGGGATTACAGACCCATGCCACCACGCCTGGCTATTTTTTGTATTTTCAGTAAAGATGGGGTTTTGCCATGTTGGCATGGCTGGTTTCGAACTCCTGACCTAAGGTTGTCTGTCTGCCCCAGCCTCCCAAAGTGCTAGGATTACAGGCGTGAGCCACCATGCCCAGCCAACTTAAAGAAATTTAACAAAGTTATTATCCTTCCCTTTTTTGGTCATATATTTTACTATTACTTCATACTGCCCTCAGCTATCTGAGGTCTTTGATACAGTTTTAATATTTTTATTTATTCTTTAGATTGAATAATGTTTATTAATTTTTCTTCAAGTTCATCAATTTTTCTTTTGTAGGTGTTTAATGCTGTTATTTCAATCCAGGCTACTTTTCATTTCGGATCATGTACTTTTAAGTTACAGAATTTCCATCCATTTCTTCATAACTTCCCATTTCTCAAGACTTCCCACATTTTCATTCACTTTATCCATTTTCTGCCTTGCAGTCCTTTGATATATGTTTAGCAACTTAAAAACAACAACAACAACAACAACAAAACCCTTGTCCCTGCTAATTCCAACATCTTTTTACCTTGGTGTCTCTTTTGATTTTTTTTTTATCTTGATCATGGGCTATATTTTTCTTCTTCTTTACATAGATTGTAAATTTTTATTGTATATTGGACATCATGGGTGACACTTGCAATATCTGAATTCTATTGTTTTTCTGTAAAAGGTATGGTGATTTGTTATGGCAGGCAGTTTAATTATGAGGCATCCTCTTGATTCTATCAGGCTTAATTTTATTTTTTATTAGGACAGATCTGTTTTAGTTTTGTCCTAAGAATTGCCCTTACTCTTTAAGTGTAGTCTTTCAAGGTTTACCAGAGCCTCCCAATTATATACATCTGTACTGAGAAAGTTCTCATACCTATGTTTGCCTTCCAAACCCACAGCAGCCGTTCTCAGTTAGTGCTCATGGACTCTAGCTGTGCATATTACAGCCCAGCCTTTATTTAAAGACTCCATGCAAATGTCTGCTATTGCTCCTATGCACAGCTTTTTCCCTTTTAGACCCTGAAATCCTCGCCTCTTCTCCAAGCTTGAAACTTGCACCAGCAGTGTAGTGAGACTGTTGTCTCTTTTGGATTCATTCTCTCTCCACTGTGCAGTGAAAAGTGCCCCCAGGCTGGAATCCAGTCCAGAAACAGGTATAAAATGATATGTTTTCCTTTTTCAAAAATCATATGCCTGCATTTTAATTTTTGTTGTCTCAAATATTTCCAGTTTCATAGTAGTTTATAGAAGGAGGCATGTCTTTTCCCGGTTCCTCCATTATGATAAAAATTAGGAATCCCAGTTGAATCAACTCTCGTAATAAATAATTAATAGAAGGTGAAGTCTGTTTTTCTCTTCATATCTTGCCTTTTTTTACATCACATAGCTCAGGTATTGTATGAATACAATGTAGAGTCCTGGGTGCTCATTTGTACAGCTAATTATAATGATTATAATTAATATATAAATACTGATCACCCTATCTAATTTTTAAAATTAAAAAAATCAACAGCAATATCAATTCAACTTTAGATCCCACTTATTCAATAGGCAATCACAGCAATTGCCTTAATTAGAAAAGTTATTGGTAGAAGAAAAGACAAACAATAAAATGAGGACTACAACTTTCTGAAAACCAAACCAGGCCTTTTTTTTCTTTTTTCTAAAAATAACTGTGTCCTTCTAATGAGTACTTCTATAGATATAATACCATGGGAAATTAATGACAAGTGGGAAAGGGAGCTTTTTCAAATTCACACAGGTTCTCCTACTCTGCCAGCATGAAAATACTTTTGACAATAATAAAATATGATTTTGTTTTCATCATACATTTCCAAAAATCCAGTGTTAATAATAAATAAATTAAACTGAATAGGATTTAATATAGGAAATCCTGAGTTACAGCTAACTGGAAACCAGAGGTCTTAGAAAATGTAAGTGCCAGTTCCAGTGAAAAAGTATGTAGTATATCCTACTAGTTGTCTTTGGAGTATATATGCAATTAATTAAAATAATTTGACTTCTAAACCTTGTACTGAGTGAAAATCAGAATAGAGTACTTTACAATCAATAGAGTATGTTAAAAACTTTTAGTTAGCTACTAAGATAATGAAATTTCAATTTTGTTAAAAGAAGCATTTAAAACCATTTTTACTATGTTGGGAGTGTTATCTATTCTTATTTAGTTATTCCAAAGTTATACTCTATATCTTATTGACTCCTATTTTCTTCATTTTAAGACTACATATTAATTTCACTGGCTTATTATTTGGATTCAGACACCACAAAAACTAATTAGAAGATATTTTAATGTTGTAAATGTGATTGATTAATATTCTTACAGTTTATATTCTTAGGTGTCTTAGAAAGGTACTTCAATCTGACTTTAAATTCTGTAAGAGTGTCTTTTTAAAATCTTCTCTACTACTCTTATTTATCACCACTCATTACACATCACAACAGACACTTATTTCATATAATTTTCATGTTACATGTTTCCTAGTATGTATCAAGAAGAAAGAATGGAAGAGCACTCAAGCTTTCTCCAATGCTGACATTTTGAAAATGTCATAGTTTATAGGGAAATAATGAAAAACCATATTATATGGCAGAACATTCTGACCTTTTGCTCAGAAATTGATAAGAGTTCTTGGGCAAACTCTGTAAAGAAACTCAGAGGTAAAATTCAGTTACTAATAAGTAATTGAAGATTTCAGAGGTCACAGCATGAGCAACAATTTGTTCTAAAAGTTAGGGCATGGAATAAATTTATTTTTCAATTATCAATTTCCCCTCTAATGTTATTTCAGGGGCAACAGACATGTGAATGTGTGTGTGTGTGTGTGTGTGTGTGTGTTTGTGTGTGTGTGTTTAAGGCAGCTTTGGATATAGATTTTTAAAGTATTTTTTAAAGGTTAAATTGAGGTATACTTGGCATATAACAGGTTGCACATAATTACAACAAACAACTTGATAAAATTCGACGTATGTGTATACCTGGGAAACCATCACCATGTTCAAGATAATGAATATGTACGTCACAGGCAAACTTTCCTGGTGCCTCTTTGTACTCCATTCTTCCCTATTCCAACCCCTAAGCAATAACTGATCTACGGGCTTTCTCTCACTGTGGACTATTTCACATTGTCAAGATATTTTTGTAAATTAAATCATACTGTATGTTCTTAATTATCTGGCTTCTTTCAACAAAATTATGTTGAGACTCATTCATGCTGTAATACATATCAAGAGAAGATTACTATTTATTGCTGAGGAATATTTTGTATGTACATAACACAGTTTGCTTTTTCATTCACCTGGTGATGGAAATTTCAGTTGTTTCAAGGTTTTGGCTATGAAAAAGCTGTATAAATGTTTGCATACAAATGAGATGGCTGGATCAGAGTAGGCATATTTTTAACTTTTAATGAAACTGCAAAATGGTTTTCTAAAGCTGTTGTACCACTTTACTTTCCTCCCAGCAGTATATGAAAGTTCCAGTTCCTCAACCTCCTTGCCAGGATTTGAAATGATCGGGTTTAAAAATATTTTTTTTCAACTTTTATTTTAGAATCAGGAAGAACACATGCAGGTGTGTTACAAGGATACATTACATGATTCTGAAGTTTGGAGTATAAATGAATCTGTCACACAGGTAGTGAGCATAATACCCAATAGGTAGTTTTTTTCAACACTTAACCCCCTCTCTCGCTCTCCCCTATGACATTCTCCAATCTCTGTTGTTCTCATTTTTATGACCATGTGTACCCAGTGTGTAGTTCGCCCTTACAAGCGAGAACACGCAGTATTTGATTTTCTGTTCCTACATTAGTTTGCTGAGGATAATGGTTTCCAACTGCATCCATGTTGCTGCAAAGATCACGATTTCATTCTTTTATATGCCTACATAATATCCAATGGTATATATGTACCACATTTTCTTTATCAGATCTACTCCTGATGGGTACCTGGGTTGATTCCATGTCTTTGTTATTGTGAATAATGCTGCAATGAACATATGAGTACATGTGTAGTTTTGGTCGAAACTTTTTTTCTTTGGATATATATACCCAATAGTGGAATTGCTGAGGTGAATGTTAGTTCAACTCTCGGTTCTTCAAGAAATCTCCAAACTGCTTTCCACAGTGGCTGAATTAATTTACTTTGCCACCAACAGTTAATAAGTATTCCTTTTCTTCACAGCCTTACCAGCATCTGTTATTTTTTTAATAATAGCTATCTGTATTTTTTAAATAATAGCCATTCTGACTCATATGAGAGGTGTCTCATTGTGATTTTGATTTGCATTTCTCCGATGATTAGTGATGAAGAGCATTGTTGCATGTTTATTGGATGCTTATATGTCTTCTTGTGAGAAGTGTCTGTTCATGTTCTTTGACGACTTTGTTTTTTCCTTGTTGATTTAAGTTCCTTATATAATCTGGGTAATAAGCCTTTGTTGGATGCATAGTTTGTGAATATTTTCTCCCACTCAATAGGTTGTCTGTTTACTCATTTGATAGTTTCTCTTGCTATGCAGAAGTTCTTTAGTTTAATTGCAGCCTATTGTTACAGGAAAGGGGTTCTGATGCAGACCCCGAGATATGGTTCTTGGATGTCGCACAAGAAAAACTCAGAGCAAGCCTGTAGAGTAAAGTGAAAGCAAGTTTATTAAGAAAGTAAAGGAATAAAAGAATGGCTACTCCGTAGACAGTGCAGCCCCGAGGTCTCCTGGTTGTTGATTTTTACAGTTATTTCTTGATAATATGCTAAATGAGGGGTGGATTATTCATGCCTCCCTCTTCTAGACCATATAGGGTAACTTCCTGATGTTGCCATGGCATTTGTAAACTGTCATGGTGTTGGTGGGAGTGTAGCAGTGAAAATGACCTGAGGTCACTCTCGTCGCCATCTTGGTTTTGGTGGGTTTTGGCCAGTTTCTTTATTGCTACCTGTTTTGTCAGTAAGGTCTTTACGATCTGTATCTTGTGCTGACCTCCTATCTCATCCTGTGACTTAGAATGCCTTAACCATCTGGGAATGCAGCCCAGTAGGTCTCAGCCTTATTTTACCTAGTGCCATTCAAGATGGAGTTGTTCTGGTTTACATGTCTCTGACACTATTAGTCATTTTTGTTTGTTTGTTTGGAATAGTCAGTCTTTTAATTTACCTTTTGTAAAACATATGTAGTTGTATCTCGTGGTTTTAATTTTTGCATTTTTCTAATGACTATGAAGAAACACCTTTTCCTATGTTCATTCAGCATCTACTTAGGTTAATTTTAAAAGCGCTGTTCAAAGCGTTGGCCCGTTTTATGTTGGGTCGTTTGTTTTTAATCATTGAATTTGGAAAGATTGTTAGATTATTTTGATTCAAGCCCTTCATGGTATATATGCTCTATAAATACATGTGATATATTTTTTGCAAATATTATCTTCTAGTATATGACTTGTCTTTTCAGTCCCTTAACAGGGGTTTTTGAAGATCAGAATTTTTTCATATTAGTGAGCTGTAATGTATCATCTGAATAGAAATGGGTTGTTCTTTGGTACTGTAAACCAAAAACATATGTGAAACAAGTCTCAATCAATTTAGAGGTTTATTTTGCCAAGGTTAAGGACCGTAGCCTGTGACACAGCTCAGGAGGTCCTGAGAACATATGCCTAAGGTAGTTGGGTTCCAGCATAATTTTGTACATTTTCAGGAGACAGAAGTTATAGGCAAGGACATAAATCAATGTTAGTTACACATTGGTTCAGCCCAGAAAGGCGGGATATCATAGGTAGATTGAACAATTTTCTGACTTGCAATTGGTGAAAGAGTTAAGCTCTGCTTGAAGATTTGAAGTGTCTGTGAGCAGCCCAGTCCCCTAGCCGCGCGGCCAGGCAAAAAACCTGTGTCTGAGTACTCCGTTCAACCATTGCTCAGCCAGGGTCTGAGGGTCAGACCCAGCAGGTCAGCTGTGTCTAAACTCCAAAGGGAGGAGGGTAAAATGAGTCATGTCTAACCTTCTTCACTTTCTGCAAGGGCCTGAACTAATTTTTCAAAAGTTTTTGGAATCCTCTTGGCTGAGAGGGTTATCCATTCAGTCACTTGGGGGGATTAGAGATTTATTTTTGGTTTACAGTATTGTATTCCAGCAATCTTTGCCTAGTCCAGAAATTTTAAAGCTTTACATTTCACATGTAGGCATATCATCAGTTGAGTTAATTATTGTATATGACATGAGATTTGGATCAAAGTTAATTTAAATTTTTTTTTATTTTGTATAAGTTATTTCAATAATTCTTTCACAGTTTTGAAAGAATTTTCCCAACTAAATTGCCTTTGTAGAAAATCTGTTGTCCATATATATGTGGCTGTCTAATCTCTTCCATTCATCTATGTATCTGTCTTTATGTCAATACCACCCTGTATGATTACTGTGACTTTATGCATCTTTTGTACTTGGTCATCAGCTATCTATATCCAGATGGTCTCCAACTTATGGTGGCTTGACCTGTGACTTTTCAACTTAACTATGGGTTCATCGAGGTATTAAATGCATTTTCAACCTACAGTATGGGGTTTTATCTCGGGTTTAACAGGACATATCCTCATTATAAGTCAGGGAGCCCCTGTATTTGTAATCATTATACCTTTTTGATATACTGACCCTTTATAATTATAAAATATTCTTTAACTCTGGTAATATTTTTTGCTTTAAAATCTATTGTCTTTGTTTTAAAATCTGTTAGTACAGCCACTCCAACTTTCTCTTGATCACAGACACCTGGGATTTAGCCTCAGCAGCCAGAAGCTGGGAGTAGGATAAAAAATGCTAAAGTCCTTATCCTCTGGAGAAGGAAATTCTCCAACTGAGAGCTAGGGTGGGGAGTGGGAGGATGAGGGAGCCCTGTGTTTTTGGCTACTGCAGTCTGGAGAGGGGTCTGCTTCACTGAGCTGGAAAGGAGGGAGGGACTGGTATAGGTTCAAGTTCTGTCTTATCACCCTTCCTAACCAATTTTTGTAGATTTTCTTGAATACGTGTTTCTTCTTGTACTTGGTCCTCTCAGGATCAACTCCAGAAGGTTTAAATGGTTGGATTAGTTTTTGAAAAATAATGTCTCCCAATTTCCCTGGGGATTGTGTCAGTGGAGCTTTTCATGTTGTCATACCTAAAGTCAATCTCTGGAATTTCTAATTTGTACAAAAAATTTTGCTTTTTAAAAAGTATGAAGTAAAGATGACAATATGTTCACATGTATTACAGCTTGGTACTTACATGGGTTTCAGTTATATTATTTTCTCTGATGTTTTTACGTCTGTAATATTTTATAGTTTTAAAAAAGAAGAGAAAATTGCTAGGAGGGTGTATATCACTGGAAGTATCGTGGCACTGGCTGAACTGTTTTGCATCTTTATTCCATGTGTAAGATAGACAGGTCAATCATAATCTGGCAGTATTGCTCAGGTTGTGATTAATCACAATTAAGATTTATTTACATATAACTTATCACTATTACTGCCCACTTCAGACCTCCATCGCTCACTGTGGGTCCCCATTGTCTACACAATCCAGTCCACATTTATGAGCAGATAATTTACATAATTTTATTATCAGGACAAAGTCTGCTTCTCCAGCCTTATCATCCACTTCTCTATTTGTACGGCTTTTAGCCATTATAGAATATTTAATATTACTCATGTATACTACACTTTCATTTAAATCTGTTTTTTGTATTTTCTTTGAACTGAAATTAGCATTCTCCATACTCCATCTGAAGAAATGGTAGTCATTGTCTAGGATGAGCTCATATATTATTTTCTTTATGAATACAATTAGTAGCTAAAAATTACTGAGCTTGTGTATGTGTCAAGCGAACTGCATACAATTCCAAATTTAATTTACTATCTTTGGAAAGAAGGTATTTTTACCCTCATAAGTGCATAAAGTACATTAGAATGAGTGAATTAAATCCCAGATTGCTATGTCATAGCCAATATATCAGTATTTCTGACACCGTAGCCTAGTATCTTTCCTCTAGCACGTTCAGGTTTCAGCCAAGTTTTCTTCAATATTTTCCTCCTCAGTTCTCTCACCTCACTTTCCACACCCAGTGTACTTACTTGCTCCTTCCTCTCTGTCAACTGAGAATGTTCTTCATAATGCTGAGTCATAGTTCATAATGCTGACTTCATTCTCTGATCACTTTGATATTTGATATTTGCAAGAGAGTGTAATTCATTTAATAAATTATGAAATTATTGAGGCTTTTTTTGTTTTTATTATATT
The DNA here is from genome assembly GCF_000001405.40 of Homo sapiens. Classification (NCBI taxonomy): domain Eukaryota; kingdom Metazoa; phylum Chordata; class Mammalia; order Primates; family Hominidae; genus Homo; species Homo sapiens. The sequence continues at coordinate 196,078,772 of NC_000001.11, read as the reverse complement.
CAGTAACAAGAATCATGAGAAAAACAGAAAAAGTATCAGAAAATATTTGTCGAGTCTTCAGATTTTACAGTTCTTGTTTTACTAGATAAGTAATTATGAAGGTTTGGGACTTATTTTTACAATGTGACAGTATTTACCTTTTTACTTAATTAAATTTAAAATTTATTCCACAGAGGCCAATAAAATATTATTAAAAAGAGATATATATATGTATGTATATAGTATCCAGTAAAAATTGTGCATTAAATTTTACCTGTAGCTTTAAAAATTAGGCTTAAAATTTTATGTAAACAAATCAAATTCACATGGATACATATGAGTAATACAAAACAGTTAAAATAATTTATTTGAATTATATTGCAGTGTAAACATAGTTTACTTAATTCTTCATGTATTAGCTCTGACAGATAGGAAATTTATTTCAAACCCTTGAGTTCAATTTTTCAGTCTTTTGCTTTCTCCCTAATCTTTAATGAAATAATATTTTTAAAAGTCACACTAGCAAAACATGAGGTAATAGATATCATAAACCATTTATTAAAAAGGACACTTTGCGAATAATTATCCTGATGCCATTTGAAATGGCATCTTCATGTATTCTGTATCTTGCTGCAATTGATCTAGCATTAATCAGTTATAATGCCCAGGAAAACTGATGTTCATTCATTTTGGTCAAGGATAAAATGTGAAACTGTGTCAAGTCACTGGAGGATTCTTTTTTTATAAATATCCTATTCTTAAATTTTACTATGCATATCTACTTCCATTTAGGCATCCTGAATATTAATAAATCTCAATGTATAAAGTATGTACAACAGGGATTTTTAGCACATATAATGGAGTCAGAAATTTGTAGTTTCTTTTTCGGTTAAATCTCTTGTCTTCCAAATTTCTTTTTCTTCTGCTTTCTTCTTTTCTTCCTATTTTTAACACAAAGTTGAAATTGCTGGCATATTTCAAGCAACATTATAATCTTCAGAGAAAGAGAAACAAGGGCTGTATGCTTTTTTTAAAAAAATGTAGTCTTAAATAGACAAGCATTGCCAGTAGATTATATTACATATAATGACAATGACAGTTATTTGATATTGTGTGTGATGTGTGCATGAATGCACAATTGTGTATGTATCAAAGTAGTAATTTGAAATAAGATGGAGCAAAGAGTTCTGTTATCATTTAATCATATGCTACATCAAATAGGTATATAAAATATTTAAAACTCAGAAAAATTATGTTTATTTAAATTACAATTTAGAACAATGCAGTTATTTTCACTTGCTTTCCTCATCATTTTCTCTTGTAATTTTCACACAGATTTCAAATATCATTTTAAAAGTGATATATCTAAATAATATAAACACAAAACTTTACTGTTTTATGCAGTATATCAACTGTACTCATGTCTTTTGTTTTTGAAAGTAAAACATATTTACATGTATTCCACTTGCCTTTAAAATTGATAAAAATGAAGATTGAAATGAAATTATCATCATCCTGTTGACAGAATGAAAATTCTCATTTTAGTAGATAAAGTAATAGGACCTAATCATAAGAATAGCAAATGAACATAACACTCTCACGTCAGTGAATAACCAGTAAAAACTGACCCCAGTGCAAAATATTACGTGAGTTTCTTTGGATGCCACTTCTTTCCTTCCTATGGGGGTTGATTTTAAACAAGGATAAAGTCATGAGCTATGTTAGGTGAGGGAGAAGAAATTAGTGGAAGTGATTTTTGTCCAGAAATACTTGGAGTCTTATCAAGTAGTCCTAGCTTATCTATTGCTTTTTGGTTATTTCCTTGGCTAAGCAATGCATACTTAACACAACAGCATGAGAATAGCTCTCATAGGACCACGTGTGAAAAGCATTGACTGCATCCGCTTAGTTTTGCTGCTTTTTCTCATATAGTATTTCATTTGATGCTCACAAAACTGCAGGACAAGTTTTATTCTTTCCATTTAGCAAATAAGAAACAGGCTCTCAGAAGGTGTCATATATAAGAATCAAATAGCTAATGATTGTTTTGTTAGGACTTAAACCAAAATCATATTATCTCCCATCTAATTCTCTTTTCACCATATTGCATCTATTGTGGCAAATTCAGTAAGCGCTTCAAGGATGGCAGGTAATTTAAAAGCTTCTTTATCCCCCAAACAACCCTGAAGTTTAGTGTTAGAATGTCTATTCTTCAGATGCAAAAATGTAGCTGAGATAAAATAGATGATTTGCTCAAGAAGTTAGTGGTGTTCAAAAATTGTGCATGTGTCTCAGGTTGCAAAGTCTCTATCATACATTTTTTCTGTCACAACCATTCACTGGAAAAGTGGAAGTTTATAAAACTGAAAATTGTATAGCCTTATAAACAAGTCTTGAATTCTTTAATTAAACCTGGGCTGTGAACAGAGGCAATCACATACATGGGAGTGTGGCAAAAATTTATAGGAATATATAAAATATTAATGCAATAATTAGTAATTTGACTTCAACAAGTTGAAACTTCATTTATTACTTCATGTGCATCATAAAATATTTATTAAAGCATGAAGTAATCAATATTTAATAGGTAGCCAGATTTATCTTTCCAAGCATTACTCAATAATTTTTTCAATAAAATGGATATTTAAAAAATATTAAGCTCTGTTCAGATGCAGTAGCTCATGCCTTTAATCTGAGCACTTTGGGAGGTTGAGGCAGGAGGGTCACTTGAGTCCAGGCATTCAAGACAAGTCCAGGCATATGGCAAAACTGTGTCTCCACTAAAAATACAAAAATTAGCCAAAATACAAAAAGTAGCCGGGTGTGGTGTGACCCTGTAGTCACAGCTACTTGGGGGTGTGAAGCAGGAGAATAGTGAACCCAGGAGGCAGAGGATTCAGTGAGCTGAAAGTGTGCCACTGCACTCCAGCCTATTTTGAGTTATTAAATTAATTACATTAATTTTTAAAAAAACAAATATATAAAAAATAAACAAATATATGCCACATATATAGTTAATATTACATATTAATTATGTAAGTGATGTATATTTATTTGTGTATATATATATGACTAAATATATACTTTATATATACATATAAGACTAAAATCCTCTTTGGCCACTTTTTGGAGCTATTGTTTACTATTAAGACTGCAAAGCCATAATTCTTTCCCTCCAAGCTTCTTGAACTTTGAAATAATATCTACCACTTATTGCATTTTCTCAGAAATATGGAAGCATATTTCTCAGAAATATGGAAGCAAAGAACAATAATGACAATTTACCCACATTCATGTTTTGACTATTATTCCATTTTAAATGCATATATATGTGCAGATATATGTATGACTGTTTACATACATATCATCTAAGGGTAAGTGTGTGTGTGTGTTTTTAATCACTCTCCATTCTTCAACTGAGGAACTATTTGTATCACATAGAGAAAGATAGAAGAATAATTTTTTATATTGTTAAAGTGGCCCTTAAAATTTTTGTTGTGAATTCCTTATTATTTCTTTTACCAGTTATTTCTTTTCTGCTTCACCAAAGCTTCACTGAGTAAATTTTTAAGTAAATATCTGTCTTGAAGTAACTCTCCTTAAATGGATAAATGAGGTCAGCTGTCTTTTATATGGCCTCACACAATTGTGTACCTTATGTTTATACATTTACCATAATTATAATTTTCTATTTATTTGTGATAATTTAATTAAAATCTTAGTTTCTTACCAATATGACATTTGTGAAGGTAGGGGCAATGTCTACTTTTGCCCACTTTTTTACCTCTTTGTGCTCAAAATAATATCTGGAATATATTAATAAATATTTTTAAGTGAAATAGTTAGGGCTAATTCCCAGTTCATTTTTCTCCTCTCTCTGAAACTTTATATAATAAACATTTTTCCATGGAGCTAAATATGTTGAACTTAAATTGCACGTGCAAATATTGTGATATTTTCAATAATACACAGCTCTTTTTTATTCATACTCATTTTAGCTAATATTTTTGCATTACATTTTATTCTGGCTTTACCTCTCCAAGAAAGATATTTAATTCTGTAGCATATATTGTTAGTCTGCAGATGACACTTAATTTTATGAGGCTAACTTGCAACCTTCACAACCTAACAAGCCCTTTCTGTGTTCACTATCAGAAAAGTTTCAGAAAAGTTTATTAGTTAGGTATTATACATAAAGGTCTCAAATGTCTCTTTCCATATCCTTTAACTCAATTTTCTTTCATGTTATGTTTAATAGTATTAGGTATGGTATCAGTAGCATTATATGTTAAACTACTTTGAGTTTTAAGAATGTGATATTTTAGCCTAACAGGGATATATCCATTTAGTTTTGAATCTGTGTGGCCACTTTTTACTTTTTCCTGAGTGTCATCAGGAAAATTGCTTGCTGTCTCTGTTTCCTTATCTTTTATATGAAATTAATAATGACCACTAGTTAATGTGGGGATAGATAAAATTGGAAATAGTTAAAATATATGTATTTTTGTTTGTGTGTGTGCATCCTGGTGGATAATATACCTTTAGAAATGGTAAGAATAATAGGTGCTAGTACAGCTTTAAATAAGGCATTAATAACATTGACAGTAATGTAGTAATGACATTTTAAAAGGAGAATGTCAGATCAGTAGTGAATAGAATAAAATTTGTAAGACCTACTATTCCTTCACCTAATGCACACACACACACACACACACACACACACACACGTTTAGAACTAAAGCCACTGAAGAATAACAGTACTTTTGGCATAGAAGTATAGCCATCCTCACCTGGTTGCTTAAGTAAGGTGTCCTTTAAACGGTTACATTGTTAATATTTGAAGTCAGTTTTCCAGAAGAGCTATTTTCTCCATTTAGTAGACTTAAACACATATGCACCCATTCATAGCTATGGTGGATGCTTAAGATTTAAAATGCAAAATATTTATTATTTAGATGTTCTTGCTTGCAATTAAACGCGCAGAAGAGAGGCAGAATCCATTTTCCCATCTCTTTGGCTCTTTCTGCTAGTAAGCAGAGTTGTGAAAATTTGAGTTTTATATGTGGCAGTATTCCATTGTTCATCCTCTGGCCTTGGTTTGTTGGCTATGCAGCGTCAGTGGCATATTCATGTATGTTCTTTATTTCCTGGGTTGAAGATATCATTTTGTGTCTATGAACTGATGCCTTCAATGGCCTCGGAGGTATCTCTGGTAGGCCAGTTTTGCATGATCATGGGATTCATTCTAAGGTAACTTCAGCATTTCCAACAATTTGGTAACACCCAGTTCTCCATATTATTTTCTTTTTCTTAGAATACTTCGAGTGGTTTGTGTTCTGCCTTGGATTGATTTTTGCTGCTATGAGTCTCGTGAGGAACTCTGTAACCTACTAACTTTTTTTCCTCTTACCTTTACTCTTATGTATTAACAGATTAAGGGCAGTGGTTCTTAGAAAAGTCATATATTATTTGCCACCTCCCAAAGTTATACACGAAATTCAATTTGTAAAACTTGCAGGCTAAATGCAATATTGTCATTTTTATTTGCTCTTCTTACCTAGTAGCAATAAAGAATTCAGGGCAAAATTTAAGTGTTTAAAAAAAGAGTCTATGATAGTTTTTATTAAATATTTTGAAAACAAGATTTACTCTGCAAGCCATTTCATAGCATTTATAATCTACATTGCTGGTCCTCAATCATAATATTATGACGTGTATAACAAATTACTTTTAACTAATGATAAGGTGCTTAGTACTTTGACTGTGTAGCTTTGCAAAATTAGAGAGGTTTCAAAGTTATTCTCTCATTGATGTCACTCTTGCTCATTTTATTGAAGCATTATTTTTTAAATAGTGGTGGAAGTAGAAGGCATGTGTCTTGAGCACTACTAATTATGCATTATGGTCCAGCTAACTACTCTGTGACAGAGCTCTTTGGGAACATTAAAAATGATAATTACAAGCTAGTTTAGTACTGATATTGCCATGGCTGTAGGTTGGATTTGTGCACAGTATACATTTTTAGATTCAAGAAATATTTATAGAGCTTCTACTCTGCAGGGTAGTGATGGTGCAATGATGAAACGGACAAAGACCTGGCATCAAAGAAATTTTTAGCATGCATGATGGACATTAACCAGCCAAATATACAACTTGTTATATATTAATAACTGTTACAGTTATTAGCAGTTATTTGAAATTACTAGCAATTAATTAATTGTTTAATCATATGATTGGGAAGTTGAAAGTCTCAAAGGTTAAGAAACATTTTCCTTATCATGGGCCATTTAAACTGAGGTTTTAAGGAATGAGTAGAAAGATGATATTGAATGAAGGAGAGGAGAGCTTTGTCCAAGCATAGGGAATAATATATGCTGTATGTAAATTCATACTGGAAAGAAATGAGGCAACTCTAACAACAAAAAGAGGACCTCTAGCTGTTTTATAAAGATCACAGGGGCAGATTAAAAGAATTCAGTTATAAAAGCAACGTGGAGCTATTGGAGGTTTCAAGGAGAAGAATGATGTATTAGTTTTGGATTTTAGAAAGATACTTAGGATGGAAAATTGATCCGAGGAAATTTGTGGGAAGGCTAATTATGATGCCATTTTCTTAATCCAAGCAAAAGGTGATAGTAAGCTGGATGAGGGTATTGGTAGTGGTGTATCAGCTGAAAGATGACAGAGAAGTGTTATATAGATATTATTCAAAGTCATATTACTCTAAATTGTATCAAAGAAAAAGCATCAGTTTTAATCTCTAATGTAACCAAATCATATTTTTTCAGACTATTGTTGTGTGCATTAAATCAAAACAAATGAAAAACTGAATTATTTGTGTTGTGATATGGTTTTGCTTAGAGCTAAGAATTTTCAAATTTATTTCATTTGAGAATAAAAATATTGTTCAAACAAAAATAACAAAAATAAAGGTAGGTGGCATAATCACTAATCCTTTTTAACTAAGCAATAATATGATTCTTGTTTGTGTAATGTGTAGGGAGAGGGAAAACCCCCCTGGGTTTTCTGATTTATTGGAACTCTTTTGAAATTCAACAAGCAGGATTAAGATTGTTGAAAGCCCAAGGTGTCTAGAGAGTTTGTGTAGTCTAGCATGGAGGCTTTGCTTGTCAGATGTCTCAACTACAGTGAAAGGTAACACTAGCATGACAGAAATGGTACTTGCTGAACATGTTTATAATGCCCCTGGGATGAGATGTCTAATGCAAACATAACCACACAATTCCCTTCCTGAGTTATTTGTTTCTAACATCAGCGTTTTCAGGAAACTAGACAGTTTTTCAATGTAATTTTTCTTAAAGTTCCAATTAACCACATAATTAATGAAAAGTATTGAGAATACATTTTAGCACTTTTAACTTACAAAAGTCAATGTGGTGTGTTTGCTTATAGAATGTGTTTTCTTTTTATTTAATAGCAGCTAACAACTTACATATTGTCACATTAAAATTGTTGATATCTTTACTGGAGACATTCTCACTCTTTATCACAGTCCCTATATTTATAACATATTGAAAGAAGGCTGTTAGAGCTCATAAATACGTTGATTGTAGTCCTCCTTATGTAGAGATTTTGATATAGATTACTAAAAGGAGTATATAGTAGTGTGTGATCTGATGTGTGATCACCATAGCAACAGTAAACAAAAAAGCAAAACACGAGAAGTTGAAGCAAAAATCTGGGCTCTTAAGTTTAAGAAAGTTTAATTCTATCAAGATTTAAAAAGCAAACACTGATTTTTAGAGTCACAGTCAGAAAATTAGAGAGATGATGAAATGAAAAGCTCTTTGAGCAATGTTATAATTTGCTGCTCTTCCTATTTTTTTAAGCCATGCCTAGCAGTAGACTGGGGGTTTTCTTTGAAGAGATTGATCTAGAATGCCTCTGGTTTCAGGAAAATGGACACATTTTAAGATAAGGGTAAAGTGCTGGAATGAATGAGGATGCAACAGAAACTCTCATTCCTTGCTGGTGGGAAAGCAAAATGGCACAGCCACTTTGGGAGACAGTTTGGCAGTTTCTCACACAACCAAATATAACCTTACCATATGATCATCCTCCTTTGTATTTACCTAAAGGAATTGAAAATTCCTTTATAAATGGATGTTTATAGTAGCTTTATTCATAATTGCCAAAACTTGACAGAAAAACTGGTACCTTCAGACAATGGAATATCATTCAGTATTAAAAAGAAAGGAGCTATCAAGCCACGAAAAGACATGCAGGAACCTTAACTGCATATTACTAAGTGAAAGAAGCCAATCTGAAAGAACTACAAATATCAGGAGTTTGGGGAGAGAAAGATGATCTTTAGGGCAGTGAAGCTACTCCGTATGGTACTTTAACGGTGCACACAGGTTCATTATATATTTGTCCAAATTCATAGAATGTGCAACCCCAAAATGAACCCTAATGTAAACCACCGACTTTGAACGATAATGATGTATCAATGTAGGTTTATCTATTCTACCAAATGTACCCTCTGGCAGAGGATGTTGATTAAGGAGCTATGAACATACAGTGGTAGAGGGTATGCGAGGAAGTCTCTGTTCCTTCCTTCAATTTTTCTATAAACCTAAAACTTTTCCAAAAAATAAAAGCTATTAAAAAAACAACAACAGAAGGAAGAAATGAAATGTATACCGCTGGTTGAGATATAGTTCATTTAAAATAATAAAGAGAATGCCAGTGAATCAACAAATTTTACACAGAAGTACACACATTTCCTGAATACAATTTATAAACTCATTATTTAAATATACATAGTTTATTCCACTATATATTTAGTCATTTTTAATAAATCTATTTTTAAATTTTATAATATAAGCTCTTAGTTTCATTACTGAGTCAAATACTTTGAGGAGAGTTAGCTAAATTGGACAAACCTACTTGAAAATAGTAGATAAATATTTTATATCCCAAATGAAAATTGGAAAAACAGAAGCCCTCACAAAATGGTCATTGAGTAGTATGCATTTTTTTTGAGCATTCTGTCATTTGCATGCTGTCTTTATATTGCTCATGCTATTTTTCTTTTTTGTTTAAGGCAACTAAACTACTATGGCTAAAGACATAGTTCTTTCTCAGTTAATGTACCCTGATGAGGTCTTCTGAAATATGCTTACTATAGGTTTCTCTCATTGCTCATGTTTCCCTTTTGTAGTTGGCTATATTTTATACACCTCTGACTTTCCACACAAAGAGAACTACTTATAGATTCAGTGCTACAGAAATCTTCCCCTCTTTATGGCTCTAGTACTCTAGCTATCAAATTTCTTTAATAGTTAATACACACAAGTAGGTACACATAAAAAATGAAACTTACACAAAGGCAGATCATTATTTATATATAATTTATCAATTGTGATGCAAATATCTAGAGTACTATTAGATATAAAATATTGTGTTGTAGGCCGGGCGTGGTGGCTCACTCCTGTAATCCCAGCACTTTGGGAGGTCGAGGTGGGTGGATCAAAGGTCAAGAGATTGAGACCTTCCTGGCCAACATGGTGAAACCCTGTCTCTACTAAAAATACAAATATTAGCTGGGCATGGTGGTGTGTGCCTGTAGTCCCAGCTACTCAGGAGGCTGAGGCAGGAGAATCACTTGAACTGGGAGGTGGATGTTGCAGTATCTGAGATCACACCATTGCACTCCAGCCTGATCACAGAGTGAGACTCCGTCTCAAAAAAAAAAAAAAAGGGAAAAAAAAGAAAAAAAATTGTCTTGTAAACTACCTTGAAAACAGAAGCTCTTATTTGGAAATGTCATGGGAATTCAATATTTAATATATTTTCTAATATTTTCCACTTTATTTTAATTATGTAATAGAAATGTAATGAATCTATTTTCTGCAATCCCATAAATCTTCCCAGCTCTGCTCCTGTATGGTAGCATGCCATACAAACATGATTACTTTCTATTATGCCATGATATGAGAGTTTCGCTAACACTGAACAAGGGTTGATGTATTTAGAGCCATTCTTATGTAAATCATAACTCCCAGGTGGCTTGAAAATAATGACAAGTTATTTTGACAATTAATACAAGAAATTCTTTTAATGTTTTAAAAAATATATTTTTAACAAATAGAAGAGACCCTTGAGAAGACTAAATTGATGAAACATTGTATCATGTACATTTTACTTGTCTAGTACTGCTATATACATTCTGCTTAGAAAACACCCATTTACAATGTCTCCATAGAGTAGTATCAAAAATACAAAACATTTAGTGATAAATATTACAAAATATTTGCAAGACCTGTATAATTAAAAGCAGAAAATATTGCTGAGAATATTAAAAAGACCTAAATAAATGGAGAGATACACTGTGTTCATAGATTATAAGATTCAATACTGTTTAGATGCCAAAGCTCCTGATAGTAAGTGTTGTGTTTGTTTTTGTTTTTGAAAAATATGGCAAGCTGGTTCTAAAATTTATATAGAGATGTAAAATTGGAGGACTTATACTATGTGAATTCAACACTTATCATAAAGCTATAGCAATCAAGGCAGACAAATAGGTCAATGGAATAGAACAAAGAGTAGAGAAACCAATCCACACGTATATGATCAACTGATTTATGGCAAAGTTACAAAGGCAATTTAGTGGAGAAAAGGTAGTCTTTTCAACAAATGGAGCTGGAACAATTGCATATTCATATGCAAAAGTATTACTTTTGATCTATTACCAAGTACCAAGAGCAAAAATTAAATAAAAATGGATTGTAGACCTAAATGCAAAACTTAAGGTTATAAAATCTCTAGACAAAAACATAGGAGAAAATTTTTGTGGTTTTGAGTTAGCCAATGATTTCTTAGATGTGATAATATAACCATGATCTATAAGGTAACAAATTTACAAATTTGACTTATTTAGTCAGTGTTAAGAGGATGGAAAGAGAGGCTGCAAACCAGGAAAAACTATGTGCAAATTACACATCTGCAAAGGCTTAAATGTAGAATATTTCACAAAACCTCAAAATCCCATAATAATGGAACACACAATCCACTTTAAAGTGTGCAAAATATTTGAGTAGACATTTTAAGGAAGATAAACTGATGGCTAGCAAGAACGGGGAAAGATGCTCAATATCAGTATTTATTAGGGAAAAAAATTAAAATCACAATGAGATACCACTACAAAACCTATCAGAATGGCTGAAATTAAACAGATTTACATATCATGTGTTGACAAAGGTATGGATTAACTGGAAGTCCTATATTTTGGTGGTGGGACTGAAAAATGGTACTACCACCTAAAAAAGCCCAGTAGTTTCTAAAGAAGCTAAACATTTGCTTATCATATGATCCAGCAAGTATACAACTAAGTTTTTACACAAAACAGATTAAAAAATAAGACTGTACATAGATATTTATAGTTGTGTCCATTATAATTGCCAAAAAATGAAAGAAAGAAAGAACAAAAGTCCATCAAGAGGTGGATGGAAAAACAAACTGTGGTACATTCATATGACGGAGTGCGGCTCAGCCATGTAAAGGAATGGTCTATCGACATGAACAAAAACGTAGATGAGTTTCAAAATAGTTGTATCAAGTAAAAAATGCTACATTTTATAAAGGAAAAATTGTGTGATTCATTTATATAAAATTCTAAACAATGCAAATTTACCTTTAGTGACAGAAAACAGTTCAGTAGTTGCTTGAGAATGGAAGGCAATGACGAGGGGTAGAAGGAAGGGTTTATGAAGCAACAGAAGGAAAATTTTGGTGGGGGCTGGTGATGCATACATTCATTATCTTGACTGTGGTGTCAAAAGTCATCAAAATTGTATGCTTTAAACATATACAGTTTATTTGATGTCAATTATACCTCAATAAAGCTCTTCAATTTTTATAAAATCGCCATGTTGCTAATGACTTCCATATTAGGAAGCACAGCTCTAGAAGTTTGTTATTCCTTTCAAATCTTGCTCTCATCATCCTACTATAGAATTTTTTATGTCTATCTTTAATGCAAACAGAATTTTACAGTGTCAACTTTGTTATTTTCTCTGCCTTGAGAAATGCTTTATTATACAACCAGACTTCCTAAAATAATGCTCTTAGCTTGTTATTCCAAGCAAAACGTATCCTTTTCTATATAGATTCTTTTTTTATACAGCTGACAACATAGCTGAGAAGAGTCTTAATAATATTGGAATATAGTATATTCATTTTTTAGATGGGGAAATTGAGGTTTGGAAAGACTGACTTACATATGTTATTGACAAAAATGATGCTATTGCTGGAATCCACTTCTCTGTATTCTTTGTTCAAGTTTCATTTTAGATTTTGTTTTTTTTCACTAAACCACACAGATTCCATATGTCTTCTTCTTGAAGCCCTCCAACACCTCTTGGAGGTGGATCTTTCCTACTTACCCAACCTTATTTATCCTTGCTCTCAAATATTTAACTCTATTATGTGTGTTATAAATATCATTGTCCTCCCTAGTTCCAACATGGTTGTCCCCTATTTTACATTATGGACACCCATTGCCTTTGTCTGTTGTGTCCTTTCTCCATACTTTATTGTATTTTCTGCGCATCTGCTTAGTTGTCTTCATTTGCAATTGTGTCTTAGTGTAAGTCAGGGTCAAATACTACTTTCCCAAAATAATTTGTCTCCTCTTCTTCCATAATACAAGTGTTATAGTCAAGCCCTTGACTACTCAGATATACCCGATTATCCACCTCTTTCTCCGTTAAATGTAAACCCATGATTAAGTTCTCCCTTAGTCCATTTAGGCTGCTATAACAAAATACCATAAACTGGGTAGCTTATAAACAACATGTACATATTTCTCACAGTTATGGAGGCTGGGAAGTATAAGATTGATGTTTTGGCAGATTCAGTGTCTGGTGAGGGTCCCGATCCTTACAGAGAGTGTCTTCTTACTGTTTCCTTACATGGTGGAAGGGGCTAGTTGGCTCTCTGCAGTCTGTTTTATAAGGACACAAATCCCAGTCATTGGGCTCTTTTTCGTAATTCAGTTATCTTTGAAAAAGCCCTATCTCCTAACAATATCATTTAAAGGTTAGAATTTGAACATATGAATTTGGAAGGGAGACACAAACTTTCAAACTATAGTAAGTCCTCACCCATGGAATTGGTGGAAGTGTCCCGCTTCCTCGATAAAGACTTCAAATGATAATAGGCTTTTCCAAACTCTTTTCTTTTAAGGGGGAATATGCATATATCAGCCTATCTTTGTCCTTGACAATGATAATACTCAAGGAAATGGGAAAGTTAAAATCTGTGAAGTATTCCTATTTCTGAAAAACCACATGAACTATAATTCACTTGGCCGGGAGCGGTGGCTCACGCCTGTAATCCCAGCGCTTTGGGAAGCCTAGGTGGGCAGATCACGAGGTCAGGAGATCGAGACCATCCTGGCTAACATGGTGAAACCCCGTCTCTATTAAAAATACAAAAAAAATTAGCTGGGCGTGGTGGTGGGTGCCTGTAGTCCCAGCTACTCGGGAGGCTGAGGCAGGAGAATGGCGTGAACCTGGGAGGCGGAGCTTGCAGTGAGCCGAGATCGCGCAACTGCCCTCCAGCCTGGGCGACGGACTCCATCTCAAAAAGAAAAAGAAAAACAAATACAATTCACTTGCTTAAAGTGCTGTGAGAATAACAAACTTCTTCTTCCCCACCCCCAATAAGGTACTGCATTATTGGCTATTTGCCTTATACTGCTTTACTTTATCCAATTAATACAAGGCCAGAAGTCTTTCACCTTGTGGACTCAGCCATTAATGGGCCTAATAGTATAGTAATGGCCCCATTTTCTCCAGTATCTACAACTGGAAATCAGGTTTATTGCCCTAAACTTGAGGAAGGTCCTCAGCTTAACTATGCCAATAAACTATGTGCCTACTAAGATTCCATCTTTTGGAAAGTAGTGGGGTTTAGAGATTTGCATTAGAATTTCTTAAAATCTTCCTTCTAGATGTGAGCTATTAGGTCAATTATTTAACTTCCCTATTGTATTGTCCTATAAAACAAAAGAATACCTACATAGATAAAATATGAGAATGTAATAGAATTTTAGAAAAAAATGTTAAGTTTACTTTTCCTGTTGTCTTAGAGTTTTAACTGATGTCCCTGTATAGATGATAATGGATGTTAAACAGCCACACATTCAAAAGAGTGATGCTGGTGCATCCTGGTAAGACTCTAAAAAGTGGCCAAAAATACGTTCTAGACTCTCCAATCCATCCCCTAATTCCAGCCTATGTATAGGAGAAAGCTGGAGGGCCATGAAAGGGCTTGATCAAAGTCAGGAGTTCTTTAAAAACAGATATTTGTGTAACAGAGAATATGATGGTGTTTTCCTACCCCCAGACATTGGAGAGGGGACAAGGTTGGTAATTCCCACATGCCAAACCCAGGACTATGGGAGGATTGGTGCCATTATAGAATCCCAGGAGAGTGAGAGATATTTAATAGTGTTGATATGTATTCCTCAGATTTTGGAAGTAAAAGTCTGGTGTCTGACTTGTGCAAAAGAATCAAAATATAGAAGATAATGGGAGGTCTGCTGACAGCCTAGGAGTGAGGAATGAGTGCAGGGAGAGTGAAGCCGTGGTCAACCACAATAAACTCAAGCTGTGTTAGATCCATCTTGAAAAGACCTGACCAAGATGCATGCCTGAAAGGTCATGTGTGAGGGCAAACTGCTTGTTTTATGAACACATTGTTTCATTTTTTTTCCTTGAGGGCTATTTATAGATAAATTTTTTCCCTTTTGTAACAATGAAATAGAATAGAGATCACTTATAGGTTTCTGTACAACATCGTTTAGGTTAATATTCAACTTGCAAATTAAAGGTAAGTGGTTGAATCAGAATAATACTTGATCATAAAAATAAAATGATACCAAATTTCTATGTCTGACATGATGCTGATTCCTAATATAAAAGGAATTCATATTTTACTCTCAATGACCATCACATAGTAGTGTAAATCCTTTAACAGAAACAGACTTTCTAAGTTTCACTTAATACTTATTTTATCTTTGCTTTAAAGATTAATCAGTTACTATTTTTCTACTCTTAATGTTTTTGATAAATGGCAAAAATGAGTCAGTTTTTACAAGATAAATAGTTATTTCAAAAAGAAAAGGAACTTGAAGTTAGGAATAATTTTGTGATGCTTTTCATATCATTCACGGTAGAATCATTGAGGATGGTTCAATAAGAAAGAGCTTGTTGATTCAACGGTCTGTGGAATTTCATCAGCCTTTCATCTCATATTGATGTTAATATTGTGCCAAGATGATTCACATAAGAAGCCATGCGTGTGATTTTGTCTCTAATTTTGGTTCTGAGCCAAGTAATAAAACATTGTGAATCCAATCTTATCACTAGCATAATGGTAAATTAGCTGTGAAATAAAAAAAATTAATCTCATTAATTTTAGAGATCATGATCTGCAGTGTAAAAATATTGCTTTAATTAATCAAATTGTATTTCAGACAATGTGAAAATACTTTCACTTCAACCCCATGAAGATTACATAGAAGAAAATGCCAGATGAAGTTCCTTATTGTTTCTCATTCACAGAATTTATTTCCACTAAGTTATTAAAAAAATGGGTATGTATTAGGCATGTATATTTATGGGGTTTATGAGAAATTTTAATACAAGCATAAGTTACTATTTTTTAAGACGTGAAAGAGGAGAAAAATTAACACTAAAAGTGTTCCTGATAGTTTTCACAAATACTTTTTTCAAGACTCATAATAATCTTACAAGCAAGTCTTTATTATCTCTGTTTTTATAGGCAAAAAATCTAAGTGTCATAGGTTAAATGATTTGGCCAAATCAAAAAGGTAGTAAATGATTTAGCAGGACTAAACATTTTTTCCAGATTCTAAATAGTGTGTATGATTTTCCCATAAATATTATGTATTCTTGAAGCTAAAGAAATTGTGGAGACAAAAGTGGCTCCACCTTGATCTGCCATGTTGATTTCTGGTTAACTCTAGTCCCATGAATGCCTCCTGATTTTTTTTTTTTATTATACTTTAAGTTTTAGGGTGCATGTGCACAATGTGCGGGTTTGTTACATATGTACACACGTGCCATGCTGGTGTGCTGCACCCATTAACTCCTCATTTAACATTAGGTATATCTCCTAATGCTATCCCTCCGCCCTCCCCCACCCCACAACAGGACCTGGTGTGTGATGTTCCCCTTCCTGTGTCCATGTGTTCTCATTGTTCAATTCCCACCTATGTGTGAGAACATGCAGTGTTTGGTTTTTTTTGTCCTTGCGATAGTTTGCTGAGAATGATGGTTTCCAGCTTCATCCATATCCCTACAAAGGACATGAACTCTTCCTTTTTTATGGCTGCATAGTATTCCATGGTGTATATGTGCCACATTTTCTTAATCCAGTCTATCATTGTTGGACATTTGGGTTGGTTCCAAGTCTTTGCTATTGTGAATAGTGCCACAATAAACATACGTGTGCATGTGTCTTTATAGCAGCACATTTTATAAGCCTTTTGGTATATACCCAGTAATGGGATGGCTGGGTCAAATGGTATTTCTAGTTCTAGATCCCTGAGGAATCACCACACTGACTTCCACAATGATTGAACTAGTTTACAGTCCCCCCAACAGTGTAAAAGTGTTCCTATTTCTCCACATCCTCTCCAGCATCTGTTGTTTCCTGACTTTTTAATGATCGCCATTCTAACTGGTGTGAGATGATATCTCATTGTGGTTTTGATTTGCATTTCTCTGATGGCCAGTGATGATGAGCATTTTTTCATGTGTCTTTTGGCTGCATAAATGTCTTCTTTTGAGAAATGTCTGTTCATATCCTTCGCCCACTTGTTGATGGGGTTGTTTGATTTTTCTTGTAAAATTGTTTGAGTTCTTTGTAGATTCTGGATATTAGCCCTTTGTCAGATGAGTAGATTGCAAAAATTTTCTCCCATTCTGTAGGTTGCCTGTTCACTCTGATAGTAGTTTCTTTTGCTGTGCAGAAGCTCTTTAGTTTAATTAGATCCCATTTGTCAATTTTGGCTTTTGTTGCCATTGCTTTTGGTATTTTAGACATGAAGTCCTTGCCCATGCCTATGTCCTGAATGGTATTGCCTAGGTTTTCTTACATTATTTATTGTCCTTACAGTTCTTAAACTTTAAAAACTTCAGTGTAAGAAATGTCAGTGTTGATGTTATTGTACAAATTATAGGCTATGATGTACATAGCATTCTTACCAGTTCTGGGGGGTTGTCTGTAATTGTCTTGCTGAAGCACTATACCTTTTCCTTATGGAATATAAGCCTGTGGAATAAGCATAGGGAATACATTCCCTATGGAATGTAAGTCTGGGAGGTGACAATGTAGAGATCTACCTTCCTTATTGCCTCCCAAGTCCACACTTCTGTCTCTAAATTCCACCATTAAAACACTTTTTACTAGCAAACTGGGTGTTTCTGCCTCATTCTTTGGTTTCTAGGCTCCTGTGGAGTTTGGGGGCTGCTTTGCACATGTGACCCTTTCACAGAACAGAGATATATATGGGAATAAAGCTATAACCGTAATTCAGGACTAATCAATATCTCTACAGGCAAAAGAAAGTGGAACTTCAACTGTTCCTTAGGACAATACGGACTTGTGTTTTTGAAGAAGCAAAGTGGAAATGATTAGGCAGCAGGGACTCTTTGCAGAAAAACGTAAGGAGCAAAGAAAAATTTCTCAGAAAAGGAGATTTGAAGCACAATTGTCATCAGTTCACAGAAGAATTTTGAAGGTAAATAGCTTAACGTTTATCACCTGACCCCTTCCCCAGAGTTCCAACCACATACCACTGATATCCAGAAAAGTGATAAATTAGTTTTTACTCACCAGTGTCTTACATATTCCATACCTTTCAGTCCACTAAGAGCAAGTGTATCTCATATGCTGCTTTTATTTTTAATATATGGAGATCATGATCTTACTACTTGGCAGCATAATGCATTTTGATATGCAGCTTAGGGAACAATTGTCATTTTGGCTGTCTATTATTATCTCATGTACAATTTGCTATGTAACATCACTCAATGCCTTGTATGGCACTGCAACCTTCTATGTAACTTTTGACCTTTTAATTTGAATTTCAGATTATTATTATTTTTACTCAGATGTATTGTGGTTCTTAGCATTTTCCTCAGTAGAATAATATTTTATCATTTTCTCTTAACTATTCCTTAGTTCTCTATCTTGTTGGTGCCAAGTATTTGAAATGCAGAATAAGTCCATAATTAAACTCTGTGTGCCCAGAAGTGAAGGATCAGGGCAATTACTTTAATACATTCAAATCTAATGCAAATTTCAGTAATTAGCCATGTGTATTTGTTTATGTAAGCATACATAAACATAGAAAAGGTACAATAAAATTTATTATTTTAATCTTATGGGACCACCATCTAATATGTGGTCTGTCATTTATCAAAAGTCCTTATGTGGCACATAACTGTCACAGGAAAAGAGACGAAGAGTTGTAAGGGTGTCTTAGTCAGCTCCAGCTGCTATAAAAAAAAAAATCCATGCACTGCTTATAAGCAACAGAAATCTATCTCTCACAGTTCTGAAGGTCAGGAAGTCTGAGATCAGGATGCCGGTATTGCCGGGTTCTGGTGAGGGTCCTCTTCCAGGTTGCAAATTGACAACTTCTCAGTGTCCTCATGTGGCAAATGGGGCAAGAGAGCTCTCTGACTTCTCTTTATAAGGACACTAATCCTGTCTGTGAAGGTTCTGGACTTTTAACGTAATCACCTACTGTAGGTGCCATTTCCCAATACCATCACAGTAGGGGTTAACATTTCGACATGTAAATTTTAGAGAGGTCACAAACATTTAGTATATAGCAAGGGGTGTATATTTTTGGCAAGGGTTACTTTTATTATTATCCCAGGGATTAGTAAGAGCTATAATGTTATTGTTTAATCCTGTAGTATTTGTTGGTATTGTCTATGAATTATAGCATTTTGATTGATTGTAGCAAGTGCGAGCATTTTTATTGTAATATTGGGTGAACACAATTTCTGGACATTCCGTAAATGAGACTTGATAGATAGTGATTCATTGTTCTGTTTGTTTGATAGCACTAGTTAATAAAGTGTGTTTTATTTTGTTGATTTGAAGTAAACGTTGGCTGATAGGACTTAGAAGGTGTCATTGAGTCACAAGTAATATCCAAGAGTCTGGTTTAGCTGGAATGAGTGTTGCTAGTGGTGGTAGAATAGGAGGAGGAATGCTAGCCTAAGTGTTGATGTTTGTGGTGATGTTACTAGGACTGATCTACCCAAATAGTCAACAGTATGGTTCCAATGTCCCCAGACTGACTCATGTTATTTGCCTCCCCCTGGTGTACACATTGCATGCTGTTTTCAGACATAGCTTGTCAGTGGTAGGGTGTAAATTACCAAGACTAACATGATTCTCCAGTGGATGTGTAGTTACCACTAGCAAAGGTAAAAACTTTTCAGATAAGAAGGAAGAACAACATAGTAGAGGTTAAAGATGGAGGTCATCTTTAGCAAGAAGCAAGAGATCTGGTTTTACCCTTGGTATCGACCAAATGGTATTACCTGGTCTGGGGTGGGGGACAATTACTTCTACATCATGTTGAATTTCTACATGTTGAATTTTCTACAAGAGACAAGAAAAAGATGAAATTACCCAGTGATATTCCTTTGTTGTCGGCAGTAATGCCAGGGCTCCCATGCAAATTGGTTTGCATTTTTCTGTGCAAACTAGCAATTGTGGTTGTGTCTACTGTGGTTGTATATACCAGCAGAGGTCTCAGTGTCTCTACAGATGGTCTCCTCATTGGCAGTGAATTTAAATATGATGTACTTATGCCATAAAAGGGTGAACGTAATATTACTAGGACTATGGGGAGTATTTTTAACCGCTTGGAGGGCCATTGTCATCCAAGTTCTCTGAATAGACCCTGTTTTAAGGCTCATATTTCTTTTTATGATACATGTTCCTGTAAAATAATAGAGTAAGTGAAAATACCAAGCAATATTAATGTATAATGTTGACTGTTCAAATAACCAGGAGCACCTGCAAGGCTTCTCCCATGCTTATGGCTTATGGCATTTACTAATGGCCGTTGGCAGGCAACTCAAGCACCAATATATACCAGTCTGAACAAGGAGGGACATGCAATTGCCCACCATACCAAACCTGCACATAGTCATTGACTCAGAAACATGTACTATGACAAATTTAACCACATGCTGGGGTTGCTTCTGCCAGCCTGATTTTATGTAACATAGAATAATACTCTCCCCTCTCCAGGTTCCCCTGCAAACCTCATTTATCATAATGAGCCTATTCCAATAACTGTCCACATCCAACAATAATATACAGAGACTGATATCATGCAGATATCTGGACAATAATAAATTGAGCCCATAACCAATTTAGTAGACCCAGGTGCTCATATCATACGTGCTTATTTTACCCTAACCTTTATCAACACTCTCTGCAATTGCACCAAACTATAAAAACTTGCCTTCATAGAGACACAGAAGAGAGGAAGTATTGTGGGCCTGTAAGGGAACCAAATGGTTTTTCCTCATCAGACCCTGGACGATATTTCCTGCACTTTGATTTGGATCAAAATTCCAGTAGATTTTTACTCAGCAGTGGAAGCCCACCACGCCCCCTCCTTCCAAAGTTCTTGCCTCTATAAACCACACTAGCCACAACTCTCCAATACTGCAAATGAGTTTTCCTAATAGTCTTCAAAGTGCTAACCACTTTAGGATCACACATTTCTGGGACAGTAAGAATAGCATATGTACAACGTACCAAACACAATTAAAGACACACGGTTATCCATGTCTAAGGTGTTAGCCACACAAATTAAGCAAATGGCCCATGGACTAAAACTCTTGGTTGAATCTTACCATACGTTAGTGGCCATTATGTTAGATAATTCCATAGTCCTAGATTTTTTTATTGGCTACCAAATGAGGGGTCTGTACTCCAGTTAAACATCTTGCGGTATGTGGATAGGTAGGAACATGGAGCAAAGGGCCATAATAGCACTGTACTGCCCAAACAGATTGAGCAAATTAAAGTCTTTTCTGAGCTGTTTGCTTTGCTTTTCCTTAGTACATGGTCAAACAAGCTGCAAACACCTTCTGAAATCCTAATTCACATCCTTTTAAGGGTCTGAGTCAAAGATACTTCATCACTGGCTCTAAATGCAAGCATTAGATTGTAAAACAATATGAGACCAAGGAATGGATTGTTATATACATGAGATAAGGATACCCTCTGTGTTATTGACCCTCTGTTGTTTACTTTTTCATAGCAAGCTGGGACTAATTAACTCAGAAGGCCTCCAGCATCAAACCCAAAATTGTACACAGTGGTTTCACACATAGCTCCAAAAAGCAGATTATAACAAGCAACTTAGGCTATCACCTATGTATACCATACAAAACTGCATTTAACATCCACTAGCCGTTGATAAAATAAATCCTGTAGCTAAGAAGGAGCCCCAGCTGCTGCTGCCCTTTGGTGCTCTCTGACCCAGAGACCCCCTGCTGTGTTGCTGACTGATGTCACCTAGACACACAATCCGCCTAACTGGTACCCTATCCTGTGTGAGTTCCTTTGCCTTCTTCTCCTTCTGTGTCATAGCCTCTGGTGGTCGTATGCTATTATGGTCTTCCCATGCATGCAAACCTGTCAAATTCTTACCCAAATAAAGCTCATTGTGTGTTCCTGCCACATGGCGATTATATCTTTTTCCCTGATCAGGATCCAAATCCCTTAAACTCACTATACTGGGGCCATAGGGAAATAGAAAAAGAGACCTGCAAATAATTAATTGTGTTTATTTTTTTATTACAAAGTGTTCAGTTAAATATGCAAAGTGTTCTGACCCAAAAATCAGGAAGGGAGAACTTAGTCTGTGAGATCTAGGCAACTCAAAGCCAGATTATTTATTTGAATTCCTTCCAAAGGCTCAAGACTACTAGGAAATGGTCTTGAGCCTTTGGAAGGAATTCAAATAAATAATCAGTTTAATTGAAACTTATCATGTCCAATAGTATTATCCTTCTTAATCAAAGTAAATTACAATTAGAATGCTTTAACTTGAGAAATAAAGTCCAAATTGGTGTAAATCTGTAGCTAAAATAGATAACAGGAGATAATTAAAATGTTACTTTTCTATTTACTTTAATTCCAGGTCCCTCTAGCCATATTTA
Source organism: Homo sapiens (assembly GCF_000001405.40). NCBI lineage: Eukaryota > Metazoa > Chordata > Mammalia > Primates > Hominidae > Homo > Homo sapiens. The sequence goes on along the minus strand of NC_000001.11, from coordinate 196,056,528 downwards.
ATTTAGTTCTGACCATATTGTTGAATAGATTGAAAACAGCTGAAGGGCACTTATGCTTTTGACCAAGATGGATTAACAAGGATCAGATTTACCCTCCTATAGGAATAAATAAAAACCAACCAAATATATAAAATGGTGATCTTAGAAAGTTATTATCAGGCAATAGATAACAATTATTCCTGAAAGATGAGAAATAATAAGGCAAGTCCTAGAATTACTCCAGTGTATTGCCTTGAGAGATTTTCCAGATCTTGGCATATATAGAGAGAACCAGATGGAGACTATGGAATCCTTGAGTCAAAGAGATGAAGCTAAGGGTTGAAGAATGACAAAGAAACTGGAATTTTTAGGACAGAGTATCATAGAGTAAAGAGATGCCCAGAAATAGAATTCTGGGGATCTATAGAGGATTGCCCTTAAATATTCCATGAGTCTTGGTTAGCAATATGTAGGAGGAAACTACCCAAGACCAGGAGAAGAACATGAAAGATTAGAAGAAGAATACCCAGCACTCATAGAGAATGTGGAGTAGTGTCTGTTCCCACTAAACAGGATGGAAAATAACATAATTGACAGGGCACAGGGTAGAGTATACAGAAAAGTAATGCTTTAGCAGTGGAGAATAATTAGCCCTACAAAGAGGACTGCTCCAGAACCACCTAGCAAACCTCAAATGCAAGACAAAAAAGGATAAAACTCTTTCCAAGTAGTTAACTGCATCACAAAACAAAGCTTATTTATAGAAACACAAAAATTTGCAGCATCCATAAAAGTAAAATTCAACTGTTTGAATCCAATGAAAAAATTAGCAGGCATGCAAAGAAACAGAAAAATGTGACCTATAATAAGGAGAGGAAAAAAATTAACCAACCTATTTTCCATGCATTTAAAAAGTTAGTGGAGAGAGAAAAGTTATTTAAAAAGATTCAAATGGAACTATTAAAGAAAAAAACTACAATGTGAAATTTGAAAAATAACTTGATAGGTTAATGACTACGTAGAAATTGAAAAAATAATAAACTTGAAGGCATAGCAACATGAATCATCTATAATTTTACATAGACATTAAGGAGGAGAAGAAAATAAACAGCATCAGTGAGCTGTGGTACAACTTCAGGTTACCTAATAAACCTACAATTGGAGTCCCTAAAAAAGTGGAGTGCAAAAAAAATTGACATAATAATGGCTAAAAGCTTTCAAATTTGGTGAAAATTATATAGCTGCTGATCTGAGAAGCTCAGTAAATCCCAGTGAAAGACTACTATACCAAAATACATTATAATCAAATATTTCAAAACTAGTGATGAGAGAAAATTTTTTTAAAAATCCAAAGGAAAGAAACATGTTATGTACAGAGAAAAAAATAAGATTACATCAGATATTTCATTTGAAACAATGCAAACAAGAAGAGAGTAGATACAAATATTTAAAGATCTAGAGTGCTGCAGAAAAAGAAACTGTCAACCTAGAATGGTATAGCCAGTGAAAACATCCTTCCAAAAAAAAAAGTGAGTTTAAAAAGGGAATAATAAATACAGTTTAAGGCAATGAAAAGTTGAAATAATTAATCACCAGCATACTCTCACCACCTAAATGTTAAGCTATATTTTTCAGGCAGAAGAAAAAGTGATACTTGATATAAACACACATCTATGCCAGGGGTTGGCAAACCATGTATCACAATCTGCCCAGTAGCCTCTTTTGTGTAGCCACGAGATAGCCTGGTTTTTATACTTTTAAAGGATGGTAAAGGAAAAAAAAAAAGAGAATCTGAAACAGAGACCATATGTGACCTGTAACTCCTAATATACTTAAAGAAAACTTCAAATTCATCAGCTGTACAAAAAAATGAAAGTACTGGAAATGTAAATGTGAATATGTGGAGAAAATATATATATCTATTTTTTATTCAAATTCATTTAAAATATAGTTGACTACTTAAATATAGATAATAGCAACGAAATTGAAAGTGAAGTGTACGAAGTAAGTAGATGTTGTAACAATAACACACAAGTGCCAGCTGGGGATAAAAGGGAAGTCCATTATTTACTGTGCTTATACTATAAGTGAAGTAATATAACAACATTTGAAGATAAAGAGTAACAAGTTAAAGATGTATTCTATCAAAATAAAGAGTCGTAGCTAATATGTCAACAAAGAAGGTAAAATGGAATCGTAAAATTAAATAAATCCAAAAGGCAGAGAAATAGAAAATAAATAGAAAATAATTGAAAGAGATAGAATAAAGAATAGATGGGAGAATACAAAGTGTACAGCAAACTGATAGTTTTAAACTTAAAAATTTCCATACTCACATTTTATGTAAATAGTCTGAAAAGCCAAAATGTACAAATAGAAAAATTAAGGAGGAGAGTAACATTAAAAAAATGATAAACACCACCTTTAAGCAAAATACTTTAAATCTAAAGATATAAATATTTTAAAAATGTATACCAGGCTAAGTCTCTCATACTACCAAAAGAAAGCTAAAGATTCTTTTTTAAATATTAGAGTTCAGAGCAAAGAATATGGCTAGGGATCAAGTGGTCCATCTCATAATAATAAAGGTACATATTCATCTGGAAAGCATTAAAAGGTTAGGTGTTTATGTATTTAAAAACGGTTTCAAAATAACAGAACTTCAGAATACATAAAGTCTAATAGAATTTTAAGAAAAGATTGGCAAATTAATAATGATAGCTGGAGACTTTAATACCACTTTGTATAAAAGAGATGATAGAATAAATAGATAGAAAATCACCCCAGGTATACAGCAGTTGACTTGAAAAATATAGATGATTTGAAATTAGGTCAACCTACCTGATCTAATTTAATGTATAGAGTAGTCTACCCAATAAAAGCAGAATACATGTTCTTATGATGTAGAACACATGGGATTATTTGGGAAGCATTCATACTTTGTCAATTTTCTGGAAGAGTTTCTGCATGTAATACTTTTACAAAGATTGATCATATTCTAGCAACTTTTAATAAATCAACTATAACAACTAACAACTTTTAATAAATCCAAAATGATTCAAGTCTACAAAGTATATTTTCTGGCCACAATGGAATAAAATTTGATATTAAAGACAGAAAGATTTCTGAGAAACTCCTAAGTAGTTTCAAAATAAACAATCACTTCTAAATAATTGATGAGCCAGTGAGAGAACCAAAAGAAAATTACAAGTATTTTGACCTAAACGAAAAAGAAAAGATGACATTTGAAAATGTATATTGTATATTGCAAAAGCAGTACATAGGAAAAATTTTATACCACTGAATTCCTATAACAAAAAAAGAAGAAAGGTCAAAATCAAAATCAATAGTTTGTTTTTGAGAATAATTAATAAAATTGATTTTAAACCTTTAACCAGATTAATTAGGAAAAGTGATATTAGTATAGTTTCTAAGCAAAAAGTGATATTAGTACAGTTTCTCTAGATATTAAAAGAATATTAGGAGAATGTTATGAACAACTTTATACCACTGTATTTAATAGTTTATATGAAATGTACCAGTTTTTTGAAAGACACCTACTACCAAAACTTACCCAAGAAGAAATAAATTGTAGAGTCCTATATATAAAGGAATTACATTTGTAGTAACAAACCTTGCTACAAATAAAATTCTAAGTCCAGATTACATCACCAGTGATTTCTACAATATATTTGAGAGAAAAATAATACAAATTCTAAACAAACTCTTCCAGAAAAGTGGAAAGGAATACTTTTCAAGTGAATCATGTGTATGGAATTAACCTGACACCAAAACCTAAACAGAAACACTTCAAGAAAACTACAGACCAAAGTACCACCTGATGAAAGTTACAAAAATCTAAAACAAAAACAGAATACATCAATAAGCAAAATGAATAATACGTGGTGACAAAATGGTTTTACTTAGGAATGCAAAAAATGCAATGTAGTTCACCATATTAAATTATTTAGAAAAAGATCATCTCAATAGCTATGGAAAAAGTCATTTGACAAAATCTAGAATTCCTAATAAAAGTTTTCAGCCAACTAGGCATAGAAAGGAACTTCCTCAACCTCATGAATACCAACTATGAAGATCTAGATATCTCATCATATTTAATGGTGGAAGACTGAACACTTTCTCCCTAAATCAGGAACAAAACAAGGATGTCTGCTCTCATCATTTCTATTAAACATTTTACTGGAGGCTCAAATAGTGCAATAAAGCAGAAAAATGAAACAAAAAGTTTCCAAATTGGAAAGGAAGAAGTAAACTGTTTTTATCCACACAAGGCATAATCGTCTTTTTAAAATGTTTATTGGAATCTACTTAAAATCTAATAGAACAGTAGTAATGCATATATGAAATAATATACATCAATGTAAATAATCAATTACATTCCTATATATTAGTAATGAAAATGAGAAACTGAAATTTTAAAATACCATTTACAATAGCATCAGCAAGTGGTAAATATGTAGAGGTAAATCTGAAAAAAAGCTGTGAAATATCTGTATGCTAGAAACTATAAAAAATTGCCAAAATAATTAAAGAAACATAGACATAGAGAGATATACTGTATTCACAAGTCAGAAGACATATTAATCATTGAAATGTCAATTCTCCCTAAATTAGTCTACAGGTTCAATACGATCCCAATGGAAACTTCCACAAAAGTTTTAGCAGGGATTAAGTGGCTTTAACATTCATGTGAAAATACAAAGGGCCTGGAATAACCAAAGCAACTTGTTTAAAAAAAAAATCCCACAAAACTATCAGAAGAGACAAAGAGTATTAATACTATCTTTCAAAGACAATGTAAAGCTACATCAATCCAGAGTATGATGAACTGATGTCAAGAAAGACAAATTCTTCAATTTACTTTATATCAAAGGTATTTAAAAAACAACAGAGATCATGTTTGGGTCATATTAGGAAGACATACTTGAAAATATCCAGAGTTCTGTGACACTCAATTAAAACTAAAGCTAAAATTTACATTAAAGAAATTGATAAGATTGAGCATGTATTGATACTAAAAAAATAATTTTTGAAGCACCATGGTGCTTACTAGACATAGTGTGCATACTATTACATCCTCATACATTTAAATCTTGGCCCAACTATTTAAGACTTACATCTAATGTTTAGAGCTCTTCCTATTTGTAAATAATAGGTGATAACACATTCTCTTAAGGGTAGTCGTTTCAGCCTGAGAAGTTATGCCTGTCATAAATATCAGAGGCAGTATGGCAAACAGTAGGAGCTCAATAAATGCTGACTTTCTCAATTTTTTTTGTCTGTGAATAATGAAGGATAGAGTCTGTGCTTATTTCATGTGCTTACCCTTTATGACTAACATGTTATTTGGCAGAATTTCAACAAATGCCAGCTAAATTAAATCTTGAATCAAAATAATCCAGAACTGCAAATAATTGCCAGAAAAAAATATCCAAAAAAGTGTAGGAAGAACAATACACAAAAAATAGAGAAGAATAGGAATAGAAAATGTCAAGTATTTTAGAGCAAAGAACATTTGCAAAAGTTGCTTTTATTTTTTTCAGGTTGACTAATCAGGAGACTAGAAACTATATTTTCATTGAAGACAGGTTTTTCATTAAAGTGTGGTATTTATTTGTTATTTTTAGAAGTTTGAAGTTTAATATCAAAATTACAAGTCAGAAATAAAAACTGTGCTGCTACAGTCTGAAAAGTGAACACTTGTGCCCTAAATTCAAGCAATAAGTTACATATAGCTAATCTTAGAACAACCAGTTTAGAAAATTAAAACTTATAGGGTTTAACAATCTTGATATCCTTAAATGAATTACTCAACAACATTGCCATTTGGGGGGAAAAGGAATAGAAAACATCATAGCAAAAAATAATAATATTTTAAATTTCTTTATCTCTATGTACTTCTAATAATGATGGTAAATCAATTTAACATCAGGTTAAAAACTTTTTCACTTTCTATCTGCAGGACACTGGCTATTTTTTATGTACATAGAAAATTAGTTAAAAACCATGTATCCCGAAAAGGAATTCTAACAGAATAATCAGAACAGAAACTGCTGTCCAAATGATATTCACAATATTTCTGAAATTGAAGAGTTCATTTGCAATTTTAGATGTGCTGTTTTTGACTAACAGAATAGAAAAATGAGGAAATTCACAGTTAAATAAAATTTCTGAGTTGAATAAATACATCAATTGAGAGAAAAAGAAATAACCCATATTTTGCCATTGCTATAATAGCATTCGACTGCACACATGCATAAGAAAACTGTTCGATTTGGTTAACATACTTTTTATATTATTTATTTCACTATGAATAAAGTTGAAAACTTGTATATCTTATAAAGGATGTTTTGTACATAACACATAGAGTAGTTTGTATTTTTGTTTTGAAAATAAGGTGAACCAGCAAAGGATTTTAAATAAGAGTATTGCAAAATCAGGACTGTACTTTTGGAAATTCATGCATAATGCATTGAGAAAAATAGAGAAATATTAGTTAAAATTATTAATACATGAAAGAAAAGATAAAGTACTAAGTTAATACAGTGGTAGCAGTGGTGGCAAGCAAGGGGAAGTCAATTACATTTTGGTGTAGAGAAGTTATATGTGAACAAGAAAGTACATCTATCTTATATAACTCACAGGCTTCTAGCTTAAGAAAGTAGGTAATCACTGGTTTCTTTCACGAGCAGCGAATATAGGACAAGTATGTTATGGGGGAAGAGAGGCTTAATTTTATACCTGATGCATATGGGACACTCACGTATAAATGGAAGTTGAATATATAAGACAAATGCAGAAAATAGAGGCCTGAGCAGAAGAGAGAGATTCATCAGAAATAACTAGCATACTACAAGTAGAAATTGAATGTTGAATATGGAACACATTTTCCAAAGGAAGATGATAGAGTGAGGATAGATGACTAAGGAAAAATCTCTGGGGGACTAGCCTTTAACTACCAGTTGAATGAAGAAACAAAAGAGTTACCATGTAGTTTTGAAAAAACCTGAAGAAGACGATTCTTTTTTATTATGACAGAGACATTGAGATTTATTCATTAAACACCTATTTATTGAATATCAACTATGATACAATTGATCAACTATATCAATTGTAGCAGATACTCAAGACACAGGCGATAAAATTAAAAAAAGAAATGGTAGAGAATCTGCCCACAAAAAAGGCTTAAGCCTAGAGGGAAATAAAGTTAACTATATAAGTATGTAACTTGGAGGTAAAGGGTGTGCATGAAATAGTGGAAGACAAAACAGGTTAAATATAACTAAAAAATAAAGTGTGATAGAGCAAGGGCCATTAGTAGAGGTAATAAAGGAAGCTGAGAAATTAAGAAATAAAACAATTGACCACATTATCTTCTTCAAACTCTCTTCCATTTATTTCCCCAATGGATAATTACGGAGGAAGGGGGGATGTGTCTATAGCACAGGCTGAGAATTAAATCTGATGGAAAGAAATAATATTTATTCCCTTTCAATTTAGGTAACAGAGAGATCGCCAATCAGGATCGTGCAAATTCTGGTTCTGCTACATATTAACTACGTGGATTTAACTAACCGCTGCAATGTTACCTAACCTTTTGAAACTTCAGTTTCATTATTTTTAAAAAAGATGCCAATATTAGTATCTATCTGATATTAAATAACATAATTATTGATAACGACTTTTTTAGCACAATTCTTTGAATATATTAACAGATCAGTAAAGAGTGTTACTATGCCTTTTATTGTTTCTGAGAGTGGAGCTAAAGAGGAGAACACATATTTCTCTATGAGAATAAAAATTTGAGAAAATTCATGAATTATGAATTATCATTCAATAAATAGCAGAATGTTCACCAGAAATGGGGATTTGAAGAGGGTAATTAAGTATAAAAGAAAAATTGAGAAAAGAGACTAATAGGCAGGGTCAAATGCCCTGATGAGAAATTAAAACATGAAGTTCTTAAAATACATAAAAATACAGAGTTTATTTTTCCTTGGGAATGCTGGGCATCTTAGGTGTAGGAAAAGAGACGCTTTTTTATTGTTTGCTTGTTTTGTGGTTATAAAGAAATATTTTGTGAAATGACCATTCTTAATTATCAAATAGAAGGTTATCTATGTTCTCATTAGGTAATTTTCAATACAGCATACAGTTGAGGGTGGTATTGCAAACAATATGTAACTAGAACATTTTGTAAGTATTATGAATATTTTAAGTATGGCATTGATGATTTCCAGCATAAGCCAGTGCAGGTTCAAACGTATCCCAGAAACTCTGTAGTAGCTCTGATCCCCTTAGTAGTAATCGGAGAAAGATGCACCAACCAGGAGATTAAGGGTACTGAGAGGAACGGCGAAGGCGCTACAGGTAAATATAAATAGTAAATGCTCTAACTTCTCTCTCCCTCTTCTTTCTCCTGCTACTGACTTCTCCAGCCTCCTCCTTTGTCTTCCCTGCCTCATTTTTCTCCTCTCTCTTTTGCTTCCACTTAGATTTACATATTTGCTTAACATTCAACTCTGAACATAGTGTTTCTAAGAAATCTATTGATTTGCATCAACCTGGCTGCTCAAGTAAGCAGTCACTTTGCCTACATAAGTTCCTAAACTAACTGAACAAAGATTTATTAAGTACCTTTACTAAGTGATTGGGACTATATTAGGCACTGTTTATATAAAAATATACCAAAAGAAGCTTGCATTCCAATATTTAGCAAACTGGTTATCTTTCTTTTTTTTTATTATTATACTTTAAGTTCTAGGGTACATGTGCACAATGTGCAGGTTAGTTACATACGTATACATGTGACATGCCGGTGCGCTGCACCCACTAACTCGTCATCTAGCGTTAGGTATATCTCCCAATGCTATCCCTCCCCCCTCCCCCTACCCCACAACAGTCCCCAGAGTGTGATGTTCCCCTTCCTGTGTCCATGTGTTCCCATTGTTCAATTCCCACCTATGAGTGAGAATATGCGGTGTTTGGTTTTTTATTCTTGCGATAGTTTACTGAGAATGATGATTTCCAGTTTCATCCATATCCCTACAAAGGACATGAACTCATCATTTTTTATGGCTGCATAGTATTCCATGATGTGTATGTGCCACATTTTCTTAATCAAGTCTATCGTTGTTGGACATTTGGGTTGGTTCCAAGTCTTTGCTATTGTGAATAGTGCCACAATAAACATACGTGTGCATGTGTCTTTATAGCAGCATGATTTATAGTCCTTTGGGTATATACCCAGTAATGGGATGGCTGGGTCAAATGGTATTTCTAGTTCTAGATCCCTGAGGAATCACCACACTGACTTCCACAATGGTTGAACTAGTTTACAGTCCCACCAACAGTGTAAAAGTGTTCCTATTTCTCCACATCCTCTCCAGCACCTGTTGTTTCCTGAGTTTTTAAGGATTGCCATTCTAACTGGTGTGAGATGATATTTCATTGTGGTTTTAATTTGCATTTCTCTGATGGCCAGTGATGATGAGCATTTTTTCATGTGTTTTTTGGCTGCATAAATGTCTTCTTTTGAGAAGTATCTGTTCATGTCCTTTGCCCACTTGTTGATGGGGTTTTTGTTTTTTTCTTGTAAATTTGTTTGAGTTCATTGTAGATTCTGGATATTAGCCCTTTGTCAGATGAGTAGGTTGCAAAAATTTTCTCCCATTTTGTGGGTTGCCTGTTCACTCTGATGGCAGTTTCTTTTGCTGTGCAGAAGCTTTGACAAACCTGAGAAAAACAAGCAATGGGGAAAGGATTCCCTATTTAATAAATGGTGCTGGGAAAACTGGCTAGCCATATGTAGAAAGCTGAAACTGGATCCCTTCCTTACACCTTATACAAAAATCAATTCAAGATGGATTAAAGACTTAAACGTTAGACCTAAAGCCATAAAAACCCTAGAAGAAAACCTAGGCATTACCATTCAGGACATAGGCACGGGAAAGGACTTCATGTCTAAAACACCAAAAGCAATGGCAACAAAAGCCAAAATTGACAAATGGGATCTAATTAAACTGGTTATCTTTCATTGTTGTGTTTGTGATGTATTTTAGTCCTAACATTAACAGAAAATACTAATTTAAAAAATATAATTTATAGTGTGATGCAACCTGTTGTGCATTTTGATAACATCTAAGCATTACAATTATTTTCTAGAAGAATACAGTTTCGATTTTATATGGAGTTAAATAGAAAACTAAACATAATGTAAAATAATTTACCTAAGCAGGAACTCAAAGATTTTATCCACTGCTGACATTTTATATGAAACTATGAAATGATTTAGAAAACATTTCAATGAACTATCATCCCTTTTCAAAGAAACATAATACTCAAATATATCACTTCATAGTTTTTTCATTCAGAGATTAAGAAAAATAGAAAACATATAAACACATAATTCTTCAAAGTATATGTGTTATGAATCCTGTCTAAATGAAGTACATTTATAGTTGTGAAAATGCAACTTCCTTTAAAACATTCTGATGCAGTATTTCTTCTCTTTTCTTTTAAATTGTTATCTTATGAATAAATTTATTTTTTAGTACTGCAACCTGAGATCAAAACATTTAGCACCATAAGATCAGACTAGTCAAAGTATCTGTAATAACCCATTGTAGAGTACTAAAGAAGTATTATTCATACTCGCTACTGTATTGCGAATTATGTGCAAGCACAGTTCACTGAGCAAAGTCAATGTTCAGTAATTATTAGTAGAGTGAATGAGCAGATATCATTTCCATTTTGTGGTTTGTTACTAAGTGCTTTAAAAATATCAATAATGAAGTCATACAGTCTTAATTTGGATGAGCTAATTTACATGTTTATTTTCACAGAAATTTATAAATATTTAATGATATATAGAACTAAAATAGTAAAACACATTGACTACTCCAAATGTAGAGTTTGCGTTTTGAAGTCAGTTTTTAAAAAATTTTTCTTCATAACCCTTCTGATATCTCTAATCTTTCTTCCATGCAGTTCTGTTTCCAGAGGCCTCTCTCTGCCTGCCCAGAGACTGTACATCTTCAGAGATGAGCAAAACTCTGCACTCTGCAAAATCAGCACCCTCTGTCTAATCAAAAGTTAACTTGGCCCAGGTTTTAGTTTCTCTGTAAGTTTTGTTGGAAAGTAATATAATAAATCTTATTACAAGATACAGCTGATTATGTATACATTATGTCTTTGGAGAAATTTGCATTTTAAGAGGAAGGTCAAGGATGCCTTAATTACAAACATTGCATTTTTGGTTATTTAAATAGTATCTGGGAAAACGGTGAAGATATATAGGAAGTTAAGAAAGATACCTGTATCTACCACGTGTGAAAGATTATCTCAGTAAATAGAATTGGCTACATATTCATCTATTATAATAATACCAAAAAAGAAGATATATATCTTCAAAGCGTCACAATTTTTGTAGTCAGCAAAATGAATGGCAAAGATAATGAGAGAATAAAGATACAAAAATGAGTATTTAAAAATAGAATTCCAATGGGAAAACTGTTAATTTTAAAAATTATATGTAAAGATGAGGTTGCTGTTAAGCATTTTACACCAATAGAGATATCAATTGGAATATTTTATGTGAAGAAAAGAAATAATGACTTAACTTTGTCAATAAAGAAAGCATCTACTTGTGTTCTCTTGTCTTATTCCTTTTACTTCTGTTGCACTCGAAATGATGGCAGAACTTTTGATTTATCACATTTTTAATTGGTCTCCTTGGTGACATGTTCCATATGTTTATTATTCATTTAGTCAAGCTTTTCTCTGACTTTACTGTGATACCTGAATGCTAATTTTTCTACTTTCCTAATCCTTAAATATATCATTTATTCAAAGACAGAGCCAGTATAAAGAATCTCCATTTATTATTTTCAGAAACTCCTGTCCCTATTTTTCACATTTCTTGCAGAATCACTGGAAATACTTTCAATTAACAAATAGTAAAAGAATGACACTCATAACCTGGGAAAAAGAAGTAAATTATTTGTTTGCCCTCACGCATTTGAAACCATTGTAAGAATGTGTTTTCTGGCTAGGCACGGTGGCTCAAGCCTGTAATCCCAGCACTTTGAGAGGCCAAGGAGGACGGATCACTAGAGGTCAGGAGTTCAAGATCAGGCTGGCCAACATGGTGAAACCCCGCCTCTACCAAAAATACAAGAATTAGCCAGGCGTGGTGGCGCACGCCTGTAATCTCAGCTACTCGGAAGGCTGAGGCAGGAAAATCACTTGAACCTGGAGGTGGAGGTTGCAGTGAGGCGAGATTGTGCCACTACACATCAGCCTGGGTGACAGAGCAAGACTCTGTCTCAAAAAAAAAAAAATATGTTTTTTAAATCAAATGTCTAAACCATTTGTTGAACATAAAATCTACACATTTCAATTTAGTTTTGTGTCAAATATCAAGTCACTTAATATATTTTTATCATATTGCAATCTTTTAAAGTAAAATAGAATATAAGACTTATTTAGAAATATTACACATTTATAGTAGTTTTAATTTTTGATGTCTTTTGATAATCTGGATACATTACAAACTATATGTAAAGTATTGATTTGTATTATGTGTAGATAAAAGATAGCAAGGGCTTAGAATACATCAAAGTAAGCAAAGAAACAACACTTATTCCATTATTATATTTTAGATAATCATCTGAACCTCTGTTAGTTAATTAAAATTAGCAGGCTTAGTTTTATATGTCTACTTGATATATATATTCAGATACTTAAAGATGATAGTTGATATCTTGGTTGGAAGTTATACAGGGAGATATATATATATATATAAATCTTCAAAATTAAAATTGTATTTGCACCATCCTAAATACCTTCCAACCAAGACACCAATTGTAGAGTTTCTGGTGGTGTTCGACTCCTCTGTCAAATTCAAATATTAAAATTTTCACAGCCAATGATACTTGAGGACCATTACACAGGCATTGTGATAAAATTGAAAGGATATGTTATAATTTTTGAGTTCACACGCAGAGCAGGATTGGATTTGCCTTGCAAAAGGGCTTAATGCCAGTGCCATTAATCATCTCCTTTCCAGTTTCACTGCATCCAACACTCACATAGATGAACAGACCTACACAATCACAGTCAACAGGTACACTGTAGGAAGACAAGATTTTTCCTTAAATGCCAAATATTTAATATAGAATATTATACTTTAAGCAAGGGGAGAAGGAGTAAGTTAGCATACTTGGTTAAAAAGAGGCAAATGTATTTATAGACTACATGGAATATGACAAACTATGTAGGGCACTATGTAGGACCCAGACCAGACCAGGCCAGGATGGTCATTTCAGGCACAGGAGCTAAGAGTTTCATCACTTCTTGATGAGGAAGAGATGGAGATTTAAAATTCATTGTGCATTTAGATTCTCATTTCAGAAAATGAATTCCGTTATCAAGAGAGCTTTTTTATTATCTTTGTAAAATTTCAAAGAAAAAAATCACTGTGGATATTTTTATATGAGAACATTTTGAATGATTAATCCTACAAAGCTATTTTCTATCTCATCATCTGGAAAACAAAGTATACAAATGCAGGAAAACAGCCACTGTTCAGAGTCCAGATGAGGTCAGCTACATTATTTTTGTAGTTTGCTCATAATCTGTATGAAAAAATGAATAAATTTCAGGTGCAACTTTCTAATTTCAAAGCCATCCAGCAAGAAAATGAACTCTTTAATAAAGCAGAGTTTTCCCCACTGCAAGAATTGTTCAAGCAAAGACTATCAACTTTTTTTATTTTCTGGGATATTATTATAGGAACCTTTTTACATTAAGGGAAATTATTCATACTTTCAGAAATTAGGTTTCCATTATCTAAATTTTTTTATACATGAATTGATTAGCTTTTATGCTGCTATATTGTGGCTATTGTTTTTCTTTAGGACTTTATTTTGTTTTTTAGCCATATAGAGTGGTGTCAGGGTGAGAAAGGAGAAAAGGAGATATAATTCACCCCAAAGAGACACTCCTTATCAATGAGAGAGAAAATTAAGAATGTTTGGCTTTCAATAAATAACCAAAATTCTTTGATGACGTTGAGAATGCATGGAAAAGCGGTTAATGTATTTAGATAATTCAAGACACTATAAGAAATGTGTGAAATAAAAGAAAGATTGAGAGAAAGGAAAGTCTGAATAGAAGAGAACCTGTCCATAACTGAGAATTGAGAGTGTTTTTGAGGCTTATGAAATTATATTGAGGAATTCACATATTATAGGTAAAATAGAATGACAAAATTATGACTATAATTTATAGAGAATCAGAAATACTATGCAGATTATGATTCTGAGAAGTGAATATTGTTTAAATTGAAATAAATATTTTTCTTAGTATTTTGTTGGTGGACTACTTGCTAACGTTTTGCTATAAACAATGTTTTTACACTACATTTATGATTAAGTATTTTAGGAATGCCTTCCCTTATCTGCTAAATTTGAAAAACTATATGATTTGCATAAAGATTAATATTTATGATTATTTTAATTGTTACAATATGACTTTAATCTTCCCAAGAAAATATAATTTACAACTTTATTAAGAGATAGAAAATAACTTTCCCATGTGTTCTGAACTTTGTTAGAATGCCCCACAAACTGCCTCATTTATGTGACAAGGTGTTTATTAAAGAAGAAAATTATGTGTCACATATACAGTAATGAAGTAAATTAAAATTAAGAGCTATTTCCTGGATTTATAGTTGATTCTTATGTTTCATGAGCCTTTTAAAGGTTGTTTTGTGTAAATTATTCCAGAAATATTATAGAGTAATTGTTCAGTAGCATAACAACTACATATAGTAAAACCCTAAAATTAAATTATTAAATTATTTACACTTTGGATGTTGGATGGATTCAAGTCCCAACTCCAAGACTATAAAGAAGCTCTACAGGATTTCCTATCATGTTCTAAAACAAAATTTTAATTATAATTATAGTCTTCCTCTTTGTACTAAAAATATGTAAACCACAATGAATAGTTTTGAATAATAATTGCCTAGCAAAATAAATATCCAAAAAAAGGTTTTATTGAGTCCTATTGTAAAAATGATCAACTAGATCACAAATATAATTATACAGTATTGTGATCAATTAATATACTGTATTGGTTCAAATTTATATCTTTTTACATATATTAAAATATGTCAACTTATATATCCCTTTAAATATTCCTTTATATTGATTTTATTGTAGTAAAATGCAAAATAATTATAAATTAAGCTACTGAGGAACTCACAGATACTGTTGATGTTGATTATAGCCAAATAAATAATGTAAAGACTACACTACTGTGCTCACCCAGAACCAAAATCAAATTATCCTGTGTAGCAGACACCACAGATAAATCTACAGGAAAATCTAAATTTTGGAAAAATCTACATTCTTCCAAATTGCCAGAAGTGACTGTTACAACAGATGCATAGATATCAATATTGGTACAAAAAATGAAAAATAAAGAAATAATACCTCCAAAGGAACACGTTAATTTCCCATGAACAGATCCCCAATAAAAAAAAATCTATAAAATTTCTAGAACTGAATTAAAAATAATGATCTTAAGAAAACTCAGCAAGCTAAAGGAGAGCATAGGTAGATAATACAAAGAAATCATGAAAACAATTCATGATTGAATGAGAATTTCAAAAGGGAGAGAGATATCATAAAAAAGAACCAAACAGAAATCTTGGAAGTGAGGAATTAAATCCATAAAATAAAAACACAATTGAAAGCTTCAGCAATAAACTAGATCAAACAGAAACAAATAATTTATGAACTGGAAGACATATATTTTAAAATAAATTAGAAAAAAGAAAAATAAAAATTAGAATGAAGAAAGCCTATGTGACTAATGTGACACCATTAAGTGAGCAAATATTTGCATATTGGGATTGCTAGAAGCAAATGGGAAAAGCATAGACAACATCTTTAATAATAAAATAGCTGAAACATTCTCAAGCCTTGGGAGAGATATAGACATTTAGATATAGAAGGCTCAAAGAGTCCCAAATAAATTTAACCCAAAGATCATCTCTGAGGCAAATAGTTAAACTGTCAAAAGTCAAAGACAAGGAGAAAATTCTAAAAATAGCAAAAGTGTCAAATCACAAATAAGAGAAACAGCAGATTTCTGAATATAAATCTTGTAGTCCAGGAAATGGATAATATAGTTGAAGTGCTGAAAGAGGGAAAAAATCTTTCAGTCAAGAATACTATTTTGAGCAAAACTATTCTTCCAAAATAAAGACAAAATAAAATACCTCCCAGACAAGCAAAAATAGGGAATTCATCACCACTGGACCAGCCCTGTGAGATATGTGTAAGGACGTTCTACACCTGGAAATAGTTCAAATACCCACTTAAAAGATATAGAGTGGTGAATGGATAAGACAACTTGACTCAACTACATGCTAGCTACAAATGACTCATTTACCTGTAGAGACACACATAGATTGAAAGTGAAGGAATGGAAAGTTATATTCCATGCATGTGGAAACAAAAAGCATGCAGAAGTAGCTATCTTTATATCAGGTAAAATAGGCTTTAAGTCAAAAGGCTTAAAAATAAACAAAGGTAGTCATTATATAATGATGAAGGAATACATTCAGCAAGGGGATATAACCATTGTAAATATATGTGCACTCAATACTGGAGCACCCAAATATTTAAAGCAAATATTAGAGCTAAAGGGAAAGAGACCCCAAAACAATAATAGTTGGGGACTTCAACACCTCACTTTCAGCAATGGACATATTATCTAGAAAGAAAATTTTTAAAAATTAGAGTTAGGCTGCACTGTAGACAAAATGGACCCAACTGACCTTTAGAGAACATTTCATCCAAAAGCTTCAGAATACACATTTTTCTCATCAGCACATGGAACATTCTCCAGGATAGACTATATGTTGGGCCACAAAACAAGCCTTGACAAATTTTTAAAACTTGAAATTATGTAAAATATTTTCTCAGACTACAATGGAATAAACCTGAAAACCAATAGCAAGAAAAACTGAAAACTGTAAAAAATATGTGGAAATAAAACATCATGGTCTTGAACTACCAATATGTCTATGAATAAATTTTTTAAATTATAAAATATTTTGAAACAAATAAAAATCAATTTTAAAACTATACCAAATCCTATGGGATACAACAAAAGCAGCACTAAGAGGGAAATTTATAGGAATAAATGCCTAGATCAAAAAAGTAGAAATATTTCAAATAAACAGCCTAAGAATGCACCTCAAGGCACTACAAAAGCAAGAACAAACCAAACCCAAACTTAGTTGCAGGGAAAATAATAACAATCACAGCAGAACTAAATGAAATAGAGACAACAAAATATTTTAAAAATGAAATTAAAAGTTGTTTTTTGAAAAGACAAAGTTGAGAAACCATAGCTAGACTTACTAAGGAAAAAGAGAGATGACCCTCCAAAAAATAAAACTAGAAATGAAAAAGAAGACATTACAACTGATATCACAGACATACAAAAGGTCATTAGAGACTATTATAAACAATGATGCAAATTGAAAAAACAATAAGAAATGAATAAATCTCTGAACACATAAAACCTACCAAGATTGAACTAGGAAGAGGTAGAAAACTCTAACAGAGAAATAACAAATAATAAGATTGAATCAGTAATAAAAAGTCTCCCAAAATGAAAAGCCCAGGACAGAAAGGATTTACTGCTTGAATTCTACAAACTTTTAAAGAACATTAATTTTTTTCAAACTATTCCAAACTATTGAAGAGAAGGGGCTTCTTCCTAATTCATTCTATGATGCCCACTTTTATTTAACACAGTACTGGAAGCCCTAGCCAGAGAAATCAGGCAAGTGAAAGAAACAAAACCATTCAAACTGGAACAGAGGCCTAAGCTTCACCTCCCATCAGATCAGAAGTGGCATTAGATTCTGCACATATACACCATGGAATACTATGCAGCCATAAAAAATGATGAGTTCATGTCCTTTGTAGGGACATGGATGAAGCTGGAAACCATCATTCTCAGCAAACTATCACAAGGACAAAAAAACAAACACCACATGTTCTCACTCATACGTGGGAATTGAACAATGAGAACACTTGGACACAGGAAGGTAAACATCACACACTGGGGCCTGTTGTGGGGTGGGGGGAGGGAGGAGGGATGGCATTAGGAGATATACCTAATGCAAATGACGAGTTAATGGGTGCAGCACACCAACATGGCAAATGTATACATATGTAACAAACCTGCATGTTGTGCACATGTACCCTAGAACTTAAAGTATAATAAAAAAATTTTAAAAAAAAAGATTCTTATTGGAGTGCGATATCAATTGTGAACTGTGCATGCAAGGGATCTAGGTTGCATGCTCCTTATGAGAATCTAATGCTGTATGACCTGTCACCATCTTCCATCACCCCCAGATGGGACCATCTACTTGCAGGAAAACAAGCTTGAGGCTCCCATTGATTCTTCAATATGGTGAGTTGTATAATTATTTCATTATATGTCAAAATATAATAATAATATAAATAAAGTACACAATAAATGTAATGTGCTTGAATCATCCCAAAATCATCCTCCACCCATCCACGGAAAAATTGCCTTTAACAAAACTAGTCTCTTGGGAGGCTGAGGCAGGCGGATCACTTGAGATCAGGAGCTCAAAACCAGCCTAGCCAACATTGTGAAACCCCACTTCTACTAAAAATACAAAAAAAAAAAAAAAAAATTAGTTGAGCATGGTGGTGGGTGCCTGTAATCCCAGCCACTCAGGAGGCAGAAGCAGGAGAATCGCTTGAACCGGAGAGGCGAGGGTTGCATTCCAGCCTGGGCAAGAGAGCGAGACTCCATCTCAAAAAAAAAAAAAAAAACAAACAAAAAAAACAAACAAACACAAAAAACAACAATAAAAAAACTGTTCTCTGGTGCCAAAAAGGGGACTGCTGTTCTAAAAAACTTATGAAAAAATTGAAGAGGACAAACAAAAAATGGAAAGTCATCTCATGCTTATGAATTAGAAGAAGTAATGATGTTAAAATGACCATAAAACCCAAAGTGATCTTCAATGTAATCCTTATCAAAATACCATAACATTATTCACAAATAGAAAAAGAATTCTAAAATTTGTGTGGAATTTTAAAAGACTGAATATCTAAAGCAATACTGAGTGAAACAAACAAAAAAACAACTGGAAGCATCATACTACATGATTTCAAATTATAATACAAATCTAAAGTAATCAAAAAATTTTGGCATTATGTTGAAACAGACACATCAACCAATGGAACAGAGTAGAAAACTCAGAAATAAATTCCCATATTCACAACCAACTGATTTTTACAGAGGCACCAAAAACATACATTGAAGAAAGACACTGACTTCAATAAATGTTGCTGGAAAAACTGGATATCCATATGCAGAAGAATGAATCTAGACCCCCTTCTCTCACCATATTTTTAAAAAAGCTTAAAATAGATTAAAAACTTAAATGTAAGAAACAAAACTGTCAGACTACTAAAAGAAAACATGAAAAAAATGCTTCAAGACATTGGTCTAGGCGAAGATTTTATGGGTAAGACTTCAAATGCACAGATAACAAAAGCAAAAACATATATGAGACTATGTCAAACTAAACACATTTTTTCACAGTAAAGAAAACAATCAATACAGTGAAGAGACAATCTGTTGAATGGGAGAAAATATTTGCAAACTATACATTGGACAAAATACTAATATTCTAGATAGACAAGGAACTCAAACAACTCAACAGCCAAAAGCAAATAATCTGATTTTAAAATGGGCAAACGCTGTGAGTAGACATTTCTCAAAAAAATCATACAAATGACCAAGTAAATTTTAAAATTTTAACATCACTAATCTTCAGAGAAATGCAAATAAAATATCACCTTACCTTAGCTAGCACAGCTATCACCAAAAAGACAAAACAAAACAAAAAAACCAACAACAACAAGAAATCCCCCAAATGCTAGTAAGGATACAGAGAAAAAGAAACTCTTACACACTGTTGGTGGGAATGTAAATTAGTATAGCCATTATGGAAAACAGTATGTAGGTTTCTCAAAAACTAAAAGTAGAAATAGAAATCCAGCAATTCCCCTACTGTATATTTATTCAAAGGTTAGGAAATAAGTACATGGAAGATATATGTACATTCTTATGTTTATGGCAATACTATTCACAATAGCCAAGATATAGAATGAACCTACATTTCCATCCACAGATGAATGGATAAAGAAAATGTGTTGTATATACACAGTGGAATGCTATTCAGCCATAAGAAAGAAGTAAATTTTGTCCTTTGTGGCAACATGAATCAGCCTAGAGGACATGATGTTAAATGAGATAAGTCAGGTATAGAAAGAAAAGCATTTTATCTGTTAATTCATATGTGAAAACTAAAAAAGTTGTACTCATAGAAGTAGAGAGTAGAACTGTGGTTATTGGGGGCATGAGAGACTAGTAGAGAGGGGAGGCTAGAGAGAAATTGGTTAATTGATACAAAATTATAGCTAGACAGGAGGAATGAGTTCTAGACCTCTATAGCTCTATAGTGTGAATATAGTTCACAATAATTTATTGTGTATTTTCAAAAAGCTGGAAGAGAGGAATTTGTATGCTCCCAACACACAACAAAGTAATATATGTTTGTGTTGATGAATATGCTCATTACTCTGATTTGATTATTACACATAGTATACAAGTATAGAAATATTGCTCTGAATTTCATAAATATGTATGATTATTGTGTGTCAACTAAAAATAAAAGAGGGAACAAAAAAAGCCAGACCACTGAAAAGGAAGATGGATAAAAGGCAAACAGATATTTCACAAAGAAGGATATCCACTATTAAACCAAAGAAAAGGTGCTTAGCTCAACTAATCATTGGGGAAGTGGAACTTAAACTCACAATGTGACAGCACTACATACCTACCAATCTAGCTGAAGTAAACAAATCAAAAACAAGTATGTTTTACATGCATATGAGAGGCTGTGGAATAACTAACTCACACTTTCCTGGGAGTGGAAATTGATGCAACCATTTTGGAACTATCAGCAACTTCTAAAACTTAATCACATATATTATGATCCATTCATTTCACTTCTGTGTATATACCAACACAAATACACACACACACACAAATGTTCATAAAAGCACTAACAAAAATAGCCTCAACCTGGAAATAATCCAAATGCCCAGTAATAGCAGAAATGAAAAATACGTTTATTTTACAATATTGAGAATGAGAAACTACATGTCATGTGAAACAACATAGGTGAATCTCAAACACATTGGTGAAAGAATAAACCCAAACACAAGTGAGTGCGTATTTGTATTTCTGTTTATGGAAAATATTTATGTTCAAAACAGGTAAAACTAACCAATGCTGTTAGAAGATGGGATAGCGGTTACCCTTGATTCAGTAAGTACTAGAAGAAAGTAGTAGGAGCATCTGGGAAGCTGCTAACATTCTGTTTTTTGATGTGAGTGCTAATTATACAGGCGTGTAACCTTAAAATTTATTATTTTTCCTTTTGTGTTGTATAACACTAACTTTTCTCTAGGTTTGCTTCATTTCAATACAATTTATACCCTCCTGAAAAATGCAAATTAAAAGAACTTATTTATATTAGCATGTAATAAAGGTATTATATGCATAAAACAATTATGCAATTCAATTTTTTATACTTTTTATTAAATTATTATCTTGTATATCACATCATATAGCCAAGCAAATGTTTAAAGTTTAGTAGAATATTTTATTTAAAACTTTATTGGATGTTTAATATTCTAGGCTAGAAGGTAGCGATATAGCAGTAATCTAGATATGCAAGTCACCTGACATGAGAGAACTCTGGACTAGATCAAGACCGTTGTTATCAAGTTATTTCGATATGAGTTCAAAAATAGAATTTCTTGAATTTCAGATAAACTGCCTTTCATGGGTACCAACCATTGTGCAATATATTTTGTTGACACATGGGAAGAATTATATACTTCATAGTCCACTTAGTCAAGCCAATATATTCATGTGGATTTTAAATTATGAGTTTTCTAACAAATGAATGCAAGCAGCAAATTGAGTTAAGTGAAACACGCTATTTTTCCACCCAATTATAGTTCTTAAATCTCTAAAAGGGAAACATCTGTTGAGCCAGTTATAGAGCTGGTTGCTGACTGAGAACAGCAGGAGAGCTTGCAGTTAATCATCTGTACTCCTACCAGGAGCCCCGCTCACCAACGTGAATTACTGAGGATGGTTTCCTGAAGGATAAGACACTATGTAGTTTCCAAGTAAAGAGCAGTAAAAGTCACAGCAGGCAGAAATGGGAATTGGCACTTTAACAAAAGGAGGAGGAGTTCTTAACAGTTTCAATAGTAGCTCAGAGGTTTGTATCAGCACCTCTTTGGAAAACACAGAATAAAACCTGCTGTAAAATAAGGTATTAGTCTTAAATATAGCAAATAAATTAGTCAATTTACTGTATCTTAACGAGGTGTTAACTTGAGTAATCAGCATGTTGAATAAACCTTCAGTTTAATTTGTGTACATTTAGCATAGAGGGAAGCCGAATGAATTATCCAAGTTAGAAACAGATAAAGACAAGCAAGAAATAGAGCAGAGTATATTTTATTTTTCTCTGTTAGAAATCATCTGTTTACTACAAACTCAAGTTAGATCCTACTCTTAAATATTACTATAAATATTTATTATTTATGGGTTATAAACATGAATACAAAAATGAAACTGAAGGAAATCTACATATCTGTCTTCTGGGTTTTTTGATTCTATGGATTATATTTTCAGTGCTGAGAATCTACAACTCTGTCTCTCTCACTTTCTTTTTTCTTCTCTTTTTTCCCTTTTTTCATCTTTCTTTTTGATTCACTGAAGACAAAATTTCTGCATCCTCTTCAACAGCATAGTCAGTTTCTTTTGGCCTTTCCTTCTATAAGTTAAATAATGAACATTGCATTCAGTTTTCCCCATTATTTGTATTTATCAATATAGTAACACATTTTGTGGATTCTCATTTACAGCTTTTTGATGTTCTATCTTAATATTCCTTCTCTAGAGATCAGTATGAACTGAATTTACTGAAATTTACAAACTTAATACATCAATATTTTTGCAGAATTTTTTACTGAAGAAATTACCAAATAAATAGATTCACAGGTACTCATCAACATGTGGACCACAAATGGAAGTGTTGATTGAAATACATT
Source organism: Homo sapiens (assembly GCF_000001405.40). Lineage (NCBI taxonomy): Eukaryota > Metazoa > Chordata > Mammalia > Primates > Hominidae > Homo > Homo sapiens. Next base: position 196,033,252 of record NC_000001.11, on the reverse strand, counting down.
TTGTTTTTAATTTGAAAACAATCAAGTCTTTAAAAAGTGGTAGATAGACAATTTTTAAATTCCCTGACCAAGTATCTTTATAAGTATCTCCAAATATGATTGAATTTTTCTTATTTAGGAATCAGATTATACCTATATAATATTCAATTTGTTATGTTTCCAGGAAATTATTTCAACGGCCACAGAAGACTATAGACATTAATAGAAATTCCTATTTTGGTGTGCTACCTCAACCTATTTACCAAATTACCCCCTAAAATCTATAGTTATGGATGGGCTCAGAAGAAGAGAAGGTTCTGCAACAGGTCCAGGCCAATCTGCTGTGACTGTGAGACATTATGACCCACCACATCTGATGGTGCTTAAAGTGTTGGTGGCAGATAGGAGTGCTGATTTGGGCCTTGAGCAGGCCACTATAGGAAAATCATTATGCATACCATTAGACTTTTGGAGCAAAACAGTGTGGATACTTATTTTCCTTTTGAGAAACAGCTTTTTTGGCTTGCCTTGGGGCTTTAGTTGAGATTGAAAACTTGACCACGGAACACCAAGTTATTATGTGATCTAAACTACTCATCATGAAATGGGTGTTTTCTGACCTACCAAGCCATAAAACTGGTCATGCACAACAGCAGTCCATTATCAAATGGAAGCGGTACAGATAAGACGGGGCTTGAACAGACCCTGAAGGCACAAGAAAGTTGAGTTGACCGAGGAATGGCCCAAGTGCCCATGGTCCTTACTTCTGCTTTGTTAATTTATGTCTCCCAGCACACAACTATAATCTCTTGGAAAATTCCCTATAACTAATTGAATGAGGAAGACAAAATTTGCGTCTGTGATTTATTGGTGATGCTGCAATATATTCAAGTATTTCTCAAAAGAGGACAGCTGCTGCACTACAGCCTGTCCTTGAAATATCCCTGAAAGACGGTGGTGAGGGTAAATCTTCCCAGTGGGCATAACTTGAAAAGTGCACCTGACCATTCATTTTTTGCCTGGAAGAAGAAATAGTTAGAGGTATAGGTTTATATTGAGTCATAGGATGTGGCCTGTTGTTTGGTAAGATGGTTAAGAACTTGGAATAAGATTAAATTTGTGATTACAGGAAGCATGTGGAGATACCTTGCCACACATGATGTGGAAATGTTAGTACCTCAAGTGAAAGATTACCAAAGGGTAACCTCAACAGAAGAGGGTTTTAATAATCAGGGGTGTAGGATTACCTGTACTGTAGATGTTAGCCTCTTTCCCTAACCACTCCTTTCGTTGACCTATAGACTTACGAAGAATGTGGCCATGATGACAGGGAGGAAGATTTACATCAGACCTGCAGTATGGACTTCTGCTCATCAATATTTACTGGTCACAGAAACTGCTGAATTCAAAATCTGCCAACAATACCATCTGTGTGCTACAGAATACCTTATTCAGGATCATATTATTCCTTATACCATCATTGTTGACCAAGGAATTTATTTTACAGCAAATAAAATGTGGCAAAGGGCCCTTGCTCGTGAAATTAACTAATCTTGCCATGATTTTCTTCATAGCATGGATAATAGTATGATGGAATGGCTTTTTGAATACTCATTTATGATGTCAGCCATATGGCAAAACTTTTCAGGGCTGAAGTAATATCCCCAGGATATTCTGCATGGTCAGCATACATGTGTGGTGCCATATCTCTTACAGTCCAAATGTATGGGTCAAGGAATCAAAAGGAGGGGAAAAAAATTAGAATGTACTATCACTATTTCTTCAGGTGATATACTAGCAAACTTTTGCCGCTCATTGCCATTATTTTAGGCCCTGTGAGTTTAGAGATCTTAATTTCAAAGGAAGTAATGCTTCTATCAAGTGATAACGCAATAATGATTGCATTGAACTAGACACTGAGACTTGACCCAGCCAAATTAGGGTCTTCAATTAACAGGCAACAAATGGGGCTTCTGTACTAGTTGGAGTGATTCTTCTAGCTATCAAGGTAAAATTGGGTTTCTAATAAAAAATAAAAAGATATATATACCTGAAATGGAGGAGATCTTCCAGAGTGCTTATTAGTATTCTCATTTCTTGTGATTGAAATCAGTGGAAAACTAGCACAGCTCAATTCAGGATGGACTGATAATCACCTAGATCCTTCAGCAATAATGATTTAGGTAACTTCATCAGGCAAGAAACTACAACAAACTGAAGTTCTTGCTGGGGGCAAAGGATATAAAAATGGTAGTGGAAGAAGCTGTTTAAACATACCAGCTATAACGATGAGACCAGTTGCGGATATATGGACTAACTTAATTATGAGTATTTCTTATCTCTATATAAATATGACTCTTGTGTGTGTGATATCACATACACAATGTTTATTTTCTTTCTTCCCTCATTCCCTAATCATGTAAAATAAGATGTGTTAATAGTGCTTAACTTTATATCTCAGTATTTAAGGTACACCGTATCAATAATGGAGTATGAATAGAAGAATGAATATCACCCAAAGACAAAAAAGGGACTCTATATTCTTTCTTTAAAAGATTAGTGTTTTTTCAGCTGTATCTGAAATAGCTGTAACATGTTATGTGGAAGCATGACTTTGCTGTTTTCAGTATCTGGAGATTAATATGGTTTAAGAAGATGTATATGGGTGCCAAGTTGACAATGGGTGAACTTGGCTGGGCTTAACCACTTTCTCTTAAGTTTTTCAGAATTTTATTTTCTGTACTTTTCTGGTTAGGGTGGAGCATGACAGAGTACCTTATGGAAGAACTGGAGGGAGGATGTGAGCAGCCACCACTTTGCAGCTCACAAATGTTGTCACTGCTGGCTCACCTCATTGATGTGAGGCAGTGGCAGTCTGCATTTGTCCCACCTTCCAATGGATCCTCTTTCAGCTTCCTTAACTCTTGGATTTGTGCGGATGCTTAACTCCATGACAATGGGCCTTAACCTCTGCAATATAACCATACAAACAAGGTCAGAGGCAACAAGAATTGACATAGGTTACAGTCTGTTCTTGGAGCCTCTAGCTTGCCTTTATGGGTTCCTGATTGCTCTTGCTCTACTTTATATCCATCTTCCCTCCCTAGCTGCCTATCTTGTGAACTCCAAGCTCCAGCATCGAACACAAACCCCTAGGAAGTTGGCCTTATGCATTTGTTTAGGTAAGACTGCTGCTTTGTGTCCTATAATGGGCTTGTGAAGTACACAAGACAGATAGCTGGGGAGGGAAGGTGGATAGATAGATATAAATTATCACTGGTTCTGCTTCTTTGGTTGAACTCATAATAAAATATTTCCATTGTGTCCCGGAAGGGAATAGTAATACATTAATTCTTAAACATATAGAAGAAATAAATATGATGTTACTAATTTAACTTTAATTTTCCTAAAGACCCAGAATTAAATTATACCTTCTTTTTTGAAAGTCAAGAGTAGCATAAAACTCTGAATATTGCTTATCTTTTCTTGCTAGCAATAACTAATAGAAGAAAAAATGTAGGGAAAACTGAGGAGTCAGTAGAAAACAAACAGCTCAGAAAATCCACAAAAATATTGTTAGCTCACTAAAAATTCAGTTATTACTAGAACATGCCAGTTTTCTGTCTTTAAAATAACAACAACTTCCCACCACTGAGAGGTGCTCTCACACCTGGAGCTACAATATTTCCAAATACTATCATATTAAAGCTTGTGCAAATATTTTTCAAACATAATATTAAACATAGGGCATTTTTGCTTAAAAATGATTATATGCCATAGTATGAAAACAGATAATTTTGTTGTTACACAAACAATGGTTTGCCTGTGATAAAGTCATCCTTATTTAGTTGCCCTTTAGTCCGCATATCAAAGGAATAATAATCCCTAACATGTTAAGTTTTTGATGTATTATGTTTTAAAGCAATACCTTATATGCACTCAATTAATGAGGTTTTGGCATTGTCTTAGAACGTTGTAAATGTACAGGAACTACTTATTTACACCTGCCCTTTTATTTGTCCTCCTAAGCTGCTTAAAACCTTCTTGCTTTGTCATAATTTTTACTTATTTATGTTAAATATTATTAACATTTGTAAGCTTCTAGTGAATTTGCCTGAAGGGATGACTGCTTCAGAGAAATATTATTCTTTTATTTGGCTGGGTATTTTATAACACTTGAAATATGGTGTTACAATCAAACATTAGACCTAATTGCTGACTTTGAAGGCTGGCTCTGCTTCTCACCTGTTCTGCAACCAAAAAGATGAATTTAAACATCTCTGTATCTTATTCCTTCTCATTTGTAAAACTGTGGTGATAACAAAGTATCTATCTTCATGATTTGTTGTGCAGATCAAACGATCTAATTCATGTAAAACCCTTCAAATAGTGCCTGGCATATGGTAAATGCCCAATAAATGTTACCCATAATAATATCTTCTTCTGTGCGTGCTGATAAACTATGAAAACATATGGACCTAAAGGACAAGGCTTATAATTAACAAAGAAAAGTGTAAAGATCTTAGACAATAAAAGTGAAAAAAAAGTATCTTTTAAATATAGCCCTCTGCACAGAGATATTGCAAAAACAGTAAAAGTCAGAGGAATAGATGCACATAACTGTTTTATAACTAGCAGTTAGGTCCTTAACTCTATATAACTTTGAAATGAAATTGTAAAGCATAATACATTTCTCTCAGTAAGTTTCTCCAGATTCCCTTTGAATTTGTGTAGGACCAATAGCTATATCCAGGCACTATTTGACAGAATGCTACTTTTCAAAAAGTAGGAACAGCATGTAATTACCTCAGCATGATATTTCTTTGGTAATTGCAGATACATTGATAAAAATATCTTGACTACTAGGCAAGCAGAGTATTGATTGCAATTTACTCGGTTATAAGAAAAAGTGATTTTCCCTCAAGTTTTAATATAAGTACTTACTTGTTTTATTCTATGACAAATACAGACTTTTTCATTTCAGAAACTCAGAGTCTTCATGGAAAAATCACATGATTACTAATCATCAAGATTGTCTCTATATATTTTTTGTAAGTATTTGCCTGTTCATTATTTTCCTGCTGGGCAATTTTCTAAAAATTACAGTTCCTATAATGGAGCATTTTATTGTTGCATTTTATCAATGTATTTCCTAAGTGCAAAATCTTCAGAATTTCATGAAGATATTCTTTTTAGAAAGAAAAGTAGGGAGGTAATGGATCCTTCTTTTCACTAATTTCTCACCACACATATACTTGCATACACAAATCATAGAAAAGCTCATTCCATTTGTATTCAGTTCTTTGTTTTTGATTTCACTGACATGCAGTATCCTCCAGGATTATTCACTCTGAATAATCCGAAAAAAACAATTATTTTCATGGAGGTTTATAAAATATTTTCTATTATCTTCCTTCCAGAATGGAGCCAGGGATTAAATCAACATTTGCTGGAATGCCTCTGGATGAAGTCAGGGCTTCATGAAGGCATGGGGGGTAAAAACACTGATGGTGACATGGCAGGAGTGAGAAGTGGAAAGACAGCTAAAGAAAAAACCTGAGCCCCAGACACTTATGTGAGATTGACCCTTTATGAACTGAGGTGCAAATCAAAGAAGTTATTCACATGACCTTGGTCTGATATAATACAGCATCCTTTCAACTGAGTAAAACACTGAGCAGTAGCTTTGCTCAGAAACTATGCCTGAAAGAAAACTACCTTCAGAACTTATGGTAGCAGCTGGAACAGGGGACATAAATACAACTAGTGTTCTCTAGATGTGACCTCTAAGACCACTCATAGCTTCAAGCAACACTGTCTCACCACAGCTTATATTTCCCTCTGGAAACTTATCACACCGTCACTGCCCTTTGCCCTGGGTGAGATAGCTGATGCTTCAGTGGCAGTGTACTGTCACCAGAAACTCTGTGCCTGACAGCTTGTAATTTAAGGCAATCTCTACTCCTTTAGCCATTAGTGTAATAAAGATGGAATTACAACATATTTGACACATCCCTTTTCTGAATTGTGGCATTAGGAAATTATGGGCATTTCAGCTAAAAGCTTTTAGATGTTGAAAGGAAAAAGAGAAGAGACTCTTTTATAATACTAGCATGTGGAGCCTGAATACTATGATTCCTGATCCACCCATGTTATTTATCTGTGAGAAAATTTGGAACAGAATTCATCATACTGAAACAATGTCACTCAATAAGGACAAATATGAAAGAATCTTACTTTTAACCTCCATTGTCCATTCACTTCATGCTGTAGGACTCATTTTGCCTTTTCTTCCCTTGGATGAAAACTAGGGCAGGTCCCATGGCTGTCATTGTCACTTTAAGATAAAAAATTCTCAAGTAACTTCCAGTTTTCATACACAGTCTCATTTCAGTAATTATTTTGTTCAATCCATTATATTAATTTAAAAATTATAAACTTCATCCAAAGTTGAAACACAATAATCTTCCCCATCAAAGGAGAAGCTTTCCATACACAGTGGGTGTTGGGTTGTGACATGAACCTTCCTACTTGATTAATGATGTTGTGAGGGAACATCGGACTGTCCTGTGGGGCAGACATTTAAAGCTGACACTGTCTCTCAGGGTGTGTGGGTTCTTCCGTGCCCACTGCCCCACCACTGGGAACCTCTCATTCATGATTTCTGTAAGGGAGACAAAGAACAACTCTGTTCTGACTAGTTATATTTGGCAATGGCCTGTGTCTTGTCCTATGCAAACAGACTACCCAATCTTTTGCCAGAACAACCTATGAAATTTTAGGTCTTATACTGTCAGTAATTTATTGCAAAAAATTCAGCATCGTAAGTAAAACTTTTGGAATATGCACTAATATTTTATTTTATAAGTATTTGGCTAACACTTGAAATACTTCGGAATGATCACTACAGGGGTGGTGAATTAGCATTTGAAATTAGTAACTTTTCCCATTTTTACTGAGATAAAAAGAAATCCATGAAAGAATTTTAAAGTCATAGGTTGATTTCAACTAAAAACTCTTGAACTATCATTTTCTCAATAAACAATGGAAGACTTGATGACCAGTATAAGTGAATTTAGAAACATATGTATTTGCTGAAATGAGTAATGGTCAAGAGGTGTTTATTAGCTAATAATCTTACATAGATTTGGCCCTTAAACAAACTCTGGAGAGCTCTCAGACTAACATCTTCCTGAGTGAGGGTCTTTGTCCAGGGCTTTGTTCAGTCCACTGTGCCACAGTGTTTTCCAGGGATCGGTCATCTTACTAGATGAAAAGGTTAACTTAATACTGCCACCACAACAGGTCCCATGACTGTTTGGGACCTGTTTACAAATGAATTTTCTGTGAGTGGTAGAATTCAGTCTAAGCCTCACTTTCATTCTAACATATCACCTAGCTGTGAAACTATAAGAAAGAATGCCTATCGCAATTCATGTATCTCTAATCATTTGAGGCCTTTTGTCTCACAAGCAACAGAGTGAAGATACTCATGTCAGTTCTTATCAAAAGGCTGATTCAACTCAAACACCTTTATCCTTGATTTGCCCTGATAACAACTAATAATCCAGTCTTAATTTTTTTTTAAATATGAGTCAGACAACAATATATTGTACTTTCTCAAGCTTCAGGAGAACCATATGAAGTTATCTGGGTGGGCTTTGAAAAGCCCCTGTGGTTTCACATTATATGAAGAGGGAAGTGCCTCCTGCTCTCTTCCCTTTGGGATGTGGATAGGACTCAGTATATTAAGATCTGTCACCAAAAGTCTTCCCTTCATCTTTAAATAACAATACTTTTATTGTCTTTGTGTTGCTTGAGAAGCTATTTTTTTTTTTAAAAAAAGAGAGTTTTCTTTCCTCTTTACTTAAAATAGTGTAATCATAACTCAATTTGAAATATGGGAACAGTTGGTTTCTATTATGTTGGGGCTTTAGCCTAAATTGAGATGAAAATGCATCCATTTTTATATCACAGTATATATAATAAATATAATATAACTGCCAGAAAAAAATGTGCCAGCCAAGCTATTTATTTATAATCTATTACATAATCCATTAGAACCAATAGTTTTCAGGCAACCACTGAACCAATTATTATAGTACAACAGTGATTTAATCTGGTAGACCCATTGATTATGCCAAATATAAATTTAAAGAATATTATTCATAAAAGATAAAATGAATGTATAAAATTAATAAACATTATTTTATTTTTGAGGAGAGCAGAGGGATAGTAAAGCTAATTAAAAGAGCATTTGAGTAACTGTTATCTGTAGATATTTAAACATATTAAAATAAGAAATATTTGTAAATGTTTAGTTGAATGTGATGCTGGCTAATATTTTAGAGGACAACTACAATTGTAAACTTCAGGTTTCTTCTTTTATTCTTTTTTTACTGGTAAGAAACCTGCAAGCTGTCACTTTACAGGTTCTGGACAATAATTATATAGAAAAGGGTAAAAATCTAACACAGCTATATTTTCCTAGAGAATGTAATAATCTTTGGGTTACCCTGTTAAACAATGCTCTTGACTGACATTGAAAGGATATGTTACATCCCTTTGCCCATTTTCAAGTTTTGCATAAATTTCCCCAACTAGTGACAGCATACTTTTCCTGATACAATTATGAAACATTTTAACCACTTTCGAGAAATAAATGAGAAAATGGTAATGGATACTAAGTGTAACATGATATGACAGATATATGTTTTATATTTTCAGAACATATGGTATAGTTGATGAGAAAGATATTTTTTAAATTACGAATATTTAATTATAAACTGGTATATGCCGTGAATGAAAGTACGGGGTGCTATGTAATCTTAGAATGGTAGAAACTGATTTAATGTTAGAGGACACTTTTCAGGAAAGCTGAAACCTAAAGGATGAGTTAAAAGGAATTAAATCAGCTGTGGTAGAGGTATGGGTGGGAGAGTGGAGCACATTCCACGGAGAGGAAGTACTGCTGTATGTGTAAATACTGGGGTGGGGCTGAGCATGTGTACTTGAAAAACGAAAACAAACAAACAATATTATGGCTAAAATACAGAGATGGAGAGGGAGATGATCATGAAAAGAGAATGAAAATGTAATAATAATGATATTATAAATTGATGTTTAAATTGTGTGAAAGGCATATAAATCAAAGTAGTTTATATGTTGTAGTTAATTAAATTTTTAAAACAATTATATGAAGCAAGTACTCAATATTAATAACCCATCTGAAAACCGAGGCTCAGAGAAGAATATATCTTGTATAGTTCACATAGCTAATGACTGAACTATTTCAAATTTAATCCCAGGCAGTCCAGTTCGACAACTCCTGTTTATAATGATTATGCCAAATATGCTCAAACAGCTGGGGAAGGATCATGCAGGACTCATATGCCAAATGAAGAATATTTTTTGTTTCTCCTAAGAGACATAGGAATCCATGGAAGGGTTTTAAAGGGCAACCTGAACAGATGTGATTTCTAAAATGGTTATTCTTTTTACGTGTGGAAAATTAACTGGAAAGTAGAAACAAAGTGTTAGTGAGAACAATTAGAAGGACTCTATATTCATCCAAGGCAAGAGATGGAGATGCTTGGCTTATAGTTATAATGGTATTAATGTAGATAATATTAATAAATCTGAGAGATAGTTTAGAAGCAAATTAAAAGAAACATCTCAATGTTGAATTGTATATGAGGGGAGAGAGTGGAAGCATTAGGGACAATTCCTAAGTTACTGTCTTATATAACTGTATTCACCATAAATCATTCATTAAAATGGGAATAGTGGAGAAACATAGTGAAAGATGGATGATGAGCTTCGTTTAGGACTGTTCAACTTGAGTTGACTTTCATTTATCCATATGCAGATACGAATTAAGAAGTTGGTGGTGATGTCTGGGCCTCACTGTAGTTATACATTCAGAGGTTATTTTCTAGAGATGATATTTAAAGCAATAGATACGGATAATATTGCCAGGAAAGAGAATGCAAAGCAAAAAATATGGAATCCAGAACCAGCTAGGAGGAAGAATTACCTTCTCAGCAAAGAAAAGCTAAATCGTCTGTAAAGAATACTGAGAAAAAAACCTCTGAATTGTACAAAGGAGAATACATAGATGAAAATAGCCAGATACATAGAATGAAAATGGAGAGGTGTCAGAGAAATCAAGGAAGAGATTGTTTGAAAAAAATAAGAGGCTACGGTGTTGAAATGTGCTTAGAGGTCAAGCAATTGAAAAAATAAATTAGTTGTTCTTGGTGTCAGAAATTAACTTAGAAACCAATTATTCCAAATTTATTATTGTTAATATATGCAATTGGGATCCAAAGAAACTGAGGGCTTTGACCATTAATATAAACTATGACTTTTAAAATATTTATGATTTAATGTCTGTTGCCATACATGTTGAGGATTTATTGCTTTTAAGTGTCTAAACTTACTTTTAAATTAACACAAGATTGAATTATTATTATGTGTTAGCTTGGATCATCGAGAACATAAAGATAAATAAGATTAGGGCTTCTAGTTAAACATAGCTGTATGTTTCATACTCTTCAACCAAATAAATCTCAATAAACTTCTTAGTAAATCTCAGTGAAGGAATAAAATAATCATAAACACACAAGGAAGAAAAATCAAGAAAGGAAATAATAATATACACAGTGACTTCAATAAATTTTCAGAAGATGAAAAACAAGTGGTAAAACTGAACTAACTGAGCAGAACAGAGAAGGTTGCAATCTAGCTAACCTTCAGACAGAACATAAAAAAGAAATAAGCCAATCAAGTACAATGAAAACCAAAAAATGAAGTGGGGGCAGAAATGAGTGGAGTTGGAGAAACTGGCATACTGAATTCAACTTCCCTTCCCTTTTCCTACTTCTGAAATATTAGAGTCAAGCATGTAAGCCTATAAACTTCTTATGAAAGGAAATGAGTAGATTCCTCTTTGGAGAAATTGAGTGGCCCTGAGGTTTAGTAAAAACTTATAATGACACTTGGAGGATGTGTGAGAAATAAAGCTACTCAATTGCTTTTACAATATTTATCAAAGAACAGCTTATGGTGATCTGACATGTGATGTCACAAAAGGGTAAAGCGAGGACTCAAGTATTTGCCCTCAGACATTCTTTCTTAAGAAGATATTGTACAATGACCACATCACCAAAACAAAGAAGAGTGAAAAAAGGAAAATGCAGGCTTGTGAGTGGAATCAAGAAATCCAATTCAGAATAATAATAATAATAAGTTCCCAGGCAACAGCTAGGTGCAAGCCTAGGGAGCTACCTGGCCACATGGAAAGGAGGATAGAGTACTCCAAAAGAGGGGCTCCAAGAAAAAGCAAATTAAAGAACTGAGGGGTTATCTGATACATTCGTTAATATTGACAGGAATGACAGAAAATTGAAAAGGTTTGGCTATCTCCTTACCTTAATATAGTACTACCTGACAATATTCTACATTTTATCAGTTTATATGTAATAGTGATACAGGAGCTAGAAATAAATTATTTAGGTAGATAGTCAGAATAAAAGAGGCCTCAATAAGGTTCCTTTTAATAAAAAGCAGCCCCCAAAATCATTTCTTGGCTGGGTGCAGTGGCTCATGCCCATAATCCTAGCACTTTGGGAGGCTGAGGTGAGCAGATCATCTGAAGTCAAGAGTTCAAGACCAGCCTGGCCAACATGGTGAAACCCCATCTCTACTAAAAACACAAAAAAATTAGCCGGACATGGTGGCTTGCACCTGTAATCCCAGCTACTCGGGAGCCGAAGGCAGGAGAATCGCTTGAACCCCGGAGGCGGAGATTGCAGAGAGCTGAGATTGCGCCATTGCACTACAGCCTGGGTGACAGAGCAGACTCCATCTCAAAAATAAATAAATAAATAAATAAATAAATAAATAAATAAATAAATAAAATGATTTCTTTTCTAACAAAAAGCAGCCTGAAAAATCAAGCTGCAAGCATAGAAAAGCAAACTAAAAGCTTGCACAGGTAAATGCTGGGAGCTGTGCCAATTGAAAAGGGATACCTGGAAACCAGGTATATTCAACTTAAAGGTTCCCTCTTCCCTTTTCTTTGTTGCCACTTGTGCAGTAAAAAAGTAAGCAACATGGCACCAGCCAGGTAGAGAACCCATCTGCATAATAAAAGATTAGGGTATGATGTCCAGCTACTTTGCACACTATGCAAACGACACACCTGGTCTGACCAATCTCTCAGGCCCTATGTAAATCACTCACTACCTCCTCAAGCTTGTCTATAAAATCCTATGCATTTCACCACAAAACCAGAAGACCCACTCGGGAGCCCCCCTCTCTCTCTGCAGGAGAGAGGACTTACTGTTTTCCTTCTTTCTCTTGCCTATTAAACCTCTGGTCTTAAATTCACTTCTTGTGTGTCTGTGTCCTCGATTTCCTTGGCGTGAGACAATGAACCTTGGGTATTTACCCCAGACAATGACACTGCTTCAATAGATCATGAGCTTTATTTACTAAAACAGTGTGTGGCATTAAAAAGGAGTTTTTAACTGAATACATAGGGAAATAATATTTAAGACTGATTTAAAAATAGTAGGTTATATTTAATAGATATACATTAGATAATATTGAATAAAAACTGAAAATTGCTAAGAGCATAGAATGTAAGTTATCTTTTAGAACTAGGCTCAGAAACAACTCCTGGGTATATACTACTTGGTGAGACTTCATATACCATGTCACTTAAAAATATATAAATTTATTACTTTGATAAGAACAAGTTACTAAAAAATAGATTAGTATAGCAGTCCCTTTAGTCAAATATTTCACAATCAAGTAAAGTGGGAAAGTGGGAAAAATCTATTTAAAAGTAAGGAAATAAGAATTTTAAAACTTATTCTATAAAGTTACAAAGAAGAATGTAATTCTGATACCTAGTGAGGGTCTTGAGAGATAATTTATCTGTTAAGGTTTAGTTGCTGAACAGAAATCATTATATCTATTTGAAGTTGAAAGGCATTTAGTAAAGGTAATTACATGCTTATAGAGTCAGTGGAAAGGTGTAGGCTGGATCTCCAAAAACAATCCCTGAATGAATGTGTTCAAAGGGCCTGCAAAGGGAACACTATTCAGGAAAGGAGAAAGTCAGTAAGCCACTGTCCCAAATACTGGTTTCATGATCACTCCGCTTAGCTGCAACCCAAATATATATATATGTATATATACACACCATATATATATATCTCAAATATATATATCAAATATATATATCTCAAATATATATATCAAATATATATATCATATATATCAAATATATATATCAAATATATATATATCTCAAAACAAAACAAAAACCTGACTGCTTCCAGAAGAATTTTATATCTATGTATATATATCTCAAAACAAAACAAAAACCTGACTGCTTCCAGAAGAGTTTTATGTGATAGATCCATCTCAGCAAAATTGATGTGTTTGTGCTGTTTCTTTTTTCCCCACTTATCTCAGTTATAAATACAAGTCTCACAGGGTTGTATCTGATTGGCAGAACCTAAATCAGATTTAGAACCCTAGCTATAAGTAGATTTTGAAAATGTAGCCTTTTTCTTTCTAGTCTCTGCAGAAAAGAAAAGTACACTAAATGGAGATTAGAGCAAATGCTGAAGTGCACATGTTATCACATTTACCCCAGGTGTTTACGAGATTCCTAAGCAAATAACAGAGCAAAGCAGAGAAAGTATTTCAGGTTCACAACTGAGGATAGGCTAGGTGATTTTACAGTAACAAAGCTGAAATAATAATCAGCAGCTTAGTTGGGAAAGTTGCATTCATATTCCCTCCTTGAACAATTTTGTCTAAACAAAGGACTTAATTTTAGATATATGTCAATTTTGACACTCCCCTCAAAGATTTTAACCATGGCTGTGATGGTCATACTCTTGATTTGTTATTTGATGAAAGGCTGATGTTCAATCATCCTTTGCCACACAAAGCTTTTTCTCAATGTACTTTTACAGTAATAGGAATTTAGAGAGTTGCTTCTTTCAGTGCTACAAGACTGAATTGGTGAACTCTTTCTCTCTTCCTTCTCATTCCTGCTTGCACATTGGGTAATTCATTCCTAAACTCACCTCTTTTGTGTCACCTTATAGGACGCAACTAATAGCTAATAGAAAACAAGGCGCAACCAATATTGTTTTTCCCACCAATTCTCCCTAAAGCTACAAATTTATTAGGTATATAATCTGTTTTTAAAGTTATCACATGTAAAATTTTACCAAATATTTTGCCACTGTGTTATGCAGATTGTTATCTCTCTAGTCTCTGATGGCATTTCCTCATCTCCTGCCAATTATTAAGCCATTGCTACATATCTTGGGTTTTGGTTACAGTAGCATCCCATTCCTTGTAGTAATTTTATTATCATAAAAGGTTATATTGTAATGTGATATAACCCACAAATGTTAGAGGCTTAATGCTTTAGGAAACTCAGCACTAAATTAGTATCTTCTGAGGTTCCTTGCTGGATGGCTTCTGGTTGGACGTAGGAAATAGAAAGCATGTAAAGGAGAACAGATTGTGGGATGAAGGAGTCTTAGACATTTTCTCAAAACATCTTTCCTGCTTTGGTGTCTTGTCTCTGCCAGTGGCTATGTCCCCTGGACCTAGGCTGGATGGATCCTTTTCCATAATGTTAGCAATCACTGAGCTACTATCATGCTATTTCCTCTTTTATCTACTCAGCACTTGCTACAGTTTTAATAATGGTGCCCCCTCCAAAATTAAGGTGAAACTTAATCTCCAATGCAACAGTATTAAGAGCTGTGGCCTTTAGGAGGTAATTAAGTCATGAGGACCCTCCCCTCATGAATAAAATTAGCACCTTTATAAAAGAGTTCTACGTTGAAGGGAGCTAAGGAGCAGCCTCTTGGCTTCTGTCCCGTTTGCCATATGAGGACAGAGTGTTCCTCCCTTACAAAGGACACAGCAGCAAGGTGTGAATTTGAAAGCAAAAAGCAGCCCCCACCAGACACCAATCCTACAAGCACCTTGATCTTAGACTTCCCAGCCTCTGTAACCATAAGAACTAAATTTTTATTGTTTAGAAATTACCCAGTCTGTGGAATTTTGTTATAGCAGAACAAATGAACTAATACAGGCCTTGTCTCTGGAGGCCTCAATATTTATTGTAACTTCCCTTAGTCTGGTTCCCACCTCTCTAAGTACTACCTTCATTAAATTATATTTATTTGAGCAAAGTGAGTTGAATTCTATTTCATGTCAATAACCTGACAAAGGAGTTCTGCACATTGTGGCACTCAGAACCCTTGACTGATGAAGACTCATCTCAATACATGCTTCTGTGATCATTATGGCAGAAGAGAATACAATAAATAATTTATCAGCTCTTATGACTTCCTCTCAGAAGTGACATACTTATGTTCATGGTTGACTCATGGAAGTAAGACATGTATCCACATCACTCTTCAAAAGGAGCAGAAAGGTACATTCTTACCATTTTCTTTGAAAACATAGTGAACAAGAACCCTTATGACTCTGATATGACTACCAACCTCAGTGTAAAGAAAGGCATTAGAACATGAAAACGAATAAAGTATTTGAGACTGATGGTCTGGTATGACATGAATGTCACATATATGCTGGGATTAGATGGAAACTTTTGTTGGGGTCAGGTTGGTATGAGCTATTCGTGCCATGCCAAATTTGTGTGATACCATTTTGTAGGATTGAAAGGAAAGCATAGGAAAAGGTATATGGAAAACAAAAGACAGGATAATGTCTATATTTTAGAATATTTCTCACCAGTCAATCATTCTATCCTGTGCATAGATTCTTTATAAAGTATATGAAGGGAGGTTATGCAACTTGATTGCACATAAATTAGAAAAGTAGCATTCAGGGCTCATTATTTCAAAAACTTGAATGTATATTAGAGTGTGACAATAAATTATATGATTTTCTATATTAGGCGAAGGTTTCTATAGCATGACTGAAGAAGTTAATTGAACGGATCCAGTTAGTGTTCAGTTAACACAACCATAGCATAATCCCAGTGTCAGAAAAAAAAAATGAAAAAACACACGATTGCTTGCAATAGAATTTATTTTCTAAAATGTCCCTGGATAAGAACAATTGTTTTAAAATAGTCTATCGAAAATGTACACATAAAGCAGCATAACACAGCAGATTTAAAATTTTCCAACTAATTAGTAGCTAACAAAACTTTTATATAAATCTATTAAAATAAAATTGGATTGGCCAAAACATTACTGAATAATTCTTAGATAAGGATAATCTTACAATGCACAAATAAAATGGCATAAAATTCCTTCATGTCATGTGTGTAATTTAATTTAATTATTGGCTCTCACATACATGGCTGGAGTATCATCAATCATCATAGATAATATTTTTCTAAGTCACCAAAACTAATTATAGTCAGTAATCTCTATTCACTGAGACTAATCTCTACACTACATTAAAAATCAATCTATTATATAGTGTCATGACAGTCTGTTGAGCGTAGTGTTTTTTTATGAATGTCAAAATTCTTTGTTGATTACCTGAATGCTTTACACAGATTTATCGAATTGTCTAAATTTGTTGTAAATAAATAATACACTGATGATTGGTATTTCATTTTTGTGTTGAGAGGAATTCTACATTAAAAAATATTTTATAAAAATTGCCACTCATTGTTTAGATTATTTTTGAATTAGAATTATTGATAAAAGGGGAGTAAACTGAAATACAATAGGGAAACACTGGGGAAAGGCAGAAGTATGGTTGACGTGACACATCCTATTCCAACAGTTTTTTTCTACACTCTTTTCTATACTGTGTTCAGTTGATTTTAAGATCGTATCTACGCCACAGTAAACATTTTGTTTCCCTTAGTTGACTCTTCCCCCAAGTACTTGTATAAATCAGTTCAAATTAGATATTTCGTGTTCATAGAATTTTAGAGATAAAGATACTGTGGAGATTCATTCACCAATGTAGAAACTGAGGAAAAGTTTAGGCAGCAAAGTTATCCTAGTAATTAGTAACATCATTACAGCTCATGTTTCCTAACTGTGTTTGTTACAAAAATCCTTTCAGAAAACCACAAATAAACATTAAATGTTTACAATCATACTCATATTGAAACATGTTTTCTCTGCTTAAAGGAATAGTATAAGATATACCCATACAGTTCTTTTTTTCAACTAGATTTACAAACTGTTAATATTTTGTTGTATTTTTTTATATCTTCAAGTTCTCCTCCTCCTCCTTACTCTCCTTTCATTTTTTTCTTTATATACAGGCACCTTTTTAATTTTTATAACCGTTTGGAAGTAATTTCAACCTAGTTACTTCGTCATACATCTCCTAAGTACATGGGCATTTTGTTATGCATTACTAATATACCCTTATCAAATTCAAGAAATACAATTTTGCCATTGTTATACAATCTAACCTAGAGTCTATAATTTCAACATTTGTCTCATTGGACAAATAATTTTTTTACACTTTTTAATCCAGGAGCCAAAAGTCACACATTTAATTATCAAGTTTCTTTAGCCTCCCTTAGATGCTGTACAGCTTTTCTGGGGAGGGAGTCTTTTTTTTATTTAGAGTCCTTGATAGTTGTGTTCTAGAGTGATTATTAATTTGAAAGTGTCTGAATGTTTCCTCACAATTAAAATTACCTTTTCCTCAAGAATACTAAGCAGGTGATATATCCTCAATGTAACATCAATTTGTTTATTAGTAATACAGCTTTTTTTTTTTTTGACACAGAATCTCACTCTGTCACCCAGGCTGGAGTGCAGTGGCACTATCTTAGCTCCTGCCTCAGCCCCCCAAGTAGCTGGGACTACAGGCATGCACCACCACATTTGGCTAATTTTTGTATTTTTGGTAGACAGGGTTTCACCATGTTGGCCAGGCCAGTCTCAAACTCCTGACCTCAAGTGATCCACCTGCCTTGGCCTCCCAAACTACTGGGATTACAGGCATAGTAGTACTAACTTTGATTAACAGTTTTTAAGATAGTATGCCCCAGATTTATCCATTGTAAAGGGGCTTTTATTTTCCCTTCTGCAATTGGTAAGTAGTCTGTGAAATGATACTTATTTCACAGTAGTCTGTGAAGTGTGAATATCTGGTTTACTAAACCAAGAGCTTGCTGTAGCATCCAGTAATAATTTTTCCTGTATTAATTTTTAAATTGTTAATTGGAAATAAGTAAAATAAAAATATTTATTATATTTATAATCAGTTTTATTTTTCAAAGTAATTTATATTGACTATCATATTTAATTTTCACTTGACATGTTTATCTTTTAAATAATGTTTATTTGCAGCCTTCCCCATCTAAGATTGAGCCAGAATACTTATGGACCCAAGGCAGGAGAGAACAGGTTTTGGCCTTTTTGAGTAAGGAAATACAGTCATCCCTTCAAATCTGTGGGGGATTGGCTACAGGACACCCTGGAATACCAAAACCCATGGATGTTCAAATCCCTTATATCAAATGATGATGTAGTATTTGCATCTAACCTATGCATATCCTTCCATATCCTTAAATCATCTATACATTATGTATAATATCTAATACAATGTAAAGGATATGCAAATCGGTGTTAAACCCTATGAGATTTTAAAAATTTGTATTGTATTTTATTGTTGTATTGTTATCTGTGCTGTTTTTCTTTCAGATATTTTTAATCTGTGGTTTGTTGAATCTGTGGGTGTGGAACCCATGGTTATTATGGAGGACTGACTGTCTTTGAAAGTTGGGGTGTGAAAAGGGAAAGATAATTTATAAACTTGTTTTGTGTCTCAGAAGGCAGAGGTATTTTTGATATTCTTAGCATATCAGGGCCTCATCTAGTTATCCATCTTCTGTTCTAGTATAGGAATAATGTGCAGAAACTGACTTGTACTGATGAGAGGCTGTATCTTATCATCTCTGTGTTTTACACTTGTGAGTGTGTGTGTGTGTGTGTGTGTGTGTGCAGGTATATACACACAGAAATATTAATATATGTCATTGGGAGTATTACCTCAAATCCCACTGAAGGTATAATTAAATATATAATATATTTACATAATTACCTTTCTAAATCCCCCGAATTCTGAATTCGGAAACACATCAGGCCCCAAGCATTTCTAAAAAAGGCTTGTAGACCAGTGTTAGGGTTCCTGCTTTTTCTTATTTCTGTTTCATGACTAAGCCTGGGATATGGCTTTAGAAACATACAGGTATGAAGGAGATATGAGGGAAACTAAAACAGATGTTTCCCATTTAAACTCTGTAAGGAGAAGGCCTGATGGGTTTGACCTGATCAAAGTATACCATTCGACACATCACTGTTTGGCAGAGGGAGGTCTTGACTTTAAACATCAAGAAAGCTTTATGGTCTGGAATGCATGCAGAAGTTCATTCATGACTTAAAGAGTGATACATTAGTGAGTTATAGGTGAGATTGATGAATGTCACTGATTGGGTCACTACAAATGGAGAGGAGGTAGGTCTATGCACATCAAGACCTAATAGGGGTTATAGCCAAAGCTCAAATTATAATGCCAGTTGAGCATTGCCAGAGCTCAAGCAAATGATCTGCGCTCATCAATTACAAATTCTATGATTAGATACCACTAGGGCATTCAAGGAACCAGAGGTCTTGGGACATTATGGAGGAAGTGGGAAAAATCACAGGACTCTACTTAGATATTTTAACACCCTCTTCTTCCCACTAAGATGGTGTAGAGCATCAAATATCAAACATTCATTGTAATTAAAATTTTTTCTTTCAATGGCTATACTAACTACATAATATGCATATATCTGTATTATATACGTTATAAACATATATGTACACATAGGTCTGAATTATATGTTATAATAATATAATCATATGTAGGTATATGTATATATATGTATATATACACAAAGTTCATATACATATATATTTAACTACACAAAGTGTTAAGTATATATACAAAGTGCATATACATATATATTTAACCACACACATATGTATGTTTCCCTTCTGTTTGTTTTTATATTTAACTTATTATAAGACTATTTTTTAATTAAAATAACTGCTAGGCATATAAAAAATACCTAAAATAAATGCATTTTATTCTCATAAGGTAGTAATGAAATAAGAATTTTAGTTTAAGATTATTTTTGCTTTTAAAAACCTTTACATTTTCCGAAGAATTTAACGTATTTCTGCTGAATATTTTATTAAAAATGCCAGAGATAAGAATACGGAGTTTCCTAAGTGTTACTTCTATTGGTGTACCAAAATCAATATAAGTAGTTTTGAGGCTGGAATGTTACTACATTTCAGCTCTCTTTCTCTAGAAATACAATGAGAAAAGAAGCAATAGTAATAAGAGATGATAGCTTCAAATGTTTGGGGGAAAAAAAGAGTTATTTCCAACTGTTCACCCATTATTGGCCAAAGAAAATATAGGACTGAAGTGGGATGCATGGGTTTCTAGCATTCTGAAAAGCACCCTTATTTTAGAGATGGGTCAATGTAAAAGAAAAAAAATCCTTAAATCATCTGAAAATGCTGCAGTATTACAAACCTTTTGGGGAAAATGAAACTGCAGTTTGAAAAAGATTGTGCACTTGTAAGAAAAGGAGGAAACTAGTTATTGTCTAAGTGTCTCCATGAAGACACTAGGAACACTGTATACAATAATTTTATAACCAGTAAATTGAAAATTAACTATATGTCCTCAATCAACTTGAGATTAATAAACTACTTGAATTAGGAGAGGAAAGCATTTAAACATAAGAAACGGACAAGGAACTTCAACAGTTTTAAAATGTATCTAGTTTATATGTAAAGAAACACCACTACCACAAACACACTCCAAAAGAGAACTTTGATTATAGACTCAAGTTGAAAACCATTGTATATTTACAATAGAGACTTTGTGTACTGAACAGAGTGGTCCCGCAAATTCATGTCCACTCAGGACCTGTGAATGTGATCTTATTTGGAAATAGGGTCTTTGCAGATGTAATTAGTTAATATGAAAGCATACTGGATCAGAAAGGGCCCTAAATCCAATGACAGATATATAATAATAAGAGGGAAATTTGGACACAGAAATACAGGTACAAACAGAGAAATAGGCCACGTGATAACAGAGGCAGAGATTAGAGTGACGTAACTACAAGTCAAGGGATATCAAGGATTGCTCTTAACCATCAGAAGCTAGGACAGAGGCAAGAAACAAATTTTTCTTAGAGCCTTCAGAAGAAGTATGGTCTTCCTGACATTTTGATTTCAGACTTTGAACCTCCAGAGAGAATAAAATTTTGATCGTTTTATGCTATCCCAGTTTGTGATACTTTGTTACAGCAGCTCTAGAAAACCAATACACTGGATAGAAATAAGAAGCAATCAAAATTTTTGTTTTTTGATGTAAATCCCAAAAATAAAGCCTAACTACTGTGTTTTTCATCTTGCCTTCATCATTGATTTTTTTATGCCAGCAAATATTTTTAAAATTATACTTTAAAAATAAGTTTTGATTTAAATGGCATGTTGGATAATACCTCGAATTATTATTCTGGCAAAATCTCATTTATTCATTATGTCAACATTCATTTACTGAGCATCAATATTGTAAATCTCACTTTTGATTTCTTTCATAGTCCAAATTTTCTCTTTTGTGACAAAGCTTCAAAACTTACCTAGCTAAATAGATAGTCTATTAATTGTCCAAAATATTTTTTGAGTTAACAATTTTTTAAAATTTATATTACTCTGTTTTAGAAGAGAATGAGAAGGCTTTTTCAGGAAGTCACCATTTAATATACAGTTGATATCCATGGGTTTCACATTCATGGATATAACCAACAATGAAAACATTTGGGGGAAAAATGGATGATTTCATCAGTACTGAACATGTACAGACTATTTTGTCATTATTTTCCAAACAATATAGTATAACAACCAATTACATAGCATTTATATTGTATTAGGTATTATAAATAATCTAGAGATGATTTTAAGTATATGGGAGGATGTATGTAGGTTATACGGAAATACTACACCATTTTGTCTAAGGAACATGAGCATTTGTTGATTTTGTTATCCATGGGGAGCTTTGGAACCAATCCCGCTTGGATAACAAGCAACAAACAGTATAGGGCAGATTTCAAATATTCCTCTGGGCCACATGGTAGTTGAGTTTCTAGTTGTACAGCGTAAATGAATTATATATGTGGTCATAGTCTTGGATAATTAATATTACTGCTTAAAATTTCTGATCTTTAAGTTCTATGGATCTATAATTATTACTAATACTTATGGCCTGAATTTGGATGTCATATATGCTGATAATAAAGCAACTGAGAACTTACGAGAATATCTAATGTGATAAGCAGGGTGGAAATGAATGTTTTATCCTGTAATAGTCAGGATCGTATAGTCAGTCCATTCCTTCATTATCATCTGCATTGGGATGTCTGCCTTCAATAATAATTGTACTAGATCTACACATAAATGCCAACATTGAAAATGTTTTGCCCCTTTTTAATGTGTAGTCAGTATGTGATTTTGACCTGAAATCTGAAGAGAAGAACTAATTAAGTTTTTTTTATCCATTATGTGTTAGAGCTATGCCAGAAAATTTTAACCTTTCAGTGTAAAAAATAAGTAGAGAATGAAGAAAAAAAAATCCAGAAATCCAAAATTGTATATGTCATAAGGGTTCATATATAAAACTTAATTTCAGTAGTTAAGAGTAGTTTTTAAAATTCCAGCCTAGGTTTTCTTCCCCATGATGCTATTTAAAAGAGTTGTGTCATAGTTCTACCTGACAAAGTGACCTTAGTGAAGTTAGTTAATTATCTTTGTCTCCATTGCTTTATTTTTTTTTAAAGAAATGGATTATTGTACTTTGCTACTATTACTTATGCTTGGTCAGTTCACTGTTAGCTATGTAATCTCTGTGCAGAAACAAAGCAATGGAGTTCACAAAACCTTTGAAAGAATTACCAACTTCATACTGCATTCTGGTTCAAGAGGGTGCATTGTGGGGTGCCTAAAGCCTCATTCAAAGCAGTACATATTATAAGGTTTATAGACTAACTCCCAACCTTAATTGCACCATCTACTTGTGTCTAGCACCCTCCAAATGTAAGAACAATATCCCAGAGAAGAAGGATGGGCCTTCCAATGAGAACATGGTTTCACATATGTTTCTGAGAAATTCTCACCCGGGTTCTTTAATCCCTTGTTGGATTTTGCCATTATATGGGCTGTAGAAACTAAGTAGTATTTATGTTTATTCAATTATTTATTTGGAATGAAAATTGTGTATATTTAAGGCATACAACATGATGTTTTGATCTACATAGTAAAATATTTACTACAGTGAAGCTAATTAACATATGCATCTTCCAACATAACTACTTGTGTTTGTGCCTGTGCGTATATGTGTCTGTGTGTGTGTGGTGAAAACATCTGAAATCTACTCCCTTAGCAAATTTCCAGTATACAATATGGCATTGTTAACTTTAGTTATCAAGCAGTGCATTAGATCTCTGGAACTTATTTTTCCTACCTAATATTTTGTATTCTTTGACCAACCTCTCTCCATTTCCCCCACCTCCTCTCCCCTTCTAACCACATTATTTGCAATAGCCAAGTTATGAAAACAACCAAAGTGTTCAAATGGGCTAATTTGTTCAGTCACCTGGGAATAAAAGACTCATCACTTAGAACATAGGGAAGAGCTAGCTCTTTGTTAATGGATAGAGGAATGCTCTGAAATGCAGAAATACTTACTATGAAGATAAACTCTCTCTCCAAGGAAGAACTATTGAGAGGAAAGAAAAATTTTAGAAAGATCAAACCATTGACTTTTTTATTATTTCTACTGCTGGTTACACATTTTGAGAACAAGGTGTCTTCTCTTTGATAATCAATATTTAAAAAATAACAGCCTAGACATACTTCATGTAACAATAGAAATAAACAAACATTGAATGTTCCTCTATGTGCCTTATATTGGTTAATTTTAATCACATCCAGATAGATACAATAGGACAAGTGATATGGCCAAGATCAAATAGCTATCAAAGGTCTTTGCTAAGAACTGAAATTTGGAACTGTTCAATATCTTATATTTTTAATATAATGGTCAAAAATATATTTTATTTTTAAAAGTATATTATTATAAGTTAGAAATACTGTAAAAGTGAAACTATTCACTACTCTGTTTTCTTTAATAGCTAAATAAAAGATATCTTAGATAAATCCTTAAGTAGCATGAAAAAAAGAATTAAGACCCCCTTGTCATCCCAGCACTTTGGGAGGCCAAGGCAGGTGGATCACAAGGTCAAGGGAATGAGCTGGCCAACATGGTGAAACCCAGTCGCTACTAAAAATACAAAAATTAGCCAGGTGTGGTGGCACGCACCTGTAGTCCCAGCTATTTGGAAGGCTGAGGCAGGAGAATCGCTTGAACCTGGGAGATGGAGGTTGCAGTGAGCCGAGATTGCACCAGTGCACTCCAGCCTGGGTGACAGAGCAGGACTCAGTCTCAAAAAAAAAAAAAAAAAAATTAAAACTCCCCCCGCCCCTGCCTTAATTTTTATCATTGGCTAATCTCTGTGATAAAGTGATACAATAATCATATTGTTATTGTTACGATCTCAATATAATTCATTTTAAGCAACCTCCATGCAAATGGGTCATATCTGTCACTCGCTAATTGAAAATGGATTTGTAAAGAAGCTAATACTTAAGTCACTATTCACAAATAATTACTAGCATTAAACATAGATTCTTATCTGTTGTACTCAATGTTAAGAATGTCTAAGAAACAGATTTCTTCTCTGCAAGTGAAACTAAATAACCACATTGTATCACCAGTGTTAAATACAAACTCCACAATGAATAAGAAACCTTTGAAAAATATATATTATATCTTCCTTTCTGGCAATTAACACCCAAATTAAACTATGTTACCACAGGTAGCACGATACTGACATGATGAAGTTTTATGTTTACCTGTTTTGTTTATGTTTACCTGTTTTACATTGCTTGGTTTGGTTTGTTTTATATAACCTTTCTCTGGCTACAATGTATTTGAAGTTCCTTTAGAAGTCTGGGCCACATACATTTAAAAAATAAACATAAGAAAGAGAATAACCAGAAGTTTATAGTCACTATTTACACAATATTATTATTTGCTTAATGACTTAAATAAGGTAAATTTAACAATGGCTATTACACAAATAGTCTGTGGCTGAAGTAGTAGAAATTGAAGGATAGCCAGTTAACAAATATTTAACTACACAAGTTCAAAGGGCATTTGTAGTAAGGAGACTAAAGAGAGGGTACGTGTTTGTTATTCCCTGAATGTGTACATGGTGCCTCAGAAATTGAGACATTATAGGATGGTTAAACCTAAAGATGCTAAACCTATATTTTGTGAGTTCATCTTTTCAATTCTGCCCCTTTCTATGTGACCTTCAGTAAATTGCTGAAACTATTTGTACCTTAATTTTCTTCTATAAAATGGAGATGATAGTATCAATATCTACCCAATGGGGTTCTCATACCTCACTTCATTAAGTATGAAGATGAGTGCTTGACACACAATAAACACTTTATCATTACAGTGTATTTTCTTCTTTAGACAACAGCATTTGACAGAGTTCCATTTAACACACGGAATAAAATGTTCTGATGCCACATTTTTTCTTCTTCCAATTTTTTTTTATTCTTTTTTTGAGATGGAGTTGCATTCTTGTTGCCCAGGCTGGAGTGCAATGGCACGGTCCTGGCTCACTGCATCCTCTCCTCCTGGGTTCAAGCAGTTCTCCTGCCTCAGCACCCTGAGTAGCTGGGATTACAGTCGTGCACCACCACTCCAGACTACCTTTTTTTTTTTTTTTTTTTTTGTATTTTTAGTAGAGACAGGGTTTCACCATTTTGGCCAGGCTGGTCTTGAACCCCTGACCTCAGGTGATCTGCCTGCCTCGGCCTCCCAAAGTGCTGGGATTACACATGTGAGCCACCATGCCCGGTCTGTAAATGAATAAAATTAACAGGAAAGAAAAAGAGGGAACCTATCTGATAGCCTTTGCTTGGTGGAATTACATGATCCATTGAATTTATTCCAAACTAATTTATCCAACCATGAATATGCTCCTAGTATAGCAACACACTCTGGAGATACACAGAAAAATATGTTGACTTTGCCTTTGAGAAAATTACAGTGGTAAGCTAGATAATAAATCTATGACTATTGTGTGATAAATAGTATCATAATGGTAAGCAAAGGTTGCTGTAGGAGCAGAAACTTCTTTTTTTTTTTTTTTTTTTTTTGAGAGGGAGTCTTGCTCTGTCGCCCAGACTGGAGTGCAGTGGCCTGATCTCGGCTGACTGCAAGCTCCGCCTCCCAGGTTCACGCCATTCTCCTGCCTCAGCCTCCCGAGCAGCTGGGAGTACAGGCGCCCGCCACCACGCTCGGCTAATTTTTTGTATTTTTAGTAGAGACAGGATTTCACCATGTTAGCCAGGATAGTCTCAATCTTCTGACCTCGTGATCCGCCCGCCTCGGCCTCCCAAAGTGCTGAGATTGCAGGCTTGAGCCACCGCGCCCGGCCGAGCAGAAACTTCTTAATCCAGGACAAGATGAGTTTTGCGCTTTAGAAGATAACTTCGGGAAATGGGGGACTATATGGAAGAGAGAGCATGTATGAAGATAGAAATGTCATCAGGAGAATGATGCATGAATAAAGATTAGAGATGATAGTGATAATTGGATTGTTATTGTTTTGATTAAGAGGACTCTCTCAATGATTTAAAAGGTGTGAAGGAGGTAAGATTAATGAGAGTTGGTAATTGTTTATTTGATATAAAATATAAGGAATGGGAGAGTATCAAGAATGACTCACTATTCTTCCATAATTTATTGGATTTTAAAACAGAATCGTTTTGATTCCTTTACTTTAAAAGGAAGATAAACTATTCTTAAATTCCAATTATAATTATCCCCCAGAAATACTAACCTGAACTATTCATTTTCTTTTTGATATTATTCTTCTGAAGTCTCTCTATTAAATAGAGAGATTCTAATAAATATCTTGATTTATTATTATTATTTTGGTGTTTTTCTTTAATAGGCCTTAATTATTTGTGAGGTAAAATTTAAAACTATCATTGATTGCCTGCCCATTTATATAGCGCTTTGCAGTTCTGAAATCATTTTCACATGTGTAAACCAAGTAAAAATATTGTTTTGATATTAGATATGATCCACTTAAGTTTTACAAATGAGACTTAGTGTAAGAAAAGAATAATTCTTCAAAGTACCTTGAAAGCACATTTCTCATTTCTAAATTGAACCATGAACTTAATAACATGGGCCATGATATACCCTGATAGGAATTGAGGAAAATGAGATAAAAAAGACAGTTCATTCTTGCTAAAGGAAAATTAAAATAACACTTTCTGTATATAACTTTCTAATTTTCATGACCTATCTCTTACATAATTACTAGAAGAGAATATTCTTCCCATCAGACAAAAGACAATTTAGCACCATAATGATACTACCTCTCAGCATCATTAGGCTACTTGATAGAGGATATGATTGATGCTTATGTAAACTCATTAACCACAGGAGGTCTACTCAAAATAGTAGGAACAAAATTCTGTTCACTAATAAACAGAATTGAAATGACCGGCTATTAGTTTAGCAGTGGTGAATGGATACTTGGAAATGTAATTTCACTTGATTTAGAGTAGTACATGACTACTCACTGACAAGTTCAGAATGCTATTAGGCCAGTTAATACTACAACCTGAAGTCACTTTATCAGAATATGTATTTTTTCAAATAATATTATGGACTAAAATAGTTATTATATTATAAAGAAGAAAAAATATAGTTGCGGGAAGTCAGGGACCCCAAACGGAGGGACCGGCTGAAGCCATGGCAGAAGAATGTGGATTGTGAAGATTTTATGGACATTTATTAGTTCCCCAAATTAATACTTTTATAATTTCTTATGCCTGTCTTTACTGCAATCTCTAAACATAAATTGTAAAGATTTCATGGACACTTATCACTTCCCCAATCAATACCCTTGTGATTTCCTATGCCTGTCTTTACTTTAATCTCTTAATCCTGTCAGCCGAGGAGGATGTATATTGCCTCAGGACCATGTGATAATTGTGTTAACTGCACAAATTGTAGAGCATGTGTGTTTGAACAATATGAAATGTGGGCACCTTGAAAAAAGAACAGGATAACAGCAATTGTTCAGGGAATAAGAGAGAGAACCTTAAACTCTGACCACCAGTGAGCCAGGCAGAACAGAACCATATTTCTCTTCTTTCAAAAGCAAATGGGAGAAATATCGCTGAATTCTTTTTCTCAGCATGGAACATCCCTGAGAAAGAGAATATGCGCCTGGAGGTATAGGCTTATAAACAGCCCCCCCAGGTGCGCCTGTCTTTTATGGTTGAGGCTGCAGAGATGAAATAGACTCCAGTCTTCCATAGCGCTCCCAGGCTTATTAGGAAGAGGAAATTCCCACCTAATAAATTTTGGTCAGACCAGTTGATCTCAAAACCCTGTCTCCTGTTAAGGTGTTATCAATGACAATGATGCCCGAAACTTCATTAACAATTTTAATTTTGCCTTGGACCTGTGGTCCTGTGATCTCACCTTGCCTCCACTTGCCTTGTGATATTCTATTACCCCCTGTTAAGTACTTGATGTCTGTCACCCACACCTATTCACACACTTCCTCCCCTTTTGAAAATCTCTAATAAAAACTTGCTGGTTTTTGTGGCTTGTGGGGCATCACGGAACCTACCGACATGTGATTTCTCCCCTGGACGCCCAGCTTTAAAATTTCTCTCTTTTGTACTCTGTCCCTTTATTTCTCAAGCCGGCTGATGCAAAGGAAAAATAGAAAAGAACCTACATGAATATCAGGGCAGGTTCCCCCATAAATATAAAGTTAACCTTGTGAATGTAAGTTCAGTAATGTTAAGTGTTTCCATGATCTAGTCCTGTGATTATAATAGACTAGAGAATTATAATTTTCATTTTAGAAAACTGGAATCGTGCTGCAAATTCTATAAATGAGATATCTTACATCTTTTCCTATTATTCAGTATTACCCAGTATTAACCGTGAGAGGTAAAGATATCTTTAAGAAGGTCAAAAATGAATATTTAACCTATCCACGAGAACATCTCAGATGAAAAATTTAGTTCAGATGGTCTATTCTTTTCTTTTAGAAATATTTGATAATACTAATAATTGATCTGAAATTTCTTTACAGCTGTAAATAATTTAGATAAGAACTTTTGATAGTTGGGGTTCAGTATGGCCAAAAGACAACACTTTTAAAACTCCGCAGCAGTAAAACATCAAGAATTTAATCCTGATGAATTAGTGTGGTTCTCCAACATTCACCCCTTAGAAAAATACAATATTTAAACCTCAGTGATTATTACTCATGTCAAAATAAACAATTACTTTCTACCTGGATAGTCAAAACCATTCAAAATCAAATATTAACATGGTAAATAAGAATCTATCACAGGCAATGATAGTTTTACTGCACAAAAACTATAGGTACACATATCTAATATTTATCACAGTAAGTTTGTGGAATGAATATTTTAATTCCTTTTTTACACTGGAGTAAAGGTAGAGGTAATATTAAGATGTTAGTATAATCAGAGGTTGAGAAAAGTTTCCCCCAAAAGAATCAACTAGATGTAGAAAAAAAAATTTTCTCCACCTATTTATAATAAATATTTTGAAAGGACTTCAAGGAAAATAAATTATCTTTGTATTTTGGATTTTCCTTCATAGAAATAGCTAAACTGTTAGGATTGGTTTAGGATAACAGCGTGGCATACTAGAATAGAGCCTAATAGCATTGAATTTAAGATACTACTTGCCCGTGATCCTTGTTCAAATTACTTAATGTGTCTGCAGTACAGATTTGCTTATAGAGCTTGTGACACTGACACGGATAGGTTGTCTTGAGCACTAGTAGATGAAAGGTATGTAGACTCTGGGTGTTAGACCTGCATATTAGTCAGCGTTCTCTAATGGAACAGAACTAATAGGATAGGTGAATACATGAAGGGGAGTGTATTAGGAAAAGTGACTCACACCATCACAAGGCGAAGTGTCACAATAGGCTGTCTGCAAGCTGAGGAGCCAGGAAGCCACTCCAAGTCCCAAAACCTCAAAAGTAGAGAAGCTAACAGTGCAACCCTCAGTCTGTGGCCAAAGGCCTGAGAGCCCCTGACAAAGCACTGGTGTAAGTCCAAGGGTCCAAAACCTGAATGTAGGGAGATCCCCTGAAACTATTGCTATGGAATAAAAGATGAAATGCTCCTGATTACTGTAAATACAAAATTGCATGCAGGATTGTGTAAAGACAACGCCAGGTTGGACTGCCAGAACAAGCCAACAGCATGTGATGTGCTTCCCCCTGCAGAGAGCCTATGAATGCACGTGCAGTCAGGGAGGTTTCACATCACCAAGATTCCTATCCCAGAAAAGCAGATGTTCATAGCTCTGGGAATGGAATGCAACCCTTGTGGAGAGCCTGTAAAAGGACGCATGGGGGGTGCCTGTCCATATGGATAAGATAGGGCTATAAAGGCCCTCATCTTGCCATGGCTCTTCTAGGCCTCTTTAGGGTTAAGGCATACTCCCTTAGAATTTCTGGTCTAACCGGTTGTCTAGCTTCACGGCCTGTTTCCATGGATTGTTTGTAACCACCCTTTGTTGCAATTATTACTGCTGATTAATATCTTGCTAATCATAGGTTATGGCAAGATTGTGTTTCTGTTTTAAGGTTCTAAGGTGACGCACACACTATATTGTAAATTCTTATCTCTGTATACTGTACTTCTACATACAAATGTACTGTACTTCTACATACAAATGTTATGTTAAAGAATTACTTCATCGCCATGTGACCATCTCACCTCATAATCAAATGACCCTAAATCCCTCACTAACCGAAACCCACCCTCACTAAACTTAATAATAAATGCTGGTATATCCAGTGCATCGTTGGCACTATGGGACCAGAAGGTGGTGACCCCCCTGGACCCAGCTTTCACTATCTTGCGTGTGTCTATTATTTCTCAACCTGCCGATCCACCTGGGAACAAAGAGAGAGCCCCGTTGCATTGCGGGCTGCTGGTCAGATCCCGCAATGCCTGAAGAACTTGGAGTCTGATGTTCAAGGGAAGGAAGCATCCAGCACAGGAGAAAGATGGAGGCCAGACAATTCAGACAGCCTAGGCCTTCCACATTCTGCCTATTTGTATTCTGGCTGCACTGGCAGCTCATTAGATTGGGCCCAACCAGATTGAGAGTGGGTCTGCCTCTCCCAGTCCACTGACTCAAATGTTAGTCTCCTTTGTCAACACGCTCACAGACACACTCAGGAACAATACTTTGCATCCTTCAATCCAATCAAGTTGACACCTAATGTTAATCATCACAAGTCCATCCCTTGTCAACTTGAACCCATACACATCTCCTGAAATTATAGATATAATCTTCAAATAAAGACAATAATAAGGTCATAATTATGCCTAACATAATCCAGCTATCCTTCGTACAACCAGAAGCACACTAATCTTTAACCTAAATGCTATTACGTAAAGTTAACAACACTTAAATGTTGATATGAAGTCAATAAATCTTATGTCATATGATAAAGAAAAAGGAAAGGAAATAAAATGTAGATATTTTCTTAGCTCAAGTGCATACATGCACAAACATGTTCTTAACAAAATAAGGAGGAAATACTCATGACAATTACCATCCTCGTTTCTGCAACTGGTCACGTGGTCATAGCTGGTACTGATGACTACCTTCTACTACTCATTCTGTACTGCCTTTGCCTTCAGCAAGCACCTCTGCAGATCATGGTTTTTCACCTAGTGGAGTAACCCAAACCTTCATTCCTGAAGGGTCTGGGCCATTTGTAGTGCTGCCTTGATTGGGTTGTTGTAATTTCCCATTGACCTTAATCAGAGGGCATGGTAATACTAAGAGATGCCCTAAGGGATCTCCTGTATTCCACACATACTCTTTCTTACATCTATTGTGGAGTAGTAGACTGATTTCGTTTTGATAGTCTGGGTCAGTCACCCCAGCCAACACCGTAACTGTCTTCTGAGCCTGTTGACTTAGAGGTAGGAGGATCCCAAAGTGACTAGGTGGCAATCATAACTTCCAGTTTAATGAAATCACAGTTGTGTCTCCTGGTGGCAGCATTTTTCCCTCTGGAACTAAGACCTCTATACCAGCAGGATGTAATGTCACAGAAACAGGAAGCAAAAATTTTGCTTGTGGGTCACTAGGGGTGATGGTGAATGGTGCCACTTCCACTTCTACCCCTTGATTACTGAACCCATGAATCCTGGTTCTGGAAGAAACAGTACTATATATTGGATGCTGATTCAGAACATACACAAACTTCTGGAGAATTTTGCCCCAGCCCTGCAAAGGATTGTTACCTAGTTGGAATTGTAATTGTGACTTCAAAAGGCCATTCCACCATTTTATCAATCCAGCTGCTTCAGGAGGATAGGGAACATGGTACGACCAATAATTCCGTGAGCATGAGCCCACTGCCACACTCCTTTGGTTGTAAAGTATGACTGCCTTGGTCAGAAGCAATGCTGTATGAAATAGCATGAAGGTGTAGAAGGCATTTCGTGAGTCCACGGATAGTAGTCTTGGCAGAAGCATTGAGTATAGTATAGGCAAATCCATATCCACAGTAAATGTCTATTTGGGTGAGGACAAACCTCTGCCCTTTCCATGATGGAAGAGGTCCAATATAATCAAGCCGCCACCAGGCAGCTGGCTGATCTACCCAAGGAATGGTGCCTTATTGAGGAACAAACCAACCACTTCAGTGTTGGTCTTTGCTACTGGCAAACTGGGCACTCAGCAGTGGCCATAGCCAGGTCAGCCTTGGTGAGTGGAAGTCCATGTTGCTGAACCTATGCGTAACCTCCATCCCTGCCACCATGGCCATTTGTTCATGGACCCACTGGGCAATGACAGAGGTGGCTGGGGAAAGAGGCTGAGTTTTTGTCCACAGAACAGGTCATCCTATCCACTTGGTTATTAAAATCCTCCTCTGCTGAGGTCACCCTTTGGTGAGCACTCACATGAGACACAAATGTGTTCACAGTTTTTGATCACTCAGATATGCCCATCCACATATCTCTTCCCCAAATTTCTTTGTTACCATTTTTCCAATCATGCTTCTTCTAAATCCCTCACCATCTAGCCAAATGACTGGCTACAGCCCATGAATCAGTATATAATCACATATCTGGCCATTTCTCCTTCCAGGCAAAGTGCACAACCAGGTGCACTGCTCAAAGTTCTGCCCACTGGGAGTATTTTCCTTCACCACTGTCCTTCAGGGATGTCCTAGAAATGGGCTGTAGTGCTGCAGCTGTCCACTTTGGGGTAGGCCCTTTTCTTCTCTTCCTCTGTCAACTGATCATAGGGAACTCCCCATGAAGCCATTAGTGCAGGCTAGGGGAGAGAAGGCAGGGCAGCAGGAGTGGGGACCATGGGCACCTGAGCCACTTCCTCAAGTAACTTACTTGTGCCCTCAGGACCTGCTTGAGACCAATCACATATATACCACTTCCATTTTATGGATGAAATGCTGCTGTGCATTCCCCACTTTATGGCTTGTTGGGTCAGAAAGCACCCAGTTCATGATAGACAGTTCAGGTCACATGGTGACTTGATGACCCATAGTCAAACATTTAGTTTCTACTGAAATCCAGTAACAGGCCAAAAGCTATCCCTCAAAAGGAGAGTAGTTATCTGCAGAAGATGGCAGGAACTTGCTCCAATATCCTAGAGGCCTCTGCTGTGAAGGCCAGCCAAAGGCTCCAAAGGTTCCAAACAGCATCCCCATCTGTCACTGACACCTCAAACACCATTGGATCTGCTGAGTCATATGGCCCAAGTGGCAGAGCAGCTTGCACAACAGCTTGGACCTGTTGCAGGGCCTTCTCCTGTTCTGGACTCCACTCAAAACTGGCAGCCATTTGGGTCACTTGATAAATGGCCTGAGTAACACACCCAAATGAGGAATGTACCGCCTCCTGTGAGTGGTGAATCAAGAGTATTAAATGCATTTATTTTGCGTTGACTTTCTAAACAGTTCACACTAAGGACTATCAGTGTTCTCCATACTGTTAGAAGTAGAGTTCTAGCATTCTTAGGTCTAATCATATTAAGCAGCCAAGTCCAGAAACCCCAAAACTAACTAAAGAAATCCATCGTTAAAATTCTGTTTATCTAGAACCACTCCTGGTACCAAAATCTGCATTAGTCAGGGTTCTCTGAAGAGTCAGAACTAAAAGGATAGATGAATATATGAAAGGGAGCTTATTGGGAGAATTGACTCACACAATCACAAGGTGAAGTCCTATAATAGACTGTCTGTAGGCTGAGGAACCAGGAAGCCAGTAAACATCCCCAAACCTCAAAAGTAGGGAAGCTGATGATGTAGCTTTCAGTCTGTGGCCGAAGGCCCAGGAACCTCTGGCAAATCACTGATATAAGTTCAGGAGTCCAAAACCTGAAGAACTTGATGTTCGAGGGCAGGAAACATCCAGCACAGGTGAAAGATGGAGGCCAGAAGACTCAGACAGTCTAGTCCTTCCACGTTCTGCCTGCTTTCATTCTAGCTGCTCTGGCAGCTCATTAGATGGTACCCAGATTGAGGGTAGGTCTGCCTCTCCCAGTCCACTGACTCAAATGTTAGTCTAACCCTCGCAGACACACCCAGGACAACACTTTGCATCCTTCAATCGAATCAAGTTGACACTCTGTATTAACCACCACAGCCTGACACATTATAAATAACTTAAAATGCAGAAGGAGGGGTTTGCCAATAAAATGCAGGAATTATAGCGGGCACCTTTTGCCAGTAATAGGCTTGTCCTCTGCAATCACTCCTCTTCCTCTCAATGAATATCACCCATTCCATCCTCACTGGATTCCTTATCCAAGAGCTGTATGAGTCAAACCACTCCCTCTCAAAATCTGTTTTTGTCTTCCAACTATGCCTGTTGACTAGGCCGCACCTTTTAAAAAATCTATTTGTATAATATATATTTTATATTTATATTCTTTTTTAATTTTTTTATTTTAAAATGTGAAAGTCTGGGCCCCACCTAAGATCCGCATAGTCAAACTCTGAATCAAAGCAAAAAGAACAGAAAACTTGAAACTAGATAATCTGCTTTTGGTACTCATGTACATCACTTTCTTTTATTTTGGGCAAGTTTATTAAACACTGAGTCTTGCTCTGTTAAAAAATCTTTTAAGCACTTTACAATTTCTAATGAGGATTAACTTGAGTATGTAATAGTGCTTTGTAAACTATAAATGATATCAAATTAACATTTTACTATGGTTACAAATATTACTATTGGGATATCTGTTTTTATGGAGTTTGACATATTTTAGATTTTACCATCTGTCTCTCTTTTCTAGAGTTCCCATTCTTCATTAGACTGGCTATGGTTACCCTAAACTCTCCTTTCTAGTTCTTCAAGCCAGAAAGGTAGATTTTTCTCCTGGAGTTTTGGCAGTCCCACATGATACAGACTATGTTTCTTCATATTTGGGCTTTGGTAAAGAAATACATTTTCTGGCCACATGAAATCCACACCTGACAAAGGATAAAATAATTGGAACTCATTTTAGGAGCTTATAGCTTTTTTGAGTTGTCAAGAGCTGTTATTTCTCTAGTCAGGTGAGAGATAATATTTCTGGCAATAGTAAGTTTGTAACTGCTACATCAAGCTGTCTTAAAAGGAAAATATGGCAATTCTCTTTGTGCAGCTAACTAGGTAAAGCTACGAATTTTATCAGCTGCCACTAAAAAGCCCAAGCCAATTCACTGCTACACTACACTACACTACAAATCACACTCCCAAATTCAAACCAACTTTACCCATTAATAACAAAATTGTTTATAATTAAAAGCATACATTCTTCTATTGTAAATCTGATGATCACGCAAAGGAAAACACACTATATGGGGTATAAACGCCAGTAAAAACAGACACAATATCCATTTTCCTCAGTTTTATCCTGCATCAGCATCTACCTGTCAATGAAATAGAAACAGTGAAACTCTCATTTATTTAATATCCACAATATATAAGACCCTTAAGTTTATTATGTTTTAAAATTCTATAGCAACATTATTAGGACATTTATTTCTATCTTAATTTTACAATGAGGATCATAAAGTGAAATAAGTTTTCTATCATCATACATCCTGATGGGAGGTAACATGGGATTCACATTTATGGTCTAATTGGTTTCAAGGCTCATGCTATTTCCACTATACCATTTTACTGATAAACCGTGCAATTTTAAAACAATAAGAGTTACTATGGTAGATAAAAATGAGCTTTCTAAAAATACTCCTTTAGCTGAGTCCAAATTTAAAAAAAAGAATAATTTTACCTAATATGCCAACCAGATGTTTTTTAAAAATATTGTATGGGTGCATAATATTTGTCAATAATATTGCATGTACCATATCCTTCTTCCTTAAATTCATATGTGAATAATTTTTTAATAAACATGTATCATCGTGTATTATTTAATGATGGCCCATCCCGATTATGTTTAATGACAAAGAAATTTAAAATGTAGAAATAAGACATAATGAAAAAGATAGTATAAATTCACTATTAGTATTATATATCTAACAAGAGCAATAATTTTTGTGATCTTATGCATCCTAAGTTCTAGACTTATTTTAAAATCCTTTGACCATTTCATCACAGATCATCCAGTGTCAAATTTTACTATTTGATAATATTAATATAATGGAATTCATAGGTCTGTATCTAGCCCCAGAAAAATCCTGAATACATTTTCTAGCTATATGACTCTAGGCAAGTCATCCATTTTACACTTATTTTTCTCAGACTAAATATGGGAAATAATATTTGCCTATATGGAAAGTTTGTTGAAAATTACAATTTATTCATTAAATAATATATAAATTAATGATTAATTTACAAATACATTATATGATGTCTATCACATGCTAGACATCTTGCTGGTCACAGGGGATACAAAAAGAAGTATGGCAAACCTTCACGAGTGAGACACAGCGATATGCAAAAATAAGTGCATCTTATTTTGGGATATGCACAGCCCTATTACAGGAGGACAATAAAGGACATCTCACCTAGCCCGGGGAAATTGCGTAAAGCTTTCTGCAGCAATTCTTTGACTAAATTTTAATCACTGAGTATAATTTAACTAGGCAAAACTCCAGAAACAAATGACAGCAAGATATATGTGGAAAATGTAACAAGCATTTGATTGTTGCATTATAATACATGAGAAAGTAGTTTTAGAGGAGTCTCAAAGACAGGCATTACTGGAAATTATTTTTACAATGTATACTGAAGTTTTAGAGTTGCATTTTCACTCAATATATTTACATATTCAAATATAAAAAAACAGAACTGTAAAAAAAGATAGGCATAAAACCTTTTACTACAATAACAATTATAATAATGTTTTGAAAGACATACTTAGATCTCTTTACCACAAAGTACAACACATTACGGTGACTGTATTTTCAAGGAATATTTGATAATATTGGAAACTGTTTATAATTATCATGTTAATATGAAGATGTAGGAAACAGAGATTATTCACATGTGGGGGCATGGCTGTTTTGCAAAAAAATCTGTTTATTTATGGATAGCAAAATTCTTATAAAGTGATGCATATGAATGTTCATCGTTTCACCCAGTAGAATAAATTTGTATGAATAATACATACTACTAACAGTGTGTTTTGTATATGGTAAATGGAATTGCAGATGTTTAACTTTTCTTCTGCTTCTTGTGTGTATCTTTCAAAATTTTATATTAATAAGATTTCAGATGAAAAATTATTTATCAAAATATAATTTAAAAGCAATTAGATTAATAAGCGTAAGGCTTCTAATACTACCAGAATATGAGATATGAATGCAAATATAAGATAAGTAATCAATTTTTCGTGATAATTCAAGTATGATGAGTTAAAACATCTAGATTACTTTATTAATATTAACATAACACAAAAGTGATATAAATTGGGAGTACATGGGATATCTTATAATAATCTCTTACCTAATAGCATCCTACACATTTAAGCATATCATATAAAAATAGGAAATTGCTATTTTAAAATTTGCACATATTAAAATATTACTTTTAGGACAAACAGCTGTAAGATGATATAAAATTCTTTTCAGGCCATTATTCAAAGATACAGTGACTGGTAAAATCACTTAAGGTATATTTATTTATTCAATGGATGGATGAATGAATGATTTGGAGAATATACTCTTTTTGCTAATGACGACAGTTGTTTAATAAGTTAGGACTTGATTTAAAAGTTACAGTTAATATATTTGTGTTTACCAATTATGCTATTACTGTGATTACTTAGTATTATTGCAAATCAATCTATCTCTATGTTACATTGGCCTAATTTATGCCAGATTGGCCAGATTTAGCTAATAGTGGGCATACAATTATTTGCAATTATCAATATCAAGCTCATTTCAGTTTTGTCAACTAGTTTCAAAGCTGTAATGCCCCTTGTAAATAAACCAAAATGAAACCAAGCCCAACAGAAAATCCAAACTTGAAGAAAAAGAAAAAAAAAAGAAAACATGTAACCTGAGACCATAAAGAAACACTAAATGAACTTAACACTACTATTCAATTAGCTGACTCTATCTTATTTTAATATCCTTATAGAAGAAAACAATAATGATAGAAAATGCATAAACTACAGGATATGAGCTGAGAGTTAAAGTTTACTGTTTTAAGCAGTAAGGGAATTTTCTACAAATGGAATAAATAAAATTTTAGACTAGTGGACTAAATAACAAATTATTTAGGAATAGCCAGGCTTAGAACATTATTGAATTAAACATATCTGAGATTTGCTACAATTACCAAACCATAAAATTCACTTCCATAAAAGAAAAGCTATTTTTACATGAAAAATTAGGAGAGTCTCCAAGGGAAAATCATGTCTACCACAGACAATTTTCTATAAATAATTGTTTTTTCTCTCACTTCTTCACTATCAACATGTCCAAAAATTTACAGTTAAAAATGTAACTGCTGCTCATAGAAAGAGAACATAGAATATAATGAATGATCCACAAATCCTCTGCAAGTACAACTTCTCAGGTTATTCTGAGGCTATTTCCTATACAGTGTGAAAAAGTAAAAGTAAAAGAGTAAGACAAGCATAAAACTCAGAGAAGTAAAGCAAACATGATATAAATCACTTTAGAAAAGCCTAACATCAACCATGACTGACTCTGACCAACATTTTTTTTTAATAGAAGCTGATGATAATAAATTGGGACATGTTGCTAATGCAGTTTATAGTAAAACAAAGAGAATGATAGAAAATTTCAAGAGGCAATGAATTTTTACTTTCCATCTCTAATCAAAGGATGGTAGCAGTTGGTACATCCTACTATGCACAAAATGTGTGATACACAGGAATTTTAAAAGAGCACGTTTTTACTACTTTTTATGCCTAAAAAAACACCAAGTTAATTTTTTATAACACTACTAGAAAAGCAGAAATAATTAAGATTCATTCTGTTTTGCCTTAAATTCAACTTAAATTTCAAATAGTTTTGTTATTATACAGTAATTTAATTTTATTTCACTATTTTTCTTTCACTAGCTAAATTTCCGTAATATTTGGATTTTCTTTTTTCTCCAAATAACTCAGCTTACAATTACTAATTGGCTATGCTCTTTTTAGAAAAGCTAATAACAATCTGAAATTCCTGAGATAACAAGATTCAAAATTAATACGTATCAATTGTGTTTTTACTGTTTGGATTCTACAGCTACTGATCTACGTACATTTTCACAATCTAGTATAAATATGTTTCAATAATGTCTATACAGAAACATTGCAGTAGATTTTATAATTAAATTTAAATGACCTTAGACTATTTCAGGAGGATCATACATACTTAAAAACATTAACAGAGAGTTCTAAGAGGTTAGTGATAATTTCTCCTTTTATATTCTCACTTCTAAAAAGTCTGTGTTAATCTTGCTTTTTATAGTAGCCATAAACATGGGATGTTTTGGAAGCTCAAAATATGAAGTTCATAGTTTTGTAGATGGCTGTAAAAAATGTACAAGATAAAGATTCACTAAGGAAGGGATTTGAGTATGTCTTGAGACAAGTCTTGAGAAATAGGAAGTCTCCTGAGGGATATTAATTCTTTTCACAGATATCTTTATGTATATGGCACATAGTGGGCTTTTTGTGTTATGCAGAGCATAGAACCCTAAAAATCAGAGACAACTTCTACCCATGTGTAGCTTACAGACTAGAAAAGAAAGACATTCCTGGCAGAGGGAACAGCATAATTAAAGGCTCAAGTTGCAAAATAACTTGCGGTGTTCAGAGAATTGCAAATAACTTGCAATGGCTGGAATAGAGTATATGTGGGTGAGAGGAGCAGA
This sequence comes from Homo sapiens, assembly GCF_000001405.40. Lineage (NCBI taxonomy): Eukaryota > Metazoa > Chordata > Mammalia > Primates > Hominidae > Homo > Homo sapiens. The sequence continues at coordinate 195,992,645 of NC_000001.11, read as the reverse complement.
AGAAAGGAGTAGAAACTATCCTACGTAATCATTCTAATCAGATTGCAAATCCTTCTTCTAAAATTCTAAATTACTGTGGACTTCATGGGTAACTAAGAGTAGACATTAACCATAAGCAGTTTTGCCGTGTTACCTATCTTGTACATTACCTTGTTTTAATTCTTATATTTGCCTACAGATATGAGACATTTAGAAAACACTAGATAAAAGAGTATCTATGGCTTTCTAAATGACTTCTGGGGTCATTGATTAGATCAGTGATAAACAGGATTTTACCAAATGTAGATTGATTTCAGAACTCTTATCTGAGTTTTGGGAGTTGAACATTTCCTAAGCTTACTTTTTAGTTTTTCCCAGTAATTGATTGACTATGTTGAAAATAACTGATAGCTTATAGTGAGTCTTTCTATGTGCCCAGCACTGAGGGAGAGACTTACATATATTAATATGAATATCTACAAAAATATTGCAATGTAGTTATTATCAATACATATTAGCTCATTTTCATGCTGCTATAAAGAACTTGGTTATTTATAGAGGAAAGAGGTTTAATTGACTCACAGTTCCACATGGCTGGGGAGGGCTCAGGCAACTTATAATCATGGCAGAAGGCAACTTTTCACAGGGCAGCAGAAGAATGAGTGCTCGGCAAAGGGGGAAGCGCCTTATAAAACCATCATATCTCATGAGAACTAACTCACTATCACGAGAACAGGATGCAGGGATATTGCCTCATGATTCACTTAGGTCCACCTGGTCCCTCTCACGAGACACGGGGATTATGGGAGCTACAATTCAATATGAGATTTGGGTGGGGACACAGCCAATCCATGTCACAATACTAGTTTAGAGAAAAGAAAACTTTGTCTGAAAGAAATTAAGTAACTTTCACAATGCCACCAAATAAATTCCAGAGCTAAAAATAAACCTATTTTAGTCCGGCTCAAATTTACACACACACACATATAAATAAACATAAATGCACCCTCATTTTTTTATTACACTACACTGTCACTTTAGTTTGGATAACCTATATTTTTTGAAATTTAGATAATTTAGATTACCTGTTTTTCTTGAAATTACTTTAGCAATTTTAATGGTTTAAGTTTTGGCAAACTGCAAATGAGAATTTAAAGCTATATACCCTTATCAGTAGTATCATAATGAAAGCTAATAATTTTACATCACTCTGTACTTCTCTAGTCCATGCTTATTAACTATGTTTGCACAGGAAGTATATGATACATTCATACTGACCCTTATAGCTCCTAATTAAATGGTGTGATGGTTAATACTGAGTGTCAACTTGATTGAATTGAAGGATACAAAGTATTGATCCTGGGTGTGTCTGTGAGGGTGTTGCCAAAGGAGAATAACATTGGGGTCAGTAGGCTGCTAAAGGCAGACCCACCCTTAATCTGGGTGGACACAATCTAATCAGCTGCCAGTGTGGCTAGAATATAAGCAGGCAGAAAAATTTGAATAGAGAGACTGGCCTAGCCTTCCAGCCTATATCTGTCTCCCGTGCAGGATGTTTCCTGCCCTAGAACATTGGACTCCAAGTTTTTCAGTTTTGGAACTCAGACTGGCTGTCCCTGCTCCTCAACTCCTATATATGTGTGTGTGTGTGTGTGTGTGTGTGTGTGTGTGTGTGTGTGTATATATAAATATATATACATATACATAAATATATATGCATATATAAATATATATATAAATATATATGCATATATAAATATATATATAAATATATACGCATATATAAATATATATAAATATATACACATATATAAATATATATAAATATATACACATATATAAATATATACACATATATAAATATATACATATATAAATATATATACCTATATAAATATATATACATATATAAATATATATAAATTTATGTACATATACATATATATATAAATATATGTACATATACATATATACATATATAAATATATACACACACACACACACACACACACACACACACACACACATATATTCCATTAGTTTTGATCTTCTAGAGCACCCTGAGTAATACAAATGGTTAATTCATTTGGAATAACTCAGTACATTGAATTTGAGCTTTAAAGCAAGACAAAACAAGTTGCTATTTTGTACATGGACTATGCATCAGACTAGTCTATGCATAGTTTTTATAAAATAAAAACTTTAGTAATCAAAACATTCCTTATTGACTTTTTTGGAACACTTTAAATGTCTGGGATTTCAGCTTTATTCTAATTATATTCTCTAATTGAAATTTGAAATGAAATGACAGGCTTAAAAGAGTTTGAAAATACTTTTAAATTCTTAATTATTTACTCTGTCTTTAATCTCCTTTTTAAGTAATTCAACCATTGGACACGTCAAAGGTATCCTGTGTCAGGGCTCCCTCAACACAATTCTATGTAATCCTCGAATGAATGAGAGATAAAGGGGTCTCTATCTAAATCTCATCATGGCATACACAAAATTTTTCATGGATGCAGTAGTTAAGAGAGGGTACTAATCTGCAGATAAGATTTCAAGTCACTCCTCAAAACCTATTAATATTTGTCATTATCCTGGGTATATTTGGTTTTGGGTATAAATAAAGCTTACTAACCTTTCTCTTCTTCATTACAGCACTTATGATTATAAAAATATTGGTTATCTTTTTATCTCTGATATCTTACTGAATAAGATGCCATGTCTACAAAGAAAATGAGATTGAGTATCTTCAGATATTTGTATTTTTCTGACTCCTGAGCGCAAATAAAATTCATGCTAAATTCATTTAAAAATGCACATAAGAATGCATACTATATAAAATTCATATTTGTCATAAAATATATAATAAGCTATGTATAATATTAATTATAAATTCCATGTATTATACATTATATATGTACATATGTTCTGTATGCACTTACTATATGGCATATAAATAGAAAGATTTGAAATATATATAAGGATTATTTGATATAATACTATAACATACAACATATTTTTCTTATATATATGCTGTATAGTATAACCTCCAGTATTAATCATAGTCAAACTGTGAAACACCATCCTATTTGCATATATATATATTTAATTTGCTCTAGGGAAATTAGAATAAGCCTATCAGAGTAATTAAGCTCCGATTCTCTACATATCTGAAGGCAGTGAAGTATAAAGAATGAGAAATTGAAACATAAATAAACAATATTGTCATTTAAGCTTATGCTGAAATTTAGGTAGGACTCAAAAGGCTAGCTCATTGTCTAAAATCTTCATGAATACTTACAATAAATATAGTTCTAATTCTGTTGCTGGCAAAAATTTATTAAATCTATAACTATTATTTAAAATTAAAGACACTCTTCCATTTCTTGTTATTCTGAAATGCATGAATCATCTGAAAACAAAGGTTCACAACCACCTATATTATCATGAGTGGTAATCAGAGGCAAAAATGATGCTTACTGAGTTTCTTTGTACCTTGTGAAACTTTAAAAAGACATTCATAAATCACTGCTAAGGAGAAAAGAATACTGGATTAAGTGGATTAATATCCCAGTGTTTGGTACAAACTTACTGACCTGATTAATTATATTTAAAATGGTTTTATTAAAACATTTGCTGGTGATATATAAGGTACTTTTAAGATGAAGTGAGCTTCTATATACAAAAGCAATTTGAAAATATATAAACTTGAAGCAAATTTATCTCGACTGAGATCAGTTATTATAGTTCTAATTAAAATGTAGCAGTCCACATGAGAGAGTATTTCATGAACTAATCTATAAGAAATATATAATAAATTTAATTCAAGGACAGGTAAATCCCTTCTTTTAAAACAGAGTGGTAAGTCGCTGATGTTTAATCAGCATTAATAATCAAAATTTTCTCTTTCTAATTTTATATGTTATATCCACTGTGATAATTCTATCTGTATCTATATAGATACAGATATAGACTATATATATATTAGACAATTCTTGCATTGCTTAAAGAAATACCTAAGACTGGGTAATTTGTAAAGAAAAAAGGTTTAATTGGCCCATGGTTCTGCAGGCTATACAGGAAACATGGCTTCTAATGAGGCCTCAGAAAATTTCTATTCATGATGGAAGGTGAAGTGGGAGCTTGCATGTCATGTGGCAAGAGCAGAAGCAAACCAGAGTGAGGGGATGGTGCCACACACTTTTAAACCACCAGACCTCCTGTGAACTCAGGGCAAGAGCTCACTTATCACCAAACGAATGGCCCAAGACGTTCATGAGGGATCTGCCCCCGTGATACAAACACCTCCCACCAGGCCCTACCACCAGCATTGGGGATTATAATTCAACATGAGATTGGGGCAGGGACAAATATCCAACCTATGTCAATATACATATAAAATATAGATGTATATTCAGACATAAAGAGTCTGATGCTTCTTCTGGGACTCATTTTAAGAGAGCAAAGCATTTAAGGAATTCATAAATTAAAATGAAGTAATATGTTAATAGATATCCATATAGTCCACACAAAAGGTGTCTATAGCCTTTTATAAATACCAAATACTGACACCAAATAATTATATACCCTTTTGTAAATAACCGCTTTTGTAAATACAAAAATATCAAGGTTTAGAGGAAAATCTAGACACACGTTATATTGTATCTTGGGAAGATGGCAAAAGTCTCATATAAATAATATTTATATATTTTGACTGGCAAGGAATAAAAGAAAACTGTTTTTGCCATCTCAAGAGCATACACATTGAGATAATTAATTTTATTTGATTGCTAATAATTTCTATATGTTGATTCCTCAAGTATTTATAGTATTCTATATGATGCCTATAAGTCAATGTCTGCAAATACTATATGGCATTGCATTTATTCCAAACAGTTAGGAGAGATTGGATATCATCACTCAAGTAAACATAAAAACAAAAAAAAATCAAACTGTCTCAGTTTTATGGTAAAAATTATCTTTTGTTTACATTTGCATTTATTTCACTACTGAAGAGATTTATTTTGTGTTGCTTTTACAAGTACTTGTATTTATTTTTATAAATTGGTTTTTGCATTTTTATCTTTTTGATTACCTACATCCTATTGATGGATATATGTGATGTGTTAATAGGATGTTCTATTAAAAAATGTAAGGATGTCTTTTGTGCAGTACTGCAGACATTCCAAGACAGACGCATCATTTGTTGTCTCTTCTTTCGCTAACTCCAGACATACATACACCAATTTCTTGCCTCAGAACAAAAGAACACTATATTTCTAGAAGACTTAGTTTATTTTTCCACAAATTTATTGGATCTGTGAGTTTATAATGCTCATCAGTTTTGGACATTATTTAGCCACTCTATTAGTTAGGGCTCTCCAGTGAGGCAGAACCAATAGGATATATTTATGTTTAAAAGATCTATAAAAGATTAATTATGGGAATTGGCTGACATGAATATGATCATGAAGGTGGAGAAGTCCCACAATGTGCTGTGTGCAAGCAGAAGAACCAGGAAAATGGGTGGTATAATTCAGTTCAAGTTTGAAGTCCTGAGGACCTGGGAGCCAATAATGCATCTCAGAGTCCAAGGCCAAAGACCTGAGAACTCAGGAAAACTACTGGTGAGTCCTAGAATCCAAAGGCCCAAAAACCTGGAGCTCTGGTGTCCCAGAACAAGAGAAGGTAGCTTTCCCAGCTCAATATGGGAGAATTCTTCTTCCTCTTTATTCTATTAGAGTGGGCCCTTAACATACTGGGTGATGCCCACTCACATTGATGAGGGCAGATATTCAGTCTATTGATTCAAATGCTAATTTCTTCTGGAAACACCCTCCCAAACACATCCAGAAATAATGCTTTACCAGCTATCTGGGCATCCCTTAGTCCTGTCAAGTTGAGACAAAAATTAACCATCATAGCCACTATTTATTCACATATTATTCAAATATTTTCTATCTCCCACTCTTCTTCTTGAAATCCAATTACATATATAGTAAACCATACTATTTCACAAAGAATATCTTTCTTTTTTCATTTCTTCTTTTTAAAAAACATTCTCTGTTTTAATAGTCTGGATAACTGGAATACTATATCTTATAGTTCACTAATATTTAAAAAACAGGTTGAGTTATAATTGACATGCAAATACTACACATATTTAATGTATACAATTTCATGAGTTTGGACATATGCATGCATCTGTGAGACAGTTACCACAATAAAGGTAATAGATGTGTACATCACCTTCAAAAATTTTCTTGTGTTCCCACTTTTACTGTTAACTATAAGTGCTATGTTTTATAGGAGATCTGTAGAATTTAGTCATCTTACATAACTGAAACTTTATACCAGTTGAACAGCTCCTCAATTTTACCTGTCCCCAAGTCCTGCTAAACAGCATTTAATTTTCTGTGTCTATGGGCTTGACTATTTCACATGATCCTAAGGACTCCACATATACAAAACAATCTGTTAGAACTAATAAACTAATTCAGTAAGTGAGAAAGCTCTCATAAAAGTGGAACCATGCTGCATTTCTTTTTTTCTGTGACTGGCTTATTTCACTTAGATAATGTCTTACAGGCTCATCCATGTTGTCACAAATGGCAGGCTTTCCTTCATTTAAAAGTCTGAAAATATTCTATTGTCTGTATATATCATATTTTTATTAATCATCCATCTGTCCACAGACATTTAAGTTATTTCCATATCTTGGCTACTGTGAATAACAGTGCAATTAATGTGAATACACAGATACCTCTTTACAGTGTTAGGTCTTATGTATAATTCTTTAATCCATTCTGAGGTGATTTTGGATATGGTGATGCCCATTCTTACCACCTCTATTTAATTTAGTGCTGGAAGTCAACCAAAACAATTAGAAAAAAAGTGATAAATGACATCAAAACTGGAAAGGAATAAGTACAATTATCTCTGCTTGCAGATGACTTGGTCTTCTAAACAGAAAATCCTACGGACTAAACACACACACACACACACACACACACACCCCTTTTAGAACTAATAAACTAGTTCTGCCAAGTTGCAGGTTAAAAATATTAATATAAAAAATCAGTTTTCTTTCTATACATTAACAGCAAACTATCTCAAAAAGAAATTAAAAAATAATTTTATTTAGTATCACATCAAAAAGAATAAAATACTTTGAAACAAACTTAACCAAGAAAGTGAAGGACTTATACCTTAAAAACTATAAATTATTGATAAAAGAAAATTTAAAAGACACAAATAAATGGAAAGACACCCTGTGTTCATGGATTGGAGAGTTTACTATTGCTAAAATGCCCCAAACCCGAAGTGTTGTACAAATTCAATGCAGTCCATATCAAAATAATAATGACATTTCTACACAAATAGGAAAACAATTCTAAAATTTACATGGAAACACAAATGATTCCAAATATCCAGTTATCTTGAGAAAGAGGAACAAAGCTGGAGGCATGGAATTTCCTGATTTAAAGATATATTATGGTGCTACAGTAATTAAAACCGTATGCTACTGACATAAAAATGGGGCCCATATAAACCAATAGAACAGAATAGAGAACCCAGAAATAAACCCAAGTATATACAATCAACTGCTTTTCCACAAGAGTGCCAAGAATATAGGATGGGGAAAGAATGGTCTCCTCAACAAATGGTGCTGGGAAAACTGAGCAGCAGAGTAAAATTGCACCCTGTTCATTTTCTGATCTTTTCTTAGGAGTTCTTTAATCTGGCATTAAGCATAGCCAATAAATTTTTCATTTCAGATAATTGCATTTTACCCCCTTAGAAGGGCTTTTTTTTTCTTTTTTCACTAAGTTTACGTGACTCTTTAGGTAATTTATTTAAAATATTTTGACATCTTTATCTTCCAATTCCATGAATTCAGTTCTTTTTTAGGCCTGATTTTATGACTGATTTTTCACTTGCTTGTGGGTCCTTCTCTTCTGTTACTTTGCATCTCATATTTTTTGAAAGACTATTGCCTATCATTAATCTTACATTATGATTTTCTGGATAAAATGTTACTTTTTAAATGAAAGGCACTTAAATTACTTTCAGATCAGCTTTATCACATTTAGGCCAGTTTTAAGCTTTATTAGGACAGGTCTAAAATAGCTTTTAATCTTCATATATTTCAGTCCTCTTTCTGGTGTTACTATGGATAGCTCCAGTGTTCAATGAGACTGCTCCATGCTGGCTTGTTAACACCAGGAATTATTTTTGAGCTCTGGGAATTATTTAGCTTATAGTGATTTCACAAAATTTCTGGATTATTCATCTAGTGTCTGTGGGATCAGTAGTGATGGTTTTCTCTCATTTCTGATATTGGCAATTTGTGTTCTTCCTCTCCCTCTTTTTTCTTCCTTAGGCTGGCTACAGAACTATCGTTGAGCTTTTGCTTTCAATTATTTTCTATGTTGTTTTCTCTTTCCATTTTTTTGTTTTCTGCTATAATATTCATTATTCTGTTCTTTCTGCTTATTCTAGATATAAGTTGCTCTTCTTACTTTCATTTTCCAAAAGTTTAGTTTACTGATTTAGATATTTCTTCTTTTCTAACAAATGCATTTAATATTATAAATTATCATCTAACATGAATATTTAAAATTTTGATAAGTTGCATTCTTGTTTTCACGTAGCCTAAAATAGTTTTTGTTCATCTCACTTAGAAATGCATCATAAATTTCTAAATATTTAGGAATTTTTACATATATTTCTGTTACTGGTATCTAGTTTAATTTTGTTATGAACCAATAAAATATTTTATATGACTTGTACTAGTTTTTAAATTTGTTAAAGTCTATGGTTTTAACATTGCTAAGGTTAATTCTTCCTATGACATGGGTAAAAATGTATGTTCTGCTATTGCATAAAGTATTATATAAATGTTTATTAGGACAAATTTGTTGTTTGTCTCCAGGTCATCCATAGCCTTGATATCCTGCTTACTTGATATTGATATTCTACCTGCTTACTCTATTAATAACAGAGAAAGTATAGAGCTGGCTTTTGTTTTTATATTTAATCTCTGAATCTGTTTTTTATCTGGTAGTTTTAGACCTAGAATTAGCAAGCCATGGCTCAAAGACCAGCTATAGCTTATCACCTGCTTTTCTAAATAAACTCATATTGAAAACAGCCACACTCATTTATGTATGTATTGCCTATGACTGCTGCATAACAACAGCAGAGTTGAGTTGTTGCCAGATATAACATATCATCCTCAAAGCCTGTGATATCTACTAGCCAATTCTTTGCATAAAACAGAGTAGAAAAGATAATTGAAGATAATTGGTGAATAGACTCTTAAATTGTTTACATTATTTATTTATTGTTGCATAACAATGTTACCACAAAATTATTTGCATAAAATAGCATGCATTTATTACCACACAGCTTCTGTTAATTAGGAGTCTGGTTACAACTTAGTTGGCGCTTCTGTTTCAAAGCTTCATGAGGCTGTAATAGAAGTGTTGGTTGGTAATGTAGTCTCATCTCAAGGCAGAACTGGGGCAGGATTCACTTCCAAGCTCACATGGTAGTTATGACAATTCAATTATTTGATGTAAGGTTGGAGGCCTCATTTTCTTGCTGGTTGCCAGGAAGAGGTTACCCCAATTCCTAGCTGATGATTAGTTGGAGACTTCTCTCAGATTCTTGGGTTCCCCAAGATGACATTATGCTTCTTCAAAGCCAGCAAAAAAGAGAGTCTTCTAGCAAGATGAAAAATACAATCTCATGTAATATGATCATGGAAGTGATTATCATCTTTGCTTTACTCCATTGGTTGGTAGCAAATTATGAATCTTGCCCACACAACTAAGAGAGAAGATTCAACAAAGCCATGAATACAAGGAGATGAGGATTTGGAGGGCCTTTTAGAGTCTGTCTGCTACAATATGTTTCCCCCACTCTTTGGGATTTTGTCATCTTCAAGTCCTAGTCATGTTGAGACAGACTTGCACTTTAAACTCTGCCTTTCAGTCCTGTAAAAAGTGCTGCCTTCAGCTTGGAACCTACTTATTCATTGCTGTGATTTGGAAAATTTCCTCAAAGACAAAGCAATCATAAATATGAAGCTTAACCTGCTTGTTCTTTCTGTTAAGTAATGTCCTCAAGCCTTGCCTGTATATGTTTCCCTCAAATTTCTTCAAGTGGTTCTAAATATTTTTTTCATTCTTCATATTTATATTGGTTGTAGACTTAGTCTGATATAAGGTGCTGTGGCGTCTGCTTGATTTATTTATAATTAATTTTCTTGGCATAGGTTGGCAAGATTGTGGTAAAGAGCTGACAATGGAGTGTTACATTTTATTGTCAAAATGAATTTCCTTGGAACTGTAATCTCATATGGAGACATTGGAATTCCACATCTGGTATGTAGGTGGCATATATCAAACTTAAAACCTATTATTTTGATATCCCAAATGTACCATACATGCATTAAATGCAAAAAAGAAAAAACCCTGTGTAGTCATACCTTTGCTAACTAGGTATTTACTGCTTCCTCTTTCAAACTTCTTGGCTTTAAAAAGCATGCATCTAACTTTATTGGCATTTTCTTGTCTTGATTTAAAGGAAGACTTAAGCACAGTATTAGTCAAGGTTCTCTAAAGGGACAGAACTAACAGGATATATGTGTATATGAAGGGGAGTTTACTAGGAGAAATGACTCACATGATTACAAGGTGAAGTCTCACAAGAGGCTGTCTGCAAGCTGAGGAGCAAGGAATCCAGTCTGAGTCTCAAAACCTCAAAAGTACAGAAGCAGACAGTGGAGCCTTCAGTCTGTGGCCAAAGGCCTTAGAGTCCCTGGCAAATCACTGGTGTAAGTCCAAGATTCCAAAAGCTGAAGAAGTTGGAGTCTGATGTTCAAGGGCAGGAAGCATCCAGAACGGGAGAAAGATAAAAGCCAGAAGACTCAGCACGTCAAGCCTCATTCCACTTTCTTCTGCCTGCTTTATTCTAGCCGTGCTGGCAGCTGATTAGATGGTGTCCATCCAGACTGAGGGTGAGTCTACCTTTTCCAGTCAACTGACTCAAATATTAATCTCCTTTGGCAGCACCCTCACAGACACACCCAGGAAAAATACTTTGTATTCTTCAATCCAATCAAGTTGACACTCAACATTAACCATCATACACATAAAGAAAATCTTGAGCTATGCATGTTCACAGCAAGGAACAAAGTAACATCTGAATATTAAAAGATGGATGAAAAATGAATATTGATGAAACATATTGTTACATCTTTCTATATTCAATATAATATTGTCCTTTTGTCATCAGGCATACCAGCACAAAGACCAACAATTTTTACAGTCTAAATCATGTTATACTTTGTGTTGTTACTCTTGGGGAGGGGGCAAATATATCCCATTCAGTATCTGGAAATATATGTATCCATAAAGGGGAACCAAATATGCATACTCTCTTAACAATAATGTATTGTCAGGAAATTAAATGCCTGGCCCAAAACTGCATTTTCTAGCCCTACATTTTTATTTAGATGGAATAATATGACTAAAACTTACTAACTGCATTTGATGGAAGGAAACATTTTTAGAACAAAGCAGTTAAGGAGTAGATACTTCTTTTCCACTCTTTATTTTGGCTTCAATTTTCCTCCTTATGCTACCTTGATACAAATGAGGATGGTAACTTTGGAAAACATTTCTGGAAAGTGGTAAATAGAAGAAGCCTGTTCCTACATCTCTGCCTAAAAGAAAGCCAGTCACCAACCATGATAGTGATTTTGAACTCCATTAGACAAGAAATATTTTTTTCTTCTTAGATGCTTTATGTATTTTTGAACTTCTCTAAGTGTTATCATTATCTTAATAAATACATAATAAAAGATATTTAGTCTTTAATACAAAATTATACTATTGCATGTGAATAGTATAGTGAGCATTCATTTTACTAAATGAATTATGATTCACTTCAACTTGGAAAAATGATATATATATATAAATTTGAAACAGCAATAACCATCTCAAAGTGCCCTAGATAAAGATAGCCAAAGGTTATCCTCTCTGGTAATAGCTACTGGGAAACAAATTACTCTAAACTTAGTGGCTTAAAACAACAGTCATTGAATATCTTACAGTGTCTGTGGATCTAACTTCTGAGCATGATATATCTCAATTCCTCCGGGTCAAGACCTTTCATGAGGCTGCAATCAAACTACCAACTGAAACTAAAGTCATCTCAATGCTTGCATGGGGAATGATCTGCCTCCAAGTTCACTCAGGTGGTTGTTGACAGGCCTTAAATTTTCTTTGACTCTTATTTGAAAAAAAATCAGTTTCATGTCATGTGGGTGTTACATAAACGCACCAAAGATTGCCCTTATGTTAATGTAGTGGCCTAATATTGTTTACTTTTTAAACAAGAAGGCTAGGACAAGTAGCTCAAAGCTACTGACAACAAACTCAAATTTTTACAGATCCATTAAATGAAATAACCCAAATAAGTGTGTTTTTAGCCATTTAGAGCCTCCTTCCTTTATGTACCCCATGAAATTGCACTCAAAATCAGCTAGCCATACTTTAGACAAACCTTGGAGCTCTCTGACCCACAGTCTCCCCACTTTGCCACTGAGTGACAACACTAAACATGTAAGCCCGTTCTTTGATTCTCCTCTCCCTTGCCCTTTGCCTTTTCTGGGTGGTGGTCCCAGGTCACTATTTCTGGAAAGCCTCCCACTGTGAAGGACTTTACTTCACATGCAACTCTGTCAAGGCACCACCTAATAAAAGTTTTGCAATACTGCCATATCATGGTTCTGTCATTTCCTGAATTAGTCTCCAAATCCTCAGATTCACCACAGTGGGTCTCTCTGGAGACCAACTCACAACATGGCTGTTGGCTTCTTTCAGAGCAAGCAAGAGAGTGATGGAGGACACCTAAGACAGAAGCCACAGTCTTTATGTAACCTATTCTCAGAAGTGATGTCCCATCACTTCTGGCATATTCTGCTCTTTCAAAGCAAGTCCATACATCCAGCCCACACTCAAAGTAGGGACATTACACAAAGGTTCAAATACCAGAAGCCTGGGAGCATTGGGGGCCATCTGAGAGGCTGCATACTTTGTAAAGCAGTATGTTATCAAACACACTAAAAACCGATTACTGGTGAGAGGGACAGAGAAAGACAGTAGAATAGAAGGCTTCACCAGTTGTCCACCTGGCAAGGACATCAATTTAATAACTATCTACAAAAAATAAATTAATATATAAATAAATAAATAAAACACCTTCATGAGAACCAAAAATCAGGTGAGACTCATGGTATCTGGTTTTAACTTCATAGCACCCAGACAGGCACTGATGAGGTGGGAAAACAGTCTTGAATCACTGACAGCACCCCTCCCCAAAGCACTGGCAATGACAACACAGCATGGAGAGCATTTCTGTGCACTGGGGAGGGGAAGAGTGAAGCTATTGTGAGGCATTGAACTCAGTGTTGCCCTGTTATAGCAGAAAACAAAACTGGACCAAACTCAGCTGATACTGAGGGAGCATTTAAACCAGCTCCTTCCAGAAGGAAATTGCCACTTGCAGCAGACCAACTTGATTTCCCACAAGCCTCATCACTATGGGCTAACATGCACTGGGGCACCAAGTAAACTTCAAAGACAGTCTAGGCCACAAAGACTGCAACTCCTAGGCGAGTCCTAGTGCTGAACTTGGTCCTAGGCCAGTGGACTGGGGAGGCACACAACATTGGAGCACCCAGATATTTAACATTTACAGAACATTGCATCCAATGGCTGCAGAATACATATTCTTTTCCTCAGCATGTGTATCATTCTTAAGGTTAGACCATATGTTAGATCACAAAACAAGTCTTAAAACTTTCCAAAAATTAAATAATATGAAAGCATCTTCTTTGACCAGGATGAAATAAAACTAGAAATCAATAACTAGTGGAATTTTGGAACTATACAAACACATGGAATGCAAACAATATGCTCCTGAATGACCAGTGAGTCAATGACGAAATTAAGAAGGAAACAAAATATTCGGAAACAAATGACAGTGGAAACACAGCCTACCAAAACCTATGGGATACAGCAAAAGCAGTACTAAGAGGGAATTTTATAGCTATAAGTGCCTCCAAGTACATCAAAAAGAGGCAAAACTTCAAATAGACAACCTAATGATGCATTTTAAAGAAGTATAAAAGCAAAGGCAAACCAAATGCAAAAATAGTAGAATAAAAGAAGTAATAAAGATCCAAGAAGAAATAAATGAAATTGGAATGAAGTAAACAATAAATAGGAATACAGAGGATCAATAAAACAAAAAGCTATTTTTGTAAAGTTAAATAAAACTGACAAACTTAGTCAAACCAACTAAAAAAATAGAGAGAAGTTCCAAACAAATAAAATAAGGAATGAAAAAGGACACATTACAACTGATAACACAGAAATACAAATAGTGGCTACTATGAGAAACTCTATGTCAATATATTGGAAAATCTAGAAAAAATGGGCAAATTCCTAGACACAACCTACCAAGATTGAACAAGGAAGAAATCCAAAACTCAACAGACCAAAAAAAATTATGAGATTGATGCCTTAATAAAAAGCCTCCCAGTAAAGAAAAGCCAGAGACCTTATTGTTTCACTGCTGAATTCTACTGAACAGTAAAAGAAAGACTGACACCAATCCCACTCACATTATTCTGAAAAACAGAGCAGCAGATATTTCCAAGCTCATTTTACTAGGCCACTATTACCCTGATAACAAAATCAAAGACACATCAAGAAAAGAAAACTGCAGGCAAATATCTCAGATGAATATTAGTGCAAAAATCCTCAACAACATGCTACCAAGCCAAATTCAACAAAACGGTAAAAAGATCTTTCATTGTGACCAAGTGGGATTTATCCCTGGGATGCAAGTATGATTTAACATTTGCAAATCAATGAATGTGATATATTATATCAACAGAATGAAGGACAAATTTATGATTATTTCAATTAATCCTAAAAAAGCATTTGATAAAAATTCAACATCCCTTCATAATAACAACCCTTAAAAAACCAGATATACAAGGAACATTCCTCAACATAATAAAAGTCATGTGCAACAGACTCACACCTGGTATTATACTGAATGGGAAAAACTGAAAGCCTTTCCTCTAAGATCTGGACCTTGACAAGGATGCCCATTTTCACCACTGTTATCCAACAGAACACTGGAAGTCCTAGCTAGAGCAATCAGACAAGAGAAAGATGTAAAGCACATTCAAATTGGAAAATAAATAAAATTATCTTTGAGGCAGATGATATAATCTTATATTTGAAAAAACCTGAAGACTTCACAAAAAGCTATTAGAACTAATAAATAAATTTGCTAAAGTTGCAGTACACAATCAACATACAGAAATCAGAAGCATTTCTATATCCTAACAGTGAACAATCTGAAAATAAGTAAAAAAGCTACCCCATTTACAATAGCCACAAATAAAATCAAATACCTAGGAATTAACTTAAATAAGTGAAAGATTTCTATAATGAAAACTATAAAACACTGATGAAAGAAATTGAAGAGGACACTAAAAAATGGAAAGATATTCCATGTTCATTTATTGGAAGAATCAGTATTGTTAAAATGTCCATACTACCCTAAGTAATATATAGATTCAATGTAATCCCTATCAAAACACCAATGGCATTCTTCACCAAAATAGAAAAAAATCCTAAAATTTATATGGAACCACAAAAGACTCAGAATAAGCAAAGATATCCTAAGCAAAAGAAGAAGACTGGAGGAATCACATTACCTGACTTCAAATTATTCTACACAGTTGTAGTAACCAAAACAACATGGTACTGGCATAAAAACAGACACAGAGGCCAATGTAATAGAATAGAGAACCCAGAAACAAATCCTCACACCTACAGTGAACTCATTTTCGATGAGGGTGCCAAGGACATGGATTGGGGAAAAGACAGTCTCTTTAACAAATGGTTCTGGTAAAACTGGATATCCATATGAAGAATAATGAAACTAGACCCCTGTCTCTCACCATATACAAAATTCTAGTCAAAATGGAATAAAGGCTTAAGTCTAAGGCCTCAAACTATTAAAATACTGCAAGAAACTCTCCAGGACATTGGTCTGGGCAAAAATTTCTTGAGTGATACCCCACAAGCATAGGCAACTAACGCAAAAATAGACAAATGGGATCACATCAAGTTAA
The DNA here is from genome assembly GCF_000001405.40 of Homo sapiens. Taxonomy (NCBI): domain Eukaryota; kingdom Metazoa; phylum Chordata; class Mammalia; order Primates; family Hominidae; genus Homo; species Homo sapiens. The sequence goes on along the minus strand of NC_000001.11, from coordinate 195,976,432 downwards.
AAAGCTTCTGCACAGCCAAGGAAACAGTCAACAAAGTGAAGCAATAACCCACAGAATGGGAGAAAATATTTGCAAACCACCCATCTGACAAAGGATTAATACCAGAACATACAAGGAGCTCAAACAACTCCCTAGGAAAAAAAATCTAATAATCTGAATTAAAATGGGCAAAATACTTAAATAGACACTTTTCAAAAGAAGACATACTGGCAGACAGGCATATGAAAAGGTGCTCAACGTTGCTGATCACCAGAAATGCAAATCAAAATTACAATGAAATGTCTTCTCACTACAGCTCAAGTGGCTTATGTCTAAAAGACAGGCAATTGCAAATGCTGGTGAGAATGTGGAGAAAGGGGAACTCTCAGACACTGTTTGGTGGGAACTTAAATCAGTACAATCACTATGGAAAACAGTTGGGAGGTTTCTCAAAAAAAACGAAAATAGAGCTACCATATAACCTAGCAATCCTACTGCTAGTTATATGCTCAAAAGAAGTGAAATCTTTTTATTGGAGAGAAATGATGAAACGATAGTATATCAGAGAGAAACAATACTGCACTCTCATGTTTGTTGCAGCACTGTTCATAATAGCCAAAATTTGGAAGCAACCTAAATGTCCATCCACAGATAAACGGATAAAGAAAACGTTGTAGTTGTATGCAATGGAGTACTAATCAGTCATAAAAAGGAATGAGATTTTGTGATTTGCAACAAAGGGATGGAACTGAACTCATGGAGATAGAGAGTAGAAGGATGATTACCAGAGGCTGGGAAGGGTAGAGGTTGTTGAGACAGGGAGAAGAGGGGATGGTTAGTGGGTTAAAAAAAAATAGCGGTTAGAGGGAATAAGACCTAGCATTTGATAGCACAACATCAAAAATAATTTAATTATACCTTTTAAAATAACTAAAACAGTATAATTGCATTGTTTGTAACACAAAGAATAAATGCTTGAGGGGATGGATACCCCTTTTTCCATGATGTGGTTATTACGCATTGTATGCCTGTATCAAAACATCTCACGTACCCCATAAATCTATATACCTACTATACACCCCCACAAAAATTAAAATTAAAGAAAACTAATTACTGTCTTAAATTTGTATGTACTTAATAATATATAACATGTTTGCAAGATGACAAAGTAATAATTCTGAGACACAATGTATTAAGGCAAACACTCTCTTTTTTATTATACTTTAAGTTTTAGGGTACATGTGCACAACGTGCAGGTTTGTTACATATGTATACATGTGCCATGTTGGTGTGCTGCACCCATTAACTCATCATTTAACATTAGGTATATCTCCTAATGCTATCCCTCCCCCCTCCCCCCACCCCACAACAGGCCCTGGTGTGTGATATTCCCCTTCCTGTGTCCATGTGTTCTCATTGTTCAATTCCCATTTATGAGTGAGAACATGCCGTGTTTGGTTTTTTGTTGTTGCGATAGTTTAAGGCAAACACTCTTAAGAGGCTCAATAATTTAAGTGAATTAGAATATTGTGTTATAAATACTCTCAGAGTTTCAATAGAACATTACAGTGATTTTTATATATACATTTCCCTAAAATTGTAGTGGCTTATATTACTGAATTGTTAAAAAATATGTTTGAAAGTTATTTTGTCTTGCTTATTGTATCTTCTATTATCTTTATTTCACATTAAAATTTTCTTTTAATTCACATTTCCTTCTTGAGAACCTGATCATTATATAATTGGCTGATGACTGTAGTGGAATAAGCTGTTCATTTTAAATAACTTGATGTTGTCAGATAAACTTGTAATTTTTAATTTTCTGAAAACTATCATTACTTTGCAATAGAAAATCTTGAAACAAAGACTTTTATTATCATTATTAGTGATCATCATCAGAAATGGAAGGTTTTTATATAGTGCTTAATTTTGTTCAAAACACTTTCTTCCCGAAAATCTCATTTGAGTGTCACATTTTATGAAGTTATATCATTTTTTACTGTTTTCCACATACAATTTTGATTTAGAATCCAACCCAACCAAGAGTAAACTTACAAGCAAACTTTTTGCATCTCAGGGGTAAATTATTTTGAGGAAATACTATGATAAACTTGCTTTCTGCAAAAAAGTCTTTGGACTCTGCACTCATATGGCATCATGGTGAGAATAATTATGTCTTCCTGATACTGAAAAGTCTGACAATGATACACAAGATCAAAAACTCTTTTTGCTTTAGAATGTATTTTTTCTTAAGTTGTTATTTAGGTTTGTGAAATTCTTAAAGCAATGAAGCCTCTTCTTCAATATGTACAAAGAATAATAATCCCATATGGAACATTTGCTTCTTCCCTAAACCTCAAAAAGAAGATGCCAGTAGGTATATTCTCCTCTGATGAACACATTTAAATATACGCCAGAATAGTTGAGTCCTGGTGTAACTACTATCTCTTTTGAGTTATCAGCTGATTGTGGAAACATTCGTTCTCATAATCTTATCTTTAAAGCGTTAATTCTATAGAAGTGCTGTTTTTTTTTTCCTCCAACAATATTAATTGGATGATACAGAAGTTCCTAGGGATTATTGGCTAGATCTTTGCTCTTTTCCCCATCCCTTCTGCAGTCACATTTCTACAATAAATGAGAGGAGCAATAACATATTCTTAGATATTATCTCATACCTTGTTCTCACTTTTATTTATTCTTGGTACATTAAGCCATCCATTAAAACATATTGGCTAAAGGTTTTGTAATTGTTTTGGAGAAGGAAGGGGCAGTACTTCATTTCCTGTGTCAGGCATTTGTCAGAGCAAAACAATATTTTGTGAGAGAGCAAATATAATGAACTGAAGTGTTGACTCATTGATACTGCCTTTTTGGTTTCTAATTAAGTTTTGAAATTCAGAGGTTTTTAAATTAATGCACACGATGACTAAAAGTTAAAGCCCTGACACAGTGGTATAGGGTACACTTACTTTCTATATTTATATATTAATCATTTTTCCTTGTTTAACTCACCACTGTGTTGTGGCAGCTTATTCTGGAATCAAACTAGAAAGGATAGGTTAGAATGGCAGATAGAGATATGAAGCAGGAAGAAGAGAATAACACATGTTTTCTTTATTATGACTGCATTTATTTAAACTAGAAAATATATTAAGTATTTTAATTGCAGTTTGAATCCTACGTTTTTGAATTTCATTGCTTTATATGTGTAATCCCAAATTTCCAAATATACATATTTTTTATAAACATAATTCAGTAAAGAAAATTACTTATTTCTTAGTTCAAGTGTTTCCAAAAAGTGCACAGAAATCCACATAATTTATAATTGACTATTGAGTGAATTACTTATTTAACAAGGAGACGTATGTTAGAATTATTATTTCTCATGACTAGCCTGATTCAAATGCATTCAAACAATTCTCTTTATAGCCAAAGTATACAGTAGGCTACGTAACACATCAACCTACATTTTCTAGAAGAAATTTCCTAAGGGAATCACTTCTCATTTAAAAATCAGCCTCATGGATTAATTGACATTCTCATCTATTGTTTTTGTAAAGACCTCTTCTTATTTACCACTGATAACAATCTAAAAATTACCCATGTTTTGGAAATGTTTCTTAGTCATTTAATGCATGCCTCTGTGTTTTCTTAAACAAAATATGCTATACCAAAATTCTACCTTTTTGATAATTTAGGCTGTCATTCCGACTTGTTTGTGTTGTATTGAAAAACTTCATTTGCCTGTTTTCATCCTTGCAGCCATTGTCTCCGATTTTATAAAATACCCTATTTAAATTTATTTTGAGTATTTTCTGCCATATGAAAAATCAGTTATAAATCAGTTATTCATGGTGTATAAATGAAAAGTAAATAAATCCTGAATAACCATCATAGGGAGTCCTCCACAGAGTCAAGGTTTTAGGTTTGGATACAGAATTTTAACTAAGTTTAGATCCCTTATTTCCTGGGTCTACTGTGTTCGCTGCATTTTTAAATGGCAAGAAAAGTTAGTGTAGTTTCTGCAAAAAGGGAGAACAGTGGAAAATATTTGAGCTTTTGACTTGTGGGACAAGAGTAATGCTACATTATTTAGATGGCATCCTGCAGAGCAGGTTCTCCAATGACCACGTGCAAGGGAAGACTCCCACCACATGGAGGATAGCAAAGATCCATCACCTATGCCAACCGTCAGGAACAGAAGCATGAGCATTTCTTCCCATTGCATCTTTGGCTACAGTTCTACCAATTGCCTGAGTCTGGGAACAGAACACACACACACAGCAGGTTATATGAAGCAGGTTTGTTACTTACAGATGGCAGCAAGGGACAAAATAAGTCCTGGATTTATTTAGTCACTCTTCCAAGGTTATAGAAAGCTGCCTAGGGCAAATGGGGTCCTGATTGCACATGTTTTGCTTGCATTACAGCTGAGGGACTTTGAAAGTCAACCCATACCACTAAGGTTTATAACCCTCAGTGGAAACATGACTCACTGGGAAAAGTTCTGAAAGACATCCTGATTCCAGGGGGAGAAGAAGCAAAACCCAGGCTGTTCTGGGCAGTTCCTCCCTAACTCAAGACATTACTTTGTTAGAAGGCACAGGAATAAGATCCAGGCTGTTTCAGGCAATCTATCTCTGTATCAGTTATTGCATTCTCAGCACATTCTGTAATTATTCTTGAGAACTGCAAGTGAGAAAGGGGAGCAGAAGTGAGTTGGTTCAAGACCACCTGGAGAACAGTCTATTCCCCTGACCTAGATATCCTCCTTGGCAAAGCTAGTTCATTTCCTATGTCCACTGGCCTTCCGAGATATGAAGGTGAAATTTTGTCTCATCAGATTGACACAGCAGCTTGATGAATACCATCTCGTTGCCATATCATTGAGTCATAGCCAGAATGCAATTTACCAGATCCATGAGGACTACTATGACAAGTAAGATGGTCATACTTGACCGCAGCAGTCACCTAGCCTAGGCCATGGCAATCCAGCTAGGAAGTTGATAAGAAGTGAAGAACAATCATTCAGGTGGTCCCACACTATGCAGCCAGTAAACCTGCCTTTCTGCGTCTTTTCCACCTGTGTCTCTACAATGCCTGAGTTAATTATCCAGGTATAACAGCTGTTGACAATGGCACATACGCCCCACAATTGGGCTAAAAGGAAGTCTAGAACAGTTTTGTTTTCTAAAATAACTTTTCCAAGTGAGTTGAGAGATGTCTGCTGAGCTACGAAAGCAGTGGCCATAGAGGATGCAATACTTGTCATGGTCAGAGACAGATTTCTCTTCATTTTTTTCTTGAGCACTGGCTCCCAGATACAGTGTTAAAGCTCTTTTAAAGGACATAAATCCAGAGTCAGTTACTTCTTTTGGCAGGTTTCTAGGGTGCCCGGTATATACACTAGGCTGTTAGCCCAATGGTGGATCTTATTGTTAGGGTCGCTATCCAAGGGCACTGGCACCCCTATGATGCCCAGCATGCAGGATCCCACAATCTTTCAGCAATACAGGCATGGCATTGCCATTCCATATTTGGGTCACCCTGGACTGCCCACAAAGAAACAGATGCATAACACACCTTTCTTCATTTTCTTATTCAGCGCCCCACTCATAGGTATGTAGGCATAAGTGTTCACCATCCAGCCCTCGTTAACTGCATAATGGTATTAACTCAATTTCCCTCCTGGAATGTTGTTCAGGGGGCTAACAATAGTTCAGCTCTTGTTTCTGTTGTCATCAGTGGGACGCTTCTTGTTCAAGTAAATCAAAGGAGTATGGTGCAGCACGTAGCCCACTATGACTTTGTTAGTGGTGGTTGTGACATTTGCCATCTTAAATCAGTCAAGTTAAAACAGGCTCTTCTGGTTCCATTCCATATGGCTGGTTCCAGATCTTCACACAGAAAGCTATAGCTTGGGTCCTATTAGTATATACTGTGGCCTTGAGAATGCTGGCATACTTGACTGCTGGCAAGACTAGGGGTTCACTTTTTAGTCAGTGACAGAATGAGGTTTCTTGTGGCCACAGCTTGGGAACTTCTAAGAAAAGTGTTACGCCTTTAGGCCTCTGCTGCCTCATTTGTGTAGAAAGAACAGACTGGCAGGGGATTACCACCTGCCAATCATTCTTCCCTCCCCCTGGTCTCAGATGTTCCTATCTCAGATGGGGGTTGCAATGAATGGTGATCAGGTCTGTCTGTCCCTGTCCTTCTACCACCACTTCTCCCAAGTCTACCCTGACCCACACTCTTCTCCCAGCATAATCAGAGGGTACCGTGGGTGGATGCACTACTTTTAGATCCACTACTTTTAGATCACCTAGGACATACCCTGTGGGAACTGGGAGCCCCACTAGGGCCACCTGTCATCCCATTAGGTCAGAGACTGAGCCCATGGGGCCAGTGGGCACATCCATTCTCTAAATAACAGTGCCCTGTGGGGTCAGCACTTCAAGGTTACAGTCTTCCAATGTGTCTGTCTGCCAGGTGGCTACACCTGTCACGATATTGGGAGGAATGCGAACAGCTGTAGTGGGAAAGAGGTTTCGTAAGAGTTTCTCTTAGGACTATCAGCATAGCCTACATCTCATACCCACATGGGCTCCATATATACTTCTGATCATCATTCCTTAACCCCTTTTGCACCTGGATATCTACCACCCATGTCCACAGCCTCGGTACTTCTATCCTCCTGTCTGCAGACTGCTCTATCAAGCAACCCAGGGCTGTGCTCCCTTTGCATTGAACTGAGGTATTTAAAATCCAGAGGGTCCTTAATAGCTGCATAGTCCATCCTTGCAAAGTTCTTTCTGTGTGTTCCTATTTAAGGCTTTTTTCAGTGGTCTATTGAAAAGGGTCCGACAGATACCATATACTCTGCATATACTCAAACATACAACTGCATGGCCTCAGCAAAAAATGCAGGGCCTCTATCTATTTGAATGTCATCAGGCTATCTGAAGACATGGCACAGCCTCTTTTCTAGGGAGGTCATGGTGTTTGCTGAGCAAGGGCACCATCCTGGAAATGTGGAAAGGTCAGTTCATATCTAGTGCATGTGTTCACAGTAGTAAGGGCATATTTATATCCTTGAGAGCTTGGGGAAGGTTACGTATAGATTCCAAGTGCCACACTCGTGTAGGGGCTGTCCTCAAGGAATGTACCCCGATTGTCAGTTTTGTGCACAGGCCTGAAGTTGAAAAGACTTACAGTTCTTGATGGCAGTGGTGGCTTCCAAATGTGGAAAAGTGATTCTTTATTTCCAGGCCCACTAAATAATAGTGGCAGTGTTGTCCTGGTCTGTTTGCTGATGGACCCAAAATGTAACTGGGACAATATGTGCAACGTCTGCCACTTCCCTGATGTCTACTGTCTCCAATTCTTCAGTGCAATTATTATTATTATTTTTATTTTTTAGAAATAGAGTTTTGCTCTGTCACCCAGGCTGGAGTGCAGTGATCTGATCTTGGCTCACTGCAATCTCTGCCTCCTGGGTTCAAGCGATTCTTGTGCCTCAGCCTCCCGAGTAGCTGTATTACAGGCATGCACCCCAAGCCTGGCTAATTTTTGTATTTTTAGTAGAGATGGGTTTTTGCCATGTTGGCCAGGCTGGTCTTAAATTCCTGACTTCAAGTAATCTGCCCGCCTCAGCCTCCCGAAGTGCTAGGATTACTGGCGTAAGCACCCACGCCCAGCCCCTCAGTGCAGTTTTGATTGATTGCTAATTCTACGGATGTTTGTTGGTGTATGGACCTTTCTTGTGTCCATCCAAATGAGTGACAAATAGGTTGGAGTATATTGTCAGTTTCTGCCAAATTATAGCACCCTACACTGGGGTGTCTCTGATTGTTCAATTATCCTGGCCAAGATCCTAACTATGTGGCCAGGCCATTAGCTACTTCCTTAGAGTCAGTAAAGATGTAGCATGGTTCAGTGTCAAGGGTGTGGGACACCACTAGCCAAACTGCATATAACTCAGCACATTAGGCAATGCAACCATCTACATTCTGTGATGATGCCTCCCGTTTTCATGCTGACAGTAGCTAAAATCCATTTCCCTCCTCAAGGCTTCAGCTTTGTAAAGCCATTTATAATCCAGTGGAAGGTATCAAGTCTTGCATCCTGTAATTGTGATTCTTACTTGCCACTGGAGTTGACAGTTTCTTGAATGGATTAGACACCATTCCACCTGCAGGATATCTGGTCACCTTCTCATGCAACTTGCTTAATCTGGGCCTAGTCTTGGATGTACCATTTCTGTTTGATGACGCAGCTTTGCTCGCCTGATGTTCTCCAATGTCTAGGCTGCTGTTAACCCAGGACAAAATTGGAACTTCCAGTCAGGGTACAGCCACAGCATGTTGGGTCAGCCTTTCAGTTTCCACCAGGGCCCAAAAACAGTCTAAAACCTGTTTTTCAAATGGGATGTAGTGCGTGGCTATTTTGGGGACCTACAAGTTCAGAAACTCAGGGCTTATTGAATCCTAGTGTTCTTTTTATTTTTGCCAAAGGCTTAAGTCAGCTTGATCTCCCAACACTTAGGCTTGTAATTCAAAAGGGTAGGCAGGCTCTAATGGGTCAGGGGCAAGGCCTGAGTAATAGATTCCTGTAAAGGCTGGAATGCCTTAGCCTCCCTGGGCCCCTAATGGAAAATAGCTGCTTTTCTGGTTATCCGGCGGGGAGGGACCATCAGAATTCCCAGGTGGGTTACATGTTGTCACCAATATCTAAAAAGTCCAATCAGATATTGGTTCTTCTTTTATTGTATTTGGTCAGGTTAATGCTAACAATTTTTGACAGCCAGGCTCTGGCATCCAGTTTGGATTCTGGCCCAGGTGAACTTTACAAAAGTCACCTGTTGGGCTGGTCCCTGGATTCTGTTGGGGTCAGTTTCCTAGGCTGCTTGTTGCATATCTGTGACTATTAAGTCCGAGGCCTCTTGTGTGGTCTGCTCATTGAGGGCCACAGTGAGTATGTAATCTGTGTAATGGATACATAGGACTCCTCTGGGCAAGGGCACAGTAGTCACGTCCAATCTGCCTCATAGATGGCATATCAGGTGAGTTCAAATACCCCTGTTGCAGCACTGTAAATGTATATTATATTTACCCTGCCATGCAAATGCAATTGTATATGCATTTCCATTTACATGGCAAGGTACAAATGCAAATGTATCTTGATATGTAAATGCAAATTTGTATTTATCTTTCAAAGGGATCAGGAATGCATGAAGAATGACTTCGTACTATCTGCTGATGGTCCCCATGTTGTATTTGGTCACTGTGATGATATCTAAAATTGCTGGTGCTAATAGGTCTGTCATAGTGTTTAGCCCTGAAGAGTCAACTTTCAAGTGACAGGTCCCACTGTCTTTCTTAAGTGGTTAAAGCTAACTGTTAAAACTGAGAAGTTTGCCTGCTATTTGCACATAATGAAGAGTATGATGACCTTCTCCTCCACAGGAATGTGATATTGGCTTTATTGTATTATATTATGAGGTTTGGGGAGACATGGTGGCTCTAAGCTATAGACTTATCCTAGTGGGATGGCTAAAATGTTTACTTTATTTGGGATGTAACTCAGTAGGCACTGTGGGATTGTACATTGTATTTGGAGATCAATTTTCTAATACATTCAGCTAAAGGAAACACAACCACTGGGTCAATTAATGGCCCAAATGGACCCACTCATAAGCAAGCAACCAGCTTTCCACCTAGCATCCCCTTAGCTCCCTGAAAATCTAAAGCCACCCAGTGTCAATGCCCTTCTGCAGGACCAGGGGCCACAGTGACATGGGCCCCAGTGTCTAGCAGAGTCATGTAAGTTAAATTCCCCCACACCATATTCACTCTAACAAGTTCATGAGGCCTCCAGTCTCTAGAGGACAGGTGGAGACCTTGGTCATACTTCTATGCCTGTTTCAGTTTAGGGAAGTCTGAGTATGAAGATCTTAATGTCTCTGTCTGGGAAGATGGCTCTCCTGGAGAGGCTGAGGTGGATATCAGTTCCTCCACTGCCTATAAAATAATCAAAACTGTTTCTAGGCAATTGAGTATCATCCAGTTCCCCACTCCTGGGCCCATACAACCATAAGCCCATTGCCATCCTGCACAAGGCAGTGGTAGCCTCACCCTCCCTATGCCAGGAGTGTATAGGAAGCTTAGGCGTATCATACTGCGTGGGGTAAGAGGTTAGAATGCTAAATGCCAGACAAAAAAAGGAAAGATTCTGGTTTGTCACCTTGGCAATCTGCAGCCGTGGCTAGTTGGATCAGCCTGAGCATGTGCTCCAACACTAGGTTTAGAGCCAATCTACCCAAGCTTTGTCATTCCTTCCCCGACAGCAAAACACTCTACCCCCTGTTCAACGACTACCTCAAATAGCCAAGACAACATGTTCTCTCCTGGATTTTGCCACCACCAGCCCCTTGAGATCACAATTTCTCTTTCTGTGAAGGAACACACTTGATGGTTTTGTTTTAAGCAACTCCATCATCCATGTGCTCCTGCACATGTTGATTCCTTCTCAAGTGCCTCAAAGACAATCTGAGTACCTCTGTCCCATAATCCTTCAAGTACCTCAGGGTCTCACTGATCACTTGCTTCCATAGCTATCCTCCAAGGATGAGCGATTGCATAAGTGCCCAAAAACCAGGAGATCACGGACCTCATTCCTCTGTTTCCACATTCCTGTCTCTCTGTCTCAATACACACAGCCAGCTCACTCATATCAGTAGGAAGGGAGTGGGGGGTGACTATGTTCCACTTATCACCTTTCCTTCCCTATAAATCATCCAGCTGCAAGTCCAGCCTCTGACCCCCAAGCTAATATCTCAGCCTTGGGCTGGGTAGTAAGGGATATTTACGCATTTTACCAAACCATGGTCCCGGCAGACTGAACATACTCACTGTGCCAATGCATGCTAGTGTATTTTGGCAATGGCATCCTTACCGTATATCGCCAGCAGAAGACTAGATGGGCTAGTCAAATCCAGTTTGATAAACTTTTTATCTTTGTCATTCTTTATTTTTGTATGTATAAGTTTTTCTCAACTGGCTAAAGAGTATGAAAAAAGGTGATCATCTTTAAGTATGTTCCCTTGACTGCATTCCTCCCTTGAATTGGAATCTGAAAATTATTTGTTAAAACTATGACTGAACTGTACAGAGTAGAGAATTCTTGGGTTCTGTGAATTGACATGTCAAAAACAAGTTCTCAGTGGTGGTTGCCAAGGCTTTAATCAGAGAAAAGTGACTCAGTTTGAAGTAGTTTGAGTTCAAATAAAAGACGTGCTAAGATTTCAGATATGGTATTTTATTTTGAAACTGTGGCAGCAGATTTAATCCGAAAATAGGTTTAAATACTTATTAGCATTATCTATTGAGCTACGTCAGGATGGTTTTATATTTTATGTTGAATATTGCGTGCCCTGAGGTTGGATTTTGTCTCAGATAGGATAAAATATGGTTTACAGTTTCTAAAATATTTAGATTTGTTCTATATCTGAAAATTTATAAGAATAAATTAACAGCAATATTAACATCTATCATATTTTTACAGACACTGATATAACAGTTTTCCTGTTTGTACAAATTAAAGTTTACTGTATTTATTCATGCATAAAATTTGTTTGAATTTTATTCCACTCATGTGATTTTCTGCTTTTCAAGAGATTTTCTGCTTCTCTCTGAAGAGGAAGAAACTGTCACATTTTACAAGCAGCTGTTTATTCTTCAGAAACTGAACATGCATTGCAAAACATTGCCTTAAATTTAATTACTGCTTATGCCAGTTTGTTTTTCTTCAGTTTGTAGCAGAATGAAATGAACTGCCTCTGAACTGCCTCAGATTCATTCACTGATTTTATATACATCAGAAGAGTTATTTTATTTTATATTAGGTTTTAAATGTTTATTCATATGTATTTATCTAAAATAAGACAAAATACAAATTGAGGTATTTAGACTTCTAAGTTATTTAACTAACCATTGTCCTTTGGAGCTGAGATTTTATCCAGAATACTGTCACAACAAACTACTGGATAAAATATATAATCATTTACAAATGCATTTGTAATAATAGGGTATATACCATTAAGGATAATTTTATCATTTACTATATTAGAAATATTATTTTATCATATTTTCAGGAATATTTAGTGCAAAAGTTATAAGCTATGTTTTTACAAGAATTTGATGTATATTTTTCAAAGCCTTTAGAAATCTTAAATTACTCGTACACTAATATTCCCTTATATTAAAAATATTCATGGGGGATTGTGGACTGTTGTGTGTTACTAGGTACTGAATACACTCTGCTGCACAAGTCAAAAATGTCCCTCCTTTCATGGAGTTTCTTTCTTATAGTCCTTGAATTTAACTCATGGAATAACATTGTCATTTAAATGAAAGACAAAAAATACAAAACGTGTATAATTTATTTTTAAAAGAAAGATACTTTGTTACTTTCAAAATGAGATATATACACTATTTTGTGGGTGACATATGAAAAAAATCGTTTCCTCTAGACGCCTGGTTAGAAGGCATATTATCAGCCAACTCCAAATCTTGACTGCCTTTATATCTGGCCTGTATGTCATTACTTTGGTTAATATCTACCATGATTTCAGTAGCAGTAAAAACTGGAGGACAGCTGACCTGAGGAAATGTGGAATCTAAGATATTAATTTTTTTTTTTCTAAGTAACTTCAGTTTCCCTAAATTATTTGGAAAAGTAACAGGCATACCACACCATAATTATACCTGTGGATTCCTTTAACCATTGCTTTTGTTTTTCTTTATATTCTTAAAGTAAAAGCACAATGTTACCTTAATCTTTATCAATATGGTTTAGTGTTGCCAATGATCCACCAATAGCAAAATAACAGAAAAATACTAAGCTTTAAAATAAGCATAACTGTTATAAAGATATTATCATTAATCAACAATAGTCTTGTATTAAATGAAAATATCAATTAGAATTACCATAAAATTATGTTTATATCATTTTCTAATAAATATGAAGATAAGCACTAGCAGATCAAAACAAGTTTATTTTAAAATTATTTTTTATTTTTGTTTTATTACTTCTGTAAAATAAAATTTTGATTGTTTTGAGCACAGAATGCCCAGTTTCATTATTATATTTATAAGATATATACTTTTTATAAGGTCTTTGGGATTCCTAGTATATGGGAAACCTACCAAACACGGCAGCGATGATGTTGAGGACTGTTAGATAAAGGGGTTACTTAAAGGACTATTATTTTCTTTGGGGAGTCCCTAGTTTAGTGGAGTAGGGCAGGGGTCCCTAATGCTCCTGGCCACAGACTGGTACCGATCCACGCATGGCCTGTTAGGAAATGGGCTGCATAGCAGGATGTGAGCGGTGGGCCAGCAAGCATTACTGCCTGAGCTCCGGTTTCTGTCAAATCAGTGGAGGCTTTAGGGTCTCATAGGAGTGCAAACACCATCGTGAACTACATATGTAAGGGATCTAGGTTGTGCGTGCCTTATGAGAATCTATTAATAACTAATGCCTGATGATCTGAGGTGGAATAGTTTAATTCTTAAGCCATCCCCAACCCCTTCCCAGTCCATGTATAAATTGTATCCACAAAACTGGTTCCTGGTGCCAGAAAAGCTGGGGACCTCTGGAGTAGAGGATAATTTAAGGTTTAATGATACCATTTTAATAGTAAAAATGTGTAATACTTTTAGAAATATGGAATATGTCCTGTTTTAACCCTAAGGAATGACTATAATATAAAACCTTGCCTGATAATTTTGATCATGTAGATGATCAAAAAAAAAACCATTTTCTCCGGGATGAAATTCATAAAAACAATTCTTAGTCCAAATTTTCTTTGGCTAGTGATGAAAATGTCGTGTTATCCTATTCCTTGTGGATATATAAAGAATGACAGAAAAAAAAGGTGGTTTCTGAAGTTTAGTGTTGGCTTTGCATATCTTGGTTAATTCTATCCTGCAAATACATTTTAAAGCATGAGTTTCCATAGCCTTCTGTTGGTGAGATCTCATTTTTTTTGTATTATTTAAAAGATCCAGGCAGAACTAGAAACCCCCATCTCAGGCAAACAGGTGGAAAAAAAAAAGGAGCTGGTTGATGGACAACACAACTGGTTGCTATTTCCCACCCCTGAAATCATCTGCCTCACTACACACTTAAGATGACTGACAGTGTCAGTGTCCAATTATAGCATTACTTTTTTCATTTGGGACAGTAAGAGAAATGTTCTTGTATCCTCTGACATTTCAAAATGTAAAGATTGAGACTAGTTCATGCTTTTCCTCTCTTTATTGTGACATGAATTTTTCCAGGTGATTTTCATGCCTCAGATTTTGCCATATCATGATCTCCCAATAATTGCTCATTAAATTCAAGTATTTTCACATGATAAATATTTTATCATGTAACAAATGGTCACAGACTCCCTCAGGATTTCCAAAGCAGGTAAGTCCAAAGAACTTTCAACTCACAATATATCAAAGATTGTTTTCCTATATCATGTCTAGTAAGTCTAATAATTCTCTTACCAGGTAGACTAACCTACATATTGAGGAAAACCTTTTTCTTCAATCAAAGGAATTACCTGCAGATATTTAGAGAAGCAAACAGTTTCTTGAAATGACATCTCTTGTGTCAGAGTCCGGTTTAGAAGGAGGCCTATTGAATTTGTTGCTCCTTTTTCTACAACAAATTATTCTTATCAGTTCTAAAATTATTACTTTGTATGCTAAACTTAAGATGCTCTTATGCCTGTCTTACTTGTCTTCAGAGAGTGTCATTTCTTTAGATACAGTGCCTAATGCAGTATCTCACTTTCAGTAGTTGGATTTGTTGGAATCTAAGACAAATATTGAATTTAAATTCTAAAAATAGAAGAAGATTATAGTTCTGCAGGCTGAATTTCAGATTTTTACTTTGAGTATGTAGAAACTATATGGGACAAAATAAATTTGTGTCACACAAAGTATGTAATTATTGAGGCAAACTCTTGTTTGTCAGTATTTTTATTTTTTACAAAAATTATTTGTGAATACCTTACATATCTTTTCCTTTCTACTTAAAACTACCAAGACTAGCGGAGCCAGATAATACGTGAAAATGTTTAACAGAAATGCTCCTTTTTGAATTTTATATACACTCTCCAACCCTTGATTTACAAAGCTAGTAGCAACTGTTGCCTCAGTGGAAGTAATATAGCATTGGACAAATAAGTCATAGATCATTTATGAGTTTCAAATTAGACTTGTTACACGTTCATAGTAAAAAGCTCTGGAGCTACCATTTTTTGCAGAAGTCTGACGTTTTGAAAAATAAAAATATTTGTTGATCTCAAATTTGAGAGGTAGGATGACTTGGACTATAAAATACCTAGTGGACCTAAGTGTTTTTTTCCTGCCACACAATTTATCCTTGATTGCAAATGGCAAGCAGAAGGTTGGGTGCCACTTACTGGGGGCTCTACTGTAATCACTACTGAGTGCTCCAAAAGATCCCTGTCTGATCTTTGACTGCTCCTGGGGTCAAAACCCTTATTAGAGAATGATAAAACACCTTAGGTTTGTTCAGGACTTTTAGAGCACAGAGTCTGTGCTGAATTTGTGGTTGGGACTCTCCCTAGTGTCAACCCTGGAAAGAGTCCCTGGCTCTGTGAAATGGTCTCAGTAGTGTGGAAATGATTCATGCTATATTTAGGAAGAGGGATCTGAGACTCTCCTAGTTACCGGGTTTCCTCAGGCTCACTGAGCTTCCACACCATCTTCTCAGTTTCCTCTCTCTTCTAAGGGTGAGGACCAGCAAGGGGGCCCCGCCTTCTCTCCTTGTTATTGTATTGCTTTGCCTTTTGTCTTTGGGCAAACGTGTTTGCCTGATCACTTTTGCGTTCTTTGGGGCCCGAAAAGTGTTCTAGATAGCAAGTAATATGTAAGTGTAAATTGTTTTGGAATCTCTTTGAGTGCTGTTAAACTCCTTTAATAAATCAGATGGGTTTTGTTTATAAAAGTTTGGAGTTGAAATGCACAGATCTTTCCACATTGCCCATTTTGCTCTGTCATTAAAACATAGGTGCTCAGAAAGTTGTATTTTGAAATAAAGGCTAGAATTTGGGGAAAAAGAAGAGAAAATAATATCATATAATTAAAGGCTTTTTTTGCTAAGCATTTAATATGTGACTATACGGCCCTACGTTTGAGAAAATATAGGGTAGCATTATATCTATCATATCACTTTTTATAGAATGTTTTACAAATATCTTGACCATCTTCACAATCACTTTAATATTGTATTCATTTTTCCTTTGAGAATGGATGAAATAGCTAATGAAATCATTATTGGCTGCAGTATTTTCAAGTTCTCTTTTCCAATGCAATACAACTGACTTTTATAATTTTCATTATATTTAGTTCCACAAAACCAGTTTTTTTCAAAAAAAAAGTGTGTGTGTGTGTGTGTGTAAAACTTCTAAAACATTTATAAATAACAGTTACTAAAAAATAAAAAAAATTTTGCAAAATGAAAGAAAATTGAGTTTGGAGTAGGAGAACTCATCTTAATGAAAAGAATGTAGGAATTAAAAGTGGAAATTTGGAAGTCAGGTGGTGTTAGCTCAGCTTTGCCAGGTTTTAGCTGTGTGAACTTGATCAAGTTAAAAAACTTCTTGAAGTTTCAATTCCTCTTCTTTGAAAGAAGGATGTAGGAATAACAGTGAGGATCAGTTGAGGTAATGCATAAAAAGTGCTAGCATAGGCCCTGGCTTAACACAAATACTTAACAAACGGTAAGCGAAACATTCATGAGGGCAAGAACTCAGTTTTCATAATTGTTATTTCCCCAATGACTAGAACTGTGTTTCCCATATATTTAGCACTCAACTATTTATCAGAGAAATAAATTTCAATATCATTATTATTATAACGTTCAAATTAGACTAGAAACTTGCATAAATAAATATACACATAATTGAATAAAACAATTATGTTAGTTATGAAACTAAATATAAAGCAGAGAATCAGCAAAAAGAAGACTAATCAAACAGATTTCTAATGAAGGAAAACATTTTCATGATTAGGAGAAATTTATTGTATCAAGGATTACAATTATTAAAATAATATTAAAAAGTTGGTATTGTGGAATAATTATGTTGGCAAGTAATATAAATTTTCTCTTTTTAAATTTAACTTAATTAAATGTATTTATTTATTTATTTTGAGACAGAGTCTCGCTCTGTCACCCAGACTGGAGTGCAGTGGCGCAATCTTGGCTCACTGCAACCTCTGCCCACTGGATTCAAGCAATTCTCCTGCCTCAGCTACCCTGAGTATCTGGGCTTACAGGCATATGCCACCATGCTCAGTTAATTTTTGTATTTTTAGTAGAGATGGGGTTTTGCCACATTGGCCAGGCTGGCCTCAAACTCCTGACCTCAAGTGATCCACCCACCTTAGCCTCCCAAAGTGCTGGGATTACAGGCGTGAGCCATAGCAACTGCCCATAACATTTCTAATAAATTAATTTTTACTTTTATATAAGGGCAAAGTGATAATCTCTCTGTCCATTATAAAAATTTAGTTTATTACAGTTACAGTATTATTATAAATAAATATGAACCATGGCTCTGGTGAGCATTCCACAAAACTGTTATTACATTTTTGATTTAATTTTTTACAAATGCTGATAAGATGAAAAGATTTAAAAAGAGATACATTCAAAAAGAAGTACTTTAAATACTTTATAAAAGTAAGAGTACACTTAGCATGCATTCAAATAGATAATGCTTTGTAAATATGGCCACAGATGTAACAGATTCTAGAAGAGATTCTTCACAAATATTACTAATGAAAAATACATCTAAAATAATATAAAAAAGTCTTTCACACTTATAACTAAATATGGCTACTGTACTAGACAGACTGTGAGACTTTAAATAACTCACATTCAGTCTTTTGATTTGACATTTGACTGTGATTCCTTTCCACAGAGACTGATTCAGGAGTTAGCATCTTAGACAAAGGCAATCTTAGACTAGACTTATGAGTAATAATAAATGGCAAAAATCAAACAAGCAAGCACACGCCTACCCAGTGGGGATAATCTCCCTTTGATGGTGACAATGCAGTTCAGACACGTCCTTTCTGGTTGAGAGTTTTAAATATAATACCTAGACAGACAGCCACGGAAGTGTGGCAATAGAATCAGTACTGGGAACAGGAGGAGGAAGACAGAGCGGGAATACAGCAGGGTTGTTAAGATGGAGGTAATACCAGAAAAGGGATGTCAGTTTGATACCTGAATTGAGGTATTAGTAAAGCTTCCATGTGTGATTTCTGAAAAAAAAAAAAAAAATCTTTGCTTCCTTATTTTCCAGTACACACTCTCTAAAATAAATTCCCATCATGAAATATAACTTGAGGTTGTTCTATTGCTTGTAATTTGAACTAACCTATGCTATTTTTGTCTTCAGAAATGTTTTAAGAATTTAAACCACTGGTTTCACCTTGAAATCAGAATAATTAAAAGATCTCTTCCACCACAAAAAACAGTACCAGAGATATAATAAACCATAGTTATTCCACAGCATGCTGCTGTTCAGTAGTTGTAGGGATTTTGTAAAATCTTATACAACTTAAAGTTTTCTGTAACAGTTTTATTAAAAATGGATATTAGTGATACAATTGACTCTTGAACAACATTGGTTTAAACTGCATGAGTCCATTTATACATAGACTTTTTTTCTATAACTATACTGGAAAAACTTTTGAGGATTTGCAACAATTTGAAAGCCCTCCTAGGTGAACTGCGTAGCCTAGAAATGTCAAAAAAAATTAAGAAAAATTTATGTATGTCCGAATGTGTAAAATATATGTAGTACTAGTCTATTTTGTTATTTATTATAATAAAACATCCACAAATCTATTATGAAAGGTTAAAATTTATCAAAATGAATGCACATAAACACAGACCTCACGTGGTGTCATTCGCAGTAGAAGTAAATGTAAACAAGTGTAAGA
Organism: Homo sapiens; assembly: GCF_000001405.40. Classification (NCBI taxonomy): domain Eukaryota; kingdom Metazoa; phylum Chordata; class Mammalia; order Primates; family Hominidae; genus Homo; species Homo sapiens. The sequence continues at coordinate 195,957,416 of NC_000001.11, read as the reverse complement.
ATTTATATTAAATCATAACAGCATAAAATTAACTGTAGTATGTAGTGCACTACTGCTGTAATTTCATAGCTGTCTTCTGTCGCTATTGCAGTGAGCTCAAATGTTGCGAGTATCTCTCAAAATTGTGATGCTAATTATCTCCATGTGAGCAGTTCTCTTTAGTAAATTGCATATTGCAGTTAAAAGTAATCCCTCATGGTTCCCCTGTATTTTTCATTGTGTTTAGTGAAATAGAGTAAATCTTGAATAACATCGTGAGATGCATACAAAGAACAAGTGATGCTGAAAGCGCTCCCAAGAAACAGAAAAGTCATGATATTACAAGAAAAAGTTGAATTGTTTGATGTGTACAATAGATCAAGATCTCCAGCTGTGGTTGCTCAACATTTCAAGATAAATGAATACGGTGTAAAGACCATTGTGAGAAAAAAAAAAAAAAAAGGAAAATTGTAAAGTCATGGCTGCAGTTATGCCAGCAGGTGTGAGAATCTTGTGCTTCTTGCAAAATACCTTTGTATCTCCTATTAAAAATGCAGGTTTTATGTGGGTACAGGATTGTTATAACAGAGGCATATCTATAGATTCTAATATGATTTGAGAAAAAGTGAAATTATTATATGACAACTTAAGGTAAAAGAAGGTGAAGGATCCAAAGCTGAAGAAGTTAATTCCAGCAAAGCATGATCTGATAATTTTAGAAAGTGGTTTGACTTAAAAATGTCAAGATAACAGGAGAAGCAGCTTCAGCCAACCAAGAAGCAGCAGGCAAGTTCCCAGACGCCACTGAAAAAATCATGGAAGAGAAAGAACATCTGCCTGAACAGGTTTTTAATGCAGACAACAGTGCCTTATTCTGGAAAAGAAAAATCCCACAAAGAACATTTATTAGTTGAAAAGAGATAAATGCTTCTGAACTAGTGTCAGACAATGAAGAAGAAGATGTAGAAGAAGTGGTACCAGAAAACAAATTGACAGACAATCTGGCAGAAGCGTTCTGTTTATTCGTGACTGTTTATGACTTCTTTTATGACATGGACCCTTCTATGGGCAATGAAACAAAATCAAATGGTAGAAGAAGGATTATACAGTATAGAAACATTTTTTGAGAAATGAAAAAGCACAAAAAGAGTCAGACAGAAATTAGGTTGTATTTCCATAGTTACACGTAGCATACCTGCTTCTCCTGTCCCTTCTTTTACCTCCTTTACCCTCTGCCTCTGCCACCCCTGGGACACCAAGACCAACCTTTCCTCTTCCTCCTTCTTTTCAGCCTACTCAATGTGAAGAGGATAATATGAAGACCTTTATGATGATCCACTTCCACTTAATGAACAGTACACTTATTTTTTCTTCTTTATGATTTTCTTCATAACATTTTCCTTTCTCTGACTCACTTTTTGGCAAGAATATAGTCTATAATGCACATAACATACAAAATATGTGTTGATTGATTTTTTGTTATTGATAAGGCTTCCAGTCAACTATCAGTAGTTAAGTTTTTGGAAATTCAAAAATTATACGCAGATGTTTTTTGACTGTGTGTAGCAGTAGGGGTGGGAGTTGGTGCCCCTAACCTGTGTATCAGGGGTCAACTGTATTTGAAAGGAGCCAGATAGACAATTTTGTTTTTTCTTCTTTATACCCAGTATTTTAATAATTAGAATAGTTTTGTTACATAAGATCTCCAGACACTTTCAACTTATTTTAGTCTCTACACTAATAGACTAGATCTTATCTTTAATCTTCATTCCTATATGCTATTTTAAGCCAAGTGTTAGTGTTAATGTTAGCAATATTTGAATTAAGACATCAAATAGTAGTAGCTGTTTTTTTAAAATATACATCTGTGTTTACATCTCTTCTGGATTATATTTTCATAATGATATAACTAGGCAACTGGAGAAATGCATTTTCTCTTTATAGACCAAACACCGGCAATTTACCTGGACCTGGAATGGATTTCTTACCAGTTGTGCAAATGTAAAGCAATTAGGAAAACATTTTCCTAGGGAATGGTTTAATGATTTATTTGTGGGGCAACAAAAGCACTACTACTCTGTATACTTCTGGATAACACTGGTATTATAAACAGTATTATAATAAATAAAAATAAAAATAAATGAACAGTGATAATGAAACAGGGTATTTCCCTGACCCCTTTGTGGGCGGGAACTGGAGTACAGGAGCTCGGGAGTCAGCTGGCCTCTCCAGCGAGTAGGTAAAGGAGCCAGGCAAGTGCTTTTGGGCACCGGCAGGAGTGAACTCCATACCAGCCCTGTGGCAGCATCTAGGGTGTGGTGCCTGTGACCTTTGAAGCCCCAGAGGAAATGTTACAGTGCTGTTTTAGCTCAACCATCCATGGGCAGCTTGAGTGTTGACAACTCAGTGGGCCCTCTGCCTTTTCATGTGAGGCAGCTGCCTTCCGCCAGTTAGGGTAAAGGGTCAGTGTGACAGCCGTTTGCATCTGCACTCATGGCACCCAAGCTCTTGTCCGGTGTCCAGGAGAAATGAGGTCACACAAACAAATTGGAGGATGGTAAATGTGGAGGATTTTATCACTAATGGAAGTGGCTCTCAGTGGGAAGGGGAGCTGGAAAGCGGATAGAGCCAGAAGATAACCTTCCCTTGAAATCTGGCTGTCTCTGGCTGGATTCTTCTCTGAAGTTACACTGTCAACCTGTCCGTCTGAAGTTAAGCCACTTCTCTCCAATATCCAACCATAGTCTCTGATGTCTGGCTACTTCTCTCTCTGCCAGTTTAGCCTGGGATTTTTATACACACAGGATTGGGGGCAGGCAGGCCATGTTGGTTTTAGAAAAGGCAACATTTGAGTCATGAGGGATGTAAGTTCTCACTTTGAGCCACAGTTCCAAGCTTTTCAGCTCGAGGGTGGGTCCCTCGCCAGGGACCTTCCCTCTTCTGCATAGAATTTCCCTGCCTCCTGTCCCTATCAATATTATAAATAGTGGTGTTATAGAAAGGACTATTTATAAACAATAGAAACTTATATCTCACAGTTTTGTAGGCAGGGAAACCCAGATCAAAACACCAAGTTCCTGAAGATTCAGTGTGTGGTGAGTGCCAATTCCTCCTAGATGGTTCTTTCTCCAAAGTCCTCACATAGCAGGAGGGATAGAAAGGGCAAACAGCTTCCTTACACCTCTTTTATAGATCACAAATTCCACTGAAGAGGGGAGAGCACTCCTAAAGGCCCCACCTCTTAATACAATCGCATTGGGGATTACATTTCAACATATGAAATTGGTGGGACACCAACACTCACACCATAGCAGAGGAAACAGAGGCCTTCACTACTATGTGTGACTGCAATGATCTATTTACATAGTGAGAGGGGCTGGCACAGTGGAGCTGAGGTTATAAGCCATTGGGCACAACCACACTAGCACTATATTAATTTTTAAAAACTATACCTTAGCATACAAGTGATATTTAAAGGAGCTGGGTTTTTTGAACCCCAACCCTGATCTCAGAGTAGTATCTAAGGACATAATCATTAAGTATTTCTGGACTTGTGTGGCTGGTTTTCATCATTTGTAGGGATAGGATTATGTGTGTCTCTGAGTTTATACTATTATATCATCCTGCAATATGTTGATATTTAAAAAGACTAGCCTGGTGAACGTGGTGAAACCCTGTCTCTACTAAAAATACAAAAATTAGCTGGGCATGGTGGCACACACCTGTAATCCCAGCTACTCGGGAGGCTGAGGCAGGAGAAATGCTTGAACACAGGAGGCAGAGGTTGCAGTGAGCCAAGATCATGCCATTGTTTTCCAGCCTGGGCGACAGAGAAAGACTCCGTCTCAAAAAAAAAAGAACCTCATACTACTTTTAAAATCAGATTTTAAGAACATAAAATCTATATACAGCTGTATATAAAAGTTGAGGGGTCAAAATAATTGTTCATGGGTAGATTTAAAAGCAATTCATAAGAATATCTTAATTGCTTTCAACACTATATCTAGCAGAATAACCATTAATTTTAATATCTTGTATATTTGTTTAAATATTTTTTGAATAAAGCTTAAGAGGATATCAAGTTGCATAAATAAGTATCTCTGTCCTTCTCATCTAAATAAGATTAAACTTTCTAATTGAAAGTTACATACAATTTGGAGTGAAATGATCATTTAAATCATTTTAACTCTCTTAATAAAATCACTTTGATTTGTATACACAGTGCTTAGGATGATAATACACTGGAGGACAATATTATAAATGATAAACAGTTGTGCTACTTTGAGATAAGCAAATTTTATCCCATTTACTTCAATTGCAGAAATACATTGAGCCTAAACTACATGTTGGTGCAGTTCTAGTTCTAGGCATTGTGTATAGAGTAGTGACCAAAAATAGTCTTTGACCCTACAGAGTTCAAATGTAATTTGAATTCTTTGTAATCTTGTTCAAAATTATGTTTGAATTCCATAGGGTCAAAGACTGTTTTGCAGAAACAAAGGGGCAGAAAGTAACAAAAAATTTAATAATATCAGGTGATGATAAGTAGTCCAAAGACAGATAAGTGTGTGTGGACATGGAATATGGGATTAATGCTATTGAATATTAGCTAGTTAAGGTCTTTCTTGTAAGGTGACACATTTGAACAGGCACCTGAAGAAAGTGAGGGTGGAAATGACAAGGGTCTGGGGCAAAAGTGGGTTGGTGTAGTCCAAGTATAGCAAGAAGATCACTGGATATTTTGCAGTAATATTGGTGTGTTAGGACAGGAAGTGGAATCTGAGAGTTAGTCCAGATCAAAGCATATATTGCTATATCTAACACTGTGTGAAATGGGAAGCCATTGAAAAATTTTGACCGGGCATGATGGCTCATGCCTGTAATATCAGCACTTTGGGAGGCCAAAGTAGATTGACTGCATGAGGTCAGAGATTCAAGGCCAGCCTGGCCAACATGGTGAAACCGGGTCTTTACCAAAAAATACAAAAATTAGCCAGGAGTGGTGGCTCATGCCTGTATTCCCAGCTTCTTGGGAGGCTGAGGTGGGAGGACAGCTTGAACCTAGGAGATGGAGGTTGCAGTGAACTGAGATCGTGCCACTGCATTCCAGCCTGGGTAACAGAGAGAGACTCTGTTTCAAAGAAAAAATAAGTAAATAAAAGAAAGAAGAAGAAAAAAGAAAAGAAAAAGAAAAATTTTGACCAAATGATGACCATCTAGATTTAGTAAGTAAACACACAGGATGCCTAATTAAATTAGAACTGAAACAGTGAATGATTTTTAGAAAATATTGTGTCCAAAATCTTGTATGGTCATATTTATGGTAAAATATTATTCATTATATAAAATTCACATATACACATTATCTTGAATTTTAAAGAAATTATCTGTTGTGTTGTAAATAAACTTTATGGTGGGGCAGAAGCGAAGTGGGTTGAATCTATTTGAATGGATTCAAATACATTTACTCTTTTTAATCTGAGGCTGTCCTATAAACTAGTTTCTAACATGGTAGAAATATGTAGGAAGATAGATGAATTTGAGTTCTCTCAGTAAGGATCTATCTTGCAAAGCTTTCTTCAGATATCAGTAAAGCCTCTTTGATGTGTATATAATTTATTTCATCACAAAAATAAAATCATTGATTTTACATAAATATAGGCATTTATTTTGAAAAAAAATCAGGAAGAAGACAAAACAAGTTGAGCTGCAGAAAATTTAAACAATGGCTGGGCACAGTGGCTCACACCTGCAATCCCACCACTTTGGGAGATGGAGGTGGAAGCATCCCTGGAGCCCTGGAGTTCCAGACCAGCCTGAGCAACTAGCAAAGCCCCATGTATACAAAAAAAAAAAAAAAAAAAAAAAAAAAAATTGGACTGGAGTGGTGGCGCCTGCCTGTAGGTGCCTGACAGCTATTGGCAGTCTGAGGTGGGAGGATTGTTTGAGCCTGTGGGTCGAGGCTGCAGGGAGTCATGGTTCCTGCACTCCAGTCTGGGTGACAGAGAGAGACCCTGTCTCAGAAAGAAAAAAAGATTTGAACAATGCAATGAATGATTTTGACCTAATGTGCAAATTAGAATATTGTACCTAGTAAGTCTATATTATTTTTCAAGTATACACAATACATTTACAAATGTTGATCTTATACTAGACCCCTATGCATATGTCAAAAACTTTTCAGAAGTGAAATCAATGTATGTTTTTAAAAAACACAATTCAATTATACTCAATTAATGGCAAGCTGCAACTAAAATATCCACATATGTTTACATATTAAGCAATATGAGTGTATTAAGAAAATATTTTAATGAATAAAAAGTAATGTATATGAAGTACTGTTTGAAAAAGATAAAACAACATTTTGAAGATATTTAAAAATTTAAATGTATACTTAGTAATAAAGTATCATCTCAGAAGTTTGCAAAATGAAGAGCAAAATGGGCTTAAAATGTAGACAGTAGAAAACTACACATTTAAGAGAACAATAAATAAAAATGCCCACACTGTTAAGAAATTCAACAAAGACAAAAAATGTTTCTTCAAAAAGAATAACACAATTGATAAAACAGTGGCTATTTGATGAAGAAAAACAAAGAAGAGAAAAAAAGGTATAAACATATAAATATCAGTAATAACAAAGAATGAGTGATGAACAACGGGGTAGATATTAAACACAATAGAAAAGGTGCTATAAATAATAGCAATATAGTTAAAAATATATATTAAATAGATAATTTTATAAAATTGACATTGGAAAAATTTAAATTAGTAGTCTGTATTTTATAGAAATTGAATAAGTCATCAATGTATTTCTACAAACAAAACTGAAGGTCATGATGGCCTATTATTCTACCAAACAAAAAGGTAATACTTCCAATATTATAGAAACTTTTGTAGAGAATAGAAAAAGAAAGCTCAGACCATTTTATGAGGCTGAAAAATTTGACACCAAAATCTGACAACGATAGTATGAGAAAGAAAATTTGCCAGCCATTTTTACATAGAACCATAGGCATAACAATTCTCATTAAAAAAAAAAAAGTACAAACCCAATACAGCCATATGCAAATAGAAAAATACAACCTAAACAAACTGGATTTATTTCAGAAATATGTTTGCTTTCACATTAAAAATGAATAAACATAAGTCAATATCTCAACTGATTAAAGCATAAAATATTGTGATCCCCTAGAAGCAGAAATAGTTATTGCAAAACTTCAACATTCATTCATCATAAAAGTAATAACAATCTCATGGCCTTTAGCAAAGTAGATATAGAGGAGAACTTCCTTAACCTGACAAAGGCTGTCTAAAGCAAAATATAACAATTAAAAATCTTATGAGACCATTTTGCTTTTTTCTTCAAAAATATAAATGATCTAAAAACAGACAACAAAAAAAACCCTTCTGTAAGCTCCTATAATACACCTACTCATCTTCTAGCATCTCTATTTTATTTAAATACTTTACCTTTTCTTTTATAGATGACTTCCCTGTGCTGTCATCTAATATATTTATTCCCACCAATTTTTCCCCAAGGAATATGACTCTAGAGATTCTTCTCACTGATCAAAAATCCTTTTCTTTTTACTGGAGCATTCCTATCAGCATAAACATTTTATCTCATATTAAAGACAAAACAAAACATGTCTATAAACCCAGCTCACTTTTTATTAGAGGCAGTCTTCTATTTTCTGTATAATAGAGTGTGGAAGTACAGAAGATTGATTCAAAAGATTGTTTACTGCGTCTGTTATTTTTCTGCTCTGTGTACAAATCTTTCCTTATTTTTGAACATTTGTGAGGTTAATGAGGTTCATGAAAGAGTCCCATAAGTCATAAGCTCATTGTGTGATGCTATACTAAATATTGCTTCATCTACCTCATTTATTATACTTCATCTTGAACAGTCTCCTCTGCTATGCATCTAAGTCATAGAAAATACAGTTGTTAAATTGGAGAACATTTCTCAGCATTATATAACTGGGTTTTTAAAAGGCCATTCTATACTTCCATCATGTCCTCCTCATCTTTATACATCTTATGTGCATAATTAAGTGAATACTGAACAGGTGTTTTAGCATTGCCACAACTCATTTAGAGCATATTATTTATATCTAATTTATATCTATATATTTAGAACACATTATTTATATCTGTGTTTATACTTGTATAACTAGAAGTCCTTGGAAGAATCAGAGAATTCTAAAGAGAAGCTTCGAATATATCACATTTTTTTTCTGCGTGTGCCATGGCAAAATTATTGTTTTCACATTTAGGCAGGGGCTGAAATTGGATAGAATGATTAAAGGGCAGTAAAAATGCAGGTATGTTGGGTATGTGTGTGCTAGAATGGCACCCTATGTATTACTGAAATTTGAGGGCTATCTGTATTTAAATTTGCTACTAAACATTAGCTGCAGTAAAGAAAGTCATGACTTCTAAAATATAAATGACTTCCAAATCTTGTTGATTTGTTTTATCATATCATAATTGTGATGGCAGTGGCTGCTGCCATCATGCTGGCTGCAGCAGGGAGGCACAACTAGGGCTGCACACTCCCAGGAGGGCAGGCCTACTGCCCAAACTGCGGCTGTGGGTCTCAGCCTTTCTATGCTCTTGGGGGAGCAGGCAGGATCTGCCTTCCCGGGTGCAGTTGCAGCCGCGGAATTCGGGGGGTTGCAGACCTGGGCCTCCCGCTCCATGAAGCAGGCAGGAGCCAGGGACAAGCGGGAGCCCTGCATCTTCTGAGTTGGTGTGGTGGAAGTTCCTCCTGGGTGCAGCTGTGGCTGCCCTCCCAGGCGCAGGACCTGGGCATCTCTTCAGCCTGCACCTCGGGTGCCCCAGGAAGGACTCCCCTGTCGCTGCAGGCTCAGGGGTGTCTTGTTCCACTGGCCTCTCTCTGCTCCGGAGGCCGCTCTGATCTCAGAGTGGGGTTGGAGCCAAGCCCCAGAGCTTTGAATGGCAGCGGGAAGCAGACTCCTGGGCAGAAGGGGCGAGGTCCCCAGTAGGGCCTCATCCTCAGGCCAGGGAGGGCCTGAAGGCTGGGGGCTGGGCTACCAGTCCTGCCAAACGGAGTGGGGACTTGTGCCTCTATCAGCCGCCCATGGCTGCCCATGGACCAATTGGCACACACTTCCTCCCCTCTGAGGTCCATAAAATTCCTGGGCTCAGCCAGAGCAGGGCAGAGGACGCCCAGAGGAGGAAGAGGGCAGAGAGACGATGGGACAGGACGACGAGTTGCAGAGAGGTGTACCCTCTCCACTGAGAGGTGCGAAGACCACTGGCCGGCAGAGAGGAGCTACTCTCTCTCCTGAGATCTTCAGAGACCTGCAGAGATGTCCGAATGGCTTGTCTGTGGAGAGGAGCCACCCTCTCCAGGGAGGCCCTGCTGAGATCTCAGCTGAACACTCGAAAGGAGTGATCTGCCTACAGAGAGGACCTACCCACTCCTCTGAGCTGTTCTAACACTAACTAAAACTCTTCTTCACCCTTCCCTTGTCTGCATACCTCATTGTTCCTGGATGCAGGGCCAGAATTCGGACAAAGGCGCTGTGGCCACGTAGGTTTCCAGCCAGAAAAATCAACACCCCAGAGTTCCCGTAATGTCGGCACCCCAAGCTCACTTCCGATTTCCATTCATGGCCTTTTTATCCTCTGCCCTGAGCCCAGGCCGATTGGCTGCTATCAAGTTCACTGCCTAGGCTCTCCTACTGGCTGATTTCAGGTTGGTTCAGCTAATGTGTCTTAGCTTGAATTCCTTGAAAATAGGCTTTGAGATGGAGAGTTGTTTGGGAATTCATGCATAATTCTCTCAAAAGATACACTTGGAAGGAAGTAAAGTAGGCAGTATTACCAAAGGAGAAGCTGACCTGCAGTATGATTACATCTGAGGACTCAGCCATCCTAAGGGGAACTCTGGAGCTCTGATGATCCTTCAGAATTGTTCCAGTTTGAATTGGTCCAATTTGAGGCAAGGGACAGACCTATGTAGCCCCACTTCATCCAATCATTGATTCTGCACCAGCAGTTAAATATTCCTAGCAGCAGGGGACTGCGTGCCTAGGTTTTTAAGAGATGATCTAGTTAGAGCCCCATAAAATCCACTAAAGAGCAGAGGGTGGAAGAAGACATAGGTCTGGTCTTTGCTCTGTTCTCTCACAACTAAGTCACCTGGCAGTGGCTGTTTTCCAGCACAACTATAGCTCAAGTAGGTAGCTCTTCCTTCATGGCCTCACCCTTTACTGGGCTACTTGATACCTTCAGCCCTGGGAGACGTAATGGCTGACTGTTGTTGCTATTCTCTAGGTGCATCAACATTTTAGTTAGTTGGATTCATTATAATGCTCTCACATTTCTGTAAATGTTATCTTAATTAGCCTCTTCAAACATCTGAATTTGATTATTCCTGATGAAACACTAATTGATATGATGGCTGAGCTATGAGACTCACATTGCTTTGTTTTTATTGAGTGTAAGATAACTTGCATTTCCTTATCAAAGAAGACATCTTAGACCAGGAAATGATATTAATTAATTACCAGCTGTAACTAATATTCAGCTAACAGATTAAACCATTTGAGGGAGCACATTAAACGTAAGCCAGGCTGGAGACATCAGTGATTCTTACTACATATGCTAAAGGCTAACCAAGGGTTTTTAACTTAGTTTTAGCAAGTGAGGTCTCTGTTCCGACAGTCACTCTAGAGGCTTCTCAAGTCACTAAGAACAAAAGTGAAATTCCGTGCTTACAAAGCTGTATACGGAATGTTCCTTATTTTAACTTTGACATGTTTTCCTGTCATATGTCCCTTTTTCTCTCCAGCATAGCTGCACTGGCCTAGCTCATGCTTAGCTGAGCAAACACTCTCCAAATTCAGATTTTAAATACTGTGGCTTCTACCTGGACTGCTGTTTCCCCAGATAGCATTGTGACTTGTTCTTTTTCTTTTTTAAATCTTCTATCAGAGATCTTCTCTGACCACCTGCCCAAAACATTACCCCTGATCCCTTACTCCAGCAGAAGCCCTAAATCCCAATTTACCTGATGATATTCTTTCCTCACAGGAATCTTCAATTATGGTAGGTCTACTTATTTGTTTATTGTCTACTCTTGCCATGGGACATAAGCTCTATGAGCGTAGGTTCTGTGAACACTGTTAGAGCCTGTTCAATAGTGTTTATTACACTGCCTGGCATGTGGTTGCAACTGGATAAATACTTGCTAACTGAGTAAGTGAATAAATGAGTGGGGAAGAATTACATTCAGATGAACCCAGACAGAAAAGAAAATATTTCTCCATAATTTCTAGAAAAGAAAATATTTTGCAGTCTGAGACGTCCTTTCTTAGAGGCCCCACTTTGTCCTACAAAATTCAAAGATCATTTTTTCAAAATGGTAGCTAGCCTGAGACTTGTATTCTTGTACCAGTTGCATGATGGACAAAATTAAAAAGAATCAATACAAAGAGGAGAGGAATAAATTCGAAAGAAGACAATATCCTCAGAGGAGAGGCCAAGATACTGCTTGTCTCAGTTTAAATGTATTTATAATCCCTTTCCTTATCCCATTAGCATTTCCAGCACAGTATACTAACTGTTTCCTTGGCTCATTTTCAAGGTTTATGTTTTCTGCTTCAAAATAGTGGTACTAAAAGGTGTTGAAGGAGGGGAACAGGAATAAAGGGTGCCTGAGCTGCCCCAGCAGCAGCAGGTCTGAATCCTGGGTAGTTAATTAAATTACAGACTTTTAAATCTCACTTTCAAGGACTCAGAATCTGAGAATCTGTACATTTGTTAAAAATTAGATGTTTCAGATAATATAATGTAAATATTCATATTCAATATAATCTATTTGAAATGTGATCATTCCTCTAAATAAGCTAAGCAATTGGCTGTTAATATTTCAAAGGGCAAAATGTAATAATAAACTAACTGGAAGTTTGTCTTCTCTTTCTAACCATCTTAGGTACATAATTTCTTATTTTGATTAATATGAAGTTGAAGATTTAAGCAATCTCTTTAATTGTATTTGCAAAAATCTGCATTTGAAAGAAAACACAAGCATTTAGAGAAAGGGAAAGGTCAGCTGTACCTTATATATTATCAATTCAGATTGATATATAAATTATAATTAATTCTCATAGCAAGGTGAAACTTTTTAAATCCTCTGAACACCCATGCATTCCTCCCTAATTTTCCAACAATGTTTATAAGAAGAAAGTGCATAGAAGATATTAATGATTTGAATTTTACCATTTTACATATTATTATCATTTGGCTTATCTGTAATTATGAAGTGCTGTACTTCTTGGCAGTGTATACTAATCCCTAGTCTAACTGTGCTTCCATTCTCACTAGGGGAGGAATTCCATGGGAAGATGGTTCTTCTTTTCTGGGAAAAAGTGACTGGCAAGGAACTTCATGATGCTCATTTATTCTTTTCCTAATATTAGGTTGATACAAAATTAATTGTCATTTTTGCCATTACTTTTAATGGCAAAGGCCGCAATTACATGGCAAAAATCACAACTAAGTTTGCACTAACCTAATATTTATTGAGCACACTTGGTATAATAGACTATATACTATGTTCTGAGAGTATGAAGAAGTAGAATAGACAGTTCTTGACTTTAAGGATTCAGTATTCATATAAAGTCCTCTCAAAATGGACCCTAGAGAAGGTGACTATAAGTATAAAAAGCTTTGCAATTTTTCCCATAAAGTATAGTAATGTCAAAATCTCAATATAGATTTAGGATCTTGATAGAGTAAAAGATACATTTCCAGAAATCTCAAGAGCCTCACTGGCCTTTCAGGATCATCAGTATGTTATGGCTCAAATACCTTTGTAGTCTTGGAAAACGTAGTTAATACTTTTGGTCTTCATTACACTTGTCTTCAAAAACTCATTACAAGATGTCTAAGAATCTTAACTAATGTCAATAATTTAATTAAAGAAATTATTTGAAGTCTTAAATGCCAAATAATTAAGGTAGTACATATATAGAGTCAATAATATAGAAGTATATAGATTCTTTTATCTAAAAAACTGATGTATTTGATATGACATGATTTATGACAGCAAATTTAGGCTAAATGCAGCTTTATAGTATTTAAAAATCAAATTTCTGACATTTATAGATATGTTTTCTAAGTATTACTCATTTAATTCAGCAAATAGCTTTGTTAACAAAAATGGGGCTTTCTTTTCCTAGTATTTTTTCTTCATACCAAGTTGGAAATGTTACCTTGAGGGTACATTGATTAGTTATGCATGTTTTAAGTGTAAAATGCTCTGGGAATTAAAATGAAGAGCTAACTAATTTACGTAATAGTTTCTCCATCTCTAGCCCCACATCATCTGTCTTCAAAAATTTGACTTTCATTGGATACTTCTTGAAGAATTACTAAAATATGTCCATTAAAATATAATTATTAATGATATCAGTAAAGAATATAATTTTACTAGTTACCTTCAGAATATTATGCCAAATAAAAATTATTTGTTGCATATTTCCAATTTGCATCATAGGCTTCACCAGTCTATGCACATATGTGTTGTCACATCAACATGAATGCCTGGCTCTTTGCAGAGTACTTTCTCCAAAACTCCTGTGTAATGAGATGTTACTGTACTGATGATAATGACTGGAGGTATTAATCACCCAAGTCCAAGGCTCACCATTCTTTCTGACATATATAGAAAAGTTACCTTCTTCGTGTATTCATCTTTTTTAAGATGATATTTTATATCAATGGCTTGGGCCACTAGTAATAAGATTATTTTTACGATAGTATCCAGACCTGAGTGATAGTTTTTTTCAGCAGAATCACTTTATTTAGACTGTTAGTGCTAGTAATTGGACAACTAAGAATGTGCAAGCCTTCCCAGTCAGAGCCTCATACTGAAGCTTGATCCACTGTTAGCTCATCCTCTGAGCCTATTCCTAAGTCTGTCTCCACACTGAATGTCTGCCGATTAGGATCATTTTGCTCTCAGGACTCATATTAGTCCGGTTGGACTGCTAGAACACAATACCTCAGACTGGGTGGCTTAAACAACGGAAATTAATGCTTTCACCATTCTAGAGGTTGGAAGTCCAAGATTAATGTGCCAGCAGGGTTGGTTTCTTGTGAGGCCTTTCTCTTCGGATTGCAGACAGCTGCTTTCTCATTGTGTCCTCATATAACATTTTCTCTATTGTCATCAGTCTCACTCTCCCACTTCTCCCTCTAGTTTTGTTAGAAGTAATCATGTGCAGATGTGTACGTATACTTAACTAGACAACAATTACGTTCCAGTTCTTACCACCGGATTTCAAGGGCATATGCAAAATGAGGTGTATGATTGCACACCTGTTTAATACTTCTTGAGTATTATTGATGGTTATACAGGCTTTTCAGTCCAGTGTGGACAGAAAGCATCTCAGTGTGTGTTTTCCAATTCTATCTGCTTGCATTAGTCACCAAAAATAATATAAAAATTGAATTTTGTTTACTGCTCTTGAGCAAAAGAACAAATCACTCTTTATAGTCACTCTAATAGTTCTTCAACAGAAAACCCTAATTTCCTTTCCTTTATAAGGGTATATTCTGTTCATAAGGGCTCTGTCCTAATGAACCAATCACTACCCAAAGGCCATACCCTGCCAGTGCTATCACATTGATTACTAGGTTTCAATACATAAATTTTGGGGCACAAAGCCTTTATGTGTGAAGGGCAAATATATTTATTGTCTGAATGCTTTCATTCAGACCATAGCCAATACATTCCAAAAACTATGCTCAATGGTATTTCATTTTTCTTACGTAATGTGTTTTCTTCTTTGGATGAAAGAGCCATGCTGAAACATATGACAAGTGATTCAAAGATATAGGTTTTGTTCCAAAATATTGGAGGGAAAATGCTAGGATTAATGTAATATGTTTTCTCCTTTGGAAGAAAGTGCCATGCTGAAACATATGACAAGAGATTCAAAGATATAGGGTCTAGCTCCAAAATATTGTATATAAGAAGGGGAAATGCTAGGAGTAGAATAAAAAGAAGATGATGATTGAGATTAGGGCCATTGTGTGTGTCTTGGGGGTGTGGAGTGGGTGGGCTTGAAGGACACAGAAATAGGTTTCAAGCCATATTTCAGTAACTATTACAATGCTTAAGTTTAAGAATAAAATCCTATTGAAAAAAAAGACAAAAAAAATTCAGCGATGAGAATATACTTGGCATGTCTCAGAAACAGAAAGGAGGTTGAAAGCAGAATAAGAAACCAGAGAATGATGGTAGAGAAAAAAATGTAACTTCATATACTAGGGTTTTCCTAAGGTTTCTGAAGTAGTTGGCCTTCGTGGCTTTGAGCTGTGAATGTTTAAAGGCATATTCCAATGTCAGAAGATTTAGCTTTGATAATGTTATGTCTGATCTCTTCATTCCACTTATGGGGTAAAGTATGACAGCTTCTGTTGCAGTCTTTGTGAAGCACTCAGCATGGGGTCTTAAAGCAGCATTTAACCTATATCTTTAGATCCTTAAGACTCTCAGTTCTCTAGACTGTAAGTTTCTGAAGAGCATGTCTATATCTAGTTGGGTATAGTGTTGAATGAAGGAACTAACTGAAAAAAAAAAAAAAGTACAATGTGGGGAAACTAAAGTTATATATCCACTATATTCTTCTTATGCTTTAGTTCACATTTTTAACAAATTAATCATTCAGTTTTCTAAATTTATACAATGTTAGTTTTCCATACTCTTCTTAGAAGTTTTCTATTCTTCTTTATCTTTTAAATAATCTTATTTGCAGGAATCACATTCAGTTAACTGACTTTTTCCCCACCCTATGATCTTTTTGTATGGTGAAACTCCCCAAGAAATTTTCTTTGTTTCTACACACTCTCTGAGTTTGAAACTCAGTGGTTAGAAACATAGAAAAATGACTATGTGCTTTCTCCATCTGACTAGGAATAGCTAATTTTGTATTTTACTGCACCTTAGAAATCTGTCAAATGGGCACCTATCCTATTTTACAACCAGAAAAATATCTTCCTATTACTTTTTCCTAATTTTTTCAGAGCATAGGCTCCTCTGCATCCACCTCGACTGTCAACAGGTAATGTGTCCTTACAAAGGAGCCTCTAGAAAACTTGTCCTGATACTCTAAATTATCCCACCACAAGTTGCTGGCCAGACATATATCTTTTCTCAGATGAATCTGACTCTTTTTAACAATCATCAGCCGAAAAAAATAAAAGTCAAAGTTTTAGTAGAAAAAGAAAACTATGTTCAATGACCTCAAGTGGAGAGTGATTGCTCTCTGTTCATGACACACCAAAAAGGCAGACTGAGATACAGGGAGAATGGTAGAAAGACAAAACAGACAGATAGGCATTGAAGTAGGCTTGTCATCTAGAATCTGATAAGAACAGCTTTAACACTACAAAATAGGAAATGGATCTGTTAAACCCAATCTTAGGAAGACTTTGGAAAGATATTTTCCCCTCTAAGTCACAGAGGGGAAAGAAACATAACTGTCCATATTTTGGATAACTAAAAAGAAGCCTATAGATTATATATAATCTATATAATTCATCTATATGATTAATTGGCAGCCTATAAATTAATCTATGTGTAATTTATGTCTCTCAAAAGAACCAGAAGGAGAATCTGAGCTTGAGAATTAGAAAAGAGTAGCTGCCTCATTCTCATTTTTTCCTAGTCCTCAAATCTTTCAATTGTGTTTTGCAAATATCTTAATACCCCTTAATTATTCCCTATTCTCATTTTACATTGAGTGGATCTCTGTCCCTTGGAAGCAAATGAAATTTACTTTGAAATTTTACATTTTTTATGATTTTTTTCCAGTGAAGTATGAGCTTATTTCAGCATTTTTGAAAGTCTGCTTGTGAGGACCTCTAATCTTATTTGATGAGATAAAAATATTTTGGTGCTATAATAAAGTTAACATGGAAAAAGGAACATATTTTTTTGTTGTTGTTGGAGACTGATAACGCAAAGTCTTTAGTGAGATTTGAGAGCACACAGTAAAGAAACCTGTTGAATTTGTTTAACCCAGTGTTTCTCAAATACATTTGGTCATGGAAGACTTTAGTGAGCCTATGGTAATGATGGTAGTTTTGCTTAGTTATGTCCTCAATGGCTAATCACTGCAACAATCTTCTCTATTGGCAGAGCTTTGTCTTCCACAGTAGAGTCTAAATACCCAAACAATCTTTTCCCCAGACTTGCATTCAGCTAGCCATGTGGCCCAGTTCTAACAAACAACAACAAAAAAGGGCTCTTGAAAAAAGAAATATGAAGAGGGCCCCTTTGCTACAGAGACTCCTGGTTTTGGTCATTGTTGTGAAGCTTTAAGCATTTGCCTCCACCTTGTGACCAAGAGGGAAAACTTCCTGATGCCCTGCGATAGCAGAGTGGAAGAGAGGAACTAGCAACTTTGATGCTATTCAAGGGCCAAACCAAAAGCTACCCTTCGACTTATTTTTCCTAGGAAAGTATCAACTTCTTTGATTTAATCAACTTTATTTGGACATTATGTTACCCAGTTAAACGCATGTAAAACAAATAGCATTTGAGGATGCTGTTGTGAGCTTAGGAGTATACAGCAGAGATTTTTGGTTTGAAGTAAACACAGCAAGGCCACAAAAACTCTTAGGGATGTTGATATTTCTCTTGCACAAATGCCATTTCAATTGTGAAACTGAAGAATAGAGAATATTTGGCAATATCCCTCTATTATTTATACATAAAGTACACTATTAAAACAACTGGCATGATTTTCACTTTCACTGGAAAGTTGTTTATAATTGCCTTTGGACAGTTAAAACTAAAAATATCTTCACATTTTGATTTACCCTTGGTCTACCTCATGGATACTTTCACATTTTAATATTATCATATGATAATATGATTAATAGTTGAAAACTATCATGTTTAGGAAGGTATTAAAACCCTCCAATATGAAAACTGCTATTTTAATTTCAACATATTTTAAAAGCTGGTATAAAAAATGTAGCTATACAGATGGTATCTTAAAATAAAAAAATTAACTCCAAACTTTATTGGCTGAGGCATTTAAAATACTTTTCCAAAAGGGTAAAACAAATTATTATTAGCCAAACTCAATACATACAGCATTTTCTACCTCAAACTTTTGTGAAAAATGAAAAATAATTTTTTTCTCTGACTAGTTATTTAAAATGGCCTACACATAACTCCTTTTAGGCAACATTTTTAACTTCCAGAGCCAATTGTTTTTTCTGCCAGTTACTGTAATTGGTAACAGTCTTGTCTAATTTTAATGATTTTTATACAGCTATTGCCTATACCGTATATTTAAATCAGTAAAATGTTTTAAAAATTGGAAAATAATGAATTTTAGGTTATACATTTATTAATTTAAACCCAGCTGTTGTGAGGAAAACACACACTTTTTTGTTTCTTTGTTACTATTGTTCCAGATCAATAATCAAGTTTATTTGAAATATTTTCCTTCATACAAAGTTTTATTCAATATCAATGTTAATAGTCTCAAACATTTGACTAACTTTACTTACATGTTTTTACTGTCCTCTTGATTTTTGAAGTGACAGACTTTTCATTTTAACTTGGATTGGATTATAATGAAATACAATTTCTGATGTCTCTGCTAACTATTGCAGGGAACACTATTTCTTGAGAATGTCTGCTTTTATTTTGGAAAATCCTATATACCTTGATGAGAAAATTTAAAGCTTTCCATTTTTTCATTGCATAAGGTAACATTCAGATTTGTTTATTGGCATATTACTGAGTTTAAAATATTAAATATAAAGCCAATATTATTACAAATCTTTGACATAGCCAAATCTGAAGATCTAAGTACTATCTTAATAATTAAACCATAAACCATAATGAGAGAAAAAAAGGAAGATATTAATTTACTGCCCCATTTTGTCATTCCACAGGATCTGCAAAATGAGTCCTGTACACTAAATATGACTTTGTATGTGTGTGGCATTGTTATTATTCTAGTTTAAGCTTGCATTTTTTTCTTGTTTAAAATTATTTCCTACTTTTAGGTTACTTTGCCTTATATGATTACTGTGTCTCCAGTTTTTTTTCCTCCCTTAATTAATCCTATTATATTGCTCCTAAACACTTTAGCTTACCTTATAAGATCTTGATATTGCTGCAAATCATCTGTTGAGTCTTTTTCTGTTCTTACTGTGGCCACTCACCCAATATTCAGGCACTAGTATCTATACTTTTTCCCAAAAGGCTATGTGTATACATGTGTCAGTGTCTTTGTAGACACTCTATCCTCTGCATGCATAAGCTCCTTCAAATTTAGAAGGAAATAAAGTTCGTTGAGATACTATGAAAATGATAATACCCACCAATTTACATATGCCGGAATTAAAAAATGTTCTCTCTACGTACATATATATATGTATATATATACATATTCTTCGACTATTTTCTTAGAAACATTTTTTTTCTGGCTGGGCGCGGTGGCTCACGCCTGTAATCCCAGCACTTTGGGAGGCCGAGGTAGGTGGATCACGAGGTCAGGCATTCAAGACAAGCCTTGCCAAGATGGAGAAAGCCCGTCTCTGCTAAAAACACAAAAATTAGCTGGACGTGGTGGCGGGTGCCTGTAATCACAGCTACTCGGGAGCCTGAGGCAGGGAATTGCTTGAACCCGGGAGACAGAGGTTGCAGTGAGCTGAGATCATGCCACTGCACTCCAGCCTGAGCAACAGAGTGAGACTCCATCTCAAAAAATATATATTTTTTTTCTTCTTTAATCTAACGACTACTTATTTGTACTCCAGGAAAGTAACACAAATGTTCACTTCACATACAGAAAACCATACACAAAGTAATGAAATAAACATAAATTAAGTAAACAGTTAATTTAAGAATATGATCACCCATTCATATTCACCACATAGTAAAACCATCAACAAAACTATTGTTAATATATACATCTAAAACAATGTGGTTTTGATGCTCCTTCAATTTCTTCATACTTGGGAGTCTTTGGAACTCTTACCAGATCTTGCCAAGGGATGTATGTCTCTCTTTTCAACTTCTCTGCTTTGCATTCTTTTAGGACCTCCATTATGCATCATACTTAGATTCTGTACCCTATACCAGCCTGCATCCCATTCCACTTTGAGCCCCACAGGGTACCCTTGATCTGACAAGTTACTTTCCTTTTTTAGGGCAGATATATTACATAAAAACAATTATTAAGGCCTCTCTGTAATGAACAAGGTTTAAATGTTAAAGTTAAGGAACATTGGTCTATCAGTTGTGATTTCTTCAGCTTAATGTATTTCTATTTGCTCACACACTTGTTCATGTAGTCGCATCACTCCAATTACCAGAAAACATTTACCTTATGTCCTCTACTATTGGACTTCAAAGTCTAATTTCTCATCACACAATTCCTCCATCCTAGTGGAAGAAGTTCACATTAAAAAAAGAAAAAAATCAACACTAGTGCTTATTTTACTTTTTAGCCATCTTTTTCCTTAATGTATGTAATACATTTTTTCCCATTCTTTGCCATTCCTGTGAACTCTATACAACCTTCAGTGCCCCTGCAGATATCACGTTTATGATCATTTGTGACTCAACAGTTAGTCCCTTATGATCCTCTTACACTTTGGTCATGTAGGGTTTATCCCCTCCCATATCATGGATCATTTTCTAGTCAATCCCATTTATCTATAAAATACTGAACAATACTGCATTAGTTTCTGGAGACTTCCTCCAAAGAATTACCACAAACTTGATGATGTAAAACAAAGGAAATATACTCTCTTACAGTACTGGGCATCAGAAGCTCAAAAATCTTTTTTGCCAGACCGAAATCAAGATGTCAGCAGGGCTCTGATCCCTCTGGAGACCCCAGAAGAGAGTGTGATTCTTGTCTATTCCAGTTCCTGGTGGCTGCCAGCACTCCTTGACATGCAGCCATGTTACGCCAGTCTCTGCCTCCGTGAACACAGAGCCTTCTCCTCTGTGTGTCTATGTCTATCATCTGTTCCCATTTCTATCAACTCGCCCACTGTCTCTTATAAAGACACAAGTGACTGCATTAGGGCCCACCTGCACAGTCCAGGATAACCGACCCATCTCAGAATCTTTAACTTAATCACATATTTTTGTCATATACACTAATATTCACAGGCTCTGAGGATTAGGTCCTGATATCTTTGGGGGATGTTTTTTAGCCTGCCATAAACAGGATTCGTATTTGGATCACTGTCACATTGTGAATGCATAGCTGATATTTCTATCATATAGATGGCCCACAAACCTATCTTGAAATTGAATTGACTGAAATTGGGTGGTCTTGGAATTCTACACGTTATTTGGTCAGCACTGATTTATGCTTAAAACTAAATACTTCAAAGCAAGTAGTAGAAAATTTAATGAAGAAAATAAAGAATTATTAAGATCATGATGTCATATACTTTGTCTATTAGCTTATTATTCACCATGACCTTATGAGATAAATATTATTATTTCCATATAATACATGAGTAAACAGGTTTAGAAACATTGATTTTCCTAAGATTTCTAGTGTCAGATCTAAGGTTCCAAAACCCCGTTTTTCTTCAGTGAAATCATAGTGCCTCTAAAATAAATATTAGGAAGATAAAATAAAATACTCCTCAGGATGACTTACATATTAACATAAATTACAATATAAAGTGCCCTTGATCATTAAAATCTCAGCCTTGATTTAAAATGAAAAAGCTAACAGTTTTCTTTCTTTGTATTTGTTCATGATAAATGTGAACTTTAAGCAGTGACTATCTAGCAATAAATTGTTGGAAGCTCTCCTGTTTGTTTTGTTGATGCTGTATATAAACGAGTATTTAGAAGAAGAGTTCTGTTTATTCCTTTATTTATTATAGCTTAACTGTTGCAAAACATTATGTGCTGCACGATCCTAGCGCCAACAAATAATGAATAATTACCTAGTACTGGGGTTCTAAATAAGACCCATACCAACAAACAGATGTCAGTAGAATTTTGGCTCCAGGTTTTTGCCTGCAGGAAGTCATTAAAAGATAAGTGGAAAATCAAGTCTGTTCCCTTAGTAGCAGGGAACATTTGGAGCTATACAGGGAGGCTTATTTTCGGACAACAGCAATAGCTCCCACATTAGATGGTAATCACTCTTGTATTTATAGACTCCTTGTAAATCAATCTCAGACAGGCAATGAAATGATCTTCTTTATATTTACTTTTAGGCTATTTAAGAAAAGTAGCTCTAAACAAACCGAAAATTTCTATACAATCCTACCCCTTAGTCGATTTCATAGTTCAGTCTTACAAAATCATATTGTGGTTATCTGAGAACTCTTAATGACTTTTCAGTATCCGGAAAGTAGCATTATATTCCAGCTGTGCAAGCACTGAAATTTGTATTCCAAGTTGGTTGATGCTTCGGAAGAAAGTCGTGATTGAAACCAGGTGCAGATCATTATCCTTAATAATCAGTGTTTTCTTTCCCTCTTTCTTACGTCTTAGCATCTTAATGATTCTACAAGTTACTTTTTTCAACTCATAAGTTTGCAGTGACCTAAATGAAGGTGTATTTGCTTAGTAATATGATTTTTTTGGTCACATTAAATAAAAGTTAAATTTCAGACAGTCTCCATTAAAGAACAATTCTTGACTAACCCATATTTATAAGTAATGACAATGAACCATTAAAAGAATCTAGGCCAATGAATACCAAGTGATTTTTGGATATCAGAAAGTAGCAAACTACATATTAGAAAAATATATTTTGCTTAAGAAAAGATCAAGAAACATGTGAGAACTCCATGTGCTACCATTAACAGGGTAGAGAGAATTTCTAAGGCCATAATGACACACACTTGCCATTTAAATTAAAGTGATGTATTTATGTTTCCACAATTTTTATTCAAATGTAAAAATTGAATTATTTCTCTAAAATTATGAAATTTCAAGCCTTTTTACACATACTCTTGAATTACTGAAATGTTTAAGATTAAAACATAGGAATAATAATGCTTCATTTTTATAGTCAACCTAATATAGTAATGGCATACCAACCAAGTGGGTAATGTGTGTTATAAATTATATAGGTAAATAATATGTGCAGTGTAGGATACTTATAGCTATTACTTGCCAATCTAAGTAGAAGAATAATATTTAAAAGAATTACTTTCTTAACATCAGATTTTTTTTTCTTTTGCCTATTACATCTTACCTTGTGGATGTTCCAAGTAAGAAAAAAGTTTAAGTAGAAACCTACTTAAATTTCAGCAGTTTTCTACTTTCAGTTTTATGGAAAAAAACAGGTGGGAAATCCTAGCAGACTGTGGCAATACAGCATAATCACTTCCAGCATGAATCCCAAATTATAGCTTAATGTTTCAATGGCTTCAATATTTATGTCACTGAAAGCTGCCTGAGGCAGTAGCACCGCTTTGCACTGTGTTGTTTTCTAGAGTGCTGATAGATATTTTTTATTTTTTCCAACTAGTAAGTTGTGTTTTGGTAAAAGTTGTAAAAGTTACACAACATCACATTTTAATTTTCCTTTGCTTTTTATATGGGCAGAAAGTATCAGTATGAGTGAGTCTTTTTTTATTGTTTTAATAAGGTTTCCCAGAGGTAAAGATTCTACAAACATTCCTAAAATTGTAATTATTTATATAGTTAATGATGAAGTTAGATGAATTGTCTAGCTTCCCACAACTAAGAGGCAAACCTCGGATAAAAACCCAGGAGACTACCTTCAGAATCTACTTTTTAACTACAATATCATGTCTTTCTAAAAGTTACTGCCTCTTAACTGGTTCTATCTATTAACTTCTGTGTAACAAATGACCTTACAGGGATGGACTCCAGGGTGTCCATACTCCTGTCTGTTTTCCTAGTGAGTGTGAGTAGAATCTGTGATTTGCTTCTAACCAACAGAATATGGCAGAGGTGATGGGATGTCACTTCCTTGATTATGTTACTTTACATGAGGCTCAGTCTTCCTGGAATAGTCACTCAAGAAACTGTCCTTACTGGCTTAGTAAAGTAAGCAACTATGTTTGGAAAGCTCTCATAGCAAGGAACTGTGGGCACCCTCTAAAACATGTGGGTGACCTCTAGATAGAGTGGGTAAACTCAAGGAACTGTAACCTCTAGGTATAGTGGCTGAACTGAAGGAAATGTGGGCAACCTCTAGGAGCTAAGGGAAACCACCAGTGAAAAGCCAGCAAGAAGGTGAGCCCTCAGTCATACAATTACAAGGAAATGAATTTTGCCAACAGTGTGGGTGTGCTTAGAAGTAGATTCTTCCTTCCCCAGTTAAGCCTACAGACAAAAACAGCCAAACTAATGCTGAATCGCAACCTTGACAGACTCCTAGCAGACGACCCATCTAAGCCATACCCAGGCTCCTGACTTATGAAGTCTGGGAAATAATAAATACATGTTGTTTTAAGTCATGGTTTGTCTAGGTAACAAACTTAGACTTAATTTTTTTACACAAAAAATTTGGACGAAATTGCATACTTTGTTGTACAATATGGTAACTAATGCAATCCCCAGATCATGTAGTTTAAAACAACTGTTCACTGAGCTCATAATTATAAGAGTTGGCAATTGGTTTTGTCCCAGATGGATCATTCTTACCTTCACTTATTGGCTCATTTGTCTATGGTCAACTGGTAGGTAAGCAACTGTGAATGGTTTCTAAAGGCTTTGGCTGGGAAGTCTCTCCTCTCCATGTGATTTCTCATCATCCAGCTGGGTATTCCAGATGTGTTCCCGAGGTGGCATAAGAGTTTTAAGTTCAATGAGAGAGTAAGCCCAAATATGCAGCTGCTTTTCAAGTATCTAATATGTCACATTTGCTAATGTTCTGTTGGTCAAAACAAGTCCCATGACCAATCTAGGCTTAAGGATTGGGATATAGACTCCACCTCTTGAGGGGAGAAACTGCAAAGGATTGTGGCCACTTTTGCATTCTGCCACACTGGCATTCTCCATTTCTGTAAACTATACCCTAATTCACCCACTTGATCAAACTGAAAATTTCAGAGACATCTTTGGTTTCTCTTGTTCTCCACTTCATTCTTGACTTTTGCAACCTAAACATAATTGATTCATGCTTTCCAGTGGGATGTATCCAATCCAAGGCACTAACGTATCTCACCTGGACTGATGCAATATCCCCATAATCATTCCTCATACTTTCATTCTGCCTCCTCCATCTTCTATTCACTACACAGAACCTGGATCATATTTTCATAATGCAAATATTATTACATAACTGAATGTAGTTTGGGATCTGTATAACAAATCACATTTAAAAATTTGTAAAAATAGGAAAAAGTGATGGTAAGCACTGATGAAATCCAAAAATCTAATGGTTAAGTGGCTCTATAGCCCCCTAGAGTCTAATATTCTCATAATTTTGTAAATGTTCATACTGACTGGTACCTTTTAAAGACAGCAGAGGAAGGTCTACAGTCCCAGCTTGAGGCCTTATGTTTATATTATGCATCTTCTTGCTACTTCTATTTTGAGTGATCATTCCTAGCTAGCCACTGAGTCCTAGCTGAGACTGTGTCTACTTCTAAAACCACTAACTAGCTCTAGGACAAGAAATCCCAGTAATGTTGTAAATTATATTTTTTAAAAGACCCTAAAAAGAACAGACATTTAAACAAAACTCACAATGAAAAGAAACGGCACATTCAGAATTATGCTGAAGAGGGCAGCATGGGATCCATATATAAATAACAAGTGCTGGTTTGGGGCTAACATTTTCATTCAACAAATGTTTATTACAGTATTATAGGGATGTAGGACACTCCAGTGAATAAAACAGACAAAAATGTCTTCAATCCCATGGAGCTTATATTTTCTTGTCTATTCTCTTACTTGTCCCATCTACCTGTAAAAATAGGGTCTTAGACAGACTGCAGAATTTTATTGAGTTCAGAAAAGTGTGACTGAGCTTGGTCTATAGTTGACTGTGCCTGAAAAACTGAGCTAGGTTATATTTAGGTTGAAATAATCTGTCCAGCTGAGAGAGAATCTAGCAGAAGAACATAAGAGTTTTATTTGTCTGGTACTAAGGCCTCATCAGAGAATATAAGAAAAGCACTGAATACTTTTTTCCATTGATATAATTGATTCCAAATTTATGTCAATGAATATTGGAACACAATTACAGCATCAAGAAATCCATATTAAGTCTTTTTATGTTCTTTTTTTATCCTAAAAGCAATGTAATATTAAAAATTGATGTGACAAATTGAAGCTAATTCTACACAAGGAAGCAAGGTATGATGTTGGTTCAAAGTCATAAATGGTTGACTTTTTATGGTAGGAGAGTGTATTATGAAAGAAAACCTGAACGACAGTAGTAGTATCAATGATTGCAAACATTTTGTTTATGGAAGTAGTTGGTTTGGAATAAAGGTGGGGATGGACAATCTAACTGTTAATTATGTATCCACCTCATTTTTCAAACAACTTCAGACCCTATTTTCCAAGAAGATGGATAAAATAAAATTTTCCAACTCATAAATAATAGAAACATAACTAAATCTGATAGTTACATGAATGTAGCATTTGAACTTTAACGGTACAAAATTGGGCCAGATTTAGTCTGCATCATGGGAGGTTAAAGCAGGAATAGTGTTAACAGGATGTGCTCTATTTAGTAGAGAGGACCCTACAGTGGCAATGTAACTTTTAAGTAGCTTAAAGTACCTTGGGACTGGATGAAAGAGTAATTTGGGGTGTATATATTTGCTGCCAGCTATTGAGGACTATGGAGGTAGAGGACAGTTCAAAACCTCCTCAAAAAAAAAAAAAAAGAGTACAGATCAGGAGGCTCTCTTCACAGAGAAAGGGGAATGGTAGCAGAAGGAATTGGCACTCTTAGATGGATTCCTGTCCCACGAAACTCTGCTTTGACACTTTTTCTTTAAGAATGATTGATACTAAAAGGATGAACACTTTGTATATTATTTCCAGATACGTCTGCAGCCAGTGATGGAAGATGCTAGGAGACAGCCTTAGCACTTATTCAAATGCTATCATGTCTAATACTTTGGATCTCAAAAATAGAACTTTGTATACTTTATTATGTGGAATGTACCAAATGATAAGAAACAAGCCAAACCAAACAAAATAACAGTGAATATAAAACACTGGAAGCTTGTAATGGGATGGATATAAATTTAAACAAAGATTGGAAGTGCTTATTTTATAAGGTTTTTACCCCCTAGGAACCTAAGGATTATTTTACTTTAGTAGACTTACAAATGACTGGATTGTATTTAGCAATAAAAAACTGACATTATATGCAGCAATAAAACAAAATGTTTGCAAATTCAACAAATCTTATGACTGGTATCTATGGACAAGCATTAAATAAGAACCAAAACCCAGCATTAGTGTATATTTCTCAAAAATTAAAAAGCAGGGCTCTCCTAGTGGTCATTAGAAAAGTGTGAAATGCTAATTGGGATTCACTAAGGATGATAATGAATAGTGCTAGAGCATACAGAAACCATTTGGTTTTTACATATGAGCTAAACCCAATTAACTATATCTTAAATAGGACTCAAAAACCATGTTTTACTGACTTAATCTGGACCCCTGCCTTCTTCTGTAAGACCATGAACTAAGAATGGTTTTTGCATTTTTAAATTGTGAAAAAAATACTATTCCACAACACACGAAAACTATATAAAATTAAAATATCGGTGTCTATAAATAAAGTGCATGTGAACTCAGTTTCATTGGAACACAGCCATGCTTATTTAAATGTTGTTTATAGGTGCTTTTAAAGGCAGAGTGAAGTAGTTGCAACAGAGACTGTAGGTCCACAAAGCAGAAAATATTTACTATCTGGCTTTTTTAAAGAGAGAATTTACTAAACTCTGTTCTAGCATATTCAGTATTCCTGGACTGATAACTTATATCCCTACTTTATCTCTGTTTTCAATGGCTCATGTCAGTATTGAGTGTGATGAGTTAACCGTTAGTCCACAAGATGTATAGAAGGGGCATGCATGCAATGGGAATGCTAAGGGTCCCTGAATGAAACAATATTCAACATTCTTAAAGAAAAGAATTTTCAACCCAGAATTTCATATCCAGCCAAACTAAGCTTCATAAGTGAAGGAGAAATAAAATACTTTATAGACAAGCAAATGCTGAGAGATTTTGTCACCACCAGGCCTGCCCTAAAAGAGCTCCTGAAGGAAGCGCTAAACATGGAAAGGAAAAACTGGTACCAGCCGCTGCAAAATCATGCCAAAATGTAAAGACCATCGAGACTAGGAAGAAACTGCATCAACTAATGAGCAAAATCACCAGCTAACATCATAATGACAGGATCAAATTCACACATAACAATATTAACTTTAAATATAAATGGACTAAATTCTGCAATTAAAAGACACAGATTGGCAAGTTGGATAAAGAGTCAAGACCCATCAGTGTGCTGTATTCAGGAAACCCATCTCACGTGCAGAGACACACATAGGCTCAAAATAAAAGGATGGAGGAAGATCTACCAAGCCAATGGAAAACAAAAAAAGGCAGGGGTTGCAATCCTAGTCTCGGATAAAACAGACTTTAAACCAACAAAGATCAAAAGAGACAAAGAAGGCCATTACATAATGGTAAAGGGATCAATTCAACAAGAGGAGCTAACTATCCTAAATATTTATGCACCCAATACAGGAGCACCCAGATTCATAAAGCAAGTCCTCAGTGACCTACAAAGAGACTTAGACTCCCACACATTAATAATGGGAGACTTTAACACCCCACTGTCAACATTAGACAGATCAACGAGACAGAAAGTCAACAAGGATACCCAGGAATTGAACTCAGCTCTGCACCAAGCAGACCTAATAGACATCTACAGAACTCTCCACCCCAAATCAACAGAATATACATTTTTTTCAGCACCACACCACACCTATTCCAAAATTGACCACATAGTTGGAAGTAAAGCTCTCCTCAGCAAATGTAAAAGAACAGAAATTATAACAAACTATCTCTCAGACCACAGTGCAATCAAACTAGAACTCAGGATTAAGAATCTCACTCAAAGCCGCTCAACTACATGGAAACTGAACAACCTGCTCCTGAATGACTACTGGGTACATAACGAAAAGAAGGCAGAAATAAAGATGTTCTTTGAAACCAACGAGAACAAAGACACCACATACCAGAATCTCTGGGACGCATTCAAAGCAGTGTGTAGAGGGAAATTTATAGCACTAAATGCCTACAAGAGAAAGCAGGAAGGATCCAAAATTGACACCCTAACATCACAATTAAAAGAACTAGAAAAGCAAGAGCAAACACATTCAAAAGCTAGCAGAAGGCAAGAAATAACTAAAATCAGAGCAGAACTGAAGGAAATAGAGACACAAAAAACCCTTCAAAAAATCAATGAATCCAGGAGCTGGTTTTTTGAAAGGATCAACAAAATTGATAGACCGCTAGCAAGACTAATAAAGAAAAAAAGAGAGAAGAATCAAATAGACACAATAAAAAATGATAAAGGGGATATCACCACCGATCCCACAGAAATACAAACGACCATCAGAGAATACTACAAACACCTCTACGCAAATAAACTAGAAAATCTAGAAGAAATGGATACATTCCTCGACACATACACTCTCCCAAGACTAAACCAGGAAGAAGTTGAATCTCTGAATAGACCAATAACAGGCTCTGAAATTGTGGCAGTAATCAATAGTTTACCAACCAAAAAGAGTCCAGGACCAGATGGATTCACAGCCGAATTCTGCCAGAGGTACAAGGAGGAACTGGTACCATTCCTTCTGAAACTATTCCAATCAATAGAAAAAGAGGGAATCCTCCCTAACTCATTTTATGAGGCCAGCATCATTCTGATACCAAAGCCGGGCAGAGACACAACCAAAAAAGAGAATTTTAGACCAATATCCTTGATGAACATTGATGCAAAAATCCTCAATAAAATACTGGCAAACCGAATCCAGCAGCACATCAAAAAGCTTATCCAACATGATCAAGTGGGCTTCATCCCTGGGATGCAAGGCTGGTTCAATATACGCAAATCAATAAATGTAATCCAGCATATAAACAGAGCCAAAGACAAAAACCACATGATTATCTCAATAGATGCAGAAAAAGCCTTTGACAAAATTCAACAACCCTTCATGCTAAAAACTCTCAATAAATTAGGTATTGATGGGACGTATTTCAAAATAATAAGAGCTATCTATGACAAACCCACAGCCAATATCATACTGAATGGGCAAAAACTGGAAGCATTCCCTTTGAAAACTGGCACAAGACAGGGATGCCCTCTCTCACCGCTCCTATTCAACATAGTGTTGGAAGTTCTGGCCAGGGCAATCAGGCAGGAGAAGGAAATAAAGGGTATTCAATTAGGAAAAGAGGAAGTCAAATTGTCCCTGTTTGCAGACGACATGATTGTTTATCTAGAAAACCCCATCGTCTCAGCCCAAAATCTCCTTAAGCTGATAAGCAACTTCAGCAAAGTCTCAGGATACAAAATCAATGTACAAAAATCACAAGCATTCTTATACACCAACAACAGACAAACAGAGAGCCAAATCATGGGTGAACTCCCATTCACAATTGCTTCAAAGAGAATAAAATACCTAGGAATCCAACTTACAAGGGATGTGAAGGACCTCTTCAAGGAGAACTACAAACCACTGCTCAAGGAAATAAAAGAGGACACAAACAAATGGAAGAACATTCCATGCTCATGGGTAGGAAGAATCAATATCGTGAAAATGGCCATACTGCCCAAGGTAATTTACAGATTCAATGCCATCCCCATCAAGCTACCAATGCCTTTCTTCACAGAATTGGAAAAAACTACTTTAAAGTTCATATGGAACCAAAAAAGAGCCCGCATTGCCAAGTCAATCCTAAGCCAAAAGAACAAAGCTGGAGGCATCACACTACCTGACTTCAAACTATACTACAAGGTTACAGTAACCAAAACAGCATGGTACTGGTACCAAAACAGAGATATAGATCAATGGAACAGAACAGAGCCCTCAGAAATAATGCCGCATATCTACAACTATCTGATCTTTGACAAACCTGAGAAAAACAAGCAATGGGGAAAGGATTCCCTATTTAATAAATGGTGCTGGGAAAACTGGCTAGCCATATGTAGAAAGCTGAAACTGGATCCCTTCCTTACACCTTATACAAAAATCAATTCAAGATGGATTAAAGATTTAAACGTTAGACCTAAAACCATAAAAACCCTAGAAGAAAACCTAGGCATTACCATTCAGGACATAGGCGTGGGCAAGGACTTCATGTCCAAAACACCAAAAGCAATGGCAACAAAAGCCAAAATTGACAAATGGGATCTAATTAAACTAAAGAGCTTCTGCACAGCAAAAGAAACTACCATCAGAGTGAACAGGCAACCTACAACATGGGAGAAAATTTTTGCAACCTACTCATCTGACAAAGGGCTAATATCCAGAATCTACAATGAACTCAAACAAATTTACAAGAAAAAAACAAACAACCCCATCAAAAAGTGGGCGAAGGACATGAACAGACACTTCTCAAAAGAAGACATTTATGCAGCCAAAAAACACATGAAGAAATGCTCATCATCACTGGCCATCAGAGAAATGCAAATCAAAACCACTATGAGATATCATCTCACACCAGTTAGAATGGCAATCATTAAAAAGTCAGGAAACAACAGGTGCTGGAGAGGATGTGGAGAAATAGGAACACTTTTACAGTGTTGGTGGGACTGTAAACTAGTTCAACCATTGTGGAAGTCAGTGTGGCGATTCCTCAGGGATCTAGAACTAGAAATACCATTTGACCCAGCCATCCCATTACTGGGTATATACCCAAAGGACTATAAATCATGCTGCTATAAAGACACATGCACACGTCTGTTTATTGCGGCACTATTCACAATAGCAAAGACTTGGAACCAACCCAAATGTCCAACAATGATAGACTGGATTAAGAAAATGTGGCACATATACACCATGGAATACTACGCAGCCATAAAAAATGATGAGTTCATATCCTTTGTAGAGACATGGATGAAATTGGAAACCATCATTCTCAGTAAACTATCGCAAGAACAAAAAACCAAACACCGCATATTCTCACTCATAGGTGGGAATTGAACAATGAGATCACATGGACACAGGAAGGGGAATATCACACTCTGGGGACTGTGGTGGGGTCGGGGGAGGGGGGAGGGATAGCATTGGGAGATATACCTAATGCTAGATGACACATTAGTGGGTGCAGTGCACCAGCATGGCACATGTATACATATGTAACTAACCTGCACAATGTGCACATGTACCCTAAAACTTAGAGTATAATAAAAAAAAAATTAAAAAAAATAAAAAAAAAATAAAAAAAAAAAAGAGAAACAGGCTTTTATAAATAAGAGACATGATCAAGAAGAAGAAGGAAAAAAAGAAAGAGGAATACCCCTAGGCTATATATAGTCTTGTTTTTTTTTTACTCAGGGGTGCACTATGTCTATTTTTCCATGACTCTAAACAAAGAATGTTCATTAACATGAAAGATTTTTCTTTGTTTAATTTTCATGACCTTATACAGCTACCATTTTTTTAAACATTTTTTTGGTAGATCCTTTTCCAACCCATGATTACATTGTACCTCTTGTAGTAAACATCAATTTATTATCTATTCATTCAATAATATGTTATGCCTATAATACCTTTGACATGGTTCTACATGCTTGAAATGGAGAGGTGTACAAAGCAAACAAACAATCTGCTTTTATAAAACTTGCTTGTCTTAAGGAGAAAAACAATATTCTATTATGTAAATTCAAAATATCATGTTATGATAAGTGATATGCGGAAAATGAAAACAAGATGTCTCTGAATAAGAGGTAAGATGTCATGGTAAACTCTTCTGAGGTAGTGATAATTAATGACAGGTTGTTATCTAGTGACAAGATGGGTCTAGCCTTTTAAAGATTAAGTTGATCAACATTTTGGTTAGAGAAAAAGCCAGCATAAACTTCTAAAGAGGGAATGTTACAGGCACAGAAAGAAGGATGTTGCGATTGGAACACAGTAGGTTATTATAAGAACCTTATGTGATGAGGTAAAAAGGTCGTTAGGGCAAGATCTTTTGGGATTTGTAAGTTTGGGTAAAAATTTTAAGAATCTATTCGGATGTGCCTTTAAAACTTTGGAGGATTTTGATATTAAAATATCAAAAGAGGTTACCTAAAGCATTGACTACAATTTCTAAAGGAAAAGAAGAAACAGAAATGTTGCAGGAGCTATCTCTGTAAACTATTTGTCTCTGAAACACTTTTGTTTTGCATCCGAAGCTAAAATAAAAATAATATACTTCATATACGGATTTTTCCCTACATCAAACCTTTTTTTTTCTTAAATGAATGCAGAGAAGATTAAATCATTTGTCTTAGAAAATCAACATTTCTTCCTATTCAAAATATGCCTTTTGGAAATAGTTTTGTATTCTTGGCCATCTGCCATTACACTTCTATTGAATAATTAGGATAGTTGCTTAATTTAACTACAATTGTATATGAGAATAAGCTAGGCAATTTGCATTTGACATTTGGAAATGGGAAAATATTTTTTCTATTAAACTTTGATTCATTTATTCATTCCACTTATTAATTACATAAACCCAGAAAACTTCAGTGTTTTCTAAAGTTGTAATCTACTTCTTTTTCACATAAAGTTGATTTTTTATGTTAGATAGTAAAATTGATGCATTACAATATATAAAGTTATAACACATATTGGGTTTTTATAAGCCATAAGAAATTAATTCTCAATCTATTTCCATTACCAAAAGGAAGATATAATTGTTGACTCCCATTTAACTGAATAATTATAACATTTTATTTGATGGAAGTATTTGCTAGTCAATGCTAAAGGCTATAATAAATGTACACTCAGTTTTGATGTTTTAACACAATAAGTTTTAATTATCTGTCAAATATTAATTCTATGTGGTGTTTCTGGGTTGTCCTAGTGATAAAAACCCTGATTCCTCTTTCTTTGCTGGGCCTCAGACTCTTTTGCTTCCAGCTAGTGAAAAGGATGAGAGAGAATGAGAAATACATATATGCCATTTAAAAAAAACCATTCGAGGCCAAGATGGGTAGCTCACACCTGTAATCTCACCACTTGGATCCATCCACCTTGGGAGGCAGAGGCATGACCTGTAGTCCCAGTTACTCAAGAGGTTGAGGTTTGGGGACTGCTTGAGCCCAGGAGATTGAGGCTGCAGTGAACTGTGACAGCGCCACTGCACTCCAGCCTGGGCAACAGAGCGAGACTGTGTCTCAAATAATAATAATTAATTAGTTAATTAATTAAAAATGTAAAAAAATCTAACCACACGACTCCACTTGGATACAAGAAGGGCTGGGAAGTATAGACCTTTGTTAAGCAGCCAACTTCCAAAAATGACTTAATGACTTGACAGTTTTTTACGTGCTATAATGAGGTAACATTTGCAAATTTTGAAAGTATACAATTTAAGAAATTTCATCATATATATATATATATATATATATATATATATCTGATCCACATCTTTGCCAACATGTGGTGGTATGGTCAATTTTTCTTAACTTTAGCTGTTCTATTTAGTAGATTTTGGTGTCTTATTGTGGTTTTAATTTGCACTTTTTTATGACTAATGATGTTGAACATATTTTTATGTGTTTAACTGCTATCCAAATTGAAGTAAGTGTCTGTTAAAATTTTTGCCCAATTTTTAAAATTGATTTATTTAACATCTAATTGTTGGGGATTTGAGAGTTCTTCATATATTCTGAATACAAGACATGTATTAGATATTATTTGTGAATATAATCTAACCATGTGTGGTTTGTCTTTTCATTCTCTTAGTAATAATGTCTTTGAAGAACATATGCCTTCTGATAAAGTCAAATTTATCAATTTTTATGGGGAAATATTTTGACATTTCATTCTAGAAGGATTTTCTAAGATGTCACAAGATTTTCTCTTATGTTTTTTTTTTAGAAGTTTAATAATTTTAGGTTTTACAAATATATCTCTGGTATATTTCAAGTTGATTTTTATATGCTATAAGCTGTTAACTAAAGTTCTTTTCTTTTCTTTTCTTTTTCTCATATAGATATCCAGTTTTTCCAAATAATTGTTGTTTTGTTTTGAAAGTACCGTTCTTTCTCCACCCCATTTTCCTTTTCTCATTGTTGGAAGCCACTCATTGGTATATATGTGGCTTTCTGGACTCTGATTGCATTGATCTATTTGTCTGTCTTTGCAGTAATACCACACTCTAGTAATATCCACAGCTTTAAATTAAGCCTTGAACTTAGGTAATGTAAGGTCTCCAACTTATTCATCTATTTCAAAATTGTTTTGTCTATTCTAAATTCTTTGCATTTCAAGACAAATTTTCTAATCAGCTCGTTAATATCTATAAACACCTACTAGTACTTTGACTGGAAATGTGTTCTTTAGATTCTTATATTGTTCCACTATATTCTAGCTTGTATTGTTTTCAGTAGGAAATTTCTTCTCCTCTCAATTTATCTTTGTTTCTCTGGATGAAATGTGTCTGTTTTCCTCTATCTGATTTTAACATTTCCTTTTATCACTGCATCACAACAATTTAGATATGATGTGCTTTCTCTCTTTCATTTTTATGTTTCAGGCTCATTGAGCCTCTTGGATTTGTGGGTTTATGATTTGCATGCACTTATATTTTTAAAAATATTTTTTAAAAAGGGTTATTTCTTTAAATACTTCTTCTACCTTTTTTTCCATCAGAGACTCCATTTTTTTGTATTTGTTTGCTTGTTGTTGTCTCAGTGCTCCCTGATGCTCTGTTCATTTTTTAAAATTCTTTTTCCCTCTACATTCATTTTGATTATTTTCAATGGCTACTTATGTTCCCTAATCTTTTATACTGCAATGTCCAATACATTGTTAATACCATCTAATGAATTTTTCATTTCAGCATTGAAATGATCATCTCTGGAAGTTACAACTGGATGGTTTGTAATTATCTTTCATGTCTATCTGTAACTTGCTGCATCTTTTCTCTAGTTTTACAATGCTTTTGAATATAACCATGATAACTCTGTTCATGTTCTTGCGTATTAATTCTGCCATCTCTGGATTCTGTGTCAACTTCAATTGGTTTATTTTTCTTCTCATTAAAGATATTTTTTTATGTGTGATAATTGCATATTATACAATTATATTGTGCACGATATATATAATTTCGTGGTCTTTTTGCTTCCATATGTGTATCTTAATAGCAATAACTAGATATTTGATAGGCAGCTAAAACTTATCAATTATAAAACTTTAATATTTTCAAAAAAAATTATGCTTCTCCCTATTTTTCCTATCTCTACCAAGTAGTTGCTGAAACCCAAAATCTAGATTTCTGTCTCTTTGAAATGTCTGTATTTAATCTTTAAGAGCTATCATAAATAATTAACAATATATAGCTGGAATCCTTCCTCCTGTTTCATCTGTATTCCAATGATACAAATCTACATTTGTCCCTCATCTTTTTACTGAAATCACTGTGTAATTAGTGTTTATACATGATTTTCCATCAAATATACTGGTATATAATGCATATTTTATTTAACTATTCTCTCATTATATCAAAACATTTATTTTTAGTTTTTAAAATTATTGTGAAGTATATTCAAACTGACACATACATTGAAACATGCAGCACTTTCCCCATTAGGGTTGATTATGTTTTAATGATAGAATCTCACATATGAAATAGTGCATGTACTCAAAATGTTCAAATTTCTAGAAGCAGAAAATATTATGTCAAAAATAAGAAATA
Source organism: Homo sapiens (assembly GCF_000001405.40). Lineage (NCBI taxonomy): Eukaryota > Metazoa > Chordata > Mammalia > Primates > Hominidae > Homo > Homo sapiens. Next base: position 195,920,497 of record NC_000001.11, on the reverse strand, counting down.
CATTGAATATCTGTGGACTCTACAATGATAAATTTGTTTGTCTATATGTTTATTTATTAACTTATTCTTTGTCAGATTCTTAAAGTGGATTTGTGTCTTATACAGGTCAATCAACTCAAACTCTAATTACATAAAATAAAATAAGTGACTAATAATATCATAGAGAAGATAAAACAATTTGTTTTCTTCTAAAATGATTTATACAGAAAATTTTACCAATGAACCTAGCAATATTCTCTTTAGTGTTAGCATGTATGTGCAACATTAAAACAAATATAGAAAATTTTCCACAGTGTGAATTTACCAAAAATGTATTTTATTTAATCATGACCAAAATCTAATACAATGAATTATTTCTTTAATTTCAGCCTTGGGACATTTTACTTTCATTTTTTAAACTCACAGATGTAAATATAAGTAAGTATGTCAGATTATACAATGTTATTACAACATAGTTATCACTTTGGTGATGGTTTCCTCTCACTGAATTGATTATAAAGAATAATATTATTGATTTGTTTAAAGCAATCCATGTTTTATTCTACTTGTGTGATCCTTTGGATGGTTAAATTCTAGAATATATAACAAGAAAATATGCTGTTATCAGTGATATTAAACAATAATTGAACATGTATATTTCTCATAAGCATGTATTCTACCTCAGCATATGTCTTAACATGTATAAGTACTTTTAACAGTTTTAATATCAATTAATATATTGAGAGAAAGCAACAAATATTGCTATTGTTTCACATCATTTTATTTATATTAATATAAATTGTATAAATTATTTCAAAAAGTTACTTTGTTAAAGCATTAAAAACTACAATAAAATATTGCTACTTTTTGTTAAATATGCATTATTATCTATATGAACAAAATTTACAGAACATCCTATTTCAATTCAAGTCAACAAACTCAACTACCTGTTCATTATGCAATTTTATTTATAAGTTTGGAAATTTGTGATGCTGTATATTTTTTCGATAGATAACATTTTTGAGTACTGGCTAGCAGACTTTAGCCTCACTCTACTGAAAAAATGTACATATTGTGAAAGTGTTTCTAATTACATATCAACTACAAAAAGTGATCTAATTTTCTTTTCTTTCTTTCTTTTTTTTTTTTTTTGAGACAGAGTCTCACTCTGTCGCCCAGGCTGGAGTGCAGTGGCACGATCTCCACTCACTGCAACCTCCGCCTGCCGGGTTCACGCCATTCTCCTGCCTCAGCCTCCCAAGTAGCTGGGACTACAGGCACCCACCACCACACCCGGCTAATTTTTTTGTTTTTTTGTTTTTGTTTTTGTTTTTTTTTTAGCAGAGACAGGGTTTCACTGTGTTACCCAGTGGTCTCAATCTACTGACCTCATGATCTACCCACCTCGGCCTCCCAAAGTGCTGGGATTACAGGCATGCATCACTGCACCCGGCCGAAGTGATCTAATTTTCAATCAACAAATTATGTAACTATTATATCTATGCTGGTACAATACAAAATATTCTTTGTTTTATTCTGTTATCCCTTCTCCTACGTTTGCTTCATAGTAGATGATAAAGTTCTTAAAATTTCACGATGTTTTTGACTCAGTGTTTCCTTTTCTAAAAATCAATTACAGAAAGACAACTTTTGTCCCATATTCATTTTGTCATTTTTTCAGACTAATATCTAATTGGTATTTTGTGAAATGTTATAATACTTAAATTATTAAAATTTAATAACTAATTTATTTGTATTCCTTAAAATCATCTTAGATAAATATAGGTGATGATAGGTAATGGAGATATTTTTTAAACTTCCTTGATATAATTTTCAAACATTAAAACAATAATCTTTAAGTAAAAGTAAATTTGGCTTACAATCACACAGCATTTGTCTCAATAGCCCTGTATTAGTCTGTTCTCACACTGCTATAAATAAATACATTAGACTGTGTAATTTATGAAGCAAGGAAGTTTAATTGACTCACAGTTTCACAGGCTGTACAAGAAGCATGACTAGGGAGGCCTCAGGAAACTTGCAGTCATTATAGAAGGCGAAGGGGAAGCAGCCATGTCTCACACAGTCAGAAAAAGAGGAAGGGTCTGGGGAAGGTTCTGCACACTATAAAACAGACAGATCTCATGAGAAACTCTATAGTACCAAGGGGTCATGATGGTAAACCGTGAGACACCACCAAGATGATTGGACCATGGTGGCAGAATCACTAGGCCTCATTTCTGACATTCAGGATAAGAATTGAACATGTGATATGGGTAGAAACACAAATCTAAACCATATCATTGTACCCCTGGATCCTCCCAAATCTCACGTCCTTCTAACATTGAAAAATAAAATCATACCTTCCCAACAGTCCCCCAAAGTCTTAACTCATTCCAGCATTAACTGAAAAGTCCATAGTCCAAAGTCTCAACTGAGTCAAGGCTACTCCCTTCCACTTATGAGCCTGTAAAATCAAAAGCAAGTTAGTTGCTCCCAATATAAAATGGGAGTACATGCATTGATAAATACTCCCACTCCAAAAGGGAGAAATTAGCCAAAAGAAAGGGGCTTCAGGCCCCATACAAGTCTGAAACCCAGCAGGGCAGTCATTAAATCTTAAGGCTCCAAAATAATATTCTTTGATTTGAGGTCTCATATCCATGGCATACTGGTGCAAGGAGTGGGTTCCCAATACCATAGGCAGCTCCATCCCTGAGGCTTTGCAGGGTACAGCCCCTGCAGCTTCTTTCATGAGCTGATATTTAGTGTCTGCGGCTTTTCCAGGTGCATTCTGAAAGCTGTTGATGAATCTACCATTCTGGGGTCTGGAGGATAGTGCCTCTCTTCTCACAGCTACACTAGGCAGTGCCCCAGTGGAGACTCTGTGTGGGGGCTCAAACCCCATAATTCCCCCTCCATGCTGCCCTAGTAGAAGTTCTTCATGAGGGCTCTACACCTGCAACAGACTTCTGCCTGGGCATGCAGGCTTTTCCATATAGCCTCCTAAATTTAGGTAAAGGTTCCCAAGCCTCAACTCTTCACTCTCTATACCTGCAAGCTTAACACCACGTGGAAGCTGCATGGGCTTACGGCTTGCAACCTCTGAAGCAGCAGCCTGAGCTGTATCTGGGTCTTTTAAATTATGTCTAGAGCTGGAGCTGCTGGGATTCAGGGCTGGGAGACAGGGTGCAATGTCCTGAGGTTGCACAGGTTGGCAAGGCCCTGGGCCTGGCCCAGGAAACCATTCTTACATCCTAGGCCTCTGGATCTGTCATGGGAGGGGCTGCCTCAAATATCTCTGAAATGTCTTCAAGATATTTTTCCCATTGTCTTGGCTATTAGCAATAACCTTTCTTTTAATTATACACATTTCTGCAGGCTGCTTGAATTTCTCCCCTGAACATGTTTTTGTTGTTGTTGTTGTTGTTTTGTTTTTGTGTGAGTTGTTTTGTTTTCCTACCACATGGCTGGCTGCAAATTTTCTAAAGCTTTCACTCTGCTTTCCTTTTAAATATAAGTTTCGGTTTCAGGTCATTTATTTGATCATATGCATGAACATTGGCTATTCAAAGCAGCCAGGTCACATCTTGAACAATTTGATGCCTGGAAATTTCTTCCACCAGATACCCTAAATCATCTTTCTCAAGTTGAAGGTTACACAGATTCCTACGGCAGGGGCACAGTGCAGCCGATTGCTTTGCTAGGGAACAAAAGTGACCTTTGCTCCAGTTCCCAATAAGTTCCTCATTTCCATCTAAGACCTCCTCAGCCTGGCCTTACTGTCCATATCCCTACCAGCATTTTGGTCATAACCATTTAGCAAGTCTATAGAAAATTCCAAATATTCCCTCATCTTCCTGTCTTCTTCCGAGCCCTCCAAACTGTTCCAACCTTTGTCCCTTACTCAGTTTCAAAGCTGCTTCCACATTATCAGGTATCTTTATAGCAATGCCCCATTCCTTGGTACCAATTTTCTTTTTTTTTTTTTTTTTTTTTTTTTTTTGAGACGGAGTCTTGCTCTGTCGCCCAGGCTGGAGTGCAGTGGCGGGATCTCGGCTCACTGCAAGCTCCGCCTCCCGGGTTCACGCCATTCTCCTGCCTCAGCCTCCCAAGTAGCTGGGACTACAGGCGCCCGCCACTACGCCCGGCTAATTTTTTGTATTTTTAGTAGAGACGGGGTTTCACCGTTTTAGCCAGGATGGTCTCGATCTCCTGACCTCGTGATCCACCCGCCTCGGCCTCCCAAAGTGCTGGGATTACAGGCGTGAGCCACCGCGCCCGGCCCCAATTTTCTGTGTTAGTCTGTTCTCACACTTCGATAAAGAAATACTTGAGACTGGGTAATTTATAAAGAAAAGAGGTCTAATTGGCTCATGGTTCCACAGACTGTACAGGAAGCATGGCTGGGGAGGCCTCAGGAAACTTACAAACATGGCAGAGGCAAAGGGGAAGAAGGTATGTCTTATATAGCTGGAGAAAGAGGAAGAGAGAGAAGGGAGAATTGCTATATGCTTTTAAACAGCCAGATCTCATGAGAAACTCACTAACAAGGGGAGGCAATGTTAAGCCATGAGAAACCACTCCCATGTTCCAATTATGTCTCACCAGTCCCCACCTCAAACATTGGGGATTACAATTGAACATAAGATTTGGGTGGGGACTCAGATCCAAAACATATCAAGGTCCAAATAGACCATTTACATAATTACATGAATTATTTATATAATAAAGACTTCTGATGTAATAATATTTCTACTAAAAATCATTACATTCTCAGTCTTATACACAATAGAAAAATATTAAAATTTCATAAATTAACCAACTAAAAGACTGAAAGCACTTATTTCAAATATTATTGAGACTGCCAAAGCTAAAGCCTTCAAAATAATATATCAGAAAAAGTTACTACTCTTTGCCTATTAGTAAAAATTACATAATATATAATATACTACTGATACATTATTGCATAGTATTATAAGCCTACTATTTTTCCTGTCACGCTATCAATTAATACAGTAAGTGAACCATTTGTTTTCTGGTAAATACATGAAAAAATAATTATATACACTTACATAAGAATGACACTTAAATTGGGGCTTACATGATACATAGGATTTTGTAGGCTGACTGAATGTAGGTATTATTTAGGTACAATACTCCCCTAAACTTGGAGGAAAAGAAGTGTATGACATAGTAGAAGTGGCATAAAACTGGAATAATATGTGAAAAGGCTTCGTATATTACAACAAAAGTATTGTATTTTATTCAATAGCCAGTAGAAAACCTTATGATGGGAATGCAAGCTGGACATGCTTAGGTTTATGCTGAGGAAGGCTACCTTTGTTGTCCATGTGCTTAGACTGCTTAGTTCAGTTGTCTGAGAGAACATTCAATTTTATATGCTAGTATGTGCTTGCATTCTGCTGCTTTCATTGTATTGTTTTTTGTTTTATTTTCTTTTGTTTTTTGAGTCACGGTCTTGTTTTGTTACCCAGGTTGAAGTGCAATGGCATAATCATAGCTCACTGCAGCCTCAAATTCCTGGGCTCAAGGGATACTTCTGCCTCAGCCTCCCAAGTAGCTGGGACTATAGGTGAGCCTTGCAACACCTGGCTGATTTTTGTGTTTTTGTAGAGGCAAGGTTTTTCTGTGTTGCCCAGGCTGGTCTTAAACTCTTAGGCTCAAGTAATCCTCCCACCTCAGCCTCCAAAAATGTTGAAATTACAGTTATAAGCCACTGCTCTCAGGCTATTGTATTGTATTATAAAACCAATATGCAAAAATTGATAAATGGATGAAAAGTAGTTAATTGAAATTTAAATCATTATGCAAGTATAATTTATGCAAACTTTGGATTTATATTATAAATATAGATACAAATAAGGACTCCCATCCTATTATTAACATAAAGCTTGTAAAACTATTTGTAAACTGCTGAAAAATGTGGTAGTAAAGAAACACAATATCAGTGTCATACAATATTTGAGAGGAATTTCAATCATTTAATTTTTGAACAAAATTATTGAGATGCAATAAAGGAAAAGTGATACTTTAAAAATTATTACTCAAAACCCATGTTATAGTAGAAGAGATGTTTTCAAAAATTAAGTAATAATTGCTTGAAAACTATTGTCTGGTGTAAAAAGTGTATTAAGACTAATCTGATAGGACACTAGCCATAACTATAAAAATGAATGTGTCAGGTCACAAAAAATACATATGTTAAAAAGTTTTGTGCATCAAAGGACACCATCGATAGGGTGAAAAGACAACCTATGGAATGGGAAGAATATTTGTAAATTACATATTTATGAAAGGATTGATAAACAAAATAAAAAGAAACTCTTATGACTCAACAACAAAAAAACACACTATGATTAAAAAACTGAGCAAAGGACTTGAACTGATATTTGTCTAAAGAATGTATTTAAAAAATCAATGAGTACATCAAGAGTTGCAAATCAAAACCACAAAGAGATACCACTTCACACTTATTAGAATGCCTATTTTTAAAAGTAAATAAACAAACAGAAAATAACGAGCATTGATGACGATGGAGAAATTGGAACCCTTGCTCATTGCTCGTGGGAATGAAAAATTGTGCGGCCACTGTGAAAAATGGTATGGCAATTTCTCAAAAAATTGAAAATGGAATACCCAAAAGAAGTGGAGGCAGGGACTCAAAGAGACATTTTTACAACCATGTTCATAGCAGCATTATTCATAATAGCCAAAAGGTGGAAGCAATCCAAGTGCCCCCTGATAGATGAATGGATAAACAGAATATGATATATATATAAAACAGAAAATTGTTCAGCCTTAAACATAAGGGAAATTCTGATATATGCTACAACATGAATAAACCTTGAATACATTATGCTAAGTGAAATAATTCAATCACAAATAGACAAATATTGTATGTTTCTACTTATATGGAGTACCTAAAATAGATTCTAAGAGACAAAAAGTAGAATGGTGGCATACAGGGACGAATGGAGCCTTGTTTAATGAGTACAAAGTTTCAGTTGGAGAAAATGAAAAAGTTCTGAAGATGAATGTTGGTGATGATTGAACAACAATGTGAATGTACTTAATGCCATAGGATTAATGGTAAATTTTAAAAAGGATTAAATGAAAAATTTTATATTAGGTTTATTTACCACAGTAAAAAAATGAATGTTCCAAAATGTGAATGACAGTTTCTACCTGAATGTTATTTCATTCTATACTTCAGAGAACAACTGTTAATGTTTTGCCTTCTATTTCAGGGTGGAAGAAAATTGAGGAAATTATGAATATTATCAAATTGCTGCCACTGAATATCCTTTTGGTGTCTTGTAGAAGCACACACACATACTAGTCTGGCAAGAGATAAGCAATCTTTATTTTTCCTACTATATTCAATTATATGTTTAGTATTGAAGGATAAGCTATAAATCAAGATTTAGAATGATAAAGGGAAAAACTTACCATCATAACACTTATAAATTGGTAACAAAAGTTTCTATGGTTTATAGTGGTCTGTTTATCTGACCCAATTAATTTTACTAACACATGGAAGTCAATTTCATCCCCTGTAAGTGTCAGCTGTATATGATTTTGAAACTAATTGAAATTATACTGGTTGTGGTAGAGACTATGGTTTCCTTATCAAATATTCATTCTTTTTTTCCTCAAATTTATGGAATCCCAGTATTTTACTGTGTATATTTACCTAGCTAAATACTACATTTTCCAGCTTTCTTTGCAGCTAGTTATAGTGATGTGATGTGACTTAGCACTGGCTAATGAGATTGCTGTGGGACAGGTACCCCACAAGGTTATTTAAGGGTGTATACCCACCGTTTCAGCCCTCAAGGCTGGGTAGTGAGCCAAGGCCAACAGGCCAAACCAAACAGCAGGTGTCCTTGAGAAACCAAACATCCCACAGCATAGCTGGGAACATCCCATGGAAAATAGTCTTAGCGTATATACACAGTAGACAAAAAGCCAGAAAATTAGCTTAAAAGCAGGTTAGTGATGAGTGGCAAGGTGGATCTCTGAAGCTGTCCTGCTGCCGCCCAGAAGTACCCTGTATGAAGGTCCTAATAAACTTATCTACTTGCCAAGTTGGACTTCTCCAAGTCATTCTTTGGTCTCTCAGCTACTTCCTAGTTTGGAAAGATGTTAGAGTCCCGAATTTTTCTCGTAATAGAGATGTAAGTGGAAGAGTTGTTTGTAACTTCTGCAATGTGCCTTTAGCAGAGACAAGGCAAATATTTGTTCCTTTCTCCCTTCTCTATTTGGAAAGTGACTATGTCTGGAATGATAGCAGCTATGAAGGAATTAAGGACAGTAGTTGCACACTAGTATTGCTGGAGAAGAAATCCGGAGAGTCCTAGTTTCCTGATGATTGCGGACTCTGCATATCAACATTGGACTGACCATAGTCAAACTTCTTTCATGTGGAAGAGGAACAAATGTCTGTCTTTTTAGAAGGAAAGCCCTATTATTTTGTTTTCATTATTTTTAGCTAAGCCAAATCCTAACTAAAACAGTTGAAGATTACCTACAAATGTATAAGCTCCAGTTAAGAAAGATTTTGTTTCTCTTGCAGTCTATGATTTTGAATACTGATAAAGGCAGACTGCTACACTTTTCAAGCTCACTTTCCATTTCTGTCAAACAGAGATGAGATTTCTTTTGACACTACTTTGTTAGCAGAAATGCATTTTTAGACAACTTTCAGACCTTATGCACTCTTAGGCACTGAGTACTGAGAGACTGTGCTGGCCAAATTATAAACTATAAACTCAAATATCTTGTGCTAATATCTGCCTAGACACCACCACACTACTATGTAAATCTTCTATGTCATAATATTTACAGCAATCTATTTTCTAATTTCGATGGAAATATTCATGTGTTGCATAAATATTCATGTGTTTCTACATTTAGGTAGCCCCAGAGGCCTAATCCTTGTTTAGAAATAGAATATCCTCCAGCTTAGAGAAATTAATTTATCATAGACATCACTGGGTAAACACAAAAACAAAGGTAAAATAAATTCTCCTTTTCTGCATTTCTTCTTTTCCAAAATTTTTTGGATACCTAAGTATGACCTTGACAATGTGATATTAATAGAAAAAGCCATTTATGCATTTTGCTGCAAGAGTCGACCCTTACTTTTGAAAACTATCTTGTAGAAAAGGAAGAGCATTGATTTTAGAAAGGGCATCACGAGCCATGTTTAGACAAGCTGTGGTTTGAAGACTGAGTGTGTGTGTGTGTGTGTATATATATGTATACGTATACATATGTGTGTGTGTATATATGTATATATGTATATATGTATACATATATGTATATATGTATACATATATGTATATATGTATACATATATGTATATATGTATACATATATTTTCTCATATACATATATGATTATTTTTTCTCAAAGTGATATGGGAAAGTTATTATTACTTGAAAATGCAGGAATTCTTTCCATTTTATATGGCATGTGATGGGAAAACATAAAGGGTGTATTTGATTTTGTTCTCTCTTTGTCAAAAGGTAATGTGGAAAATGATTTCCTGCACACTGTAAGTGTAGAAATTTGTAATTACCACTATTACTTTCTTCCCAAAAGGATTTTGTATATGTAATTTAGGTAACTCTGACTGCTTTTAAAATGAGAATTCTATGATTTAATTTTAAAAAATCTCTTTAATTATTAAAAATTGATGTATCTTTATGAGATTCATATTCATGTCTTCTCATATCAAAAAGAGATTCAATATCTTTTGGAAGCACTTGAGTTGAAAGGAATGATACTCTTAGCCAACTTTCAAATTCCGCTTACTATAGTATAGTGTCACTATACTTACTACAGTATAGTGTCCTGATTACAAAAATCATGTGTTTATGGACTTTTTTCTACAGTTTTCATTTTGGAGCTCTTTCACTTGTACTTGCTAGAGATATTTTTGTTTATGAATTTTTTGAGACAGTGATTTTCAAAATATTATGTGCATGAGTTTTATAAAAGAAGCACTGAATATACCACTCATAGGAACACAACCTAAACCAATCATAAAAAGGTGATATCACTAGTTTTGAAGTTGAGAAAAAGATACTGAGTGTTTCCAATTATTGGTTCCAGTGGTTTGTTTATAAATGGCTGTTTTTGTAGCTGTTAATTTCTTTTTTCCCTCATCATGTCAAGAAAGGAATATAGAATTATTTAACATAAAACCCATGGAAAATGATCCAAAAGAACAGAAAACTTTCTTTATCAGAGTAGATTAAAACCACTTGCTGCATTTCTTATTTTGAGATCTGGATAGCATCTGCCATTCAAAAGAAAGTAACTTTCAGTGAGAAGTTTCTCCAAATTTCTTAGTCTAGGATTGATTCACGTATTCAATATTTCATGTAATATTTACAAAATCTTCCTGTTCTATAATCATTTTAAGTTAGAATTTTTAAAAAGGATGAACTTGTGAAAGCATACTTTAGTTATAGGCTTTGTATCGCTAAGCTGGATAGTGATAGTTTTCTGAAAGCCTGCAAAGAATATTACCCTTAGCGTATGTATTATTTTATTATAAAAATGGTAGAGAAGTCACTTGGTTTCCTAAAATTTGTCATCTACATATTCTGCTGTAAAAAGTCTACCCTAAATATTTATGGCATAATGCAACAAATATTTTATCATATCCCATAATTTTGTGGGTCAGAAATTCAGGCAAGGATAATCTGGATTATTCTTGTTTTACCTGGTATCGACACGGATCAATAAATATTATTCAGCAGGCAGCTCACTAATCTGCAGCTTCCAAGATATTCGTTCTTGGCATATTGAGAGGGATGTCTGGAAGGCTGGGCTCAGGTGGACTCCTCATATGCTCTAGGTAGTCCCAGGGCCTCTTCACGTGATCTGTTCAGCAGTGTAGTCCAACTTTTACATGGCAAAACAGGGCTCTAAGAATGAGTGTTTCAAGGGGTCCCAGTGAAGCCTATCAGGTGTCATATGACTAGGCCTTGCCAGTTCTAGAATGTCACTTCCAATAAATTCAATTGGCCAAACAAGTCTTTAAAACTAGTTAAGATTTATGGGAGGGGAAATAAAATCTGCCGTTCAATGGGAGGAATAGCAAAGACTTCGCGGCCACGTTTATTTGACTACAATTCTGCTGAATATAGTTTAATTGATTCATAGAGATTGAGAAATTGTGCATCATTGGTTTAGGAATGTTAGACTTTGTCTTGGGCAACACAGTAGTCTGTGAGAAAATCCCAGCTCTCTCATCTAGCTCTACAACTGGAGGGTATATTTCTGCTCTTCAGCTTTCTCATCATGGGGACTCATATGCCTATTTCAGACATCGGAATTTTATCAAACGTGATCATGCTTACCCTTAGTCTAATCCTTTGCCAAGTAGAAGTAGGTGAGAGAAAGCTTCTGCATTTAACCAGATTTTTCTGCTATTTAAAAGCATTTTGAGGCCAGGCAATGTGGCTCACGCCTGTAATCCCAGCCCTTTGGGAGGCCGAGGCAGGCGGATCACCTGAGGTCAGGAGTTTGAGAATAGCCTGGTTAACATGGTGAAACCTCGTCTCTACTTAAAAAAAAAAAAAAAAAAAAAAAAAAAAAAAAAAAAAAAAAATTAGCCAGGGGTGGTGGCACACGCCTGTAATCCCAGCTGCTCCAGAGGCTGAGGCAGGAGAATCACTTGAACCCAGGAGGCAGATGTTGCAGTGAGCCAAGATCATGCCATTGCACTTCAGCCTGGGCAACAAGAGCGAAACTCCATCTCAAACAAATACCTTTTGATTTAGCAAATTTTAAGCATATTCAGTTAGATATCAATATTTAGTTTTGTCAAATGATGGATTACATATTTTCTCTCAATAGTGACTTAATTTAGTGGAGTTTAATTTTTGCTATGCAATATTAAGTAACAATTATATTTTAATGACATATTATGCTTTGAAATTCAGTAAGTGATCTGATACATATAGTATTATCGACCCTTACAATGACAATTTAAAATCAAAAGACTGGTTACTATTCCTTTTTTCAATAGATACAGAAATTAAAAGTCAAGAGAGATTAATTTGCTTTTTGAAGTTCACATTGCCAAGGCAAGTTCAGGCCTCACAGTCAAGTTGTAAGTTTGAGTCACTAGGAAGAACAGAATATTTTTGATGTGTCATTTCCTAAGAAACTTAAACATGTGTGAAGGAAAGAAGGAACTGTAATGTGTTATGAAACATTCAAGTTACATAAACACTGAAAACTTAGATTCATAAAAAAGAATACATTCATTGTATGAGAGAATACAATATTAGCTAATTATGACTACTCTAGTTTACATTCAACTTATTTACAATTAAGTGCCTTCTATGTGTCTAACTCTGGACTCATAGAATCTGAAAAAGAATCTGAAAAACACTACTACAGGAAAAAATTTATTTGGAAATTCAGAAGGGCTTTAGTCTTCATTATCATTCTGATGGTGCACAGTACTAATAATAGCACCGAGAAGCATTACTTTTACATTAGCATAATTTTCTTCTTGATGCCACCATTATGGTTTTCTTCAGTTGACAAATGGCTGTTGCCCACTGCCACACCTGCTACCTTTTCCTTGAGAGTAGCCAATATTATGTTACTGAGCTCCTAGAAATGTTAATTTCTGTTTTCTGCAATCATGAATGACATGGTTAGAGGAGGTTAAACATAGCTGAATTACTATGATTACTGTTTGCAAGAAATTATGCAAATATGTATAAAAGCAAAGTTTGTGAAACATGAAATTAGGATAAACTTGATTTAGCCTCGTATTATTTTTTTTTCTTTTCTTTTTTTATTATACTTTAAGTTTTAGGGTACATGTGCACATTGTGCAGGTTAGTTACATATGTATACATGTGCCATAGCCTCGTATTATTAATGTTATAACTCAAAGTGTAAATAAAACACCAACATAATAAATCCCAAATATGAATGTAAATATTATTACATAGCACTAATAGAATGCTTGTTAATGAAAAATTTTTACTGTAAAAACTTTGTATTTGATATCATTGTTGAGGTATTCTGAAACACATTAAAATCCAGTCTTTGATGGTGTATAATTTTAAAATGATGTTCTACTATTTTTTTTCCTAGGATCATCTCATACAAATAAGTTAGACTTAGATGCCAAATATTTTGTTTCCCATTATAATTTTAAAAAGTAATATCATGATTCTACAAAGCATGTTTCTGTAATTTAATTTATATTATACTAACATCAATAATGCCTCAATTATTTACAGTACACTAAAATTTAAATATTTGTTTTGAGGAAAATTTTTCTCAAGCTAAGTTTACTGAATTATCATCACTAACCCATATTTTCATTCATGCTTACTTTTGATACTTTCTCTACTTCTTTCTTGGTATGATAATAAGAATGAGGGAACCAAAGTACTTTGAAGAAAAATTGGAAAGCATTTTGTGTTCCTAATTTTAAAGATCTAAATTCTTACTAGTGGGTAACTTTGCAAAACTGTACTCGGGCAAATGTGAATAAATTATCATCAGCTTGTTGGTTGATATTAATAAAACTATATTAAAATCTCTAAATTATAATTTATGATAAATTATACTACCTTATAAAATTTATTTCCAAAAATTATAACACTGAATAAAACTGATCATGCATGCATGTGAATATTTTATATGGACTGCTATATTTACATATATCACATATACAAGTATATAACAAATGTGCATGTAGTGTATGCCTGTGTATTCAAGAAATAGGAAACCACTCTATGTTAATTTTTAAAACTATGCTATAATGAAGAAAAATTTAAGCATTCATAAATAGAAAAACAATTCATAGGTATACATAGATATATACTTCATTAGTATAAGTTAGCATTGCTTCAAATATTATACAGAATTATATGTGAAGAATGGAAACATTACATTAATTTCAACTCTATTAATGTTCATGTTTACAGGATGCTGTTTTTAAAATCAAAGAAAACTCAAAAAATGTAAGTGGTATATTTGTAAATTTAAGTTTTAGAAAACCAATTTTCAAGATCAACCATGAAATCATAGTTGGCTATGAGAGAGGCCAGCAATGTATTCAACTGATTTCTCTTTTTCCTAGGCATTCAGTTAAGCCACATATCCCAGCTTAACTTGCAGTAAGGTATGGTCCAGTAGCTAAGTGCTTTAAATTGGGATATAAAGGGCAAAATGATTGTCACTCCCAGGCCTGTCCCATAAAGGCCTTCCATACATGATCTTCTGTGCTTTTGGCCACTGTGCTGCTTAAAGACATGAAGATGCTGGAAATGAAGAGTTGAGTATGGCAGAGCCCAGTGTTGAAGACTCAGTTGTTCCAACACCAGTCAGGGGAGATGTGGCTGCTAATATGAAAAATAGTTTTAGTTTTTAAGGAAATGAAATGAATGCTTATCATATTTGAAACATTATACATTTGTGCGTGTGTGTGTGTGTATATACCTGCATGTGTGTATGAGAGTAGCTAGCATGATGTTAACTTATACACACAAACTTAAAAGACATATGAACTTAAAAAAAAAATAAAATAAAATATTAAAGTGATTTGAAATGAGACTTTTTTCTGGTTTCACTTTTATTAACTTCTTATTCAAAATATTCTTTTTCCTTCTTTGGTTATACTCCATTAGCACAGGTGTTCAAATGGGGCAGGTCCTTGGTTGATGACTTTATTTTGGAATAATTTATGCCATAAAATCTTCAGCTGTACTGGCTAAGACGGAGCATTTGATACAGGAATGCAAAGCTGCTTCAACATTGGAAAATTAATTAACATAAGTCACCCAACTAACAAACTGAAAAAGAAAAACTATATTAACATCTCAACAGATGCAGAAAATGTATTTTACAAAATTCATTTTCCATTCATGATAAATAGTGGCAAAATATATTAATAAAATGGAACTTCTTTAACCTGATAGAACATCTACAAAAAGAAAAAAGAAAAAATCTTACCTATAGTTTAATCAATGGTAAAAGACTAAATGTTTTCTCCATAAGATCAGGAACAAAGTAAAGGTTTTCTCTCTCAGCATTCCTTTAAAATATCATACTGGAATTTCTAGCCAGTGAAATAAGGTAAGAAAATAAATAAAAGGCATGCAGGATAAAAATAAAAAATCAAAATTGTGAATATTCTTATATGACATAATTACTTAGATACAAAATACAAAATAATCTACAGAAAATCTCCAAGTACTAATGCATGAGTTTGTACACTTGCAAAATACAAGGTTTGGTGATATTTCTGTATACTAATAATAAGTATTTGTAATTTGACAGTAAAAGACAATATTATTTATTATAGCACCAAAAATAAAATAAATAGATATAAGTCAAGCCAAATCTATGCAGGATTTGTACATTGAAAACTTCAAAACATCAATGTAAGAAATCAAAATATTCCATTTATTTAATGGAAATATAAGCTATAGTCAGGTATTAAATGTAAGAATTAATAAGATGTCAATTGTCCTCTAATACATGAATAGTTTCAGTGCAATCCCAATTTTAAAATAGTATAATTTGTTGTATACCACAACAAACTAATTCTAAAATTTGTATGGAAAGGCAAAGGAGCTAGAGTAATCAAGAAATTTTTTTTTAAGTTGGAGCACTCATACTATCTGATGTAAGACCTACTGTGAAGGTATAGTAATAAAGAAAGTCAAAGCAATGAAAATTGCTAAAGCATACACACCTATATCAATGGCAAGCAAGAACATCAAAATATACTCAACCTCATTATTTAGGTAAATTAAACAACCATGAGACAACACTTCAAATGTATTACAGAAGCTAAAAAATAACAAAAATGACAATACCATACTTGTCAAAACACAGAACTGTATACCAGAAAGAGTGAATTTTGCCATACATAAATTAGAAAACAAATTAATTAAGCAAATTTTCAATCAGAAGTGGTCACTTCACAGTAAGGCACATTTTCTTTCTCTACAGTTTTGCAGGTTTGATGATATCTCTTCCACAGACATGAAAACTACCTCTCTGTAATTTTGCCCATTTATCATTTCTACTTATAGGAGCCACAACATGACATTCAAACTTAGGTAACATTTCAGGCAGCCCTCAGAATGTTTTTACATTCATTTGAAAATGTGAGGAAACATTTTTCAAATAAACATTTTGATTAAATATAAATATAACTAAAACAGGAGATTTGGCAGTGCTATTTTATCCCCATTATCCTTTTTGTCTCATTGCTCATAAACTCACAAACTATAAGGATGGCATATTCATACTCGGATTGCACTCCTTTGGACAAATCCAATTCCATAACCATTCTAAATATGGCCTCAGGCAGCGAAGGACCTTCCTACACGATCCTTAAAATCAACAGCAATTTTCTAATTAAAATAAACGAATTAATCCCTAAGTATTTTTGGAAAATTCCAACTTCCTAAGACAAAACCCAAATGAACTCACTAAGTCATTTCAGAGGCAGTAGGTTGTTGACAGTATACCAACCAGGCTAATTAACAAACAGATAATCGAACTGAAAAGTTGGCTCAATTCAGTGATTGCTTGGAGTGCAACATATCCTTAGCATATGACATATTAGAGATTCTATTCACCATGAGAATTTGTTCCCAGCCATACTTTTGTACAAATAATATATGCAAGAGAGAAAAATAAAAGCTTCAGGGGCAATTTCAAACATCACTTCAGATATTCATTTTTTTTTTTAAAAAAAAAGGGTCTTTTTAAATTCAAAAATGAAATATACATAATAAACCTCTGTGGAAGAAAATATGTAAACCAATATGACATAAATATAAATATAACTTCCCTAATATGAGGAGTCAGATGTAGTTTTTGCTTTCATTTATTCAGGAAATATCATGTTCCATGGCATGTCTATTTAATTAGGTTTACAAAGATAAATAACATCACAATATCTGTTTTCATTTCTATAATAGGACACTAATGGAAGTCATAAGAGGAGGACCCAAGAAAGGCTAAGATATGAACAGCCTGAACAATTTCTTTGAAGGAGATAAACTGTGAGCTGTGCAACTGTACCTCGAAAGAGTGAGATTACATGACTAGTCTTGGGAAACGAGTTAGGAGCATTTCTAGGAATGATGCTTACCTCAACGGAAGTATAGAGACTTTAAATACCATTGTGTTATTTGTTTAAAAAAAACAGTTTGTTATTGCATGCATGATTATATCCTTGTAATATAAGGGGGGCAGTGAGTCTTCTCCCTTTGAGTGGGGAAATGTGTTGAGCTAGAGCTAGTTCCCCATCCAAATGTTGTTTCCTGGAATAAACTTTTACAACCGTGAGAGCAAGAACTTTTTTAAAACCCTCACTAAAATACCTTAGCACCTTCCCATGGAAGATAAATAAAAGCAAATGACTTGAAGTAGAATGAAGTGAGTAATCTCATGAACAGACACAAGTACTGCAGCACGCAAGGTGAGGAAGATGTAGGGGACAACAGCCAATTCATGGCGGCAGCCCAGTCTGAGGAAAAGCAGAGCTGAATTTTTTTTAGAGGGCTCATCTGATTAGGTAAGGCCTGCCCAGAATAATCTCCCTTTTGATAAACAAGGGAAGGATATTACATCTGAAAAATTCCTTTGCCGTTTGCCATATTAATTTGGTTAGAAGCAAGTTATAAGTGTCACCCACACTAAAGGGTTAGGATTACACAGCAACATGGAAGTGAAGGGGTGGAAATCAAAAGTACAGCTTAGAATTCTGCCTACCGTAATATGTATTCCGGTTTAGGAAGCATGGCGTTACTATTACTTTCAAGTATTTGAACAGAGATAATGTAATACTAAATAAAATAATCCCTTTTTCTTTTTTTATATTTGTTTTATGTTAATGTACTTATTTCAGATTCCTGAAATGAAACTGAAAATGAAAAAGGAACAAATTTTGGGACTAAATGGCTACCAATACCTTTCTGAAATTTATGTGTCAGTATACAAAGTTAAATAACAAGTAATATGCAAATTAGTTATGTATTTTTAAGGTAATTTTTCAAATTTTAAAAGGAATTCTTCTCCCAGAGAGAAAACATTTTTTTAGTTTGCTTGTCAGAATAATTCCTGTCATTTTAGCTCCCTGAATAGACATTAAATTTTATTTCATATTCTGTATTTATATAAAATAATAGAATGTTGAATCCCTAAAGGTTTATTTTATTAATTGAATAATATACTTATATAAAAAAGTATATATTATAATAAAATGATTTTATTGTTTTTAATAAATGGGTGTATAAGGGCATAATTAATTCAAATAGTGGTCAAAATGCCAGTCATTATTATGATTTCAAAAGTAGCATACTTTTGCATACTGACGTAATCACTCATCATTTTTTGGTGACCAATATTTAAATAAAATACTTACTTATATAAAACGATCAGATTTATCACGTGATAAAATGGTTCACCATATATTTTTGAAAGGAAATTAAAGTTTTCTGTAATATGAAGTAAACTTCTTAGAAATCTCTATAATAAAGTTGGAATTGTGTTCAGAGAACAGGAAATGAGTGAACAAGAAAGAGACAAAGATACCCCCTGCCACCTTCCTATTAATTATTGGTGGTTTTCATGGCAAGTGGATCATGAATTACTAAGTATAAAATGATAATGAGAATGAAAAGCAAAAGAATAATGCCTTCCTCTCACTAATTTGGAATCCAAGTTCATCTAACTCTATGATGGAAGGTACTATTTTCAAGACATAGGAAGGTTCCTCAAACATTAATTGTGACAGATTTAACTCAAGTGTGTTGGGCTTGCATTGAGATATCTTCTGTGATATTTACTCTTTCCTGACCTAATAATGGCACCAACTTTATAGAGGAGAATGGTAGACAAATTGAGTGGCTGGAGCAAAAATTCCCTCAAACACCAGAACAAACAATCCAGAGAGTATGAGGGCAGTCCATTCTTTGGACTAATCAACTGCCTCCCCTTCTCCTGCCATTATTGTTTCCATCTATGGCATTGCCCCATGATTGTGTGATCTCAGTTTCTGTGCTCTGAAGTCAGAACCCCATCTCAATGAGGTGATCATATTCCAGTGTGAATTCAGATTGGTTTTCTGTTCCTTCATTTCTGAGTTTAGCAGCAACTACCCCTGATAGATTACTATTGGCACTGCCACAAAGACAGAGGAGCTGTCTCAGCTCTGATTTTCCCCAGACTGGGCTGCTACCATGAAGAGCCTCTTGTCCTCCTCTTCTTGCCCACCTTACGTGCTGTGCTGCAGTACTTGTGTCTGTCCATGAGATTACTTACTTTACTTCAACTCATTTTGCTTTTATTTGGCTTCCATGGGGAGATGTTAAGGTGTTTCAATGAGGGTTTTCAACAAATTCTTGCCCTCGTGGTTTTAAAAGTTTATTCTAGGAAACAACATTTGGATTGGAAACTAGCTCTATCTTGAGGCATTTTTCCCACCTCAGAGGGAGGAGAAGGCTCATCACCCCGCTGGATTCTTTTTTTTACTGGTGAGGCTTTATCTTCCCTTTCAACGGGGGGTGTGTTTAGGGAAAGCAAGCTCAGCTGCTGTGAAAAATACTTGTAAATTTGTGGCTAAGTGATCTTGTGCTGGAGTCACCTGTCCAGGACTCACTCATATTTCAGCCCTGATATTTACTAAATGTGTAAATATGAGTAAGTTTTTTAAGTGTAACTGAGCCTCAATTTTCTCAGTTGTATAATGGTCTCAATTTTAGTACCTCTCTGACTGACATTATTGTTATAGTTCTAATATTTAGATAATTGATTAATTCATAGCACAGTGCTTAGCCAATATATACAACTATAAAATTTTTATATGAAAACATATATTTTCAAATTATATACATACACATTTATAATGTTATCAATCTGCTTTAGACTTTTAGATTCTCATTAATTTTTGATAAGATGCAAAATCCTTAATATTGCTTATAGGATTTTAAATATTTTGTCTTGCGTTTCAATTCTAGTGGTATTTCACATCAAATTCCTCTGCCATTTTGTCTTTCTCTTTCTTTGCCTTCTGTCTCAGTGTAAGAAACCTACCTAAGGCATTAGTTAGCTTTTCTGAAGTTCTCAGTTAATTGCAAATATTGGCAGATTGTATCACCCAGGAGTAGCCACAACAGTATTTCCCATTCCACACTCTCTTTGGCAGTTTGATTTTGCCCCTTCTCCACCAAAAAGTCAAGTTTATTTCTCTCTGTTTTTGACTCTTGGAGGGTCTGATGATTGTCTAGACCAATAGAATACAGAGGGGAAGAATGTGTGTGGTTCAGGTTTACTCCAAACCAGACTGGCAGCTTTTGTACATTTAGAACATTTTGCACATTTGGAACATTTGTGCATGGGATACTGTCACTCTTAATACAGCCACCATACTGTGAAAAACCTAAGTTCAATGGAGAGGGTTTATGTCGGTGCTTTGGTTGACATTTCCAAATGATCTCTCAGTCTTCTAGCCAAGTGAGTGAGTCATCTTCAATGTCCAGCCCAGTTAAGCCTTCAGATGGTTCTAGCCTGCAGCTATCTGATGGAACTGCATGAGGTACTCCAAACAAGAACTGTCCATCTGAGTCCAGTTAACTCACAAGGAATGTGCATACCAAACTATATAGTGTGTCAATTATTAATAACTATTAATATGTTTTATGGTGTTTTTCCTCTACAGTAATAAATAGAGCAGATTTTGATGAAATTTTATGGCTTAGTTTATTGATTTTAGTAGTTAAATTTCCAAATTAGAAGCTTCTTTGGGAACAGTTCTTTCTGTGTTGTATCAAATCTTAAATTTTTCCCTCACTTATGCGATTCACATTATGTATACAATTCTAAGATGTTCATAGACCTCCTGAATCTCATTCATTCCATCTTTCTGAACAACAATTATTTCTATCTTAAATAAACCTGTTCAGAATATTTAATTTGCTTTGTAAGGTCCTTATATCCTTTGAATTCACAACTAAGTTCTAATAACTTTGAAATTTAGTGCAGAGAAAGACAAAGGCAGGTTAAGGTATTATACAGGAGGTAAAACTTTTCTTGGGGTCTTCATCTGGGCCTGAGAATTAAACTGACATAAATAGATTAACAGAAAAAAATACAGATTTACTTAATATAAGTTTTGCATAATATGGTAGCCTTCATAAGGAAATGGAGACTCAAAGAAGTGGCAAAACCTAAATGTTTTAATGCTAGGTTGAACAAAGAAAGCAATAGTGAAAAAAAAGCTTAAATACAGTGTAAGAGGAGGCTAAATGAAGATAAGACTTATTTTAACAAGGTCTATTTTTAGAGAATTCTCTTGTTCTCGATTCCCTGTGTCTGGTGATAAGAATGTTTATTTCCTCCTGGTATGGGGAGACATCATCTCTCACATGGGGGTTTTATCTTCTACTTTCAGGAGGAAAAGGGGAAGTCAGAAGGTATTTTATGAATCTGCTGTTTTTTAAGTGTCTTTAGACCAAAATGATCCTTATGCAAAAAGAGCATACGAGTGGCATATCCTGCTACTCTTCAGTATACAAGTCACAAATTCAAACATCAATAACAATGATATATGAGATATATCTTACCCAGTTCATGAAGTCAGGCTTAAAACAAGTATACTTATTTAAATTTTAAAAGCTCTTTGTCTATTCATTTTTAGTTTTTTCATATATTTATTTACTTTTTTCTCCCTCATTATTTAATAAATATAGATGGAGCTTCTCTTAAAATCTGAGCCCTGTGCACAGTACTGCAGATGTAGAAATAAATGAGAAAAAACATTTTTCCAAGGTATTCATTGGCTAGTTGGAAACGTAGATACGCAAGCAAATAAAAGTGAAATTCCTTGACTGTAACAGTAGAAGGGTCAGATAACATATTCTTGTAGTCATTTCTAACCTGCATTTAGAAAGACGGATGGGAGTTTTTGAAGTGCATAAGAGATTATAACTATTCAGGAAGGGGTAAGAAATAGTATTTGGCAGTTAGAGAAGAATGGAACCATCTGATGATTAAATGTGGATGTAGGATACAGCTGAGATAATCCTGCTGATGTAGCCAGGACCACCTCACAGCACCCTAGGTTATTTAGACTTTCTCTGGAAGGAAACATGGAGCAATTAAGGGGGTTCAGTCAGGAGACAGAGGAGTCATTTTTTTCCTTCCAAACTGTCACTCTTGAAGCAATCCAAAGGATGAGTTAAAGAGGAAGAACCAGGAGAAACAGATAGAAGCCCTTTCCAAAACTGAAATATGTTGAAGACTTGAATTAAGACAGTGTCAGAAGAAATGGAAAGGGGAGAAAGGATTGGAGATATATTTAGAAGGTAAAACTAGCTGAATCTAGAGATTAATTTCATATAAGGATATGAAAGAACATAAAGCCTTGTTGGTATTCTTATTTGGTGTGAGAAACTATGTAGATTATAGTATGAATCAAAGTATAGGAGCCAAGATGAAATTATATTTGTATATTGCTATGGTCTGAATAAAATAAGTAGGAATATACCTGTCTTTATTAGCTCAAGTTACTACAAGTTAAATGGATACTCATTTAAGCAAGAAACAGCTAAGTTTTCTAATATATTCATTAAAAAGCCATTATCTGTGTTAAATATATGTAAATGCTGTTTTCAGTACTTAAACAATATCCTCCATGGTTTTTTTTGCTTCTTTTCCTCTCTATTATATGTTACCTTTAAAAAAAGCCTCAAAAAACAGCAAACAAACAAACAAAAATCCTCCCAATTACATTATTTCCTCTAATTCTAGCCCCATTAAGTTTTTTTATTGTAAAATCCCAGAAAATAGTTGCCTTTTCTCTCTATCTCCAATTCTTCATCTAGCATTTCTTTTTTATAGTAGATGTATTAAGACATAATTTAATTTACATAATTACAATTAACCCATTTAAAAATGTATCGCTCAATGTTTTAGTATATACGCAGGTATACGTAACCATATGATTGTGAATTTTAGAACATTTCCATTACCTAACAAAGAAACCCTGGATCTTTTAGCTATTGTCTACTATTATTCACTAATCCAAGTCAATGCAATTGGTCCGTGAAACAACCCGATCTTAACTGGCAAATTCTGTGTCATGGAGAAGGCCTTTAGTATCAACATAGCAAAAACTGACCAACAAAAGAACGAGGTAAAAATAGTAATTGAGTGCCCCCTCCTGGAATATCTGGCCAAGGACTTTCCAAAGAGAGCTCTGTGTCTGATTTCTCAAACACCAGGACTCAAAAGAGGAGGTTGATGAACCTCAGTGCTAGGTCTGGGTGCAAAAAATGCAACAGATGGCCCCGCCAGAGTCCTTAGGGTGATGATCCTTATGTCTAATACAAGTACGATTTCCTCCGACCCTTCTTCTGATGAATCTGGAGATGAATTGGAGGAGCCTTGGCAACTTTTACTTTGATGTCTTGGTTTTCTAAAATAAAAAAGACCAGGGGTTGGCTGTTGTAACTCTGTTCCCAGGAGGACGGAAGGCCCTCCGCCAAGGTTTGAGTTCAATGGGGAGGTTGTGGAGGATTGTACTTGTTGGGCCTCTTAGATACCACTACACAGACGACTATGGTCTCCACAACCCCTGGCACCAAGATAAGGGTAAAACAGATCACTTTTCTGGTTTGGAAGTTGAAGTCACTACCTCTACTGGGACCATTACTCAAGCCTGACTATGAATAGCTTCCTTAGAGCCTTTACAAACTTCCATTTTTATGGCCCTCTATACTGAATGTAGAGATGTCCTGTCCAAACTCACTCCTGCTTGCCTTCATCCCCAACTGTGATAGAAATTGCTTTGATTAGGACCCTTATATTGAGGCATATGCAACATCATGAACCTATCCTCATACATATTCCTAGTGCTACTGTCTCTCAGAAACAGTATTGGTGGCCTAAGGGAGAAAAAATAATAACTTCCTTCACTGTTGAGGGTAAAGAAGCCAATGTTCTCGGTAAGACCACGGTATTTTTCCATTCCATCATTCCTTCTAGCCTGTGAAAAGGCCTTAGGCACCTAGATAGTCACCATTGATAATAGATAGTTCAAAGTACTAGTCGGGTGTTTGGCGCCTGCAATGCTATGATGGTTAATTTTAAGTGTCAACCTGACTGGATTAAGGAATACCTAAAAACCTGGAAAAACATTAGTTTTTTGTGTGTCTGTGAAAGTGTTTCCAGATGAGATTAGTTTGTGAATCTGAGTGGACAAGGTGAGTAAGATCCACCCTTAATATGGGCAGGCAGTATCCAATTGGCTTGGGGCCCGAAGAGAAAAACAACAACGACAACAAACAGATAAAATGTTAATGTGTCTATTTGTCTGCTTGAACTGGGATACACTCTACCTTTCTTATTCTTGGATGTCAAAAGCTCAGATTTCCTAGCCTTTGAACTCCTGGATTCTCAGGCTTTCAGCCTCAGACTGAGAGTTATGCCATCAGCTTCCCTGGTTCCAAGGTCTTTGGATTTGGACTGAGCCATGCCATTGGTATCGCAGGATCTTCAGCTTACAGATGGACTGCTGTGAGACTTCTCAGCATCCATAATTATGTAAGCCAATTGCTCTAATAAATCTCCTCTCATATGTCTGTCTATCTATCTATCTATCTATCTATCTATCTATCTATCTATGTATCTATCTGTCTATCTATCCATCTATCCATCCTATTCTTTCTCTCTAGAGAATCCTGGCTAATACAAATATGTAGCTGACACTGTAACTGTTAAAGAAGATACTGCCCAAGCAAAGTAAACTTGCTATGCAGAAATTGATATTGCAAATGCCCTTTTTGGCATCCCTCTCTACTTGGATGATCAGAATTCATTTTCCTTCATGTGGAGTGTGTCCAATACGCCTATAATTTCCTTCCAAAAGGCTCTATAAATTTTCTGGCTATCTGAAATTTATGGGTAGATCAAGATTCAAAATAAGTGCCACTTATGTAGGAAACACTGTCTTCCCATTGTGATGATGACATTCTCCTGGTGGGCCTAGGACACCATTCAATAAGGACTCGATACTCTTTTAACTCACATGCCACAATACAGTTAGGCCGCTAATACAGACAAAATACAAGAACCGAATAAGTAAAATTTGTGACTATAATCTGGGAAAGAACATTCCAGAGGGAATGATTGCCAAAATTTTAACCTTCCCTACCCAACAAATAAAGAGATTGGTGGAGCTATTGAGCTACTGGAGTTCTCACATTCAGCATGCAGGGATCTTGATGGCATCCATATACAGGGCTACTGGAAAAACTGCTACCTTTGAACAGAGGCCCCGACCAGCAGGATTCTCTCCAAGCCCTCCAGCTGGTTATCCAGAATGCCCTTCTGCTGCTTTCCACATATATACACTTGTCATTTGAGTTACAGATCTCAGCATCCTCTCAGTTCACCAAAGGCAAAAGACTGCCACAGGTTAGAGGTGCCCACTTGGACCTATAAGGACCTTGAGTCAGCTAAAAGGTACATACTTCTTAAGAGATAATTATTGGCCCATTATGGGACCTTGATAGGTACTAAGCACATAACTAATGGCCATGAAGGAATCTTAAGACTAGAGATCCATGTCATGGGTACAAACAAGGGTCTCAAATTGCAGAGCGAAGCCAGCTCAAGAAGTTTTCATAACAAAGCCTAGCCTAGTTGGTGTCCCACAGCTCCATGAGAAAGTTTTAGAAGTACAGGACCATTCTCCAGCTGGCCTTGTGCTGATCTAGCTTCCCCATCTCTCACTTGCAGTTCTCAGAAATAGCTGTGGAATGTGCTGAGAATGTACCAACCTGAGATAGGAAAGGAATGACAATAGCAGCCCAGGCTCTGTTCCAATTACCCCAGAACAGGATGTCCTAAACGCTTTGGTTCAGCATGTCCCATAATCCAGAAATATAAAACTGCAATATGGGTTGCTTTCTACTTGTAGCCCCACTCAGATGAGGTGCAAGTAAGGCAAGTGCAGGCAAAATTCCATCTGCCCCAGGCAGCTTTCCATAGCCTTGGAGGGCTGGCTGGCAATAAGTCCCAGTCTTCTATTTTTTCTCACTACTTATCTGTAAGTAATAAAACTACCTCATGTAATTTGTTGTGTGTGTAGATGTTCTGTCTCACTAGACTCAGCCAAGTTGGTAAGCAGAGCATGGGAGTGAACATGCTTCACAAGAAGTATCCCTCTGTCTCCCCTAAATATTTCCTGAGGTGTCTCTGCCTCCATTGGCCAAATGGGAACCCAGATATATAACCTCCTGGACCACACATTGACCTGGTTCACTGATGGCTCATCTCTGTTCAGTTCTGCTGGGCTGGAATGGAATGTTGCTGCTACCCAACCTGAGAGAGATCTGTCCGTTACTTAACATGGTGAGAGATGCTCATCATAATGGGCAGAAGTTCATCCAGGCCACCCCAACAGAGGATCCCTGATGTATTTTCACTGAGTCATATGATGAATGGCTTGGTCATTTGGTCAAGCCACTAGCAAGGCTTAGATTATCATGAAAAACAAGCTGTCTTGTAGGGATGAGACATTTCGGTGAAAACACAGTTATGGTCCTAGAAAGCTTTCTTTAAGCCATGCTGATACTTACCAGGAAAATTCCTAAACTAATGAGGGGAGAAATTACCAATAAACAATCACACTTGTCAACTAAATGTAAAGACTTAAATGCAAATGTCCTCTACTCCAGACCAAGATGTGTGACTGATCACCTCCCGGAGTCATGAGAAGGCCCGGGGAATTCAGACATCATTCTGGACTGGGCCTCTACACATAGGCTGGCAGTGTTCTCAGAAGACATTGAAACAACATGGAAAAGCTGTCCCATATGCCAGTTCTTGGCTAAGGCCAAAAACACTTCCCAGGGACAAATTTCTTGAGCCAAAAAGCAAGGACGTTCTTAGCAAGTAGGCTATATTAGGCCTTTTGCCCCATCCAGCAGGTTCAGCGGGATTCTGACTGCTGTTGATAGTTTCTCTGGGTTTTAGCCTAGCTGTTCCTGTGCATTCCACTTGCTCTGGCCACACTATGTAGGCCTTATATAATCATATTTGTTTCTTGATTTTTTTAATTTCCTGAGCACACTTCACATGAAGACAATTCCAGATTCGTGACTTAAGCAACACTTCAGTGGGCTCAATCTTGGAGCAGGTGAACCCTCTATGCTCTGTACCCCCACAAGGCATGGTGATAATTGAATATTTTGATGGGCAATTAAAAGACAAGCTTTAGCAGCTAAAAAACAGGATCTATATATTTTAGGTAAATAGTCTGGAGTCTCATTGCAGCAATTCCCCACAAAGACACTTTTCATTAGAGCCACATGTTTGCTAAGGTTTTCTTCAATATATACCTTTCTCTTTACAATTATTGGCACTTTGGTCTCGGGGTTCGGAGGCCTTGCAAGGGCCTTCTATCCCTTTAAAATCTCTCTGAAAACTCAAATAGATTGGAGATGAGGATGGTTATTCAACAAAGAGGAGTAGGAGATGGTAACCTTTTTACTTTGTCCCTCAGGTGCACAGTGTAGATTTTTGTCCACAAGAACTTCAAAGTACTGAACTTCACTTGGGGTTTCCAGTCCAACCTTAAAGCTATTTTTCTTAAAGTAGTCTTGCTGCTTTGCCACAGGTAGCCACATGGGATGGAAATAAACATCAATTTTGTGGGCCAAAGAACCAAGTCAAATACATTTCATTCACTACTATGTGGAATGGATTTTAAAGAGTTCCATCCTTTCTCATGGTACAGGACAGACTGACTACACTGCAGTCAATGAAGAAATATTTCCTCCACTCACAGCACATAAGCACCTTGGTACCCATGAGCCTGCGTCGGGGGGAGGAAGAAGTTGGAGAATCTCACCTCTTGTCCCTCTCTCCTCTCTGTTCCACACAGCAGGCTTTGTGACTTGCAGTTTCCCAGAGTCCTTAATACATCTCTCTCAGGCAGTTGCCACCACCCTGAATTTAACAAATTGCTCGTCATCACTGGCCATCAGAGAAATGCAAATCAAAACCACAATGAGATAACATCTCACACCAGTTAGAATGGTGAACATTAAAAAGTCAGGAAATAACAGGTGCTGGAGAGGATGTGGAGAAATAGGAACACTTTTACACTGTTGGTGGGACTGTAAACTAGTTCAACCATTGTGGAAGACAGTGTGGCAATTCCTCAAGGATCTAGAACTAGAAATACCATTTGACCCAGCCATCCTATTACTGGGTATATACCCAAAGGATTATAAAACTTGCTGCTATAAAGACACATGCACATGTGTGTTTATTGCAGCACTATTCACAATAGCAGACTTGGAACCAACCAAAATGTCCATCAATGATAGACTGGATTAAGAAAATGTGGCACATATACACCATGGAATACTATGCAGCCATAAAAAATGATGAGTTCATGGCCTTTGTAGGGACATGGATGCAGCTGGAAACCATCATTCTGAGCGAACTATTGCAAGGACAAAAAAACCAAACACCACGTGTTCTCACTCACAGGTGGGAATTGAACAATGAGAACACTTGGACACAGGATGGTGAACATCACACACTGGGGCCTGTCATGGGGTGGGGGGAAGGGGGAGGGATAGCATTAGGAGATATACCTAATGTAAATGAGGAGTTAATGGGTGCAGCACACCAATATGGCACATGTATACATATGTAACTAACCTGCACATTGTGTACATGTACCCTAGAACTTAAAATATAATAATAATAAATAAATAAATAATAAATTTTAAAAATACAAAAAAATTAGCCAGGTGTGGTGGAAAAAAACAAAACAACAACCAAAAAAACAAATTACTGTATATATCACCCACCACTCAGTCTTGCAAATAAACATCTGATTGCTGTGCGACTGAATACTACAAATGAGTCTTTCTCTAAACATGGACCTTCCTGGTTCTGCAGGCACCCCAAATTTATTAGTTCAAACCCATGGGATTGTTACAATTGGGTTCCGACACCATAGATCTCTTTGTGTTTATCACATTTGGAGTTTGTTATGATTCCTGAATGTGAAGATTAATGCTTTTCAATGAATTTGAGAAGTTTTCATCCATTATTTCTTTTAATTCTTTTCTGTTCTTCAATCTCTCCTCTCATGATAGTCCTCTTTTTCCCATTGTGCATACATTAAAGACTCACCTGTCTCTGAGTCTGTTCCTTTTTTTTTTTCGTTTTTTTGTCTCTGTTCTTTGGATTGTATAATCTCTATATATCTATCTTCAAATTCACCAACTCTTTATTCTGCAAATTAAGACCTACAGTTGAGACCATCTAGTGAGGTTTTTTTTCAGTTATTTTGTATTTCAACTCCAGAATTTTCCTTTTTAAATAATTTCTGTCTTTATCAATATTCTTTATTTGATATGACATTGTAGTTGTATCTGTCTTTACCTTTAAAATCATTGTTTCCATTATTGTTTTGAACATATTTATGATGAAAACTTTGAAGTCTTTGTTAAATCTGAAATATTTGTTTTCACAGGAAGTTTCTTTACCTACTTTTTTTATTATTATTTTTTTTTTACTGGAAACGGGTCATGCTTCACTGTTGCTTTGCATGCCTCAACTTCTTGTTGAAAATTGGACATTTTAGGCATACATTTTGACAACTCTGGGTATTGGCAGTCCCCAGGACTCTGACACCATAGAAGCAAAATGTCTATAAGATATTTCAAATGGCTTTTGTATTTTAATTTTTACCAAGTTCACTGAAAAGTGGGTCCATGGAGTTCCTTTTGCTGCCATGCTGCAAGTAAAATCTTAACATTTTCTTTTGATGCAAGTTCTGACAGTGTTTCACTTCTACCACTCCTAAAAAATTACTGTGCTCAGTAATAATCTTCATATTGGTAAATCAGATAATCAATTCATTTTTTAAAAAATTTTCATCTTATTTTGCATATCAGCAGCACTTCAAGACACTGATTAATATCTTTCCAGGAAAAAATAAAAACAAATAGAAGTTAACAAAATTAAAAAGAATTAAGTGAATTTAAAGGACACTATGTCCTTCCATTATCCTTCCTAAGTCATTGACCACTCTTTAATATCCTTTTCTGGTATATTTTTTGTTTTCCCATTTTCCTAACCTCTAAATATTGAAAATCCTCACTAATCATTCCTTGGATCGCTCTTCTATCTAAATTCATTTTCTTAGTAAACTTATCACATTACTGAAACCAAATGCAAATTTCTAGTCAATAATTCCCCCTTGGATTACAAACTAGCTTATCAAATAACCTAATAAAAATCTCCACTTAGATTTTATGTCGTATGCTGATTTTCCCATACTTCCTTGGTACCAACCAAACCAAATCCTCCTGCACTTTTTCTCAACTAAGCTATTTACAACTCCATTCTCTCAGTTGCTCTGGCCACGAAATATTGGAGTTACCTTTGGCTTCTCACTTTCTCTCTAACTCCATATTCAAATCATCAGCAAATCTTATCAACTCTACTTTCAAGATATATCTAGAATATTATCAATTATCCCCATCCCAAATGCAACCACCCTAGTCTGAGTCACTCTTGCATCACATCTGCATTACTGAATAGTACCTTACTGGTTTTTCTGATACCACACTTGCCCTGCTATAGTTTGTTTTGAACAAAACAGCCAGAATGATCCAATTAAATCCATATGAGACTGTATCACTCCTGTATTCAAACCTATGGTTGTTCTTTAACTCACATGGAATAAAAGCAAACTTCCTTACAGTGGTCTGCAAAACTGTACCCAATCTGTCCTTAACAATATTATAGTAGTCTTCTCAGGAACTCATAGCAAAATATTATAGACTGGGTGGCATAAACAACAGAAATTTGTTTATCAGTGTCTGGAGGCTGGGAAGTCCAAGATCAAGGTACCACCTTTGATCTTCTGTTCCTAAGGAAGACTTTCTTCTTGTATTGCAGACAGCTGCCATTTTGTTGCATTCTTACATAGCCTTCCCTTTGTGCTAGCCCAGAGAGCAAGAAAGCTCCATTGTTTCTCCCTCTTTTGTAAAGACACCAATCCCATCAGACTGGGGCCATACTGTCATGACCTCATCTAAATCTGTTTACCTCTTAAAGGATTCATCTCTAAATGCCATCACATTGAAGGGTAGGGATTCAAAATATGAGCCTAGGGGGAGACACAGACGTTCAATCCATAACACTTATTTACCCTCATCTTCTATTCATCTTCTATTCATCTTCCCTTCATTATTCCTCTACACCCAACTAAACTTTCCATTCACTGAACACCCTAGACACACTTCTTCCTGGCTGCTTTTAATGCTTCTTGTTCCATCTCCTGGAAATATATTCTCCCAAATTACCTCTATAGTCTACTCTCTCAACTCCTTTAATATTTGCTTGATCTCAGCAAATCCTACCCTAGATCTTCTATTAAATATCACAATGTTATTAGTCTCCTACTTGCTTTATATTTTCATAACACTAACCATCGTAATAGTTGACTTAATTTATAAATGTTTAGTATTGTCTGTCTCCTATCATAAGTATTTAAACTTCAGTAGAACAGAGATTGTTTTTATTGCTTTATTTACTGCTACATTTCTAAATTCTGCAGTCATGCACAACGTATAATAGAGGCTCAATATGTATTTTCAATATTGATCAAATTGCAATGCATTAATTTGGGTCACCTGGTAAATGTATACTTAAAAATGTTAAAAATAAAATTACATATTAGTATAATAAGTTTTTGTTTGACATACATTTTTCTCCTTATTAGGTTGTTAATTCTATGGGGTAAGAGCTTTTCTGCATTATTTAGTACTTAATTGTCGGTAATCTGGACAGCCCCCTGCTCAACATTGGAGTTCAATAAATATTGTTTCAATATATGAACACTTAACTATCTTTCTATTTGTATTTATCTTTCCATCTATCTATATTAGGTAAGAATAGCTTGTTGCTGATGGGACTCCTATTTGAAGACTTTCCACTTTGCACTGGATAACTTGTATGTAAATTACTACGCATTTCTCTGTATTGTCTATGTGGTATCTCTATGCTAGGGGAATAGATAATCTAAGAAACTCAAGTAAAGGAAGGACTCTTCCTTTTAAGCTTAAAAGACAGAATTTGGAGAAATTTGAAATTCTCTTACAGAGAATTTTTTTTTTTTTTAAATTCAGCTGCCTTAATAAACCTAGTTTTTCAAAATAAATGCCACCTGCAACATTATGTATTACATTCATTGAAGTGATTCATTTGTGGACAAATCAGTTGCTGTGTAATGTTTTCCATAATGTCTGGCAC
Source organism: Homo sapiens (assembly GCF_000001405.40). NCBI lineage: Eukaryota > Metazoa > Chordata > Mammalia > Primates > Hominidae > Homo > Homo sapiens. The sequence continues at coordinate 195,888,133 of NC_000001.11, read as the reverse complement.
AGCTGGTTTTTAATTTGTTTATAAAATAAAACTATTCCCTTTGGTGTAAGTGTTTTCATTTGGATACACAGATTTGTCATGTTTGAAAACACTATTTTCTTCACTTTATGGGCAAAGAAAAGTGTAATAAGAGACCAAATGTACACTCAGACAAATGGGCATTAAGTAACTTATTTTCTAATTAGCTCACATTTTATTTTAGAAAATAGACAATATTCAAACATAAATTAATGGCTATAATACTCTTAATAAAAAGGCATGTGCTCAATTGGTTTAACCTATATTTCAATTATGAACACAGCCATCCAAATAAACACATTTGCATAGCACTTCCTAAGACATTTTCCCATTATTAATACAAACTTAATGAAATCAACATGGCAAGAAATAATATTGTCATTTAAAAATGACAGAAAAATGCCAAACAATATGAATTATTTTTTCCCTTAATATCTGGGTCAAGATCAATTTCCTGATTCTTTCCTTTCTAGTCCACCTCTTTCAATATTCCGCATATTATTCTACACCATTTATCAGTAGGTAATGAACTTGACTTTGTTTTCATTGACATTAATGTGTGCTCACATTTTCCTCTAAGATGTCTTTAGAATTCAAACTGTTTCAAAGCAAATCAAAGTGACCATAGAATGAAATGAATATGATTCCATTCCAATAGTAAGAAGCCATGATCTTAATATCCTTATTATATTTCATAAAATGTATTAAGATTAAAAAGCTCAAAGTTTTATATTTGAATATTTGAAGTAAGTGTAAGGTGTGGTGCACTGAAAGAAAATGCATTTCAACAACATTCCACAGGCCCTCTTTCATCAACGGGTAAGTGAAGTGTACTATGGTTAGTGTCACAGTCATATATTAAGGTTTAGCTTTTTAATTATTTCATACCTCATTTCTTATTCATTTCAATGATTATAATATAAAACAACCTGTAAATTCTGCCACAATGCTATATCTGTTGTTCCAACTTGGTGTTGAAATCTATGTTTAACATCAGTCTATGTTTTAACAAGCCCTACAGGTGATGCTGATGCAAACCAAGTTATGAGAACTACTGATTTAAAATATGAGCTAACCATTCTGAGTGAAGATGTTTCCCAAGATGCAGTGGCTCAAATATAATATATATATATTTTCCTCAAACAAGATCCCAATGTAGGCAGGCAACATCAGTCCATGGTGCCCTGGATACATATGACACTGATACAGTGACCCAGTTGCTGTGTCTTTCTGAGAATGTTGGAAACTACCTCACAAACATGCAGATATATTTCAGCCTGGAAAAGTGGGAAAGACCATGGAACCGTTAGTGAGAGCAATGTTTGGAGCTCCAAAGAGAAACCTCTAGATCTTACTGCATTTATAACTTGAAGTTTATTGTTTAATTCACATGAAGTCCTAAACAGACATCTCTGTCTAGTAGATAGATCTATTTCAGGAGCTTCTTCAAGGACTCGGCCCACTTCCTTGTGACTTTATTATTGTTGACATGTGAATTCTAGGCTTGTCATTCCTGTCATCCTCTGGCCTGCTGAGAAGACACGATGATGAAGAAGCAACTTGGGAGCTACTAATGGAGCAGCGGAAGTGGCACCAGATCATTTCTCCACAAATCTTACTCTCTGGAATGCAGTGCCATGGCAACACCTGACTGAAAAGGGGGCTGGGAAATCTAATCTAGCTGTGTCCTGGCATGAAAAGGGAATGCGTTCATTGACTAGCTACAAATTGAGCAGTTACAAGGTTTCTCACAAATGGAAAACAATTGTATATTTTCAGTTCTGAACGAGAAGTTTCATTCTTCAATCCCTTTCATTTGTTTTTGACCTAAACTTAATCACATATTTACTGGAGCTGTAGAAGCTGGAATTAAAAATGCCCTCTCCCTGTCATTTGCCCAGGTGAAAGTTAGGGGGTGCTGTTTTAAATGGAAGACAAGAATACTGATACTGATGAACATTTAGCAGTCTCCACCACCCATTTTCACATATAAATTTATCAAAATTTGGTTAATAAAAGTTGAATATGGGTGATATGAATATCATTAACCTACAGCTAATTTTCATTTAGCAAAGTTTTCTGAAAAAAGTGAAATGATAATGTAAACATTCTTGTGTTTTTCTTTCAACTAGTGTTAGGTGTTTTATCTCTCAATCGTAACAATAAGCTAAAAGGTTTTATGAATTTCTACTTTGTATTTAACAAGCTATCATTAATTTAGTAAAATGCTTCTGATTCAGTACTCTAGAATTTTAAAGGAATCATTTTCTAAAACATCGCATGGGTTTAAGTACTTCGCTTTTGTTGGGAATATAGCAGGTGTCAGTCTAAATAATTTTCTATGTAACTGATTAACAGCTGTCTCTGTGTAATATTTAAGAAGCAGCATATGTGCTTGCTAAAGAGTTCACTCTTGGATAGCTGAATAGTTTGTTCTCAAAGCAAATTATATCTCTAGAAGAAAGCTGGCATTTATCTAGCATTAAACTATTCTTTATCAAGAACACGGTTAAATATTTTCATATATAGTAGCTAATTTAAGGATGCCATTGGTAGTAAGGCTATTTCTGTAAGAAATGATTAGATAAAGGAAAAAATAAAGAGGAAGCACAACCAGGTAAAACACTGAAGAAAAAGGGAAAAATAAAAGACAGAGGATATAAATCCAGAGAGACAAGCCTCTAAGTTGACTTCAGTGCAAATGAAAATTCTTGGCAAATATCACAGAGCTGATAATAGCATTACTCTAAATTCACAGTAAGTTCAAATAGGCCCTCAACCACTCTCAGTAATTCTAATTTGCTTCGGATGAGCTCTTATAAGCTTGTTCTCCTGTTTTCAGGAAAAGGCATTAAATTTTCTGATGCACCCAGGTTTCTAATTCCACCTCATTCCTTCTGTAACCCTTCTCACACATATTATCAGGTCATATTTTGTGAAGATAATAAAGTTTGCTAGATAGGAGCTTCTTCATCTTTGTAATGTGTGCCTGAAATTTTCTTCTTCTTTTTGATACCATGAGTAAACTATCTCTTCTGGCAAACACCACTTCCTCCACGTGTTTTCTAATCCCAGACTCTCCTGCTCTCAGAAACTTCACTCCTTTGATTTCCACCCCTTTCTCATATATCTTCAATGTCATTTTCTCTAAAAGGTAATCTCATTAATATACCAATTCCTCTAAAATTTGTTTGAACGGAAAAACCTTCTTCAATTTCACATCAGCCTTCAGAACGTCACATCACCAAGTGTGCATTCTCGAATGTCATTGGCACTTGCTCCATGCCCTTTACTTTTCACCTCCCTCCATCTTGGCTTTCTCCTCCTCCATTCCACAGAACCTATTCTTTCCAGTTACAAATGAGCTCCATGTTGCCAAAACCAACAGTATGTGTCTGTTACGTCCTCACTTTACTCACCCTTTCAGAGACATATTTAATCCAATAGCTAATTCTACCTTTGTCACATGAAATACTCGTGGTTTGTTTTGTTTTGTTTAGATACCTTGATAGATTATATTTTTGGGTTTCCTCATTTATCTGCTTCTTCATTTCTAGACCTGTCTTTTTCTATGTAACTCCTAAATATGGTGTTTTGAATAGCATCTTTTTCCCCACTGGAGTGCAAATGAATAGAGAAATAAAAGAAGTATGTTAGACAATAAGAGAAGAATATATTATTTATGAATGATGAAGTAGTCATTTAAGACTTTGGCTTATGTATGTGGGCAAGTAGTCTTCCTAATAATGATCCTGAAAATAGACAGAGCTACTTAGTCTATAACAGTGTAGAACTATTCTAGGTCTTCTCCCACAGAGATTGAGTCTTCACCAATCGGCTGAGAAAAAGAGAGAGTGAATGCTCTCTCCAAAAGATGATTTCCAAGGAAAAGAGGAGAAGAAAAGACAGAGCTCAGCCTGAGCAGAATCACCATCATAAACTGAAAGATCATATATACCTTTGTGGAAGAGAAACCAGAAGTGACACATTTACTCCCTGTGGAAGGAAACAACTGTGGATAAGCATCAATGAGTATAGACACTCCTGCAATAGCAAAGAACTCTGGAAGTTACATAAATAAATATAAGACCTGGACCCCATGTGACATGTATGTGCCAATTACATAAAGCTGATGATGAGTTGCTTTCCTTTTAAGCCCCTTATAAACTGGCATACATGCTCATTTATTGCTTGAATAACATAAAAAGAAAAGTCCTTGAGCCCAGGGTCTTCATTTTGTTCTATTTATCCCCAATGTTCTATTTATCCCCAGTGTCTACAATGGAAACCACAATGCAGTAGGCAATTGTCAAATGAATGAATAAATAGACACAAAAACAAGGCAAATATACAAATGAGAGCTATATCAGTAGTATATACAAAGCTAAGTAAGGGCAACTAAAAGAGATAGAGGTGCTCATCAGTTGAGATTATTGCTTTCCAAGTTGATCAGGGAAGACTTTTGGAGATGGACTATAAAGAATACGACTGTGCTAAGTAGGATGGGTGAGGAGAACAGCATGACCAAAGGTAAAGTTTTAAAGAATCACAAGACATTTTTTAGGTCTATGAAATTTAATGAAGTGGACATTACCTGAAGATTCTTTGTTTACTACCACAGTATAAAGAAACATCATAACATACATAAAATCATATATTTTATTTTTAAAATTAATTTTTCTATTGAAATTATGTGAAGTTACTGATTTTAATAATTTAACTTTGTAAACTTCTGTATTTTAGAGAAGAATATATTATTTAGATCTGTGCATGAGTGCATATATGTGTATGTGTATACATGTATGTGTGTATGTGTATAAATGCACCTACCAAAAAAATACTATTTTATGACTTAGTAAGCCTTTGTGAAAAAAATACAAGCAATAATTTAAAACTATGCTTTTTTTTATTAATCCTAACTTAGTTCCCAAAATTGCAAACGGTTTCTGCCTAAATTTTCAGAAAACTGACATAATGGCAAAGGCATTCTTTTTCAATTACTCTAGTTTATATATTTTATTTTTCAGACTCCAAAGTTCTTTTAGTATAATTTTTTTTCCTTTTTTACCTTTCAGTTTTTGCAAACATTCTATAAGTAGAAATGAGAGCAATCGTGTCCTATTTTATTTTCCAGAGTTCTATTAGTAGCAGTATGCAGTAACATAGACCGAAAAATAACAAGTAAAATTATTCTATGCTTATTAGCTCTAAATTGGTTTACTGGAAAATTAATGTGAGATTGGAAAATTTTCTAAGTTTCTTTGTCAGTAAGAACAAATATTTGAGAATATGAAATAATTGAGAATAGCACAGAGAAGATTCCTGCTGTTTTTTCCTAGGAGATTCAATAATTTTCTGATTCTTTCCCTATTGTGTCACACAGAATTGCTTGTGTTAGACAACCAGCAAGTATTAAGAGAATTCTATTGTGAATGAGACAGCTTTCTCAGATCTATAGACTGTGTCTGATTTTTAATTTTCCATTGTGTTTATTAGAATAAGTGAATAGTATCTATTAGATTAAATAGCTCAGTTTATGAATAAAAAAAGATTTTCACTACTATTTAAGAACTGAGCTATACGATTTATTTATTTTTTTTTTTTTGCATAGTGCTTATCCAAAAGCCCCATGAAGGTCAATTCCACTGCTTTTCTATATGACAGATATTTTACTCACACTACAGAACTGAGTGCAATTATAACAATCATACTTCAGCCGATAGTCCTTTTTAAAAATCCATACAATGTGTGGTGCTCTGAAGATTTTATGTGAACTAGACAATTAGCAAGGTCTAACTTAGTGGCAACTAGGCCATGCACATTTGATTACTGACCTCTGTGAAACCATGGGCAGGAAGAATAAAAGTTACCTATCGGTCTTATCTTATAACTCTGATCTTTAACAATTTGTGAATAACTAGATATTCACTGGTTCTGAGCTATATGTAATAATTTTGAAAATAGTATTTATAAGAGATTTGTATAATAAAAGTCACATATACTTTCTCTAAAGATATTCCATGCAAATGGAAATAAAAAAGAGCAGAAATAGCTAGACTTATATCAGATAAAAGAGATTTCAAGACAAAACTGTTAAAAAAGACAAAGAAGGTCACTATATAATTAAAAAGGAGTTACTTCAGCAAGAGTACATAACAATTGTTAATATATAGGTATCCAACAATGGAGAACCCAAAGAAACATCAGACAATCTGCATTATAGACCAAATGGACCTAATTGACATTTACAGAATATTTCACACAACAGCTGCAGAATACACATTCTTCTCATTAGCACTTGGAACAATTTCTGGGATAGGCCATATGTTAGGCCATAAAACAAGTCTTAATAAATTTTTTAAATAAAGAAATTAAGTTTTTTTTCTGACAACAATGGACTAAAACTAGAAATCAACAACAAGAGGAACTTTGGAAACTATACAAATACATGGAAATAAAACAACATGCATTAAACAACATACTCCTGAACAAACAGTAAATCAATGAATAAATTAAAATGAAAATTAAAAATATTTTGAAATAAATGAAAATGAAAATACAACATACCAACACCTATGGGATACAGCAAAAGCGCCAATAAGGGAGAATATTTCAGCAATAACAATACACATTGAAAATGTAAAAAGACTTCAGACAAACAACCTAACTATGGATCTCAAAGAACTAGAAAAGCAAGAGCAAATCAGACCCAAATATTAGTAGAAGAAAAGAAATAAAGATCAGAGCATAAATAAATGGAATTGAGACCAAAAAATACTAAAGATTAAAAAAAAAAGCCATTTAAAAAATTTTTTTAAATTAACAATCTTTAGCACAACTAAGAAAAAAAGACACAAATAAATAGAATTAGAGATGAAGGAGAAGGCATTACAACTGATACCACAGAAATTCAAAAGATCATTAGGAAGTATTGTGAGCCACTATATGCAAATAAATTGGAAAACTTAGAAGAAATGGATACTTTCCTATACTTACATAACCTATTATTATTGAATTCTGAAAAAAATGAAAACTTGAATATGTCATATAATTATTAAGCACACTTTTTCTTTGAGGTGAAGATCAAAATCTCTCCTGCCACTATTATTTTCATTTGGCAATGGAAGAAGAATAGCAACAATACTCACCACACATTCAGAAGTGACAGTATCTCTAGCAGATATTTATTTATGGACATTTCATTTCATTTCAATTTGATATTTTCAACTCTGTTTTCTTCTAAAAAATTATCATATTCTAACTTTATAATTGATATGTTAATATCATTATTTTATTTATTGCATTTTCTCTGCACTGATTTTTGTTTGCATTTTTGCAAATTATAAATATTATTTCAATAAAAAATGGTGATTTTAATTTTTCTGGGAGAATCTGTAGAATAACTGCTATCTCCCTGGTGTATGTAAAACAATAGGAAATAAAAGATCAAATGTGAAGCAAAAAAAAGAGATTGAGAAAGCACTAACGTGAGTTCATCTTCATCTTTCTATTTTTTTATATAAGCCATGGAATGTTATTTTGTATTCTTTAGAAATATTTGTCTACATAATTACCTTTCCTAAAAATTTTAAATAATGTTAGAAAAGCATATACATAAGAAATCAGTTATTCAAATCTCATTAATAGCTTTTCTTTTTTTTAACTAATTTCATTTTTCCTCATTTATTGGGGAGCTCTGTTCATTAATCCAGCAAATATTTATTGAGGGATTATTAAATACCAAGTGTAGTTCTGATTCTCAAAGAGCTTAAATTCTAGCAGTAATATTTATCTAGCAAATGATAATAATTTTCAATATCCAAGAGAATAAACAATGATATAACACAAGTTTTCTATCACATTAGCACTTCTTTTTTTTATTGTTCTACAAATATTCATTGATCATGCATCATGAAAAGGTCATTCTTGTAAGCTACAGAGATTCATTGGTAGAAATAAATGTAAAATATTTCCTTTGTTTCTCAGTTTATTTTGTAATGCCAGCTAATCCTCCAAGCCGAGCTGCATATGTATGAGTGAGCCCAGGTCAGATTACCTAGCAGAAATCTTTAGTCTCTGTCTGATCCACAGACTAAAGAATTGTTGGATTCAGCCACTAAAATGTTGAGTGGTTTATTTAAAGCCATAGGTAACTGATGCAGGTCAAGATGCATGATATTCAAATAATGTGTAATATATTAGAAGGACAGTTCTCACTATTTTGGGGTCAGCATTGCCATACACTTTCAAAAATTATTGTGGGCTACAAGAGCTTTTGTTTATGTGGGCAATGTCTATTGATATTTACCATACTAGATATTGAAATTGAGAAAAAAATTTATTTATTTGTTTAAAAGTAACAATATTTAACCTAATATAGGTTAACCTAATATATTTTTATAAAAACTTAATATTTTCATATCTAAACAATAAAAATAGAGAAGAGTGCCATTGTTTCACATTTTTGCATATCTCTTTAATCTCTTACTACTTAGAAGACAAGTAAATTTTTACATCAGCTTCTTCAATCTACTGTGCTATCTTGTTTTCTCTGAAAAAAAAAAAAATGAAAAAAGCTCCTCATTTTCTCTTGCTGCCACCATGTAAGAAATGCTTTTTGCTTCCCAACATGATTCTGAGGCCTCCTCAACCATGTGGAACTGTCAGTCCAATTAAACATCTTTTTCTTCTGTCTCATGTATGTCTTTATCAGCAGTGTGGAAACAGACTAATACAGTAAATTGGTACCAGCAAAATGGGGCACTGCTGAAAAGATACCTAAAAATGCGGAAGCGACTTTGGAACTGGGTAACAGGCAGAGGTTGGAACAGTTTGGAGGGCTCAAAAGAAGACAGGAAAATGCGGGAAAGTTTGGAACTTCTTAGAGACTTGTTGAATGGCTTTGCCCAAAATGCTGATAGTGATATGGAAAATACGATCCAGGCGGAGATGGTCCCAGATGGAGATGGGGAACTTGTTGGGAACTGAAGCAAAGGAGACTCTTGCTATGTTTTAGCAAAGAGACTGGCATCATGTTGCCCGTGCCCTAGAGATCTGTGGAACTTTTAACTTCAGAGACATGATTGAGGGTATCTGGTGGAATAAATTTCTAAGTAGAAAGCATTCAAGAAATGACTTGGGTGCTGTTAAAGACATTCAGTTTTATAAGGGAAGCAGAGCATAAAAGTTTGGAACATTTGCAGATTGACAATGTGATAGAAAAGAAAAACATTTTCTGAGGAGAAATTCAAGCTGGCTGCAGAAAATTGCATAAGTAGCAAAAAGCCTAATGTTAATCCCCAAGACCATGGGGAAAATGTCTCCAGGCCATGTCAGAGACCTTCATGGCAGCCTCCCCCATCACAGGTTTGGAGGTCCAGGAGGAAAACATGGTTTCATGGGCTGGGCCCAGGGTCCCCACGCTGCGGGCAGCCTAGGGACTTGGTGCCCTATGTTCCAGCTGCTCCAGCCATGGCTGAAGGGGCCAACATGCAGCTCAGGCTGTGACTTCAGATGGTTGAAGCCCCAATCCTTGGCATCTTCCACATGGTGTTGAGCCTGCAGATGCACAGAAGTAAAGAATTGAGGTTTGGGAACCTCTGCCTAGACTTCAGAAGATGTATGGAAATACTTGGATGCCCAGAGAGAAGTTAGCTGCAGGGGCAAGGCCCTCATGGAGAACCTCTGCTAGGGCAGTGCCAAAGGGAAATGTGGGGTCAGAGCTCCCACACAGAGTCTCTACTGGGGTACTGCCTAGTAGAGCTGTGAGAAGAGGGCCATGGTCCTTCAGACCCCAGAATGGTAGGTCTACCGACAGCTTACACCATGCACCTGGAAAAGCCAGGGAAACACAACACTAACCCATGAAAGCAGCCAGGAGGGAGGTTGTACCCTGCAAAGCCGCAGGGGCAGAGATGCCTAAGACCAGGGGAACCCACTTCTCGCATCATGACTTGGATATGAGACCTAGAGTCAAAGGAGATCATTTTGGAACTTTAAAATTTGACTGCCCCGCTAGATTTCAGACTTGCATTGGCCCTGTAACCCCTTTGTTTTGGCTACTTTCTCCCATTTGGAACCACTGTATTTACCCAATACCTCTACACTCATTGTATCTAGGAAGTAACTAGCTTGCTTTTGATTTTTACAGGCTCATAGGCAGAAAAACATGGCTCTTCTCTGATGAGACTTTGGACGGCAGACTTTGGATTAATGCTGAAATGAGTTAAGACTTTGTATGACTGTTGGGAAGGCACGATTAGTTTTGAAATGTGAGGACGTGAGATTTGGAGGGGTCAGGGGTGGCATGATATGGTATGGCTGTGTCCAAAATTTCAACTTGAATTATGTCTCTCAGAATTCCCACATGTTGTGGGAGGGACCCAGGGGAAGGTAACTGAATGATGGGGGTTGGTTTTTCTCATTCTATTCTTATGATAGTGAATAAGTCTCACAAGATCTGATGGTTTTATCAGGGGTTTCTGCTTTGGCTTCTTCCACATTTTCTCTTGCAGCCACCATGTAAGAAGTGTCTTTCACCTCCCGCCATGATTCTGAGGCCTCCCCAGCCATGTAGAACTGTAAGTCCAATTAAACCTCTTTTTCTTCCCAGTCTCAGGTATGTCTTTATCAGAAGAGTGAAAACAGACTAATACAACTTGCAGTGTAGATATAAACCACATCAATCTAACTCTTCATTTTCTTACATTAAAATCCTCAGGGTTTCCTGTGGTTTGAATGAAAGCTTTACATATGCATGATTTTGTAAGTTTATGTCCTGGCCATTGAAAAATCACTGAGTTTTTCTTTTTTTTCTTGAGACAAAGTCTAGCTCTGTCACCCAGGCTGGAGTGCAGTGGCTGTATCTTGGCTCACTGCAACCTCCGTGTCTTGGGTTCAAGCGATTCTTCTGCCTCAGCCTCCTGAGTAGCTGGGACTACAGGCGCCTGCCACCATGCCTGGCTGATTTTTTGTATTTTTAGTAGAGTGGGGTTTCCCCATGTTGACCAGGCTGGTCTCGAACTGCTGACCTCATGATCCGCCCACCTCAGCCTCCCAAAATGCTGGGAATACAGGTGTGAGCCACTGCACCCAGCCCTGAGTTTTTCTCATGTTGACACATTTTATTACACAATATTAAAAGCCACAATGGTTAACTCACCACTAACCTCATCAGGAAAACCACGTGAATACATGTTTTTCAAAATGCTAATTTTTGCTTAAAACTTGACATATATTTTTGGCAACAACTTTTGTCAGGTATTTTCCTTTAAGTGACAGGCTTACTGGGTTCATTTTCAATGAATGCCTGTAATGCCAGGTTTACATGACCATTGGATGTCTATTTTTTCAAAAGACAAAAAGTGCTTTTACTTTTTTTTTTTCAAGTAAAAATAAATATTTATTAAAAAGTGGCCAGTTCGGTTTGCACCTCAAATAGTTGCACAATTGTTTTCTTCAAGACAACCATTATGAAGAAAATGTGCTTTGTAGACACTTCCCATTTTATCATACATGATATGAAAATGATGTCTATTTGAGGATCAAGATTGAGTAAAAACAGGAGTTATTATTGCTTTACCAACAGCATTGTTAAATAAGATTGGCTTTTAAAAAACTACAAGTACATGGTGGAGAAGAATGTAATGAGTGCTGACAAAATGTCTGCTAGTCTGACTTAGTACACTAGTACTACAAGCACACAAATCCTCTGATTAGTGACACGATGTCAACAGTTATACCCATCATTGCTTCTATATCATCAATCCAAATGACACAGTAAAAAAGGCAAATAATGTCATTCTATTATTATGAAAGTTTTAGCCTCACAGATGACCTACGAAGGTCTCAAGGACCCATTCGGTCCTGAAGAATAGATTAACAATTTTTATTAGAAGATAAATACATGGGGAAAAATGAATGTCATGGGGGATTAGGGATATTGGAAAAGGAGATGGTTTTTGATTTGTGAGTAGGGTGACCAGTTTTGAGAGTATAAGAAGATGATCTTTGAACAAAGACTTAAGGGAATAAAGAAGTGTGTCATTAAAATATCTAGGGGAGGAATACACAAGGCAAAGAATATGACTAACACTAATTTCCTAGATATTTTTCAAGAATATTCAAGAGGTAAGTGTTACTAGATGTGAGTGAACAATAGTGAACATGAAGGAGATGAAGTTAGAGAGGTAACAAGGAAACCAGATCAAATAAGGCTTTATAGGCCAATATAAGAAGGTTTTGTTTTATTCTTTATAAAGCAGGCATATTGCAGGTTTTTGAGGAAAGAAGTTATGTGACTTAATTTTTGAAATAATCAGTCTAGTTGTAGAACATAAGCAATAAGTGTATGGGTGAGTACACAATGAATTATGAGACTATTGTAGATGAGATAACCTAATGGCTTGGATTATACTGGTAGCATTTGAAATGTGTAGGATAAAATGGTTGAATAATCAATATGTTTGGAAGATGGAGCCATAAGAATTTTCTAATGAATTCGATGTGTGGTGTGAGTAAAAGACTACTGAAGAAAGACTCTAAATTTCTTGGTCTGAGAAAATAAAATGACAATATTGTCATTAATCATTACCACTGGTTTAAAATCAGCTTCTTTTTTACATGCTGTATTTGAGATATCTTTTAGATAGACAGACAAAACCACATTTTATTGCACATCCCTTTAGTATGCTCATTAGATACTGGGCTTTTTGTGTGTGTTTTTGTTTATTTGTTTGTTTTTGTTTTTAAAAATTGAAGGTTTGTGGAATCCCTGGGCCACACAAGTCTATTGGCACCGTTTTTCCAACAGCATGTGTGTGCTTCATGTCTGTGTCACACTTTAATATCTCACAATGTTTCAAAGTTATTATTATTGTATCTGTTATGGTGATCTGTGATCAGTGATTTCTGATGTTACTATAATAATTGGTTTGTGGCACTATGAAACATGCCCATAAAATATGGTGAACTTAATAGACATATGTTGTGTATGTTCTCATTGCTCCGCTCACTGGCCATTCTCCTATCTCCTTCCCTCTTCTCCAGCCTATTTTTTTCTCTGAAACAAAACAATATTGAAGTTAGACCAATTAATAAGTCTACAATGGACTGTAAATGTTTATGTGAAACGAAGTGTCTCACTTTTCTCACTTTAAAATTAGTGAGGAAGCTTAGTGAGGCATGCTAAAAGCCAAAAGAGGCCAAAAGTGAAGCCACTTGTACCAAACAGTTAGCTAACCTGTCAATGCGAAGAAAAGGTTCTTGAGGAAAATTAAAAGTGCTACTCCAGTAAACAAACAAATAAGAAGAAGCAAAAATGTCTTATTGTTAATATAGAGAACGTTTGAGTGGTCTAGATAGATTAAACTAGCTACGACATTCCCTTAAGCGAAAGCCTCATCCAGGGCAAGCCCCATCTATGTTCAATTTTCTGAAGGAGGAGAAGAAGCAGCAGAAGAAAAGTTGGAAACTCATAGGAATGGGTTCACAGGTTTTACAGAAATAAGTAATCTCTATAACATAAAAGTGCAAGGTGAAGCAACAAGTGCTAATGTAGAAGCTGCAACAAATTATCCAGAAGATCTAGCAAAGATTTCATTAAACAACAGATTTTTGGTGTAGATGAAACAGCCTTCTACTTGAAGAAGATACCATCTAGAACTTTTATAGCCAGAGAGAAGAAAAAGCCTGACTTCAAAGCTTCTAAGGACAGGGTGACTCTCTTGTTAGGGAATAATGCAGCTGGTGACTTTAATTAAAGCCAGTACTCATTTATCATTCCAAACATCCTACAACCTTTAAGAATTATGCTAAATCTACTCATTTTGTGCTTTACACATGGACCAAAATGCCTGGATGACAGCACTTTTTTTATAATATGGTTTATTGAATATTTTAAGACTAATGTTGAAACCTACTATTCAGAAATAAGGATGCCCTTCAAAATAATATTGCCTACTGGGTGCGGTGGCTCATGCCTGTAATCCCAGCACTTCGGGAGGCCGAGGCGGGTGGATCACTCAAGGTCAGGAGTTTGAGACCAGCCTGACCAACATGGCGAAACCCTTTCTCTACTAAAAATGCAAAAATTAGCTGAGTGTGGTGGTGGGTGCCTGTAATCCTAGCTACTCAGGAGGCTGAGGCACAAGAATCGCTTGAACCCCGGAGGCAGAGGTTGCAGTGAGCCAAGATCATGCCACTGCACTCCATTCTTGGCAACAGAGCAAGACTCCATCTCAGAAAAATAATAATAATAATAATATTGCTTACTGACAATGCACCTGGTCACCCAAGAGCTCTGATGGAGATGTACAAGAAAATTAATGTTGCTTTCCTGCAAGCTGGCACAAGGTCCATTCTGCAGCCCATGAATCAGAGAGTAATTTTGACTTTCAACTCATATTATTTAAGAAATAAATACATTTCACAAGACTACAGCTGGCATAATAGTTATTTATCTGACGGATCTGGATAATGTAAATTGAATACCTTCTGGAAAGAGTTCATATTACTAGATATTATTTTAAGATCATTTTTGATTCATGGCAGGTGGCCAAAATTTCAACATTCACAGGAATTTGGAAGATGTTGATTCCAGCCTTCATAGATGATTTTGAGGGATTCAAGACTGCAGAAGTTATGGAAATAGCAAGAGAACTAGAATTAGAAGTGGAGCCTGAAGATGTAACTGGGTTGCTGCAATCTCATGATAAAACTTGACCAGATGAGGAGTTGCTTCTTATGGATGAGCAAAGAAAGTAGTTTCTTGAGATGCAATCTACTTCCGGTGAAGATGCTGTGAACACTGTTGAAATGAGGGCAAAATATTTAAATATTACATAAATTTAGTTAATAAAGCAGTGGTAGGGGTTGAAAGAATTAACTCCTATTTTGAAGGAAGTTTTATTCTGGGTAAAATGCTATGAAACAGTAGCATATGCTACAGAGAAATCTTTCATAAAAGCAAGAGTCAATCAATGCAGCAAACTTCACTCTTGTGTTATTTTAAGAAATCTCCACAACCACCCTAACCATCAGCAACCACTACTGTGATCAGTCAGTAGCCATCAAAATCAATGCATGACCCTTGAGGAACAAAAAAGATTACAACTCATTGAAGGCTCAGGTGATGGTTAACATTTTTTTGCAATGAAGCATTTTCTAAATTAAAGTATGTTAATTTTTTGAAGCATACTGCTATTTCACACTTAACAGACTACAGGGTAGTGCAAACATAACTTTTAAATAAACTGGGAAACAAAATATTTGTATGATTTGCTTTATTGTGACATTTACTTTTTTGGAACATTTGCTTTATTGTGGTGGTCTGGAACCAAACACATAATATCTCTGAGGTATGACTGCACAACATTAGTTATTAACCAGATAGTTAAATATATCGGACTGGATTGAGGGGCGAGTCCATGGTAGAGACAAAAATTTGAGGATTCTTCATCATTAGACTGATGAGATCACTGAGGAAGTGGGTGGAGAGTGTAGAGTATAAGATAAGTAAGTACTTAACCCTGGGCTCTGCCAATAGTAGGAAGCTGGGTAGAAGAGGAAGAAAAATGAACTAAGGGGAGCCCACAGTGAGGTAGAGACTAACGCAAGACAGGATGCATTATTTAGGTCAAGTGAAAATGATTAAGGCTGATTTTCTGTGTCAAATCTTTTGACAGTAAAATGAGTAGTAAGAACTGACCATTGGATTTAATAACATGGAAACCAATGGTGACCTTGATAAAATGTTCTACTTGGGGTAGTGTGGGCAAAATTCTGATTAAATTGGATCCAAAGAAAAATGAAATATTTAAAATTTAGCTGAAGGGTTTAGAATTGAAATAATAGAAAACACTTTAAAGCAAAACAAAATAGAATTCTTAAAAATACATATAATTCGTAAAAATATATGTCCTTTTACATCATTTATAGTTCTGTTTTATAAATCAGGGCAAATAAGTATTAAATCAGTCCAGTAGGAACTTCATAATTATATGCTTTGTTTTAAATTCTGAGTATGAAACTCAGAAAGAAAGTTAACTCTCACAGTATTATGGAAACTTTATCAAGATGTTTGAAGATATGATAGATAAATATGTTATCAACACTAAAAGAATATTAGATTTCCAGCATTTTTAACTTTCCTTTTAACTTTCTTCCATGTTAGGGGAAAGTATTTTTATAATAATTATTTTGTTTTTCTAGTCCATATGATAAATATAGAAATATTACTACAGTCACATTAATTTTATTTCAATTTCCAGTATTCACATTAAAAGCAGTCCAAGTAGGGATATCACCATTGATATGAACTCTCCTCCCTCATCTGTACAGATGATCAAAATGCTTTCTTTCCACAATTCTGTAGTATTAAAAAAAACTCTTGATTAATCTTTTTTTTTTTTTTTCAGTTTTTACTATCTACCAAGCATTTCTTCAGGGACTGGGTGAAAATTAGTAAATAAAATTGCTCAGAATGTTTTCTCTCTATATATGCTGATTTGAAATGTTAACAAAACAGTAGATAATAAATCTTTGAGGCAATGGATGTGTTAATCAGCCTGATTTGATCATTCCACAATGAATATATTAAATACCACATTGTACCCCATAAGTATATACAATTATTATTTGTCAATTAAAAATAAAATAAAAAAAAAGTGGTTACTGAAGACTTTCATGAAAAGGAGACATTTAGGGAAAACTTGAATAGTAAGTAAGAAGCATTTTGGCAAGTTCTTATCTGTGTCGTATCGGAACACATGATTAATCATTGTTTATCGGCATAAACTTTTTTTGTGGGGCAGCTCTTGTATCCATATATGCTCCTGAGGTACTGTGATCATCCCAGCATTATAAAGGTAAACTTTTGCTTAACCATATTTTGATACCACAACCAAAGAGAAAAGAAATGCAAGCCGAGAGAATAAATGGGGGACAGAGAACCAGGCTTTGACAGTGGCTGGACACCACACATCTCTGAGGTTGACAAAATGGAAGTACAAGGGATATTTGGGGGATAAGAGGTTATAGCACAGGGAAAAGAGAAATTTGAGAAAATGATATTCACACACGACAAGGAGAGAGCATTTTAAAACAAAAATCTTTCAAATTATTAGTCTAAAATAAAAGAAAACCCATCAGTGAATAGATGGATGTTAAAACGATCAATCCTGAAGAGTCAATCAGGGGGCTAGAAAATGAGGTAGCAGGGACTTCCAGAATACAGAAATCCAACCTAAAGGTCAACAAGATGAATAATTTGAGAAAAGGAAAAATGAGAAAACAGATCTAAACGAGCAATCAATTCAGAATTTTTCAAAATCTGTACAATAATTGTTCCAAAAATAGAAGTGAGAAAACAGTTTGAAGACTGGTCTAATTATAATAATGCAGTAACAATTTTCAGAGCTGAAGGAACACAATCTAAAAGAATCCTCAGATTCTTAAGTAGATAAGGGCACAGGATTGGGTGCAGGAGAGTGCAGAGAGTGAGAAAGCAAAAGTGAGAGCAAGAGAAAAGCTCTAAACTACTTATATCACAATGAAAGACAGTGAAAAAAGGAGGAAAATTCCTACTACAGGATGAGATATACGTCTTCATGAAGACGACTCATTGTTAATGTTAGATTCTAGAATGTGATAAAATATACCTTCAAAATGCTGAAGGGAATTTTTTTTTCTGATTTTTGAACTCCTTGTTTAGCCACATTATGGTTTATATAGAGTGCTCAATAACATTTTTAACATGCAAAATTTATACAGTTTATCACTCTAAGATTTTTTTTTTTTTTTTTTTTTTTTTTTTGAGATGGAGTCTTGCTCTGTCGCCCAGGCTGGAGTGCAGTGGCGCGGTCTCGGCTCACTGCAAGCTCCGCCTCCCGGGTTCACACCATTCTCCTGCCTCAGCCTCCCGAGTAGCTGGGACCACAGGCGCCCGCCACCACGCCCAGCTAGGTTTTTTTTTTTTTTTGTATTTTTAGTAGAGACGGGGTTTCACAGTGTTAGCCAGGATGGTCTCGATCTCCTGACCTCGTGATCCGCCCACCTCAGCCTCCCAAAGTGCTGGGATTACAGGCGTGAGCCACTGCTCCCGGCCTTTCTAAAATTCTTTAAAGCTTACCCCTCCTTGATCTTTATATGACTGGGCATAGGAAAAGGAAAGAAAAAACCCGGTAATAGTATTATTTGTTTAATGAAGTCATAAATGCTGTTTAATTGAAAATATTTGTAAAAAAACAGTAAGGATATTAGTAAGTCAAGAATAAGTGCAAGAAACAATAAGCTAAATGCATATTGCTATCTAATATGTAAAATAAAAGACATGGAACTAATAAAATAAATGCAATAAAGGACAGAAAAATAAACAGAAAGAAAATATAAATACAGAACATCAAATAGTAATATAAGTCCAAGAATCAATAAACAGAGTAATTGTGAATGCGTTAAATTTCTCTTGTAAAAGACAAATATATGCATTTTGCAAAAGGTTTAAATATGTTAATATTATTATCAGGCAAAATAAAATTGAAAGAAAAATGATTACTGTGATAAAACAAGATATTTCAGGTTGTTTTCATGGACTGAATGCTCATGTCCCCTCAAAATTTATATGTTGAAACCATATCTCCAATGTGATGCTTTTGAAAATTAGGTATTTGGAAGAATTAAGTTTCGATGATCCTAAGGATGGTGTCCAGGTCACAAGGGATTAGTATATAAAGAAACCGTTTATATACAGAGTGCAATTTATGAACTTCCCAACCTCCAGCACTGTGAGAAATAAATTTCTGCTGTTTAAGCTACCCAGTCTATGGCATTTGGTTATGACAGGCTAAGTAGACTAAGGCAGTTATTTTAAGATAATATACTTAGAATTCATAATATACATGGACCTTCATGTGTGTAACATAGATATGAAATGTAGCAATAAAAATCAGTATAAAAACAAATTGACCACACATTTTTTTCAGAAATGATGGAATAAGTAAACAATAGCAACACAGAGTGCAGAATATTTGATTAACACAAATGCAAATTTTCAGGTAACAGATACATATGAAATCATATATCCACAGAAACAGCATTTGCATTGGTTTTAAACAGTTATAGAAATAGTAATAGATATTTTCCATGTTTTAGGTCTTAAAAGAAGTCAGAGATAATTTTATTTTATTTATTTATTTTTTTTGAGGTGGAGTCTTGCTCTGTCTCCCAGGCTGGAGTGCAGTGGTGCGATCTTGGCTCACTGCAACCTCTGCCTCCTGGGTTCAAGCAATTCTCCTGCCTCAGCCTCCCAAGTAGCTGAGATTACAGGTGCCCGCCACCATGCCTGGCTAATTTTTGTATTTTTAGTAGAGACGGGGTTTCACCATGTTGGGCAGGCTGGTCTCTAATTCCTGACCTCATGCAATCTGCCCGCCTTGACCTCCCAAAGTGCTGGGACTACAGGCGTGAGGGACCATGCCCAGCCTCAGATAATTTTTAAAAGCATACTTCTATTGATACTTTTTAAAATATAAAATATTAGCTAAAAGTATATTTCACGATTAAATAAAAATACACTTGTAATTAATTCTTGGACAAGAAGAAAATCAAAATTCAAAGTAGTTTTTTGCAATGAGAATATTACATGTGTGATGTGATTAACATAACAAATAAAAAGGTGTACATTTAAAAAATAAAATATGTATTTAACATTTAACTAATGCTAAAGTAAATTTAGTTTATGAGAATCTACTATGAAATATAAACTCAAAGGTAGGAAGAACTTTTAAAAGACAAAAGAAAATAATTTTAAATAGAATAGAAAACTAATATTGTTCAATAAAACCCAATCCTCATCTGTTGGGGAAGAAAGGCACAAAAAGTAATAAACTACAAGTACATTTGGTCACTTATAAATACGTGCAATCTTAGAAATCAAAAATAGAAAAATACATTCAGATAGAAAATAAATAGATACAACTCTGAGAGTGTATTACGTATAATTTTATGCTAATAAATTGAAAATTAAAGATGACTTTTTTCCTAGAGGAAAAACATATACTCTATAAAGCAGTCCTTACATGCAATTGACAAGGAAGAAAAAATATTTTCTTAAATAACATAGAAGCCTTTGATTATCATATAAATGAGTGTTATCAAATATTCATGGAAAGAAACATAGAGAACATTAGAAATCTCTCCAATCCAATTTATGAAGCTAGAATGGGACCACAATTAACATAAAAATAATATTGGTTTCTTCATTGAAGGTATCATCTGCTGAGTCATCTCAAATAAAAACAGCTAAGTTCTCACAGGCAGTGGTTCTAGTGTGGTGATGGTCTGGTTCCAATGCTTTTAGGAGGCATTTCAGACTTGTGGAGTGAAGCAAATATCTGCAATTATTATACACTTCTTAAGTAATTTTGTATATCTCTTCAGTGACCTGATTTGAATATAACATCAATAAAGGCAAATAGCACTTAGGGTGTGTTGATTCACCTGCACCCTAGCCAGTCATGACCCCAAATTAGGGACATGACTTTAATTAGACCCTGGGCCGAATTCACAACAAGATATGGCTTCCGCTATGTTGTATAGAATGGTTTCCAAAAGTTTGTAAAATATTTACATTTAATATCTTTTCTTAACTTTTTAAGTAAGTGAGTTATTTTTGTGGACAAAGTTCTTTTTAATAACAAATAATTATATAACTGACCTATCAGACTGGTGTTACTTTATGCAGTGGAGAGAAGTTCTCTTAAGGTCTGTCTTCCTTCAGGGAAAGGAAAAAGCACAACGTGGAGAATATCTGAACCTCTGAGGTGGATGTCATGAAATGGCATCCACCTATGAACGAGAGATGTTGAAACTCTCCATTGAAAATGCTAGGGTGTATTGGTTGTTGTTATTGCTATTGTTTTGTCTCAGTGTTACAGAGATCTAGAAATGTGCTGGAAGGTGCAAAATGACACAGCCAGACCACACAAGGGAGAAAACTCATTTTTCTGTTGTTAGTAACTGATATGGTTTGGCTGTGTCCCCACCCAGAACTCATCTTCAATTCCCACATGTTGTGGGAGGGGCCCAGTGGGAAGTAATTGAAGTATGGGGGCAGGTCTTTCCCATGCTGTTCTCATGATAGTGAACAAGTCTCATTAGATCTGGTGATTTTATGAAGGAGAATTTCCTGCAGAAGCTCTCTTCTCTTGTCTGCAGCCATGTAAGTCCTGCCTTTCACCTTCCACCATGATTGTGAGGCCTTCCCAGCCATGTGGAACTGGGAGTCCATTAAACCTCTTTCTTTTGTAAATTGTCCAGTCTCGGGTATGCCTTTATCAGCAGTGTGAAAACGAATGAATACAGTAACTATAATCCTTGATGTAGGTTATGGAGATACTGAAGGTGAAACAGGATTTCTAAACTAGAAACACTTTTTAAAATGTTTATGTATCTCTCCATGTCAGATTCAAATTGGCCTAAGAAAGTCTACACATAACAGTGTGAAAAAGCAGTTCAGAGATATTCACAAACACATTATGTCAAATAGTTTCTGTTGACCTACTTTACACATAACAGTCCAAATAGGCTTTATAGCCTGCCACAGAATTTTCCAGTAGCCCTTTCAGGCTTATCCTTAGTGTTCTTTACATAGTGATTCTTATTTTCTCGATGCAGCTATGTGATTATGTTTCAGAAGCAAGAATATCAGGGCTGTTTTCTTTTTTTTTTATTGAGTTAGTGTTCGTTTTGGCAGTTACTATAATTGCATATTACTGAATTCAGGAACACTGGCCAGAAAAATAAAATGAGAACTGGTGCAGCGCTATTTCAATTCACATACTAGTTTCCGTATAAATGACTTCCCAAGCACGCCACTCCTCTCTCTCCAAAGGCTTCCAAAACACAACAAAAGGAACATGATCAACAGCATTTTTTAAACTCAAGGCAAAACAAGTGGCAGAAAACCAAAATATAAAAGGAACAGAGCATTCTCTATAATTACACTTCCAAAAATGTTTCATTGCATATGTTGTCAACAGTTCTTATTGTGTATGTTTAATGTTATTCATAGTTTCTGAAATATATGATTCTTAAGAATTTCTATTAAGGCAGAAGTCCTTTTCTGTTAAGCTAGTATGAATGAATGACAAAAGTAAACTTCTATGATATATTATAGAAGGTAATTGTTTCCTGAGCTAAAATATCATCATTTCAAAGTGATGGGAGAGAGGCTAGCAAATTCAGGGAAATGAGAAATATATCTAGTTAACAGAGATAACAAATGAGAAAAACAATAACATTTACAAATAGTTATAAAAGTAACACTAGAATTTTCCTAGTAGCTCAAGCTGTTTTATTCTTCTTAGTAAAAGCACAAGAAGATTTAATGTGATATAAAACATTTACTGTGCTGTTACTTTGTATCATGTTAACAATAAAAATTGCTTATGAGATCATAAAGTTATAAGCTATGCTTTATAACTAAGCAGAGTCTGATTTTGTCTTTATGTGCTTGTTAATATGAATTTATCCTCACTGATAGTTACTTATAGTCAAAACTTAGGGCTACTCCTCTCAGTACCTCAATTTTTAAATTTTCCTGCTATTGTTATTCTAATCTAGCTATCTCATCATTTAAAAAAACAGCCCAGATGATGTTTACAAACTAAACTCTATGCACCTAGTACGATTTCAAGAAATATTTGTTAAAAAATGATGGGATAAATAATTATATAATTGACTTAACTTTTCAATAATATTTTTCATTCATGGGTAAAAGAGTATTAAGGACAAGTTTTAAATTATGTTAATAATGTTTGGCTTTTACAATTATCTTGGCTGTTGTGTTTGTTTTAGCTATACTTTTTCTTGTGAGATTATATGCTATTTATAAAGATAATGCCACACGAAAAAACATTGTTTTACATTTGAGATTTATTTAACTCCGTATTTTGAAAAAAAAATAATTGTAGCAAATTCTAAAAAAAGTACAAAGATTCCTTTTGTATCCTTTACTAAGCCTCCCCCCAAAGGCAACAGCGTACATAACTGTAGTCCCATATGAAAGCAAACAAAAAATGATACTGGTATAATAGTATTAATTAGAACAGGCTTTTTCTAGATTTTACCAGGTTTATAAACAGTCATTTGTGTGTGTGTATGTGTGTGTGTGTGTGTGTGTGTATGCTTAGTTCTATACAATTTTATTTCAAATATAAATTTGTATAACCACCACCAGAAACAAAATACAGAAATGCTTCATCACCACCTAGAAATATATATGGAGTGGTTTTGAATTCATTCTGTTTTAGTATTTTGCTAGCTGTTAGATATTTAAACTGAACTGGTTTACTTGGACTTGGTAATGTATTCAGTTGGCCTATTATGTTTTCACCAAAGAGAAGTTAAATTGTTTCATTTCCCTAGTATCTATATCACTAGGTTAAAAAGGTTTTTTAACAATGTACTAGTAAAAATAATAAATTGCTTAATAAATTATTTTATTTGCTGTTATCTTCACAGGTTACTGTATTAGTTTTCTAAGGTTGCCATAATAAAGTACCACAGACTGGGTGGCTTAAACAACAGAAATTCATATTTTCACAGTTGTGGAAGCTAGAAGTCCAAGATCAAGGTGTTGATAGAGTTGATTTCTTCTGAGACCTCCCTCCTTGGCTTGTAGATGTTCAGTCTTCTTCGTATGTATTCACATGATCTCCCCTCTGTCTCTCTCTCAATCTTCTCTTCTTATAAGAATACATGTCCTCTGGCCCAGTGGATTAATGCATACCTACATGACCTAATTTTAATTTAATTACTTCTTTAAAGATTGTATCTCCAAATATAGTCATTATAAGGTACTGGGAGTTAAGACGTCAACATGTGAAGTTTAGAGGAGACCCATTCAGCTTATAGCAGTTGCCTACACTTCTTTGAATAGTGGAGTTAGTGAAATAAAGATTACTAAAAACTGGTGTGGAGAGAGAAGGGTTCTTAGGTTCCCATCTTTACCATTCTAGCTGCTACACTCCCTGTTAGGCACAAATCAAATTTGCTTGCCTTCACTGATTCATAATTTTGGTGAAACCACAGTCATTTGCAAGTCATCAAACTATATATCCAAGTAACCAAAAGGTCTTTGAATAATTTGACCACTTTATAGTTGTTATTATTTGCATATTCATCTGAAAATCAGTGACAGGAGAACAAAAAGCATCTGTGAAGAGCTCCCGTTTGCAACGCTGAGGTATTGTTTGGTTTCTACAGAGTTATCCCAAGAAAACAGACCTCACTGAGCATTCAGTTACAGCCAGCCATACAAACAGGTGGGCTCTTCCTGGCACTGGGTAAATCTGTAGACTTTAGTACTTTCATGTGCCCCCAAATTAGTTAACTGGCTCCTAATTTTAAAAATCTGAATGTAAATTAAGAGTCATGATTTGTTTAATTCCAGTGAAATCATTAGTAGCACTAGACTGGTAATGTTTTAATTCCTAGCTTCCTTCTGAGTACTACAAGGGTTTCTACAAGTATTTAAAAATACTGAATTCACAAATTATTTCCATTGCAACATATCCTGCAACTAGGCTAGACAAAAACAAAACAAGGAAAAACTACTATACAAGAACAAGAACAAAATTTAGGCTTTTCTCATAATTTTAACACATCATATTACAAACTCTCCAGTGGTATTCCTGTATATGATTCAAACCACTGGTTTCACCAAAAAATTTATGCAAGCCCTTGGGGTCTAGATTTAGGAGAACTGGAATCAAATCAAAATTAAAAATTACTGGCTACAGATTGTAAACAATTCACTCAATATTTCTTTCTAATTTTTTCCTCAGTAAAAGAGGGATAAGTTCAGTGATGCTCAGACAAGGTTATTTTTAACTTCAAATATGACTATGAGTGAGAAGAAATCCAACTCTAAAGCAATATGGGAAAACTAATAATTATTATGCTTTCATCTTAAATATTGTGAAGCTCAATTTGACAATTAAATCTATACTAGTATTTCATTCTCATCCACGTTTATGTTTGTCCAATGAGCTATTTATTATTAACAAAATCTATATGAAATATTTATCTTTCATCACTTTTCAGTCTTTTAAACAATGCACCACTATTTGTTTTTCTTTCTTTCTTTTTTTTTTTTTTTGTAGTAACCACATATAATTACCCTTTAAGTCAGGCTTGCTACTATTTATTGGCACAATTCTGCAGGTAAAATGTAGACTGACCTATGAAATTATATGTTTTGCTATACTGGCTTTAAAATTATTAGGAAGTTTTTGAAGCAAAATATAATATTTAAAATTATCTATCAAACATATCGTTTAAGTTTTCCTTACAAAGTGTTTGTACAGCTTAAAAGCAGCAAGTTGATTGTCCCATTATTATATAAATTATTTAAAGACACTGAATTCACATAAAATACATTCCAGTAAATAAAGGAAAATCAGCATTTACTTTTTCCTTATCTACCTGATTTTAAGTAAATTTATTCTTTGTTTATACTTAATTAATAAACAGCCATAGAGCAACATGTAGTTCCACATCAAAATATCCATTCAGTCAAAGGAATATAGGTACTTAAGATATGTTCGTGTACATTGTACTACATTGGTGGAAAAGTTGCACTGCTCTGTGTCCATTTTAGAGTTAAAATTATCACATAGCAGCATTGTAATCATTCTCTAAACCAACTTGTTTAGATTCAGTGTTAACAATTATAAAACAAGTCAAAGGGAGGAAAACAAAATAAATATTTTATTGAAAATGTTTGGTGTATTTTTTATGGTGGGCTTATGTTGTAATTAAGTTTTTCTCAGGATAATACTAAATTTATTTTAGATTTAATCAGTAAATTCTTTGACAAAACATCAATAAGATAAAGGTAGCAGAAACTCAAACCTACACCAGGTTAGATGGGAAAACCTGCATTGGATTAAAATATTGCCAAAATCATACATGAAGTGGATCAGTTAGAGCTATTAGATCTTTATCACTTAGATCCATAGGAGGCCAATAAATGCAGACCTTACTAAACCTTGACAGAAAGAGTAATTATAGATAAGAAAAAAAGAACTCAATGCATGCAATTTAAATGTTAGTGTGAAACCCGGTACTTGATAATGCAGTTTGTTATACAGCTTGAATAATCTCTGTAACTCATATGATCAGTAGGTGTCTCTGGATTGGTTCTAAGGTAATAGATCAACCACTATGACGAAAGATAAAACTGAACCAGCCAGGCCAAAAGAATGGGATAAAACGTTCCAGGTACAAAAGCCCTGAAGTAGAAACTATTTCATCATGCTGGACAAAAAAGTATTTCACTCTCTAATATCTCTTAGGCATGCAAAGTAAAATAGAGGAAGGGCAAATTAAAGATTTAAAGATTCATTCAACAATACTAAGAACTTGTTATGTTTCAGACATTATTCTAATTTGGAATATATAAGCAAGGTTGTGATATTTTCCTAGGGGAAGTTCATTTTATCTAAAAGCACCTTAAAGTATTGGAGTAATTTTTTTTTTTGAGACTGAGTCTCGCTCTATCGCCCTGCTAGAGTGCAGTGGCGCAATCTCAGCCCACTGCAACCTCCACCTCCCGGGTTCAAGAGATTCTCCTGCCTCAGCCTCCCAAGTAGCTGGGACTACAGGCACGTGCCACCACGCCCAGCTATTTTTTGTATTTTTAGTAGAGACGGGGTTTCACCATGTTGGCCAGGAAAGTCTCGATCTCTTGACCTCTTGATCTGCCAGCCTCGCCCTCCCAAAGTGTTGGGATTACAGTCGTGAGCCACTGTGCCCGGCCCAAATGTTATGTTTATTACTTTTATTCTAAAGAAACTTGATATTGGAGCAATGTGATACATAAGATGGCATGTGAGGAAACTGTAGAAATGCAGTGTGAAGAAGGGCTTGGAAGACAGCATACACAAAGGCAAGGTGGTGTGATGGCCTCTCCCAGTTAGTGGAACAAAATCTCCAGTGTGGATTGGATATAGAGTGTGAATAATTGGAAGAGAGTTACCTGACACTCATTCAATATTGTGATTTGTTCAGGATGTTAAGCCAAGTATTAATCTTTTTAATATACAATATTATGATGTGAGTTATGCATGTATTTTGGACTAATTACTGGCAGAAGTTTCAAATATCAAGAATCAATAATTGAAATGCATTGTTTTTTCATTTGCCATCTGTGGGGCTTATTTTTATTTTTCCAATTCAACTACTACTTTAGTTTGAATTAACTTTCATTAACATTTAAGCAGTGTAGACTTAATGGCAAAAATATATTCATAAATAATATTAAATAGGTAATGCTTGCTTTTTAATTTAATCAGTAACATTATCAACTTAGATTAGTGGAATTAAAATGTGATGTCTCATCTTGTTCTTTATTTACTGCCCTTAAAATACAGCAGTGAAATATAAACCAGTACTTTTCAGCGTAGTGAAGAAATTATGGCTTTGGGCTAACTATGCTTTGATCAATGCAGATGTTAAATCTAATTTGATCTAAATTCTCTGTGGATATTAGTAATTAACATACTAACTATTGCCTGGGGTTCAGTAATTTTTTTTATATTGGAAAGTGATTTTTTGTAACCACAGGGTTGAATTTTATTTTCCTCAAAATAGAAATAGATACCCTCTAAATTTCAGGTACATAGATTCTCAGAGAGTACAATTTATAGTCAAGCAACTCAACCGGAATCTTCAATTACTTTAGTATATAATAATTCCTGCAAAAATGCACTAAAATTCAGTAACTCTGTTGCAAATGCTGCCGTGTTCAGCTCATAGAACTAGCACTTTTAAATTGCTAGTGCCTGCATCTCTATGCCTTGCTCTCCATTGCTATTTCCAAAAACTTCTTTTTATATATTTTCCAAATCATTCAGCCTTGAAGCTCATGTAATGTCTCTGCTTATTGCTGACGTTTCTAAACACCTAAGTCAACATTCTTCTAATATCTTATTTTTGTATGTAGTTTTAAATGACATCCTCTCTGTTCTTTTTTTAATTTTCCAGCGAATTATTTGTTGATTTCATTTATGTTTTCCAAAAAACAACTTTTCATTTTGTTGATATTTTCATTTCCTTTGTCTCCATTTTGTTTTGTTCTGCTCTGATATTTATAATTTCTTTCCTTCTACTAATTTGGGGCTTGATTTTTTTTTATTTTTTATTTCTATAGGTTTTTGGTAACAGGTGGTATTTGGTTACATGAGAAAGTTCTTTAGTGGTGATTTGTGAGATTTTGATGCACTCATGACCCGAACAGTATACCCTGAACCCAATTTGCAGCCTTTTATCCCTCACCCCCCTCCCACCCTTTCCCTCAAGTCCCCATAGTCCATTTATCATTCTTATGCCTTATGCCTTGCATCCTCATAGCTTAGCTCTCGCTTATGAGTGAGAACATAGAATGTTTGGCTTTCCATTTTTGAGTTATTTCCCTTAGAAAAATATTCTCCATTTCCATTCAGGATGCTGCAAATGCCATTAATTCATTCTTTTTTATAGCTAGTAGTATTCCATCATATTCCATACTATATCATAGTAGTTTCGTTATCCACTCATTGATTGATGGGCAGTTGGGCTGGTTGCATATTTTTGCAATTGCAAATTGTGCTGCTATAAGCATGTGTGTGCAAGCATCCTTTTCATATAAGAACTTCTTTTCCTCTTGGTAGATACCCAGTACTTGGATTGCTGGATGAAATGGTTCTATTTTTAGTTTCTTAAGGAATCTCCACACTGTTTTCCATAGTAGTTATACTAGTTTACATTCTCATCAGCAGTGTAGAAGTGTTCCCTTTTCACGGCATCCACACCAACATCTATTATTTTTATTTTTTTATTTTTTGAGTATGGCCATTCTTGCAGGAGTAAGGTGTTATCGCATTGTGGTTTTGATTTGCATTTCCATGATTATTAGTGATGTTGAGCATTTTTTCACATGTTTGTTGGCCATTTGTATATTTTCTTTTGAGAATTGTCTATTCATGTCCTTAGCCCACTTTTTGATAGGAATGTTTTTTTATTTTTTTTCTTGCTAATTTGTTTGAGATCCTTGTAGATTCCGGATATATATTCTTGCTTTTTAAATTTCTTGAGGTGCATTGTTAGGTAATTTGCTTGAAATATTTCTACTTTTTTGACATAGGCATTTATTGCCAAAAGTTTTCCTCTTAGTACTAATTTGGCTATATTATTAGGTTTCAGTATGTCATGTTTCTATTTTCATTTGTTTCAAAAATTTTGTTGATTTTCTTCTTAATTTCTTCATTGGCTTATTGATTGTTCCAAAGTATGCTGTTCCATTTTCATGTATTTGTGTATTTTCTGAAGTTTCTCATTATTGATTTGTAGTTTGATGTCATTGTGGTTTAGAAAATATTTTAAATGATTTTGATTTTTAAAAATTTACTGAGACTTATTTTGTGGCCTAATATATGGCCTATTCTGAGAACTGTTCCATTGTTGATAAGAAGAATATGTATTATATATCTGTTGAATGAAATGTTCTGTAAATATCTGTTGAGTCCATTTAGTATAAAGTGCAGTTTAAGTCAAAAGTATCCTTGTTCATCTCTTGTCTAGATGCTGTGTCCAATGCTGAGAGTGGGGTATTGAAATTCTTAACAATTATTGTATTAGGGTCTATCTCTCCCTATAGCCGTAATAGTATTTGCTTTATATTTCTGGATGTTCCATTTGGAGCTCATATGTCCATTTATCATGATATAATGATCTTCTTTCTCTACTTATAAATTTTTTGACTTAAAATCTATTTTGTCTTGTATAAGTATAGCTATGCTTGCATACATTTCATTTTCATTCGTGTGGAATATCTTTTTCTATCCTTTCACTTGCAATGTATCTGTCTTTACAGGTGAAGTGAGCTTCTTGGAAGCAGTATATACTTTTGTCTTGGATGTTTTTATCTATTCAGCCAGTCTATATATTTTAAGTGAGGAATTTAAACCATTTACATTCAACATTGTTATTGATATATGAGGGCTTACTCCTGCCATTTTGTTAATCATTTCTGATTGTTTCTCATAACCTTCATTCCTTTCTGTCTCTCTTATTGTTTATCTTTGCAATTTGGTGGATTTCTGTAGTGATAATAGTTGATTCCTTTCTCTTGCTTGTGTATCTGCTCTTCTAATGAGTTTGAAACTGTCCTGTATTTTCATGATGGTAAATATTATCCTTTTACTTCCAGTTGTAGAACTCCCTTAAGCATGTCTTGTAGGGCTGATCTATCACAAAGAAGAGTGAGAAATTCTCTCAGCTTTTCTTGGCAGGGAAAGCTTCATTTCTCCTTTATTTCTCCTTTATTTCTAAATAATAGAATATTGTTTTTCTTTCTAAACTTTGAATATATTATTCCATTCTTTCCTAACCTGTAACATGTCTGCTGAGAAATCTGTTGTTATTCTGAAGGGGATTCCTTTATATGTGACTTGATGCTTTTCTCTTACTCTTAGAGTTCTCTCTCTCCTTGACTTTTGACAGTGTTCCTTGGAAGCTATCTTTTTTGGACTTAGTCTGTTTTAGAATGTTTGGGCTTTCTGTATCTGTATGTCTACATCTCTCCCACATCTTGGGAAGTCTTCAGCTATTATTTTTATTAATTTTTTTCTATGCCTTTTCCCATGTCCTTTCCTTGCAGAATTTCCAAGTTGGAAATTTGTTTGCTTCATGTGATCTCATGTCATGTAGGCTTTCTTCATTTTTTTATTCTTTTTTTCCTCTGGCTCAGTTTTTCTAAAAGATTTGTCTTCAACTTCCAAATTTTTTTTTCTGCCCAATCTAGCCTATTGTTGCAGCCCTTAATTGTATTTTTTATTTTATTTATTAAATGTTACATTTCCAAGATTTTGGTTTGGTGCTTTTTTATAATATCTATTTATTTTGTTGAATTTCTCATTCAGATAGTGAATTGTTTTCCTGATTTATTTGGATTGTATGTCTGTGTCTTCTTGTATCTCACTGAATTTCCTTTAGAACATTATTTTTATTATTTTTTTCAGACATTACATAGATTTTCTTTTCTTTGGAGTCTGTTGGGAATTAATGTGTCCCTTTGGAGATGTTATGTTTCCTTGTTTTTTCATATTTCTTGTGTCTCTACATTGATATCTATACATCTTGGGTAACAGTCACTTCTTCTAATTTTATCAAGTACCTTTTGTATGGTAAGACATTGCCCTGTAAATGTATTTATAGTGTTGGTTGAGCAGGGTGCATTGGCTTTGTTTCTAGCGGGATGCAGGAGTGTAGTCTCCATATGATTTTTTTGGCTGTAATCAACATCAATGCTGTCTGCATATCCTTCAGTGGCTTAGGCTGCACTTCTTTGTGGAGGCTGTGGCATGGCTTTGCTGGGGATAGGGATGCCAGGTGTTGCAATACTTGGGATCCTAGTGGGCATACATGGACACTGGAAGTAGTGGTCATGGATCCTGGATGAGCTGATCATTGGATTCCTGGACAGTGTGCAGAAGCATGCAGCAGCCTTGTTCCTGGAAGGTGTGGGTTTGTCAGGCAGTAGTGGCGGAAGGTCCTGGGTTGCATGGTCATTGATTCCCTGGGTGGCAGGCCTGGGCACTGGCAATAGCAGAAGCAGCCTGAGTGAACCAGTCCCCAGGTCCTCAGGTGGAGTATATAGGTGTGCAGTGACTCCACCACTGGAGTGGGTGAGGTCACTGCCAATGGTGATGGCCCTGGGCAAGCAGTTCTCAGGCTCTGAGGAGAAGGCACTTCTACTTTCTATATCCTGTGGGTAACCTTCCTAATGTGCTGGACCATCTATTCCTCATGGTTTAGTGCTCTGCATGGGCTCAGGTGCCAGGGATATGACTGCAATGCTGGGTCCAGCTGGTGTTGTAATGAAGAAACCCTCTGGGTGGATGTCGGGGATGTCAATGGGGCCTTAATGATACAGATATGCAGGGGCTATTGGGCTGCAGGACAGGATCTAGTCTGATGGTGACTCCATTCTCAATATGATGCCATGCTGCCTCTGCTAGAGTTCTGGGAATGGAGCGGGGGCCCGATGTGAATTCCCTCTCTGAATGTAGATGCATGTAGTCAGGCAGCTCCCTAAAATAGGCTCAGGGTCTGTGAAGGCTGAGGGGCTCTCCTGTAGCTAGGATTGCAGGTATCTATGTGGAAAGGTGAATTGTTAGGGACCTCCCACTTACCTTTTTCCCACAATGGGGAAATCCCTCTTGGCTCCACGCTGATGCTGATACCAGCTGGCTGCTTTGCTTCCCTTTCCTTGCTGTCCTCTCAGATTTCCATGCCTCAGAGGGTGTTTGTCACTTCCTTGCTGAATTATAGTGTACTCTCTTTAATCTCTTAGATTCCATATTCACCGCGTGATTATCTACTTGCTGTTTTTGTCCTTTCTTTGTGGAGGGAGTTAGTTCTGGGTGCCTCTAGTCAGTCATCTTAATCTGAATCATATTTTATTTAATTATTGATATAGTTATGTTTAATCTATCATCATGTCATTTATTTTCCATTTCTCCCAACCAATCTCCATTCCCTTTTTCCTCTTTTCTACCTGTCAATATTATGTTGACTACTCTATAAAGACCATCTGTTGTTCTCCAAAATATTTCTTCTGTTTACCTGTATCCTCTTTGGTACCCTGTTCTACAAATTCTATTTGATATGGAATCCACAGACTCAGCTCCAGCTCCGTAAGTCAAGGAGTCTATGTATCTTTGACTCATATCTTCCTTTACTTGGAAACTCTATCAAGGTGGTAAATTAAGTAATTGTAAGGCTCAGTTCATTTATTTCCCATTTCTGAGAGACCACTGTCCTTCATTGCCTGATATTCAGTATCTCAAAAATTGTTTCATGTATTTTTGTTTGTTTTGTTTTCCTTGATCTGTTCAGGGAGAGGCTGAGCCTGATCTCTATTAGATCATGTTGGCTGGAAATGGAAGCTGAACCCAGACAATTTTACAATTTTGACAATCCTTCCCTTTTTCTGTCCACTTTCTTCCACCTATTTCCAGGCATTATTTTATTTTTGCCCAAACTAGTTTGGGAAAGAGTAGAGAACATAAACATAAATAGAAGATATTAGGTCATATGTGTAGTGTCACCCAACTGATGAACTAAAATAAGACAGTGGTTTAGCGTATTGCGCTGATCTATTTTCAAACATTGATTTGATCTCCATTTCAAAACTCAGTCTTTTGTTCCAATATCAGAGAGCTCTCTAGGTTATTATTTGCTCAGCATATTTTAAATCAAATATTAATTTTTGAAAAAGAGTAAGTATATCTATTGTTTAGTGGTTAAGATTATGACCCTTAGCATTTGAATCCTAGCTTAAATAAACAGGCAAGGTTTTTGTTATTCTATATTCTTTTTCCTCAGTAGTAAAACAGTGATATACATTGTGCCTATTTCCTAAGGTTTCTGTGAAGTTTAGATGAGTAAAATGTAACATAAGAAACAAAATAAATTAGCATTACCCTCATAAAATAATTTTACAAATAGTCTCAACAGCATTGAAAACAATGTATTCATCTTTACAATGTTTCAAATGTGTATTTTCTAAAACTATGTAAGAATAAGTGCACTAAACAAATTACATATGAAATCTCAAATTCTATCTATCCTAGTGTCACCAGGGCTTATTCTTAAAGGAGACATCCATAATAATTCTCTGTATGAAATAGTGTCTTTCATAACAGCCAACCTCAATTCACCTCCTTTGAAATGGTGTTTTTGCTCAATTTTCCTTGGTTCTTGTGACTGTAGGGAGCTTATCACAGCAGGCTTGCAAATAAGAAACAACATTTCTCTCTTCTTGGTCCATTACGTATAAAATTGTGATGTTAAAATGCTTTTTGAATCTCTTGGATTAGTGTAAATGATGATGGCTTGAAGTTTTCCTGTAATTTTTAAAAAGACTTTATCTTTTTTTTAGAATAATTTTGAGTTCACAGAGAAGTTGCAAGGAAGGAATAAAAATTTTCTATATATCCTCTGAACCCACACATGCCTAGCCTCCTCCATTGTCAACATCCTTGCCAAAGTGGAATATTTGCTGCAATTGATGAACCCACATTGACACATCTTTGGAAATTTTCAAATATCATTTTCTCCAAAATGAAATAATGATTCATAATGACTCACTCAAGGCAAAATGGATATGTTACTAATGAGCATTTTCTTTAATTGAATGGGTCCTATTATTGCAAAATAATGCTCATTATTCTTTGGCAAATCTATGTCAATACATATTTTTGTGGATTCTTAAAGAATAAGGATTTAAGCATATGCAGAAGCACAAGAAGTTAGATTTCTTTTTAACATAAACAGAGTAACACAACAAAACCCAGCAGACATCAGTGAATCTTCAACTGTGAATAAAGATTGCATGGAAGTGTATTATTAATAAAGTCAAGTCATTTTTAATAATAATATTGAATGTCACTATATGAGATTGGCAATAGTGAGTCAAGCTTTATTGCTAGGTTTTTAGTGAAAATCAATTGGAAACCTTGTCATCACCATTGTGAAGTAGTTAAGTAATAAATATCATAGTGAATTGAAGAATCAAGTAATCTGTTGTAAACAGATTATTGTCACATTACATTAGTATCATTAATTACATTACATATTATATTAGTATTGCATTGTTAGTATCACTAATGTGAAATTAATGTGATACTATCACATTATATTACTATCACTAATTATTATCATTATAGTGCACTTCATGAGAGTGTGATTGTAGGCCAACATATTAGTGGCTTATTATGTCTACATAAAAAGCTTGTAGAGAAAATAATTAATTATGATCATGATCATCCTCAGCAGCAATAGCAGCAAGGATAACAGGGTATTCTCACTTTAATGCAAAATTCTCACTTCCTTATTCTGAAGGAAACCTCCTAAAGATACCTAAAATATGCAGAGACAGATGGATAGAGAGAGAGAGAGACAGACAGAGAATGGATTTATCTAATATTAAAGTTTTACGTATGTAGGTAGGTAGATAGATGATAAACAGGTGCTATGCATGTCATGTGTGTTCTTTTAAGTTAACAGATACTTATTTTCACTAATTTTCAAACAGAAGCAAAGTTAAAGACCTATTTAATAATTTTCTTTTTTCCTTTTATTTTGCATTAAGCAAGAAAGAATAATGATTTTAAGTGTTCTAGTCAGATTGGAATCACTCTTGTGGGGATTGAGAAAAGACGTTCTGAAGAAACAAATGCAGGAGTCTGTTCTATGTGAATTAAATATCTGCTTATTTTTTTACCCTAATTTTAAGTATCTTAAGAATTTTGTTAACATTATTTTATAACATCACAATTAAGAACATTTAGCAATGTGTAAAGAAACAGAAGTTTTAAAAGTTTTAAATATTTTAAAAGTAGTAAGCATATAATAATACAGCCTATATCTCAGTATTGTGATAAATACTGTATAATTTACCCATGAATGGTGTAAAAGAAATGGTAGACACAGAAAGCAAAACTGTTATGGTTATTGCTGCTACTTTGTTCTATAATATCAGTGACATATCATAAAAAGATTACTCCTGACAAGAAAATTCTTAAACCTTTAGGAGAAAAATTTAAATTATGTTTATATGTATGATTTGAACTCAGTTTTATGAATTAATGTTAACTATGTTAATGTTGGTTATTTAGTAAATATCAGTCTTAAGTAAATACAACACACTAAAACAAGAAGGGGGGCATTCCAGCACACTAAATTATTTGCAGAGGCATATTGTAGTCCTTCAGTTGGAGAAGAATTGGGGATTTAGGAACATAAAAGACACATTAAACACCTTGTGAAATCTTACAGAATGAATAAATATAATATCTCTAGGTATTAGAACTTCACATCAAAATATAAACTCTTGTCCTACTTTTGTATTAAAAATCAGATGAAAGACAAATAACAGTGAAATATTGAAAGTTCTTGTTAGTTTTACAGTCTAACAGTAACACATAAAAACCTGTCTCTTATTTCACTGTTGGGCATTTAGCAAGATGTTCTAAATTCCTATTTGTTGAATAACACAGGTCTATAAAAATAGCGTGTTGGATGAGACCTGTGGCTTGCTAGGAACATGGACAAAGGAAGTAATGTCTATGAGCACAGTTTATGTGTCAGGCAAATAATTTAAAAAATAACACTGAACCTTCATAGCCACCCTGCATGCTCAGGTCAATATCCCATGTCCGCTACTCCAAAATAAAATAAAGTAAAATGAAACAAAAACAGTAAAAAACAAAGTATAAGTTTTTGTAAATTCATTTGTTAGCAAATCATGCTTTAAATGTGATGCCATTTATACTTTTTTTAATCTGACCAAGTGAGAATATTTCTTTGTTTCTCTGCAGAAATATTAACAGATTTATTAAGTGTCATATAGTATGCATTACATGTATTGTATTACTAGTCTTCAAAAAATTTAAAAATACATTCCAAAATATACGTGGTCCCAAGCATTAGTGACATTGTGCCTGAAATAATTCACTCACATTAGTATCAATATAGTGCACTTCGTGAGAGAGTGTGATTGTAGGCCAACATATTAGTGGCTTATTATTTCTACTTAAAAAAACTTGCAGAGAAAGTCATTCATCATATCAGCCTCAGCAGCAACAGTAGCAAGAGTAACAGGGGTATTCTCACTTTAATGCAAATAAATGAGTCAGGACCTTTTCGATTGACTTTTGATGAGCCAGAGCAGAGAGTAATTTCCTCTTTTTAACTGTATATTTGTGACAATAGTATTTATAGGAAAGCTGTTAATGTGTTTCCCTTCTGTTTCATCCCCTTTCTGCTGAAGAGAATTATAGCTGTCCTACGAATGCTAAGGAGTATGAGATAGCACAGGCAAGTCTTACAGGTACCTGCGTCAGTCTTAGCTGGACTTCTCAGGAGCAGCTGGTTTGCTTTCCTCAGCAGAGGCTCTAAATTATATGACTGATCTTGTGTTTTATCATTAGGAAAACATGGTTTTAAGGATAGTTAGAAAAAAAAATTGTGTCCAAAATAGCTAGTATGTATAATATCTTTTGGCAGATTTTTAGAATGATAAATTTAATAGGGTTTCATTTTATTTACCCCAGTAATTTTTCTTTTTCAATCATTTCCCAAGTTAAAAATTTTTTTTGTCACACTGAATAGTATGGAATTTTGGAAGCTATATTAAGAATTTTGGGAACAAAGAGGCAAATGTTTAAAATACTTCACATGCAATTTGTGTTGTACTTTTTCACTTAGCATTATAACAAAAAATTATGTGTTATTGAAACTCTTCCTAAAATTATTTCAATGACTACATAAAGTTGCATTCCTCCATGATTCACTTTGTCATGCACTAGTTTAGTGTTTTTAGCTTATTCTCAATTTGTTGTTATTATAATTATGTTATTAACATCATTGTGTGTAAAACTTAGAAAATATTTCAGATGAGAGGCTGTCAAAAAGTGAGAGAAAAGTTTAATATAAGGCCTATGGTATATATTTTTAAAGTTAATCAATACTTGAAAGACATACACATTAGATTAAAATATACAAAATTCTTGTCTAGAGGTGTCGCAGATGTAGTAGGGATAAAGGAATAGTCCTGACATGTTCAGGCCTTAAGCAGTTCCAGGAAAAAGACCAAAATTATATTGTTACTTTCATAAGGGAGAGAGCTATTAAATTAAAACATGTTTATGATTATTTATTTCTAAAGGCCTTGTAAGACTCTCATTTTTAATAGAACTGTGTTAGAGAAATTCAACCATTGTCTTCATAGCCATTTTTGGGGTGGAAAATTGTTTCAAAATTTTAGGTTAGTAATGTTTGTATATGTTTGTTAAAAATTTTATTTGATTTATAAAAATTCCAGAACCCAAGAATGCTTACTGTAAAATACATAAAATAATGTCAGGTATAAAAATAAATAAATACATAAAATATATCACTGCCTTGCAATCCTACTACATTTTTCTAGGAAATTTATTTTTCTACATATAAAGATAAGATCCTATCTTTTTCTCTCTCCTCAGACTTCTTATGATTCCATCCTTGGCTCCTCCATTGAGATTTGCCTCATAATTCATTGGGAAAGTACAAACAAATCTCCCCAAATCTTCACATTTGCAACACAAAGCTACTTGTATCTCTACTAATACTACTCATAGTCCCTGTCTTTGATTATCTTACAGGGGGAACTGGATTTGCTGTTCCAAACAAAGTCTAACTGCTAAAATTTTTATTTAATTCTCATGCCCTCTAAGTTTCTTAAAGAACATCATTCCTGAAATAATATTCACCTAAAATCCTAAATTTTTCTTTTTATATTGGGTCATTTCCATTGGCATAAAAATGAAAGAAACATTTCTCCTTAAAAAAAATCAAAACACAAAGGCAGACAAAAAAAATCATAATTGTACCTCTGCTCATTATATCACTCTACTCCCATTTTAATAAATGGTACAATCCTCCAATTTCTTACTGAATTCTCATATCTCAGAATTACTCTTAGTTATTTTCATCACCTTAAACCTCACACTTATTCCAGTAGCACCATCTTACTGCAAGCAATAACTGCCTCTACTTTCTTAGCTAGATTTCATGCTTTTACATGTGTCCCTATAATATATTTTCATTTTAATAGCCAATGTGATAATTCAAAATCACAAATTACGTCATGAAATTCTTTGGCTTAAAGAGTCCTATTAACTTCTCATAGTGCTTAAGGAAAATATATACCCCTTTCCACAGTCATCAAGAAACTACACCTATATTTAGCTTCTTACTCATCTATATCTCCTGATTTTTTTTTGCTTTCTTTCCCAGATTGTCACACTTTTGTGTCTATTTTATCATTTGCTACTCAACTCAAAAGTTACCTGGCCATGGTGAGTACTATCACTGAAATTCCAAGTAAGCTTAACAGTGAAACAAGAAGTAAAAATGAATTGTGTAATTACAGCAAGCAATAAATTTCTTTTAGGTCTTCAGGATAATCTTTAAGCAATTTTTCCTAAAACAATATAAAAGACAGTAGAATCCATGTTCATAGGCATCTCTGATTTGGCAGAATCTTTCTTCACCTGGGCTCATGCAACACTGAATTTCGGGTGTGTCTCTGTTAGCCACATAGCCTCATATATATTTTTTTGTGCAGTTGAATTTATTTACATACATTTTTGATACTTTGATAGTAAAATAGAAGCAGAAATGTATTCAGTTGAATTTAAGTCATCATTCTCTCTAATCCTCAAACCTTCATTAGCCTTTGAGATCTAGCAAGCTCATCCTATCTTATGTGGGACGAGGATCTGTCAGAGAGAGCAGGGCCTGGCTGTCCCTGACCCCACTAGTGTACATTCCTCAACCACCAACTTTCTCGATCACTCACATCTATTTCATTTTCTTGATAACACTTGTCAGTCACTATCTGAACATATATGATTTGCTTACTCATTACCTTGTGTCCGGCCTCTGAACCCAAGCTAAGCCATCATATCCCCTGTGACCTGCACGTACACATCCAGATGGCCGGTTCCTGCCTTAACTGATGACATTCCACCACAAAAGAAGCGAAAATGGCCTGTTCCTGCCTTAACTGATGACATTCCACCACAAAAGAAGCGAAAATGGCCTGTTCCTGCCTTAACTGATGACATTAACTTGTGAAATTCCTTCTCCTGGCTCATCCTGGCTCAAAAGCTCCCCCGCTGAGCACCTTGTGACCCCCGCCCCTGCCCTCCAGAGAACAACCCCTTTTGACTGTAATTTTCCTTTACCTACCCAAATCCTATAAAATGGCCCCACCCCCATCTCTCTTCGCTGACTCTCTTTTCGGACTCAGCCCGCCTGCACCCAGGTGAAATAAACAGCCTTCTTGCTCACACAAAGCCTGTTTGGTGGTCTCTTCACACGGACGCACATGACATTTGGTGCTGTGACTCGGATCAGGGGACATCCATTGGGAGATCAATCCCCTGTCCTCCTGCTCTTTGTTCAGTGAGAAAGATCCACCTACAGCCTCGGGTCCTCAGACCAACCAGCCCAACGCTGACTCTCTTTTCGGACTCAGTCCGCCTGCACCCAGGTGAAATAAACAGCCTTGTTGCTCACACAAAGCCTGTTTGGGGTCTCTTCACAGGGACGTGGAAACCTTGTATTTCTCTCCTTCCCACAAAAGTTAAGTTATGTTGGAAGAGACTCCTATGTCTTGCTGTCTTTTATATTCTTAGTTTATAGACTGTAGTAACTGGCACAAAGGTGTTCATTAAATGTGTTTAACTGAATGAATAGAGCTATATTTATATTGTTATTCCTGGTTAATATGTAAAAAATATATATTTAATGCTGTATAATATAATTACTTATGCATCTTTCTTCCATTTTCTATAACATATTTACAATTTTATTCACCAGAATTCATTATACTGATTAATGTACTTGTGGTGAAATCAGTCTCTAAGGATGATTAAATTTTCCACCAGTTATCATAATTGGGAAATGTAATTGAATAAAAAGGTTATCGTGTATACAGAGACATATATTTAAAAAACACACCCATAAACCAAAGAAATAAAAAGAAAAATAAAGAACTAAATAGATAAAATAAATGTGCCTTTTGCATAAAATTTGTATTATTTGCAAAGAACAATGCCATGCCATTGAGGTAACTAAAAATAAAAACAGTATTACTGGTTGTAACTCAAGAATCAAATATGTCTATATTTTAATTCATTAAATAGCTAATAAAAAAGAGAAACATTTTTAAACATTTATTGAAAACTTTAGTCAAAACTACATATAATTTTATTTGTTTATGAGAGTTTTCCTAAAAAACATGTTTATTAAAGAAACATAAAATGTTTCTTAAACAACTTTGAAGTAAGTCATATTTTCATTTTTAATTTTTCCATTGGGAAGTTATTTCTTAATGTAATACATCTGGTTAGTGACAAAATCAGAATCTGACTTCAAGCCTACCCTGTTGACTCTATGCTGCCTCCCTTACATGCCCTCTGACTCTGTATTCAATGACCGGGACATTTTAATCTACCTTTAGTTTATCCAGAGTTATCAGATCATGACTAGACTGAAAATTCAATAAGAATTGATAAATATTTTCCTAGCCTTCAGCATGGTCTTTCTTTTTGAAGGTACTTTTCCAACATTGTTCATAGTTTGCTGTTTCCATTTTTAAAAATAGTATTTAGCATTTGCTTCAGATCTTTCAAT
Organism: Homo sapiens; assembly: GCF_000001405.40. NCBI lineage: Eukaryota > Metazoa > Chordata > Mammalia > Primates > Hominidae > Homo > Homo sapiens. Next base: position 195,846,829 of record NC_000001.11, on the reverse strand, counting down.
AGTTTGTCAAGATAAAACTTGCTGTCTCAGCAGGCATAATAACATATAAGCTATTTTAAACTTGTATATGACACTATGATTACATCCTGATCACTCACCTGTAGTTTTGGTTTTATAGCAAAATATACTTTCACAGGAATAATAACTTAATACTTAATGTAACATTTGAATCCACATTCGGAAATAGAGTAATGGTTATAGTCAGTCAAGTATTCACGGAGAAATCATTTATGTTATCTATTGAAACTATTCGATATCCTTCTCAGAATATCAAATATAATTGTGCTAATCAAATGCATGTAGAAATCACCATTTCAGTAATATTTTACAAATAAAATGATGCTTTATACTTCTTCCCTTATACTAAATATAATAATTTTAATGGAATATCCATAAAATGTAAAGCTGTTATCATTCTCTTTCTGGAACACAAAAATTTTAAGAAGCTAGAAAAAAAGTCTTTTTTAAAAAAAGTTGGAACTTCATACCATTACTTTCTAGAAAATTAAAATGTATTATTTCTGAAGATCATTGACCTGTACTGATGTTAAAACAATTTTAAAAATATGAAGTTGAAAGCTTTTCTTACACCATATACAAAAATCAACTCAAAGTGAATCAAAGACTTAAATATATGAGCTAAAACTATTAGTTCTTTGAAGAAAACATAGGGGTACATATTCATGAATTTGGTGATTCCTTAGACATGCAAAAGCACTAACAGCAACAACAAAAATAGATAAATTGAACTTTACCAAAACAAAAAACTTCTATGCATCAAAAAAAAAAATCATCAAGAAAGTGAAAAGACTGCTTATAAATTGGGAGAAAGTATTTGCAAATCATACATCTAGTAGGGTTATAGAATCCGAAGCATATAAAAACTCAACAAGACAAAAACCCAATAAAAATAAGCAAAAGACTTAAACTGACAATACTCCATAGAAAATACACATATGGCCAAGACACACACAAAAAGATACTCAATGTCATTAGTGATTAGAGAAATGAAAACCAAAACCACAAGTTGTACTCATTAGGATGGCTATTGTTAAACAAATAGAAAACAACGTTACTGAAGATGCGGAGAAATTGGGAATCTTGTGGACTGCTGGTAGGAATGTAAAATAGGTGCAGCTTCTCTGTAAAACATGGTGATTTCTCAAAAAATTAAATATAGGATTACCATATAACTCAACAATGAACACTTCTGGATATGTATCAAAATAAACTGAAAGCAGAGACTCAAAAATATATTTGTACACTAATGTTCATAGCAGGATTATTTACAGTATTCAAGAGCTGGAAACAAATCAAATGTTCATTGATGGGTATGTAAATAAACAAAATGTGATATATATATATATATATATATATATATATATATATATATACACATTCAGTGGAATATTAAATTTTGCCACATGCTACAACTTAGATGAACCTTGAAAATATTGTACAAAGTAAAATAAACAAGAAACAAAAAGATAAGTATTGTATGAGACTACTTATATAAAGTACCTAGAGTTTTCAGATTCATAGGGACAGAAGGTAAAACGGTGCTTGCCATGCCCTGTGGGCAGAAAGAAATGGGAGTTACTGTTTAATGGGTACAGAGTTCCAGTTTGAGGTGATAAAAATTTGTAGAAATAAATTGTGGTGATGGTTGCACAAAAATGTGAACATATTTACTGCCACTGAATTTTGAGCTTAACAGTTAACACGGTAAATTTTGTTATGTATACTTTATCACAATAAAAAGAGATGCTGAATTCATTTACCAGTTCTAAGAGCTTTTTGGATAAGTCTTGAGGGTTTTCTATGTATACGATCATGCCATCAGCAAACAGGAATTTTCACTTCCTCTTAACGATTTGGATACCTTTTATTTCTTTCTCTTGTCTGACTGCTCTGGCTAGGACTTCCAGTACTAAGTTGAATAGAAGTGATCAAAGTGGGCATCCTTGTCTTGTTCCAGTTCGTAGGGGAAATGCTTTCAACTTTTTCTCATTCAATATAATGTTGGCTGTGGGTTTGTCATAGATGGCTTGTATCACTTTAAGATATGTTTCTTCTATGCAAATTTTGCTGAGGGTTTAATCATAAAGTGATGGTGGACTGGGTTTTTTCAAATGCTTTTTCTGCATCTATTGAGATGATCATGTGATTTTTGTTTTTAGTTCTGTTTATGTTGCATATAACATTTATTGAGTTGTGTATGTTCAACCGTCTCTGCATCCCTGGTATGAAACCCAGTTGATCATGGTGGATTACCTTTTTAATATGCCGTTGGATTCAGTTAGCCAGTATTTCTTTGAGGATTTTCGAATCTATGTCAATCATGGATATTGTTCTTTAGTTTTCTTTTTTTGTTATGTCCTTTCCTGGTTTTGGTATTAGGGTGATACTGACTTTATATAATAATTGAAGGAGGGATCTTTTGGAATATTGTCAGTAAGATTGGTATCAATTCTTTTTTGAATGTCTGAGAGAATTCAGCTGTGAATCTGTCTAGTCCTGGACTTTTTTTTTGTTGGTAACTTTTTAATTACCATTTTAATCTCGCTGCTTGCTATTGGTCTGTTCAGAGTTTCTATTTCTTCCTGGTTTAATTTAGGAGGATTGTATATTTCCAGGAATTTATCCATCTCAGCAAAGTTTCAGGATACAAAATTAATGTACACAAATCAGTAGCTCTGCTATACACCAACAGCAACCAAGCTGAGGATCAAATAAAAAAACCCAATTACTTTTACAGTAGCTGCAAGAAAAATAAAATAATTAGGAATATTCCTAACCAAGGAGGTGAAAGACCTCTACAAGGAAAACTACAAAACACAGTTGAAAGAATTCATAGATGATGCAAACAAATGGAAACACATACCATGCTCATGGATGGGCAGAATCAATATGGAGAAAATGACCATATTACCAAAAGCATTCTAAAATTTAATACAATTCCCATCAAAATACCACCAATACTCTTCACAGAACCAGAAAAAAAAAAATCCTAAAATTCATATGGAACCAAAATGAGCCCACATAGTGAAAGCAAGACTAAGAAAAAAAGAACAAATCTAAAGGCATTACATTAGCCAACTTCAAACCATGCTATTAGGCCATAGGCACCAAAACAGCACGGTAATGGTATAAAAATAGGCACATAGACCAATGGAATAAAATAGAGAACTCAGAAATAAAGCCAAATACAGCCAACTGATCTTCGATAAAGCAAACAAACATAAAGTGGGGAAAAGACATCCTATTCAATAAACGGTGTTGGGATAATTGGCAAGCCACATGTAAAAGAATGAAAATGGATCCTCTTCTCTCACCTTATATAAAAATCAACTGAAGATGGATCAAAGACTTAAATATAAGACCTGAAACCGTAAAAGTTCTAGAAGATAACATTAGAAAAACACTTCTAGACGTTGGCTTAGGTAAAGACTTCATGACCAAAAAAACAAAAGCAAATGCAACAAAAACAAAGATAAATAGATAGAACTTAAACTGAAAAGTTCTGCACAGCAAAATAAATCATAAGCAGAGTAAACAGACAGCCCACAGAGTGGGAGAAAATCTTCACAATCTATACTTCTGACAAAGGACTAATAGCCAGGATATACAGGGAACGCAAATCAGCAAGGAAAGAACAAACAATCCCATCTAAACGTGGACAAAGGACATGAATAGACAATTCTCAAAAGAAGATATACAAATGGCCAACAAATATACGAAAAAATGCTCAACATCACTAATGATCAGGGAAATGCAAATGAAAACCACCATGCAATACTACCTTACTCCTGCAAGAATGGCCATAATCAAAAAACCAAAAAGTAATAGATGTTGCATGGATGTAGTGAAAAGAAAACACTTTTACAATGTTGGTGAGAATGTAAACTAACACAACCACTATGGAAAACAGTGTGGAGATTCCTTAAAGAAATAAAAGTAGATTTAACATTTGATTCAGCAATCCCAGTACTGGGTATTTACCCAGAGGAAAAGAAGTTATTGTATGAAAAAAAAAAAATACTGGCATGACCATGTTTATAGCAGCACAATTCACAATTGCAAAAATATGAAACCAGCCCAAATGCCCATCAGTCAACTAGTAAAGGAAATGTTTTGCATATATATATATATATATATATATATATGCATACACACATATATGTATATGTATATATGTATGTATCTATGTATATGTATATATGTATACATACACATACATATAATGTGAGATATATATATATATATATCACATGGCATATATATATACAAACACACACACACACACACCCCACAGTATATTAGCCATAAAAAGGAATGAAACAATAGCATCTGTAGCAAGCTGGGTGAGATCGGAGATCATTATTCTAAATGAAGTAACTCAGGAATGAAAAACCAAACATTGTATGTTCTCACTCATAATTGGGAGCTAAGCTATGAAGACACAAAGGCATAAGAATGATACAATGGATTTGGGGGCTTGATGTGTGTGGGAAGAGTGAGAAGGAGGTGAGGGATAAAACACTACAAATGGGTTTAGTGTATACTGCTCAGTTGATGGGGGTACCAAAATCTCAGAAATCACCACTAAAGAACTTAGTCATGAACAAAATAAATAAGTCAATAAATGAATAAGTAAAAAAATATAAAAGGAAAAAATACAAAAGAAACAATAAAATAAAAAATAATTTAAAAGACACAGAAAAACCATAATGCTTCATATCGACTAGGATGGGTACAATAAAAAATAAAAATATAAAAGTAAACATTGCTCTTTTAATCCCCACTATAGTATTTCTGGTTCTGAAATTTATATAAATCAAATAATAAAATATGTATTCTTTTGTGCCTACCTGTTTTTGTTCCAAATTATATTTTTGAAATCTATCGCTGTTATTACACATAGCTATGGTATTTTATTTTATTAATATAATTCAATTTGTTTATCTATATGAGAGTTGATAAACATTTGGGTTGTTGCTTTGGGCTATTAAAAATAACACAAAATTAATATATATCATCTTTTTTTGCTCATATGTACACTTCAGTTTTGCATACATCTAGGAGTGGATTGCTGAATGAGAGATGTGTATGTTTAAATTTATTAGATAATTTTGTACTTTTCTTAAGTAGTTGCATAAATTTACACTCTCACTAGCAATATATAAGAATTCTCATTGATCCATATCTCAGGAGTATTTTGTGGTGTTTTTAATTTTGCCCTTCTGGTGAACTTATGGTAGTATCTCACTCTGGTTTTAACTTGCATTTTCTTGATGACTGACTAATGAAGTTTAGTACTTTCACATGTTAAATGGACATGTAGATATCTTAATTTGCAAACCTCTAATTTATTTATATTTGTCCATTTATTATATCCATTCCTTTCTGTCAGAACATCTTTTCTTATTGTTTCATAGCAGTTTTTTACATACTCTGGATACAAGTCTGTTTTCAGCTAAATTTGCTAAAAATATATTTCATTTTGTTCTTGCATTTTTACTCTCTAAAAAACAAAGTATTATTTTTAATCTCTCTCTCTCTATATATATATATGTGTATATATATGTGTGTGTCTATGTGTGTGTGTATATATATGTGTGTGTGTATATATATATATATATATATATTATTTTTTTTTTGAGACAGTGTTTGGCTTTCTCACCCAGGCTGGAACACAGTGGCACTATCTAGGCTCACTGCTACCTCTGCTTCCTGGGTTCAAGCTATCCTTCCACCTCAGCCTCCCGAGTAGCTGAGACCACAGGTGCCTCGCCATGCCTGGCTGATTTTTGTACTTTCTTTTGGTAGAGATGGGGTTTTGCCATGTTGCCCAGGCTGGTCTTGCACTCCTGGACTCAAGAGATCTGCTTGCCTCAGCCTCCGAAAGTGCAGAGATTACAGGCGTGAGCCACCGCACCAAGCCAATAATTCCTTTTATGGTTATTTTTTTTGTGTGTCATTTTAAAGAACTCTTTCCCTTTCTCAAGGTCATGAAAATACCCCCTTGGGTTTTCTTATGGAAGCTTTATTACTGGACCTTTTACACTCTGATCTATATTCCTCTGAAAATGATTTTTGTGTATGGTGGAATATACAGCTTATGTGCATTTTCCACATCTATATCTAACATAAGAGCTTCACTGTTAATCTAGAATTGCAAAACAAATCAATTTTTTACCAGACTAATAAATATAAATGAATAATACAAAATATCAATGATGGTATAAAAATTGGGGTAACCCACATCCAATATGGGCTGTATTAAAATATTGTATGACAATCTGAATCAGGAACAGATATCAAAACTCTCTTACAATGTACATACTCTGTGATTCAATTCTATGGTAAGAAAATAATTTAAGAGTTTTTAAATTGAAGAGTTTGATACTTAGTGGTTGTTTCTGGATTGTGGAATTATAGATGATCATAACTTTATTTGCTAAAACAATCATATTTGCAAATACATTTATTATTATGCAAAGTAATTCTGAACTAGTAAAACAGAAAATATATTGAAACTTCAAACGTGTAATTCAAATGGATTCTAAATCATGACTGTTCTAGAAGGTGACTCTAAGAAAAAATAAACAATTACATTAAAAATTTTTATTGTTACTAAAAAAGAATGATTAAGTATTATAATACTAGCAAATTAAAATTATTTTTGAGTTATATTTTTGTTTTGTTTTTGAGACAGTGCTTCTCTCTGTTTCCCAGGCTCAAGTGCTGTGGCATGATAGTTCACTATAGCCTCAATTGGGTTCTATTTTGTTAATTCACTATACAACTTTCATTTTCAACTTAATTCTTATATATAGTGTACATAAAAGCCTTCATATTTACACTATATCTTTCAACTACTTTATGTATAATATCACTAAATACTTTCCATTTGATTTATTTTTTAAGTCAAATTTGATTTTCTGATTCCATCTTTATGCTTTCCACAGGGATATGCTTTATGCCATGTAAACCCAATTCTGAAAAATTAAGTGTTTCAGAAAAAGGTCTATCTAGTGCAGAAAAGAACGTACTGTATACATACATTTATCTTGCTTTAGAAGGATTCTGCTCAAGATGATAAGCATATATGTGCTTAAATAATAATCAATGATTTATTTATCAATGAATATAAATAAAACAAAAGTTTTTCTTACCGAAGAACTTCTCTGAATACTTTCACTTTGGCAACTATTTCTTTTTAGGTCATAGAAAAATTTAAATTGTGGGCATACATAGGAAAAATATAGCATTTGACAGAAGAGAAATTAGACTCTTTGTCATGCTCTATTTTGCTATGTTTTATGTTCGATAGCTTCTTGTTTACTTTAATGTTCACAACATTGACTCCCAGTCTTCTTGAAAATATTGATTTTGCATGCTTTCCATGTTCTTGAATGTCTGGAATGCCAATAATGTTTTGTAATTATTACCTATTACTTTGAAACTGAGCTTAGCGTAATTTAAGCATACTTTGTTTTTTATATCACAGAAGTGTTATTAAAGATAAAACACTATGTAAGAAGAGAATACCTCATTTGAATACCTTCAAAAAACTTTTTAAGTTTTATAGTGACTTTAAATTTACAGAAAAAATTAAATATTTTAAATTTAAATTTTAAATTTTAAAGAGAGCTCCCATATACTTAAAATGCAGTTTCTGCGGTTTCGCATATCAATATTGATACAGTATTATTAATTAAAATCCACATGTTATTCATAGTTCCTCAGAGGTGTTTGGTTGGTTGGTTGGTTGGTTGGTTGGTTGGTTGGTTTTTTTTTTTGACGGAGTCTCCCTGCGAAGCCTAGGCTGGAGTGCACTGGCGCAATCTCGGCCCACTGCAACCTCTGACTCCCAAGTAGCTGGGATTACAGGCATATGCCACCACGCCTGGCTAGCCTGTGTATTTTTAGTAGAGATGGGGTTTCACCATATTGGGCAGGCTTGTTTCGAACTCCTGACCTAAAGCTATCTGTCCACCTTGGCCTCCCAAAATGCTGGGATTACAAGCATGAGCCACCGCACCCGGCCATTTCCTCAGTTTTATCTAATGCCATTTTCCTGTACTAGGATCCCTTCAGAATACCACATTACAGATAGTAGTCTTGTATTCTTAGGCTCCTGTTGTCTGTGATAATTTCTCAGACTTTTCTTGCTTTGCATGGTCTTGACAGTTAGAGGAATACTTACCAGGTATTGTAGAATGCTCCTCAATTAAGATTTGTCTGATGTTATTCTTATGACTGGAATGGGGTTATATATCTTATTCTGCATCATTGGATACGGTGAAATTTACCTATGCAATTTTCCACCTGAACCTGCCTGACTCGGTTAACAGCATGATAAACAGGAAGCTCCATGGCCAGCTCAGGCACAGGGATGTTAGCCTCTGGGTAGTATTTGCATGGACCAAACCAAGAACCACCTGGGAAGGTTTTGAAGAGAAAAGCCAAAGTGAAAGCTGGGAAAAGCTGTTTACACACTAGATGAGGTACATTATTTTAAAGGTATTAATGTTTCAAGGATTTAAAGGAGACCTGAACACTATACCTTGGACCAATATTAAAAGATATATCAAAATACAAATACGCATAGTAAGTTCTCCTAAGAGAGACTCACCAGAGTCTCCACAGGGTACACCTGGGTAAGCAAAGATGTGGTGCAGTGACAGAAATAGAGTGCAAGACCTGAGAGATAGTATGTACTGTGAATTCCCCAGAGTCCTTATTTGTGCCAGCCTCTGGCTTGCACTGCCATGATCTGTGCAAAGAATCTTGGCTTTTGAAGAACTCCCTGGAAACAGTTGTCAGTAGCCTTTTCAATAATGAAGTCAGGGTTCAAACGGTTTAGGACAGTTGTAAACCATTAGTAAAGAAAGTCACCCTGAGGATCACTACAAGAGGATTTCAGACCTTAAACAGTACATATAAACTCCATTGTGCTTATTTTGTTTAAGGTTTAAAAACTAGATATTCAGGTATCTCCAGAGATAAAGAGTATTTCCAGTCCAACTGTAAGTCAACTCTATCTCCACAATATCAGAGTACAATGTTGCTAAATTGTTTTTCAAATGAACGTTAATAATTATAAAACAGAAGGAGTGAGAGCCAAATAGAGAGATGGTGAGATTCTTCAATACTTCTCACAATTCAGAATGTTAAGCATTAAAATTCCTTGAGGAAGGAAGAGCTTCCCCTTTGCACAGTGGTGTCTGAGCTCAAGGTTGCTCTTCTTGACTTCTTCCTCTTTGCTCACTGCCTGGTTACCACCTGGACTCATCACCTTCTCATTAGCTTTCCTTTGTGATCTGTTCTTTTATTACAGAATATGGGCTGAATTATCAGGCAAGAAAAAAATTGCCATGGTTACATGACATCTTTCAGATAACCCTATGACATGTCATTTTGGATCTGCCTAAAGCTAGAAACAGTTTTAAGAAGGGAGTAATATAAAAAGTTGCCTAGATAGCTTCCATCAATATAGTAGAAATATTACCTGGAAATGATATTCTAGTAAAATAATTGAGAGTGATGTATTTTACTTATATATTGAATATAATATTTAATATATTATATTCAAGAGTGTGTTCTTTCTTTTCACACTCTCTTGCTGACTTAAGTTTACTTCCCATAGACCAGCTGAGTGAAAAATGAAGAATAAAGCTAATTGGATCTATCACTGCTACTGGAAAGAACAATAAAATGGTATTCCTATATGCTTTGCATTTGATATCATGTTAGTTCTAAAAATTATCTGAAATAAAGTTGTATATGTGTGTGTGTGTGTGCGTACCTCCCAAATATCTCTTTATCAGCATAAATCTTTTCAAAAGATTCAGTTATGCCAAGCATACTCATAAAAATATATTTTGGCTTATTCTTTTTATTAACATTGATACAAATTATGTATCTTTCACAACAAAATTTGGGTCTTCTTCAGTTAATTCTGTTCTACAAATTTCCAAAGAATATTAAATATCCAAAAATGCAAAAACTATTTTGAAAAAATTAAGTTTATCAAATAATAGAAATTTATAGCTAAGCCTGGAAATGATACTTGTAATATATCTAGGAATACCTTAAGACAGAAACCAATAGTAGCTATTATACAGAAAATTTTGCTTAAAATAGGGTATAGAAGTCCAAAAATGCTTCCAAGAAAAAATGACTATTGTATGCTTTAGATTTATAAAATAACACTCTCATATATCAGCACTAATTTATGGAGGGTTAACAATTACATGGTCACATAACATGGCCATAAAACATAATAAGACAATCACAAACACGTAAGGAGACCAAGTAAAATAAAAGTGAAAATATGAGTAATCTATACAAAATGCTAACTATAAATGCAGCCTAAAATATATATTTGTTTTATAAAATCCTAAGTTCAAATCTTATTTTGTACTTCTAAAAGCCATGAAGGTTTTTTTAAATATTTATTTTACTTTTTAAATTACACTCATTAGAGCTACATTTTCATAATATCATATACACATGGTCTATCTAAGCATTTAGCAAGTAGATTTACCAGACATAATATCATTTTTCTAAAACCCTCTAGTCCCCAATTTAACATTATTGTTCTTTTGATTTACTGTAACTCAATGAAGAAAAATTTACATTGAGGAAAGATGAATGAAATATGAAGAAAATAACAGAGGAGACATGAAAATTGAAAGTGATATTTGTTAAGTATTACCGGGTTTTCGGGACGAATCAAGGCAATGTTCTTGGCGTTATGTTGAGGCTTTTGCTGAAATACAGCTGAAAATATTAAATCTCCTGTGCAGAACCCTGCAGTAGTTCAGAAACCAAGATCTTTTGGATTAGGTCACTGTGAAAGAAAAATGTCATGGCAATGTTTTTAAAGTCAGAGGCATTCAGATTAGCCTTGGTTAGTACTATAATTCTAACATCTCTTAAAAAGAAAAACCTCAAATGCCAATTGAATTTTCATATAGCATGTTGCATATTGCATCAACAAATTATGTTCAAACATTTTTAAGTGGTACCAGGGCTATGACTTTGTAAAACGCAAATGTGTAAACTGCAACAAATCCTTTCTGTTATTTTTAATCCCCTGAAATGATCAAGTTTTTAACAGAAACTATTTATATAATGAAATAAGCGAATTATACTTGCAATAATGGGTTTGACGATATTTGTAATTGTTTTTCAATTTTAAATAAGTTGTATGGTTTTTTAATTTCTAGTTATAAAACGAAATGAAATGTTACTTGACTTTCAGTTCTAAGCCTTATGGGGCACTTTAAATCATCTTTATCTAAAAAAAGACTCAAGTAAAAATGACATAAAAAAATCAAGGCTTCAGTGTTGTCAGCGGTGCAGGAGTCATGAGTTAATCAAGAATAATTAGCTTTCCTCTCAGAAGTGTGGAGTTAAGATACACTCAAATTGAAGCGTTATATTCTGGTAATATGAAACTCTTTAGTCTCCCTTAGCCTTTCTATTTTTTGCCCTTAAATCATGAAAGCACATCTTACAATAACCTAATCAAATGTAAAATGAAATGGTCTTGTTGAGGTATTAAAGAACCTGGTTTGCCTAAATTCTCTTAAGGCCATTGTTCTTCCTCTTCCCTCACAACCTAGTCTTCATTCACAAAGAATTTTTTACCTCTATCTTTACCATGTGTGATGGTTTTGCTTCAGACATTCCTCTACTTTTAAATGACCCATAGACCTACTGATTCAGAACTTGATTTTATGTTCAACTATGTCTATTGTTGACCATTTTATCCATAGGATCATTGGGTTAACAGATTAAGAGAGGTTGGTCATAAGGCAGAGTATTTTGATTTTAGCAGGACCTTTGGCTACAGCTTCCTGCAAATTAAAGTGGTGAAACATGGATTGGATAACACTTTGGGATCTTTTTTTGATTGGTTGAAAGAGACACATAAAGAATGCTGGTTAAAGTATAAATATTATTATATTGGTCAAGACAATTTGTTCTCAATTAAGAGGAACTAAATCAAGCTAACTCAAGGATGCTGTACATCCATTGTGATCAAAAGGTGGTTATGCTGCTGGGTTTCAGGCACTAGTAACTGGGAGGCAATAGGGACATTGTCTACCTCTGCCTCTAATTACATATTGTTAGCAATAATTAGTGGAAATAACAATGAAAGAAATTTTATCTCAGCATGAGAGAATTCTCAAACAAATCAAACTACAACTATTTAGCAGATGTTGGATAAAATTAAATAGCCCATGCCGTATTTGAAGGATTGGATAGAAGAGATGCAGCTAATTGAACTTTTACTTTAGATAGATTAGATACTTCTATAGTTAAATGATATGTTTTAAATAATCTATTAAAAGTTCTAGATGTTAACTAAAATTTCTCTCATTATTATAGTGACCCAAAGGAATAATGACAGCAAATACCTCTATAATGTATACCATATGTTGGACATGTTATAAATGCTTCATTTATCTATCAAGTTATATAACCTTTTAAAAAGTCTATGAAATAGTGACTATAACCATCTCTATTGAACAGGTTGGTAAAGTGAAGTTTATATAATTTAGAGTAAATTGACCAAGATCACACAACTTATAAGTGGCAAAATCAGGATTATACCATATGTAGGCTAACTGGAGATTCCATTTAATTTACCATTATATTATATTGTCTTTCAGAATAAAGTAAGAGCTGATATTATTTATTCAATAAAATATCCAAATTTGGAGTTAAAAGCAAAATAAATATGTCACATAGATTTGATTTTTTAATATCAAAGTTTTATAATTTCTTATTAAAAAGTAGTTGTTTTGCTGGAAAGACAAAACTATTCCTTCTATGTATCACCATAATCCATAATCATGAAACATACATCTAAGCAGGGATATAGGAAAACACATCTGACTTAAGATGACTATGGCTGTTACTCTTTAAGACATGTGGATGGGATACGCAAAGCAGGTTATAAAAATAAAAAAAAGGTCAAATCTAAAGCACAAAAGAAAAAGATTTACTTTCTAAATGAAACACTGGTTTATACTGAGCAGGCAAGTGAACTCATGGGAAATATTTGAAAGATATCTTTTACTGGGTATGTTGGAAAAATATAGAAGCAAGATATAGAATTAGCAAAGCACTTCAGTTAAGGTCACAGTGATAGATTTTGATAAGCCAGAACTAGTTTTAAACTGGTTGGAAGAATAAGTGATATAAGCAACATCGTCAATGCAGTTCTGAGCAACAGGCCTAGAGGTATACAGGAGAAACTGTCAAACTAGACTTGGTAAGCTATGTTCCAGAAAGTCTAAAGACTGTAGCAGAGCTTCTTTACATGACCAGAATTTTAAATAACTGTGTGTCAGCTCTGCTGAAAGCAGTAAAATTTCCTGTTCCACATAGGGCCTGAATCATTTTGCCTTGAAGGTAGAGCACACTGCTCAGCCCAATTTATGGAATAAGATGACAAATTAAAAATAAACTCTAGAGTAATATATATTTTACCATATATTATATATAATTATTATATATTATATTATATATACTATAAATTATATTAATATTATATTATATATACTATAAATTATATTAATATATTATATATGCTATAAATTATATTAATATTATATTATATATACTATAAATTATATTAATATTATATTATATATACTATAATTTTAATATTATAGTATATATACTATAAATTATATTTATAGTATATATACTATAAATTATATTTATAGTATATATACTATAAATTATATATACTATAAATTATAGTATAAGTAATATATAATATTGTATTATATATTATAATTATATAGTTACATATAATTATATATTACTCTAAAATTTAAGACTCCAAAATTTAATTTAATTTAATAAATATTAATTTAATTCATTTTTAATTTAATATATATTGCTCTAGAGAGTAATACATATTACTATAGATAAGTAATAAGTAATACATCTTACCTTAAAGAGTAATACATATTAAATATAAAATGATATATAAATTAATATACTAATATATCATGTATAAATATACTATTATATAATATATAAGTATATGATTTAATATGTAATATAATATATAACATACATGTATACTATATAATATATAATGTATATATAATATATGTCTATATTTATATAATATATATTATATCTAATTATATATAGGAGACAGTAATATATGTTAATATATCTCTAAAATTTTATGTTGTATATATGTATATATACATATATTTGAAATATTAAATTTTATTTAATTTTAATACAATTTATATGTGTGAATTTAATAATATACATAAAATTTCAAATTATATATCCAAATTTGTTATTTATATATAAATTTAATACTATATGTAAATTTAATATTTAACATATAAATTTTAAATTTATATACATACATTTAATAATATTTATACATAAAATTTAAATTTATATATACATAATTTAATATTTATATGTTTAAAATTTAAATTTATATATACATAAATTTAATATTTATATAAATGTATGTATGTGTGTATATTATATATATACATATATATGTTTACAGCACCAAGAGACATCTTTCAATAGACTTTGCTGAATTTATTCATAGAAATACTGTTCCTATTAACAAATAATCACACCAAAATAATCATAAAGAACAAAGCTTTAAAATCCAATGATTCAAGGCTTAATGGCATATCATTTTGTCAGTCAGCCGACTATATTCACCAAATACTTATTCTGTGTCAAAGCCCTAGGGATATCATAATGACAAACAGAGACACATGGTAGCATTCACAAGATTATTTCCCATGTGCTGGTTTGCGGCAAATAATGACATAAAGACTTGAGACTGACTCAGCATTCTAAGATTTTATATGAGGAAATCCATCAGCAAATGCATGCATGCGTGCATGCATCTATGTAACATATATGCCCAGCAGATTTTTGGTTAAATATGGTGAATTGAATATATGTGCTTATGTCCATGCTTTCCTAAATTTTCAGAAAAAGAACATTAAAAAACGGACAAATAATCTAATTCCATGGATGCAAAGAAGAATGGAAAAAAGGCAAGAGTGAATAAAAAAGTGCTACAAAAAATTTTTGACAAGTTGAATACTTGATGGATATTTGTCAGAACAGTGAAAGCTGAAGCATAACATTTCGCAGATGGAGAAATCAACAAGAAGCAATTTAATTTATCTTGTAGATAATTGGAAATGCCAACCGGAAATTAGCAATGGGATTGAAAACTGGCCGCTGAAAACAAGTTTGCTTAAACACTATTTGGATCAGTTTTATCCCACCCTCACCCCCAGTTCTGCTATGCATCCTAACAGGAAGACAGAAGGATAATTCTAGGCAAAAATCAACAGAAGGGCTCCAGGATATTGAGCACAGTTGAGAACAGAATTAACGTATTATATTGACAACGACGGTGAAAGAGAAAGTCTATGCATAGAATGACAAGGGTTGCTACCTCTTTCCTGTACACCATTCCCAGGCTTCTGCCATGCATACCACCACTTTTGACACCCACACAGGTGAATGAGCCAGCATTTACTATTGAGGCTGACATTTTTACGTTTGATCCTTGCCAGATCACTTTACTCTCAAGTCCAAGAATATATATTTCTGCCCATCAACAGAAAACACCTAATCAACTTTTCACTACTTTAAAATATTTAAAATATTTAATGGAAGCCAGAGATTGTTTTTTTATTTTTATTTTTTAATAGCAAAGTCCTCAGCATGAAAGAGAATACCACAATGAGAAAGAACAGCAACTTAAAGGGAACAAGAAGGGAGCAGGAGAAGAACTAAAACAAACTATAATTAATGTCCTTCCATAAAGGAGAGCAATTGTTTCTAAAACTAAAAAATCAAGAAAGCAAAGTCAAAGTAATGCTGAAAATCTGAAGGTAACTAAAGAAATGGCTACAATATTTAAAGCGGTTGTTTCTGGAGGGTGTTATTTGGATATGGGGCACAATTTTTATTATCTGTCTGAGACTGTTATATAATTTCTAAACTAGGTAGGTGTATTAGTTTGATAAAAGCAATTTTTAAAAGCATCACTAAAATTTTTGGAATTTGTTTTTAAAAATTCAAGAAATCCTTACCAAACAATTATTGAGACCCTGCTACACTAAAGTTTTATTTGCATCAATGTGATCATGTTCGAAAGAATGAAATGACTACTGGTTTCTTTGGGGAATAATTTTAGGTTAGAAGTTAAGGTCTTGACGTAAGTGTTCTTTTCTCTAGGAAAATTGTCATGAATTCATAAGGTTTAAGTGTTCATTTTATGTACTCTGATAACAGAATGTTTTCTCTCATGGTCAACACCCACACTATTGTGACTAGCTACGTTATCTGTTTGCCACTAGAATGTGAATCTCAATAAGAGTAGGAAATGTACATGACATTTTAATCCCCATATGCCAACCATCTATTAAGCAGCTGCTACAACATTGGCCCTCAATACGTACTTGAATTAATGTTGAATGAATAAAATGTCTCTCTCTAATAGAAAAATTTTGTCTGGTTGAGGTGATAGAAAATTATAAATACAATCATTATACCTTAGAATTATATCATTGACTTTTGACCATTTATTAGTCTTCTGGATTATAAAATATCTTCTGGAGATATTTTATAGTCTAAATTTATTTTGTAAAGTACTTTATCAGAGTCTCTTAGCACATTTTAGGCACCTTTACAAATCAATGACCATTTCAAAAATTGCATTATAGTCCTAATATCATTAGCTTTTATTAGGAAGCATATATTCAGAGAAAAATATAATGTTATTGGTTTAAAAAGGGCAAAATAGCATTCATTATTCTTTGATTAAATTTCTAATCAGTATTCATTTCCAGTTTTTCCCAAGTTACAGTAGAACATAACAAATAAAAAACAAATCACCAGGCCTGGAAATATTTAAAATATGAATGTCACTTTCCAAATCCATTATTTTCTTTCCCTCGAGGCAGTAGACAGCTTCATTTTCATGGCAAGAAAAATAATTCTTTTATGGTCATTTCTACGCATTAAAAGATTTTAAATTTTCTGAGACATTATTCTTATTTGATCTAACAAATGCTGAAGGCAAACATGGACTATTTGCAGTATAGTATGCTTTCTCACCAACTAAATGTCTTTTACTATATTATTCCAACACCTGTCAGCCTATCTGATAATAGGAGAGTCTTTTTACTTCTAAATGTTGTTCATTTCATTAATCTAATATATGACATAGACATTCATTTTAAAAGTGCATCAATATCTTCCCCTGAAGGAATGTGAACTAAGGTGAGCTTAGAAATAAGACAAGCTCGATTCCCTTCTATAGCCTAGTTCTCTTAGTCGCACTGCCAGGTGTGTCCCAGAAATGAATTCAAAGACAGTTTAACATGGTAGTTTTCTGCAATATTGTGAAATAATATAGTAGTGTCTCCAACTCATTTAAATATATTAAAGCTGATCTCTAAAATTGTATTTTTAATTAAAAAGTGTATGTCAAATTGAATTACTTTAATTTTGTGAATAAAAATGAAGCATTTATCTAAATAATACAGACAAATTATCCAATTGCTGGTGATTTTCCCTTACTACTTTTTGGGAATCCAGAATATTTTTTCATTGTTAGATTGTCATTCACCCTTAATTCTGTAATATTTATCTTAAATAATCCTGTTCTCACACAGTTTCCTGGGTTATAAATATATCATTGTTTTCCCTATCTAGTTAGTAATTCAAAGCACTGCCCTTGAACTCTCATTTCTTATTATTTTAAAGTAGTTTATGCATTTTCATATAGCTGTGACAAGATTAAGGAAACTTCAGGTTCTGACTTCCGTCAAACTGAGCTTCTAGGATTCACAACAAGTAAACCCACCCCCACCTTTACTTTAAGTAGGTTCACTCAATCAATTCTCACATTATCTTAGCTTCTGGAGTATATACTTTATTATTTTTCTCAGTTAGTGAATTTTTGAAAAGTTGAAGAATTCCTCCAAGGCCCCACAGCTATTAAGTAATAAAGTTAAAATTTGAGCCCAATAAATTGAACTCCACAGTGCAAGCACTTACCTGTTCTGCTATACAATGTAAAATAAAATGTTACATCTGTGCAATATTCATCTGTGAAGTGTATAGTAATTATTTGTTGTGGTCTTTGGAATGTCTTTGCCTTCCCCTAAAAATGCAAAATAGTGAGCTGCTACAATGTCACATCTTTTATTGTAGTGACTATCTAATGTATTCTCTATAGTGCAGGCATGTTAGGAATGCTGCTACACAGTATGTGTGTCAAGATGGTCTCTGGCTTATGACATAGTAATTAAGTGATCTCACAAAACTTCAGTGTTCACCTTTTATGAGTGTTCCTCCAAAGGCAATTGCTGTACCCTAGGGATTTTTAGATATATTTCAGGGGATCTCCAATCCCTATGAAAAACTTTTTCTGATGTGAACCAAAAACTTTATGTATTTATTTTTGCCTTCTAATTAAGAAAATGAGATGTATTCATCAATGAAACAGAGGCAGCATAAGTCAACATACAACCATGGGAATAATTGAATAGAATCATATAAATTGAGAGAAAGAAAACAATCTTTCTGAATTAAATAGCTTTTAGTAATATACATGAATGCAATATACATGTTTATACATGAACACACTGAAAAAAAGATGGTTGAACAATATAGTAAATGTGTGATTATGCCACTGAATTGCATATTTTTAAACAGCTAATTTAATGTTACATGAATTTGGCCACAAAATAAGTATTTGTATATATTATTTTATTTATTATATATTGAATGAGTAGAAAGTCAGTTGTTACTTTCAGATAGGTCTTAGGCTATGGGCAATTATTTTTACTTCAATTACTTTACAATTTTTGTAACTGTTCAACGTCATTAAGTAAAAATTTGCTAATACATTAAAAGTAAAAAATAAAAACCACTCAAACTCTCACTATCCATACATAATTAACATAGCAATTTAAAGCATTTTACTTTAAACCTTTTTTTCTACGCACCGATCTATTTTTACACAGTTGGAATTATGTTGTTTATGGGTTTATGTTTGCATTTACCTTTTATAATAGCATTACATATCACCAATAGTTAATATTACTATAGATCATAACTACTTTAATATTACTATATATCATAACTACTTTAATCATGTTAATATTTGTTAATATTTAGACACTGCTTCTTAGATTATATAAACATTTATTTGTTAAGATAATAGTTTGAGTAATATCCTCAAAAATGTTGAAAATATTAGATTTTTATATAACTTTCATTACTTTTTGTTTTCAAAAAAATCAACAATTCAAAAAATATGAGCATTTTCTGGAGAAATCTAAATACTTTCAGAAAGCGAGTACAAATTTGTACTCTTATTAGCAGTGATTTTCTCTCAACATAGCTAACAATATGGAAATGTTATTATATTTTTAAAGTTGTTAGTTTAATACTCATAGATTTTAATGTTTCAAAATTTTATCTACTTATTTTCAAATACATGTAACATTTTTTGTATATTTGTGGGACTTTTGTTTTATTCTATAATATTTAGTTCATATTTTTTACCACTTTTTGTAGTAGATTGATGATACATTAAGGATTCGTAGTAGGTTTTATTTATGGCTGGTAATTTTATAATTGTCTTATTCATTGCAGTCATATCCTATTTGGTGATTTGCCTTTAAATTTTATGTAATTGTTTTAAAGTTTTAATGTTTTAAGCCCGGATTAAGCTAAATTTTTCTTTTGTGACTATTTTAGGACTTGAAATTTATTGTATTTTGAATATTCATTCTAGCTGTTATAATTTTAGCCCAAAGTTTTACTAATACACACTTACTATTGAAACAACAAACAGTGGCTGTTTCTATTTCTAAATTCTATTTGTTTGCTTATTTATGCATTTATTTAATACTGTGTTGCCCGGGCTAGAGTGCAGTGGCTAATTACAGCCACAATCATAGCACACTCTTGGCCTCAAGGGATCCTCCTACCTGGGCCTCCCAAGTGGCTGGGATTATGTGCACATGCCACTGTACCCAGATCCTAATTTCTAATTATAATGGTGTTCATGAAGATTTCACAGGATAATGTGTGTACGTTTGTATAAGTATTAGTGGTATTCTGTGTAGTTTGGACAGGCATATGGTTTGCCCAAAAGGTAGACATTGTGTTACTGTTTAAAAAAACAAGTCTTCCTAAATAACTTAATTTTTATTAAGAGTATAAGATTCTGTTTTATGTCTCATAAAAAAATGGTATTTTCCTCTTGGAAAAGGATAGTCATTTAATCTTTCATCAAGCTTTGTGCACAATTAGTAATTTCACCTTGATAACAAGCATCAACTGGGACTGTCCCAGAAAAACTAAGTACAATAGGTGACTCGCTGCTTTATTTTGACATTTTAGTTTTGCCATTGTGCTGTCTGCCTTTCTCTAACTTGTGGATAGTAAGCCAATACTGGCTAATTAAACAATTTGCAAATATGACCAAAGCCAGTATTTTGGTGACAAATTGCACAATACAGCAACCTGGAATACTTAGCTTTTAATGAACCCATCTGTTAAACATATCAAAGTTGTACAAATGTGTAAGAAAAGTTATACAAAAAGTAAACGTCAAAAGTAGCATAAGGACCTAGGGATTATATATTTAAACATTCATTGATTTAAAACATTTAGGGTCACCTGTAGATCAGTGAATTAACAGAGATTTTTTTCCTTATTTTTCATAGAGATAAATTATTTACAATACAAGCAGAGCTAAACATATTTAAAAGTTATTGTAAATTTGAACCACAAATGAATAGATTGTAATCCAAACATTAAAACTTATTTTTACAAATAAAAATAGAAAAGATTTTAGCTTCCGCCTCAGTGAGGGTGCACTGATATAAGTTGAGTCTCTAAAAGTGTGTATCCTTTTTAATATTGTTATAAAGTTATTTGTTGTAAAGTTATTTTAAAATAATGTACATTATAATTTGTTTTTTATATTTTTATAAAGTTCTTGTTATTTTTAATCTGCTTCAACTCTTTGAACAGAGATTTATGATTTAATTGAAGTGAGCTTTTTTCAGCATATTGTATATAAAACTTCTTTTTTGACTTGCTCAGTAGCACCTTGGACACTTAAAAATGATACAAAGTATTCCTTAAATCATATTTTAACATTTTTAAAATCTAATAAGAGATTGTCTGGATATTTTCAAATGCAGAATCATTTGAGTTGAATTGATTTTTCCACTATGGATTATGATTTCTTAGATATATGACATTCAGAGATACAACACTGATATAATGAAGTATTGAGTTTCAAACAACAAACTTTTAATACTTTCCTAGAAATATAACTTAATGTAAAATGGAAGTTTTAAAATTAAAATAAATTTTAAAAATCATTGGCAGTTATACTTTTCCACATTTTCTTTGTTCTCAGCAAAACATTCCAATTACTCGTAGCTCTGTGATTGATGAAAGAAACAATGGTAAAATAAGGTGAAAGTTTTATATATTCACCAAAGGAAGTCATTATTCAACCGTGAGGAATATTAAATCTTGATAAAGATATCAATTACATATAGCTCTGTAGCTTCACTCAGAATTGTATGCTTTCAGTAATGATCTGCACATCACTATTAGAAAGGGTGAATATAAATCACTGAGATTTGATTTTATAAAATCCAGAGAACACATTATTATTATTTGCCTTAGGTGTGTAATACAATGATTTTGATCTGTTTCAAGACACATAGCCAAAGAAAATAAATCACGTTTAAAAAAATTTCCTTTGCTCATTTTAATTTTTACCTTTAAACATTGAAGCCTTTCTAGAAGCAGTAGGCAACACAGTCCTCTACAAGTGGTATTATTTCTTACCACTGAATCTAAATATCTACTGTAGTTTGTTTGCATTTGAATGAAAGCACTCAGCCTTTGTAGAGCAGTAATCTGGTATTTTTACCTAATTATTCTTGTTTTATTCAATAATGTATGGATAAAACGATGTGTGCCTAAAAATGTATTTATGGTGACAACATTTCTGAAGGTTAATTTCTGCCACCAATGTAAATGAGTTGCCTCACATTGTCTTTCAATAACCAACATGTAGGCAAAATGTTCTTACATTTTGTTCAACATGTTCTTAAGGCACGTACCTTGGATTCATAGAGTAAAGTGATGTCAAATCTGTTGACAGTGTCATGGCTGGGTCCTTGTAAAACAGTGTTTACCTTCAAAAGTTAAAAAAAATATAATTTTTAATTTTTAATTTTTTTTTGCTTTTATCTTTTTACTTCAAAACAAAATTCAAAATATGTTTTTATGGGAAAGTTTAGAATATTTTTCAGAAGTGAGGGGATTGTGTGATACAATAGCGTGGCACTGAGAATCAGCTTAGAGAATAGCAGTTGAGGGTTTGATGTTTTTCATCCATTAACACAAATTGAGGAATTGATAGAGGATGGGGCAATGAGTATATATCCTTAAAGATAGCTCATGATTTTTTTTGTTGAATGTGATGTGTAAAGACAATTACTGTCTCTTTAAATACCTTTGGTTAAAAATGTATTTTTAAGCTTTCTGGATTTAGATTACTGCTTCTTTAAATTAGCCAGTGCATAAATATTGAATAATATGAACCAAAGTTTTCCAGGTTGTTTATTAGAAAGGAAAATAAGTTGGAGAAAGAACATTACATGGTCTAGCAATGATCCACCAAGCTCTGTAATCTTCTTAAATATTTAAGGTAGCCTACTGTAAGAATGTATAGTGATAATTTCCCTTAGATATGTATGCTTAAATCTTACAAACTCAAATACTGTCATGTGTTGCTTAACGACAGGGATATGTTCTGAGAAATTCACTGTTAGACAATTTTGTCCTTGTGTAAACATCATAGATTATACTCACACAAAACTAGATGGTTTAGCCACTGTATACCTAGGCTATATAGTGGTCTTTTGCTCCTAGGCTACAAACCTGTGCAACATGTTAGTGTACTGAATACTATAGGCAATTAGTAACACACTGCCTATGATACACAAAGTATTTGTGTATCTAAACATAGAAAAGAATACACAAAGTTTATTAAGTCTAGATACACAAACCATTTGTGTATCTAAACATAATACACAAAATATTTGTTTATCATAACATAGAAAAGGTACAGTGAAAATACAATAATAAAATCTTACAGGACCACCATAATATATATGTGATTACTTATGGACTAAAGTGTCATTGTGGGGCATGTGACTTTATTAGTAGCACTAATATATAAAATTCAGCCCATTTCTAAATTAGCGTATAATAATGGCTCAAAGTATGTTTCTTCTGGAATAATGTTCTTAATGGGATCTTTGAAACAGATTTTTTTTTTTTTTAATGGAGTCTTGCTCTGTCACCCAGGCTGGAGTGCAGTCATGCGATCTGGGCTTACTGTGAACTCCACCTCCCAGGTTTAAGCAGTCCTCCCACCTCAGCCTCCCAGGTAGCTGGGATTACAAGCACCCACCATCACACCTGGCACATTTTTATATTTTCAGTAGAGACAGGGTTTTGTCATGTTGGACAGGCTGATTTCTAACTCCTGACATCAAGTGATTCACCTGCCTCAGCCTCCCAAAGTGCTAGGATTACAGGCATGAGCCACCGCACCTGGCCCAGATTTTTCAATATACCATACTTAGTGTGAAAAAAACAAAACAAAACAAAAACAAAAACAAAGCAAAACATTGATTCACACCTATTATAATATCATTGTGTGAAATCAACATCATTCTTTTTTTTGTTTTCTTTTTGCAAATTTTTGACAGTAAATCAAAAGATTTCTGTATATGTGTCATATCTTTTAGGGTGTATAACTGCTGGAAAGGATCATTTAATTATTCTATGTGGTACAACTTAAATGTAGAAAGCATGTCTTTTGAGTCCATTTTATCATTGCTGAGCACAGTACCTAGTACAGAGTAAAAAAATGTGTGTGTATATATATATGAATAAATAAATGAATGTACGAATAAACTAAAATAATTATAACCAGTTTATGATATTTTGGGATACGTTTTTAGAAGAAAACTTATCATTTTTCTTTACCATTCAGATTTATATATTCCCCTAAGCTATTTCTTCCTAATATTATTTAGTGAAAATTATTTTTATTTTTAATAGTAACGTTTAAAAAATAGAATATTAGGTATTGAGATGAATTAGGCAGTGACTAAAACACCAGAGGCAATTTTCTTGAAAAAAAAAAACATATATATATATATTTTTTCTAGTACCCCTATATTTTTTGGAGGTTTTCTGAACATCTTTTCAGCAGTAGAAAATGTAAGAGGTGGTTTAAAAAAAAAAGGGTTTTAAAATGTATTTTTTTTTTTTTGAGACGGAGTCTTGCTCCTTCGCCCAGGCCGGACTGCGGTGGCGCTATCTCGGCTCACTGCAAGCTCCACCTCCCGGGTTCACGACATTCTCCTGCCTCAGCCTCCTGAGTAGCTGGGACTACAGGCGCCCGCCAGCGCGCCCTGCTAATTTTTTTTTTTTTTTTTTTTTTTTTTTTTTTTTTTTTTTTTTTTTTAGTACAGACGGGGTTTCACCGTGTTAACCAAGATGGTCTCGATCTCCTGACCTCGTGATCCGCCCTCCTCTGCCTCCCAGAGTGCTGGGATTACAGGCGTGAGCCACCGTGCCCGACCTAAAAAAGCATTATTAAAGCCAAAAAGAGTGATGATGTTACAGCATCACTGCATCACCTTCACATTCAAAAGTAGGCAACATCCTCCTATTTCTCACTTTATAAGTATTAATGTTACTATCATATCATTAATGCACTGTGAGTCTGAGCTCATGCTAATAATTCCACTTACTTTCATTTTTCTTTCTCAGACATGTATTTCCACTTCTGGTAAAGCTGAGTTATTCAGTTCCCTATTTACCTTTTTCATTTCTTGTTAAGAGCTTGGACATTGGGCCAGAAATATTTATCTTTATTTTGGTTCTGAAAGGATGTGTTTCAGTTCCTTATCTGGAAAATGGAGATATAAGTCTTATCCTTAAGAGTTTTGTGAGGAATAAATGTCAAAATATGATAAAGGACAGCCCTGTGCCAAGCACAGTGTTAGTGTACAATAGATGGTACTCACTCATCATCATCATCATCATCATCATCATGATTTCAGAAATTTGTTCATTTTTTAAGGTTTAAAATAGTTTAATTCATAATTGCCCAAACTGAAAGAAACCAAGATATCCTTCAAAAGGTAAATGCACCAACAAACTTTGTTACCTCTATTCAGTGCAATGTTTTTTCAAAAAAAATTTATTTTAGAATCAAGGGCTTCATGTGCAGGTGTGTTACATGGCTATACTGAGTGGTGCCAATGAAGTTGGGGCTACAGATGATCCCATCACCCAGGTAATGAACATAATACCCCACAGGTAGTTTTCCAGCCAACACCTCCTCTCTTTCTCCCAGCTTTGGTAGTCTCGAGTTTGTATTGTTCCCAGCTTTATCTCCAGGTGTACTCAATGCTTTGCCACCCTTATAAGTCAGAACATGCAGCATTTGGTTTTCTGTTTCTGTATTAGCTCACCTAGGATAGTTGCCTCCAGCTCCATTCATGTTGTTGCAAAGAACACAATTTTATTCTTTTTTATGGCTGTGTAGTATTCCATAGTGTACATGTATTACATTTACTTTATCCAATCCAGAGTTGATGGGCACCTAGATTGATTCCATCTCTTTGCTATTGTGAATAGTGCTGTGATGAACATGAGTGCACGTATCTTATCTGTGGAATAATTTATTTTTCTTTGCGCATATAACCAGTATTGGAATTGCTGGATCAAATGGTAGTTCTGTTTTTAAGTTCTCTGAGAAATCTTCAAACTGTTTCCCCTAGTAGCTGAACTAATTTACATTCCCATCAGCAGTGTATAAGCATTCCTTTTTCTCAACAGCTTCACCAACATCTGTTTTTTTTTTTTACTTTTTTTTCTCTCAAGATACCTTTATTGTTACAATTTTTGACAACAGTTAAATTATTCACTCATTTTTTTAAGAACACACTGCATTTTATTTTATTTTGTTTTTTGTTTGTTTGTTTTACTTTAAGTTCTGGCACACATGTGTAGAAAGTGCAGGTTTGTTACATAGGTATATGTGTGCCATAGTGGTTTGCTGCACACATCAACCCATCATCTAGATTTTAAACCCCGCATGCATTAGATATTTGTCCTAATGATCTTCCTCCCCTTGCCACATACCTCCCAACAGGATCTGGTGTGTGATGTTCCCTTACCTGTGTCCATGTGTTCCCATTGTTCAATTCCAACTTATGACTGAGAACATGTAGTGTTTGGTTTTCTGTTCCTGTGTTAGTTTGCTGAGAATGATGGCTTCCAGTTCCATCCATGACCTTGCAAAAGACACTAACTCATTTTTTATGGCTGCATAGTATTCCACAGTGTGTATGTGCCACATTTTCTTTATTCAGTCTATCACTGATGGGCATTTGGGGTGGTTCCAAGTCTTTGCTATTGTAGGTAGTGCTGCAATAAACATATATGTGCATGTGTCTTTATAGCAGAATAATTTATAATCCTTTGGGTATATACCCAGTAATTAGATTGCTGGGTCAAATGGTATTCTGGTTTTAGATCCTTGAAGAATCGCCACACTGTCTTCCACAATGATTGAACTAATTTACACTCCCACCAACAGTGTAAAACCATTTCTATTTCTTCACATCCTCTCTAGCATCTGTTGTTTCCTGACTTTTTAATGATCGTCATTCTAACTGGTGTGAGATGGTCTCTCATTGTGGCTTTGATTTGCATTTCTCTAATGACCAATGATGAGCTTTTTTCATGTTTGTTTGGCCTCTTAAATATCTTCTTTTGAGGAATGTCTGTTCATATCCTTTGCCCACTTTTTGATGTTTTTTTTTTCTTCTCAATTTGTTTAAGTTTCTTGTAAATTCTGGATATTAGACCATTGTCAGATGGATAGATTGCAAAATATTTCTCCCATTCCGTAGATTTCCTCTTCACTCTGATGATAGTTTCTTTTCCTGTGCAGGAGCTCTTTAGTTTAATTAGATCCCATTTGTCAATTGTGGCTTTTGTTACAATTGCTTTTGGTGTTTTAGTCATGAAGTCTTTGCCTATGCCTGTGTCATGAATGGGAACATATCTCAAAATAATAAGAGTTATGTATGACAAACCCATAGCCAATATCATACTGAATGGGCAAAGCTGGAAGCATTCCCTTTGAAAACTGGCACAAGGCAAGGATGCTGTCCCTCACCACTCCTATTCAACATAGTATTGGAAGTTCTGGTCAGGGCAATCAGGCAAGAGAAAGAAATAAAGGTATTCAAATAAGAAGAGAGGAAGTCAAATTGTCTCTTTTACCCAATGACATGATTGTATATTTAGAAAACTCCATTGTCTCGGCCCCCAAACTCCTTAAGCTGATAAGCAACTTCAGGGAATTCTCAAGATACAAAATCAATGTGCAAAAATCACAAGCATTCCTATACACCAACAATAGACAAGCAGGGAGCCAAATCATGAGTGAACTCGCATTCACAATTGCTACAAAAGGAATAAAATACCTAGGAATAAAACTTACAAGGGATGTGAAGGACCTCTTCAAGGAGAACTACAAACCACTGCTCAAGGAAATAAGAGAGGACACAAACAAATGGGAAAATATTCCATGCTCATGGATAGGAAGAATCAATATCATGAAAATGGCCATATTACCCAAAGTAATTTATAGACTCAATGCTATTCCTATCAAGCTACCATTGACTTTCTTCACAGAATTAGAAAAAACTACTTTAAATTTCACATGGAGCCATAAAAGAGCCCATATAGCCAAGACAATCCTAAGCAAAATGAACAAAGCTGGAAGCATCACATAACCTGACTTCAAACTATACTACAAGGCTACAGTAACCAAAACAGCATGGTACTGGTACCAAAACAGATATATAGACCAATGGAACAGAACAGAGGCCTCAGAAATAACACCACATATCTACAGCCATCTGATCTTCAACAAACCTGACAAATATAAGCAATAGGGAAAAGATTCCCTATTTAATCATGGTGCTAGAAAAACCCATATGCAGAAAACAGAAACTGGACCCCTTCCTTACACCTTGTACAAAAATTAACTCAAGCTGGATTAAAAACTTAAGCATAAAACCTAGAACCATAAAAACCCCAGCTGACTTTTTAATAATAGTCATTCTGACTGGTGTGAGAAGGTATATCATTGTGGTTTTGATTTGTATTGCTCTGATGATTAATAATGTTGAGAATTTTTTCATATGTTTGTTGACTACTTGTATGTCTTTTTTTGACAGGCCACTAACAAGTGCCAAAATTGAATCAGTAATAAATAACCTACCAACAACAATAAAAAAATCTGTGGACCAGGTGAATTCACTTCCAAATTCTACCAGAATTGTACTAAACCTAAAACTATTTTTAAAAATTGAGGCAGAGGCACTCCTTTCTGAATCATTCTATGAAGCCAGCATCAGCCAGATACCAAACTCTGGCAGAGAGAAAACAAAACAAAACAAAACAAAAAAGAAAACTTCAGGCCAATAAACTGCTGAACATAGATGTAAAAATCCTCAACCAAATACTAGCACACTTAATCTGGCAGTACATCAAAAAGTTAATTCGCCGTTATCAGCTAGGCTTTATTCCTGGGATACAAGGTTGGTTCAACATAGACAAATCAATGAATGTGATTCACCACATAAATAGAATAAATACCAAAACCATATAATCATTTCAATAGACACAAGAAAAAGCATTTGATAAAATCCAACATCCCTTCATGATAAAAACCCTCAACAGACTAGGCATTGAAGAAATAGTCCTCAAAATATTGAGCTGTCTGTCATATTTCAAAGCCAACATCTTACTGAACAGCCAAAAGCTAAAACCATTCCTCTCAAGAAACAGAAAAACAACATTTCCATTCACACAATGCCTATTCAACATAGTACTAGAAGTCCTAGACAGAACAATAGGTCAAGTGAAAGAAATAAAAGGCATCCAAATAGGAAAATAGGTCAAACTATTACTCTTCACTAAGGATATGATTCTATACTTAGAAAACTCTAAAGACTCCACCAAATGTTCCTTAAACTAATAAATGACTTCAGCAAACTTTCAGGATACAAAAACAATGTAGAAAAGTCAGTAGGATTTCTATAAACCAATATGTTCTCACACAAAGTCAAATCAAGAATGCAATCCCATTTATAATATTCACAAAAAAATCCCTGAAATACCTAGGAAAACAGCTAACCAAGGAGATGAAAGATCTTTCCTGCTGAAAGAAGTCAGAAGTGACAAAATTAATGGAAAAACATTTCATGTTCATGGATTGGAAGAATCAATATCATTAAAATGGCCATACTGCCCAAAGCAATCTACAGATTAAGCAATATTCCTATCAACCTACAAATGTAATTATTCACATAATTAGAAAAAAAAATTATTCTAAAACACATATGGAACCAAAAAGGAGCCCAAATAGCCAAAGCAATCCTAAGCAAAAAGAGCAAAGCTGGAGGAATCACATTACCTGAATTCAACTATGTTAGAAGGCTACAGTAATGAAAACAGCATGGTACTGGTACAAAAATAGACACATAGACCAATGAAATAAGATAGAGAACCCAGAAATGAAGCTGCACACCTACAAACATCTGATATTCAACAAAGTTGACAATAAAAAGCAATGAGGAAAGCATTCCTTATTCAGTAAATGGTGCTGGGATAGCTGGCTAGGCATATGAAAAAGACCCTTACCTTTCATCATACATAAAAATTAACTCAGGATGTGTTAAGAATTTAAATGTAAGACTTCAAACTATAAATATCCTAAAAGAAAACCTAGGAAATACCGTTATCTACATTGACCTTGGCAAAGAATTTATGACTAAGCCCTCAAAAGCAATTGCAACAAAAACAAAAATTGACAAAAGGGACCTAATTAAACAAAAGAGCTTCTGCACAGGAAAATAAACTATCAACAGAGCAAGCAGACAACTTACAAAGTGGAGAAGATGTGGTACATATACACCATAGAATACTACACAATTATAAAAAAGAATGAACTCATGTCCTTTGCAGCAACATGGATGAAGCTGGAGGCCATAATCTTAGGTGAATTAACACAGAAACAGAAAATTAAATACTGCATGTTCTCACTTATAAGTGGGAGCAAAAAGCTGAGCCCACATGTACATAAGCAAATTAACACAGGAACAGAAAACCAAATACTGCATGTTCTCACTTATATGTGGGAGCTAAAAGCTGAGCACACATGGAAATAAATTTAGAAAAAAACAGGCACTGTGGACTACTAGAGTGTGGAGGGACAGGAGAATGTGTAAAAGACTACCTAGCAAGTATTAAGTTCACTACCTGGCTGATGAGATCTATACTCCACACCTCAGCATCATGCAATATTTCCATGTAACAAATCTGCTCATGTGTCCCTGATCCAAAATAAAAGTTGAGAAAAAAGTAAAATAATATTAAAGCAGGGAGAAACTATAAATGAAACTTGAAACTATAAAAGAAACTTGAAAAGAGCCAAGCACAAATTAAATAAGTGAAAAATAAAATGAATTAAAAAATAAATTAGTAAATAAATACATTACTATATATTATGTATAATTAGTTCTTTAAAGTCATTAAGAGATTTTAATTGAAACTTTATGCCTGCTTTTGCATGTCTTTTTTTTTTTTTTTTTTTTTTTAAAGACCGAGTCTCACTCTGTTGCCCAGGCTGGAGTGCAGAGGCACGATCTTGGCTCACTGCAACCTCTGCCTCCAGGGTTCAAGTGATTCTCCTGCCTCAGCCTCCCAAGTACCTGGGGCTACAGGCACCTGGCACCAGGCGTGGCACATTTTTGTATTTTTAGTAGAAACGGGGTTTTGTCATGTTGGCCAGACTGGTCTCAAACTCCCGGGCTCAAGCCATCCACCCACCTCAGCCACCCAAAGTGCTGGGAATACGGGCATGAGCCATCACATCTGGCCCTTGTATATCTTTTGTATAATTAGAAATATCTCCATACCTTTATTTTTAATAACAACACATAAATATTACTACAAAGTTATAAGAAACAGCAAAATCTACAATGTTCATGTTCAAACAGCAAGATAGTAATCAATAATTAAGCCATTATATCATCTGTCATTAGTTAATACATTAATTGAAGCATATGTGTACCTCTTAGCTTTACTCAACTAATTTCCACATTCATAATATGAATTCGTAGATGCTTTAAAAAGTCTTGTTACAGGAGGCATTATTTTTAGCAATTTCATCAACTCATTTAGGTAAATCCAAATATTGTATGTAAATTAAAAAATAGACCTTGCCAAACATTTTAATTTATTACAATACTCATACTGATCACCTCATATAATATTTTATGATGTGTTTACAAACTTGTCTAAGAAAGAAAGGTCAAGCACATTTTGAATAGATAGCATGAAAATTTGTATCACTCATCTTCTATTTTTTAATTTTCTCTCTGAGTCATGATTTTGTTTAGTTACTATAAAGATGTAATGCTACATTAAATACTTGAAATGTTGGTTTTTAATGCGTATTGAAAAAAAGCATTTGGCCTATATATGCCACTTAAATTCATGATTTCTAATGTAATCATTATATAAATATAGTTTCCCCAATCATTTCTTCTAAAAAATGTGTCATTTAAAACAATTTTGACTTACGTGATAATTTTATTGAGGTATATTAAAATAAGTTTCCAACTAGATATTATCCTTGCTTATATGTTCTTTACAGTTCTCATTACTACATATTCTAATTGTGCAGATGTCTGAGATTTTTCTGGCTTGGACCAGTGGATGTTGATGCCATTCAGTATAAGAGAGAATCATGGAAAAGCAGCAAAGTGGCAAGATAAATAAAAGGGTCAGTATGGGAATTGTTGACTTTTGCATGCATCTTTAGGTTTGGGACAACCAAATGGCAATATAACTTGTAAGAATGTGCCTTTTATGATGAGGCAACAGAGAAAACTACAATAGACACTTTGAATAGAATTAATGACATTTGCAAACACTGCATATCGTGTAAATGGAATGAAAATAATTCTATTACATTTGGAATATTAGAATGAGTTTGTTAATGAAGAACAATAATTCTGGAAAGACAGAATCATACTAGACTGTGATGTGTTAAACTATAGTAAGAACTGAGTATTTAACAAATTTAATTATTTATTCAACAAAATTTAGAGAGAGGGTGTACTGTATGACATGCACTGTGCTAAAGGTTAGAAACACAATGAAGGGCAAAGGACCAAAAAAATGTTTAATATGTTAAATCTTATGAAACTTCTGAAATTGTGTGTTTGTTTTTTTGTTTGTTTGCTTTGTTCTTGTCAAAACAAGTGGAATGTTAGCAGTTTAATTTAATTCAACCTAGTAATAGTAGAATTTTAAGCATAAATGTGAAATTAATGAAACTAAGGGCATTGAAACAAATATGAAGTTTACAGACTTAAATATATATTTCATGTTAGCTGAAGATAGCATTAAACTTTTATCAAAAGAAATGTTACCACTCTTCCC
Organism: Homo sapiens; assembly: GCF_000001405.40. Taxonomy (NCBI): domain Eukaryota; kingdom Metazoa; phylum Chordata; class Mammalia; order Primates; family Hominidae; genus Homo; species Homo sapiens. Next base: position 195,814,117 of record NC_000001.11, on the reverse strand, counting down.
ATTTTAGACATAACCCAATTATTGTAGAAGAGACCAGGAATGGTAAAGGAAAGCAAATGTAGATATAGGGAACATTTAAGTGATTTTAAGCCAATCCTATATGAATAATTTTGTAACGACAAATATGTGAACCTAGAAGAACTTTGTACAACTTAAAAAAAAACTAATTTCCAAAGACACCGTGGAAAAAGATGGATCTATTTTAAAAAGCACCAAATGGGGTTAAAGTTGTTATTTTCTTCTTTAAAAGACAATAACTGAAAACTTACGTAAATTATTTCAGCTCATCTAAGCAAGTAGATAATATTATAGAAATGCAAAGGAGAATGAAGAACAAGGTATCTATTAGTATATATTTGCAGCTCAAATAAATATGATCCTATTTAATATTAAAACTAATATTAATATATCTATATATTTGCAGTTCAAGTAATATGATAATATTTAATATTAGAGATTATAAGATCATATTGATAGATTCTGAAAAGCATAAGATAAAATTCAGCAGCCACTTATTATAAAAATTGTAAGTAAATCATTGAAAAATATAAATGTGATGAATATCATTTATCAAAAATTATAGCAAATATTACCTAAAATGTTAAAGTACAGAGTTTAATAACAGGAAGGGATTAACCAGATTGTAGAACATAGTATAAGGCATTGAGAATCAAATCAATGTGGTATTCTCATTACTAATTAGACAAATGTATCAAATTTAATAAAAATAAAATCTAGGAATAGACTTCAGTATGTAAGAATTTTATGTATGTGAAAGTTGCTATCATCAACTTGGGCAAAGAGTAAGTTATTTGAAACAGTATTACAAAACTTACCTATCCAGATAATAACATAAAATTGAAGTTCCATCTTACCTGTATAAAATTATAAATTCTCTGTAGATAAATACATTTTTGGCTGGGTGAAGTGGCTTATGCCTGTAATTCCAGCACTTTGAGAGACCAAGGAGGAAGGATTCCTTGAGCCCAGGAATTCGAGACCAGCCTAGGAGACATTGTGAGACCCTGTCTGTACGAAAAATAAAATATTAGTTGGTGTACTCTAGTTGACTCACACAAGCTGGTGAGAGACAATTTTTAAATTATCAGTAATTTACCAAGGCACTTGTAAAACAAATGAATAAAAATTAAATTATGTAAAATTATGATTAAATAATTTTTAAAGTAAAGGTGATATGCTAAATGTAAATATAAACTCTACATTTTATATTATTTCACTACATTTTATATTATCTCTGCTTTTTTAAGGTTATTTGTATTTGTTGAATGAATGCTGTGGAAACAGCAATATTCTGGTATTCTACTGAAAATCTTTTTCAACTCTGCCTTCAATGACATCACATGGGTAGTTTGAAATCAGTTATTGGGAGTACTTACAACATGGAAACTGGCGTATGATATAAACCCGGCTCTTAATTATCATTCATTCAATTATTCTTCTCATCAAATATTTCATTTTTTTCTTCTTTCTTTGTAGGTGATGATATAAGAAAAATGAGATGTAATGCACTTGTATATAATCTGTGTTTAAAAATATCAATGATTTTAAGGCTGTATCTTTTAAAACCAAACTGCTATGTGCAAATGAATCTATTCAAAGTATGAAATTTCCTTTGCTTTTATACATCTACCTAGATTTCTAGTATGTGTATAATTTTGAAATTGTAAATGCCTTAGCATTATCATAGTGGAATACAGTAATCACTAAATCCCATGGCAATTATGACCCATATTACTTGGTAGATCAGCAGAGGTGATCTCACAAAGGGTATGACATGGTTATTGGTAATATATAATTTATCATGTGGTTATGTCAAGTAGTTTCAAAGTATTTTGACAATCATATTTAGACCAGAGAATTTACAAGATACTTGAGTCTGTGATAAAGAACAATTATTCAAAAATACAGTAGTGGTTCAATTTGACTCATTGTTTTCCCTGCCTACAGATCAGAGATCCATTTTATTATCTAGCATTAGAATAGCAACTATTTTAGGTGCTGATAACCCTTATAGGGACCATGCAGATCATACCTGAGACAGTATGAATTCACTGGCGAATGTGAGAAGGAAGGTAATCAGCAAGTGCTTGTCACAGTATATTGGAATCTTCTCAAGTGGTTGATGCCTGGACCTTCTTCTGGAAACAGACAATGTAATAGTAGTTTTATTTTTAAACATTTTTATTTATTTGTTTCTTTTTTGTTGTTGAAGGATGATATTTATCAGAATCAACTGAGACATTTTGTTGTTGAAAGATGATATTTGTCAGAATCAACTGGGATATTTGTCCAAAATGATGTTTCCTGAAACCCACCCCAAATATAATGAATTATAGCTCTGAAGAAAGGATGCAGAAATCTGAATTTTAAATAAACATCTCTGATGATATCTATGTATACTGAATATTAAAGACAATTGCTCTAATAATTTGATTCATCTCTCACCTATCAAAATATAGAGATTAGTTATAGACCCAGTCACTGAAAATGTGAGAAGTCCATGGCTACTGACTTTTTGATTATTTTAGAAAGTCTTCTGACAATCTTTGACCAATGTAGGAAAGTTCTACATATTCCTGTGATCAGGTCCACATCTTATATCCAAATTCTGTTAAGTAGGTCCTTGGTCTGATCCCAGTGACCAAGTTTCCAGCATATTCTTTTTATTCTTTCTGGGGAGTAGAGGCAGCCACTAACCTTATGAATATAGTTTAATATGACTCATTTTTGTAACTAATGCTTCATTATTTATTTTTGATCAGCTGAAATCAAACTAATATAGCCATTATTTCATGATTCTTCACAATTTTATTTCAGAATGTATTTAGAATACCTCTTTGTAAATTCTTGCAGAATCTTCATTTTATTAAACACATATTGTTGATTGTGCAACCTGTTTCCACTTGCTCATGTATTCTAGGGATAGTAAGATCCACATCTCTAGTTTTCCACTGACTACAGTAGACTCTTCCTCATCCCTTGTGCATATTATACCCTGTGAAGTATGGATTTTTTTTTTAAGATTTAGACTCCCTATTCCAAACATACAAATCCTCTAGCACACAAACACAGTACTTTGAATCATAAAGGACCCTGCTGAGATATTATTTTATACATTGGGTGATCCTTCTTTTAATACTTCTATGAAATTTATTGCTTCTACATTTCAACATTCACCTATGATACACCTTCTTCCTGGATTAATGCGATATTGGACTCCCGCATGTGTCCTATTTCCATCTGTGCTTTTCTGCCTTTGCACAGGTTGATCTCCATGACTGGAATGTTTCTGTCTGCAGAACACTCATCCGCTTTAAAAAGAAAGTAAGAAGACACTTGAGAAGCAGCAAAATCAATTATGACTGTATAGAACAGCTGAGACCAAAAGAATGTGTCTACATAATTTCTTCAATTGGAATTTATTCTGATATTAGCTATTTATGTAACTTTCTTCTACCGAACTCCAAGAAGCTGGAAATAGGGATTGTTTTTCACTCCTGTTTATTTTATTGATTGATTGATTTTTTGAGACAGAGTCTTGCTCTGTCATCGGAGCCAGAGTGCAGTGGCACAATCTCGACTCACTGCAACCTCTGCCTCCCAGGTTCAAGCAATTCTCCTGCCTCAGCCTCCTGAGTAACTTGGATTACAGGTGTGCTCCACCATGCCCAGATAATTTCTGTATTTTTTGTAGGGACAGGTTTTCACCATGTTGGCTAGGCTGATCTTGAACTCCTGACCTCAGGTAATCCGCCCAACTTAGTCTCCCAAAGTGCTAGGATTACAGGCGTAAGCCACCAAGCCTGGCCTGACTACATTCTGGAATGAATTCACTTTAGTATGTAATGTTCAGTAAAACAGTTATCATCCATTAGTTTTAAGAACAACTGTATAAAAACAATCAAATATATTAACATTTTCTTTGAATCTTTAATTTTCATTCATCCTGAAATCCTAGGTTGTGTTAATGATCTGATAATTTTTCTTTGCAGAATTAATATACTATACAAACATACTTAATTTGATTCAGGAGAAATTTCTACCATGAGCATGCCACATTGTTATTTCTCTAATCTTTGCTGATACACAATTATTTGGATATCACATTTTCTATTGCAAACTTCTCTCCAAATTTCTTTCTGAATTGTTATTTAGATTTCTTAGATTTTGTTGTAACAAAAGACTTTTTATATTTTCATTCTTTTTTTTCTACCCTTGTTTCCTGATTTATCATTCTAGGATCCTATGATCTATAACTTTCCCTGAAAGAATCATCTTTAACCATTTAATTCTAAATATATAAGTTAAAACGCACCTTTTTGAAATAGAATAGGGTGATAAATTTCTCACCTCTTCCAAAAATAGTATTCAAAACCTGCCAGCATAATGTTAATTTCTAATTTGAATAATTACATCATCGTTAAAAAGGAAAGTAAAACACAACTTTCTTTAATTGGATCTGTTTATTGTTAAAATGCATTTCTAAAGAACAGACGGAGAAAATGTGTCACAGATTACGAAATTAAAACATTCTGTAATCAAATGTAAAAGTTAGTTTTAAACAACTCTGGAAAATACCATCTAGGAAATATAAATTTTAAACAAAATGGTATGAAAAATTGCTTGTGTTGCATGTCCTCAACATCCAAATGGCTATGACCTTCATGCTAAAGGACATTCTCTTTCCCTGATAAGTTAACCTGAGTTGCTCATCTATCACTTGGTAGTTACTGAAGTTCCACATCCTCAGCTTCCTATGTTGATTCTTTCTTCCCTACAGGTCTTTTTTGCTGGTGCCATGCTCCTTCAGGTCAGAGCATGGTCAGTTTCTCCTTCTTTTACAGGGTACAGCTTCACAATATCATATCATAGTACAAACTGTTTCCTCATTATTTAAAGTGATACATTCTTTTAGTAGTTCAGCCCCTTTCCATAAAGAAATTGGAAGTTCCTTTTGATTTCTCTTATGAATAGATCAGGGAAGATGCTAACTAAGTGGACCACAAAACAGATTTTCCTCTTTACAGATGGAATCCAGTTTATCTGGAAAATTTTCAATTGCTTTTTCTTTATATCTATTAATGTGAGATTTTATTGACTCAGGAAGTTGCCTGACAGGCCTAGTGGCAGTTTTTATGACCCAAACTTGTTGCAGAAGCTCAACCCCTGGTATTTCTGCCAACCTGCCTTTGTCCAGGGTATAGCTTTTCCTAAAGACACTTTGAGGACCTAGGTAAATAGAAACTCTCACAGCCTATTTGATAATTAGAAAAATATAAGGGCCGGGGTCAGTGGCTCACACTTGTACTCCTAGCACTTTGGGAGGCAGAGGTAGGTGGATCACTTGAGGTTAGGAGTTTGAGACCAGCCTAGCCAACATAGTGAAACCTCATCTCTACTAAAATTACCAAAAATTAGCTGGGTGTGGTAGTGGGCACCTGTGATCCCAGCTACTTGGGAGGCTGAGGCAGGAGAATTGCTTGAACCCTGGAGGTAGAGGTTGCAGTGAGCCGAGGTGGCGCCACTGCACTCCAGCCTGGGTGACACAGTGAGAATCTGCCTCAAAAAAAAAAAAAAAAAAAAAAAAAAAAAAAAAATATATATATATATATATATATATATATATATATATAGCAGCAGCATGTCTCCAAAGTATTGCTCATTCTGTTACACTATTAATAAAGTTTGAGACTTAATTTTTTTTTTCAAAGATGGGTCTGCTCTCTCACCAAGGCTGAAATACAGTGGTGTGATCACAGATCACTGCAAACTCCAACTACTGGGCCAAGTGATCCTTCCTCATCAGCCTCTCGAGCAGCTGGGACTGAGGTCACATACCACTATGCCTGGCTAATTTTGTTATTTTATTATATCATTTGTAGATGGTGGGCCTTGCTATGTTGCCTAGGCTGGTCTGGAACACCCGGCCTCAAATGATCTTCCTGCCTTGGCTTCCCCGGGCACAGGGATTACAGGCATAAACCACTACACCTAGCCAAGTTCGAGACTTTAGCTAGCACAGAACAGAAGTTGAAATGATAAAAACATAAGAAGATTTGATAATATGTCAGCTTGAACTGAAAGCTGAAATTCACTTTAGTATGATTTAGGCTCTCTGCATCCCTACCTTATGGTAATGGATTTTTAAAAGTTTTCCTTCAATTATTCATTCAAGAATAAAATTACTGAATACCTGTTATGGGCTAGATATTGTTCTATGCACTGGGAATACACTAGTGAGCAAAAGAGATTAAAATCTTCTCTCTCAAGAAGATAACATAGTAGAAGAGGCAGAAAGTTGATATAAAATGAACATAGCAATTAAGTAAATTACATAACATTTTAGAGATTGAAATGAGATTTAGAAAATAAAGCAGAAGAAGCAGGGTACAATTAGTCTGTTATGCTGGGTGGGAAAGGAGGTTGCAGTGTTGAATAGAATATGATTGGTTCTCAGTCCCTCCATATGAGCGGATTTCATATCCATGGATTTCACCAACCATGGATTAAAAATATGCAGAAAAAACAAAAATATAGTAATGAAAATAATACAAATTTTAAAATTCACAGTATAAAAGCTACGCAATATTTACATTGTATTAAGGGTAAGTAATAAGTAATCTTACCCTTTTATAAGATTATATAAATCTAGAGACTATAAGTAATCTAGTAATTATAAGTAATCTAGAGACTATTTTAAATATGCAGGAGGGTTTGTGTAGATCATATGTAAATACTATGGCATTTTCTATCAGAGACTTGAGCATCCACAGAGTTTGGTACCCTCAAGCTTCCTGGAATCAATCTCCTAGGGGATAGTGAGGGACATTATCCCTCACTAGTTGGAATATAAACAGTAAAAAGGAATAATTTGATCTAAGACTTGAAGAAGGCAAAAGAGTTCATCATTATGATGTCTGAGGTAGAAGTACTCCAATCAGAAGAAACAGCCAGTGCCCAGGTCTGAAATACCCTTTCCCATTAAGGGATCTGGTATGGTTGAAATACAGTGAGCAGGGAGGAGAACAGTATGATTTATCAAGAAAACAGATATAAGGATTAGAGAGCTTTTTTGCAGAAGTTATAGCATGGTGCTGATAATACCAACTATATTAAAGTTATATTTTTAATTATGAAAGAATCCTTCATTATAGAAAGAGAAATTCACCCAGATTGTATTAGTTTCCTGTGGCTGCTGTAACAAATTACCTACCACAAAATCAGTGTCAGTGACTTAAAACGACAGGAATTTATTCTTTCACAGTTCTGGAGGCCACAAGTCTGAAGTCAGTATCACTGGGTCAAAATCAAGGTATTGACCTCCTACAACTCCTGCTGGCATCCCTTGGCCTGTTGCTACATTACTCCAATATTTAAGGCCAGCATCTTTTACCCTCTCTTGCTCTGTCTTCCCATGGCCTTCTCTTTTGTCTGTGTCACACCTCCCTCTGCCTCCCTCTTTTAAGAACAATTGTGATCTCATGTAGGATGCACCCAGATAAATCAGGTTAATCTCTTCATTTCAAACTCCATAATTTAATCACATATTGGTATATTTTCCATATAAGATAGCATTTACACATTCCAGGAATTACAACCTGATATTTTTAGGAGCTGTTATTCAGCCTACCATAGGAAGTTAGGGAATTTGGGTACCATTGCAATTTTAAAAAGAATAAAATTAATTTTAAATATCCCCTATAAAATAAACATATTGGCACTACTTTTTCGCAGCTTACCTGAATCCTAGATGCATTAAAATAGATTATATCAATCTATAAACTTTCTAGCAATTTCATGTTTGATTGTCTACATAGCATCATTGCCTTATAGAGGGGATTGAGCAATGTTCCAGTAAAAGTCTGCTTATCATCATTTCTCATCAGTTTCTCACCAGTTCCTCTCCTTCACACCACAAAAGTGCATGTGAAGTGCAAGTTTATATTGGGAAAATTTTCACGACTGCCTGTAGGTGTGAATTTTACCTACATTGCTCTTGCAGTTGCCTACAATTGTATTACCTTCTTCATCCAAGCACATGCACTGAAGGACTTAAGGTTTTCCTATACATGTTGGCCTTGGGTTTAGAGCATACACCTCATATACCTTATATTTTTCCTGATGGACCCTAGGTCTGGAGGCAGGTGCTGTTTTACTTATTTATTTCTAAGCAAAATTATTCCAACTCAAGTAAAATACAGCATTATACAGGTGAGAAAACCTGATTTGATGCACTTCAGGATATGAGTGAACAAAGGAATATAATAAGAATTTACTTCTATTCTATTTTGGTAGCATTTCACATGTTTCCCTCTTGCTAAGAGGAGTTCAAGCAGTGCTGCAGGAAAGGTCTTATTCTGGAAGAGAGTCCAGGACACAGAGTTGTCATCAGATAAGACAAATATCTTGTACTTTGGCCAACCTTTAGTCCTAGTGCCATGAAGTGGCAGTTGTAGACATATAAGAAATATAATATAAAGGATAATATATTCACCATGCCCCACTTGGACCTCTGAGGCATGGTAATAGGCCCGAAAGGAGTCTTCTGGAGACTACCCCCCTCTGGACCCATGTCCCTGGCTCTGGAGCCATTTATGCCTCTACACCCTGCAAGTCTGCATTGCGAGCACAGGACTGCACTTCTGTGTTCTGATTTCAAGAAATTTGCAATGTAGCTAGTGAGCCATATGAGGAAATTTTGTCCCTGCACTTTAAAATTATTGAATCCTACTTAAATGCAGTGTATAATGCTATTCTCAAATTACTGTTTTGATTGCCCACAAAGATCTTTAATGCTGCTTTCTCTGTAAAATCATTTGTAGATTAAAAGGTGATGGAAGCTAACTCTAATTCTACTTACTGCATCTATTTTAAAGTATACTTTACAGTTTCACCTTTATCAGTAAGTTGCATCAATGCTTGCACTTCTTTAATAATTTGACCAGGCTTTTTCCTGTCTTTTTCATTTTTCCTCTTGTTTAGTATCGTTATCCTTACATTTCTGCAGTTCTGACTGAGTCATGTGTGTGTATGGTGTTTGGAAAGGATACAAGCATTTTGTTGTTGTTGTTGTTTTTACATCGTGTACTTCTTAGCACAAAGAAACACTTTTAAAAAATTGCTTCCTGATGACAGTGATTTTGTAAAGTGGCAGTCATTTGATTTAAGTACATGTAAATTCCACTCCAGTTAGCAGAACTAGAAATTTAACTGTGATTATTTGAAATAAATAAAAATTCTTGGAAATTTTAGAATATCAAATAAATGACTATAGCACTATCACACTGAAAAATAATGATGTTTATGGCAACTTTCATAATAGAATTTTTTGACAGTAGATGGCACTATTTGTTTTATTAATAGTCACTGACCACTCCCTTTACTTTTCTGAAAGGTAACATAGTTTATCTTTAACTATTTTAACAAAATTCCAAAATTTGCTTATATCTAGCTTACCAGATGAATCACTTTGATTATGTGTGATAGGGACATTTTTGCTTTTATTTCATAGAATAATTTTGGATGAAGGTATACTTTTTTTTTTCTAATGTCACTTTTAACTTAAGTGAGCATTCAAGGTGAGGCACACCAAGGAAGGGTTATTATAAACATATTTCTTATATTAAAGGGGCTAATTTTTTAACCCGTATAAAAGATTGTAAGATGGGAATTTGAGACAGGTTATCTAACATAGTCTGATTTGACAGAATTCATTTCTACCTCCAAATCCAGACATTCACATAACTTTCTGTTGATTAAAGACAAAATACAAGCAACAATTTGGGCGAGCAGAATGATGGTGCATTTCATAAAAATATAACCACTTGAAGGAATGAGGATAAATGTTTTTATAAGGAGTAGAATAGAAAAAGAAATAAGAGGACCAAGAATATCCCATGTAAATATGATATGATATATGAATATAATATTTTATATATATGCATAGTAACTCATGTCAATTATACTGCATGATGGTCTATTTACTTGGCTAGGCTGTGGTGCTCACTTGCCTGGTCAAACACTAATCTAGATGTCACTGTGGAGTTATTTTGCATAGTGATTAACATTTACAATCAGTTGACTTTAAGTACAGTCCCATTGATAATGGGAAAGGGCCACATTCAATCACGTGAAGACATTATAAGTGGAATCGAGGTTTCCCAAAGAAGGAATTCTCCCTGAAGACTGTAACATGGAAATCCTGCCTCAGTTACCAGCTGCTAACCTGCCTTGCAAACCCCCACAATTGCACGAGCTAATTTCTTACAATCAATCTCTCTCTCCCTCTCTTTTTTGTTAGTTATTACTATTTTTAAGAGGACATTGTGTCTATGAAATGAAAGTTGGTAGTAATGAAAAGGGAATGATCACGTGCTGGTAAAGAAAACAATTGTTAAATTAGATTAATAATGAAGAAGGAAAACCAGTGAGTTATTAATAAAACAGAAAATCAAATAAGGAGAGAATAACAGGCATAAAACTTTCCCTTAGAATTTATTATAAGTGGAAAAGGAGTTTATAAAACTATCAGAAAAGAAGAAACATGAAGAACAGATGTAAGGCTTCCAATGTATGTTTGGTAAGATTTATAATAGTTGACAATAGAATGATAAAGGGATTGGCAATAATAAAAATGAACAATGAACTGATAGGATTCATTGACTATCTGGAAAAATAATATTGAGAAAACAAAATCGAAACGTAGCCTTACCTTCAATGAGTGAGAAAATGTAGTTTACCTGAAGTGGAACAAACTCCAGACAATTTTAGAAGTCTCAACAACACTAAGCATCAAATGACAATGAACACAAATGCAGACTGCTAGAGGGGAAAGATTAGTGAGCCAAGAATTCTACACCTGGACAAAGTATCCTTTATGTTCAAGAGCAAAATAAAGACAGCCTCACTTATGCACTCCCAAGTACCCTTACCTCCTTCTTTTATCACACCAGCTCACTATCTATTCTTTCTGGCTCTGTTGAACTACTTTCAGTTCTCCAAATGAGCCACTGTCTTTCTCATCTGTTCCCTGAATCTGTGCGGATGGCTTCCTCTGTCTGGAATATTCTTTCTTCCTTCACTTTTACCAGCACAGTCTTGTTCTTTTCATAGATCTCACTTTAAAAAGAATAAAATGCTCTGATACCTCTGCCCGGAAAAGCCTGTTATTAGCTTCCAAAACCAAATTAGCTATTCCTCGTATGTGCTCTCATGACAGTCCTTTGTTTTACTTTTTCCAGCTTTTTATGTACTGAGATATAATTTTTATACATAAAATTATACATAAAATTTTATACATAAAAATAAAAAAAGCACCCTTTTTTTTATTATACGTTAAGTTTTAGGGTACATGTGCACAACGTGCAGGTTTGTTACATATGTATACATGTGTCATGTTGGTGTGCTGCACCCATTAACTCGTCATTTAGCATTAGGTATATCTCCTAATGCTATCCCTCCCCCCTACCCCCACACCACAACAGGGCCCAGTGTGTGATGTTCCCCTTCCTGTGTCCAAGTTTTCTCATTGTTCATTTCCCACCTGTGAGTGAGAACATGCGGCATTTGGTTTTTTGTCCTTGTGATAGTTTGCTGAGAATGATGGTTTCCAGCTTCATCCATGTCCCTACAAAGGACATGAACTCATCATTTTTTATGGCTGCATAGTATTCCATGGTGTATATGTGCCACATTTTCTTAATCAAGTCTATCATTGTTGGACATTTGGGTTGGTTCCAAGTATTTGCTATTGTGAATAGAGCCACAATAAACATCAGTGTGCATGTGTCTTTATAGCAGCATGATTTCAAATCCTTTGGGTATATACCCAGTAATGAGATGGCTGGGTCAAATGGTATTTCTAGTTCTAGATCCCTGAGGAATCGCCACACTGACTTCCACAATGGTTGAACTAGTTTACAGTCCCACCAAGGGGACTGTAAAAGTGTTCCTATTTCTCCACATCCTCTCCAGTACCTGTTGTTTCCTGACTTTTTAATGATCGCCATTCTAACTGGTGTGAGATGGTATCTCATTGTGGTTTTGATTTGCATTTCTCTGGTGGCCAGTGATGATGAGCATTTTTTCATGTGTCTTTTGGCTGCATAAATGTCTTCTTTTGAGAAGTGTCTGTTCATATCCTTCGCCCACTTTTTGATGGGGTTGTTTGTTTTTTTCTTGTAAATTTGTTTGAGTTCATTGTAAATTCTGGATATTAGCCCTTTGTCAGATGAGTAGATTGCAAAAATTTTCTCCCATTCTGTAGGTTGCCTGTTCACTCTGATGGTAGTTTCTTTTGCTGTGCAGAAGCTCTTTAGTTTAATTAGATCCCATTTGTCAATTTTGGCTTCTGTTGCCATTGCTTTTGGCGTTTTAGACATGAAGTCCTTGCCCATGCCTACATCCTGAATGGCATTGCCTAGGTTTTCTTCTAGGGTTTTTATGGTTTTTGGTCTAACATTTAAGTCTTTAATCCATCTTGAATTAATTTTTGCATAAGGTGTAAGGAAGGGATCCAGTTTCAGCTTTCTACATATGGCTAGCCAGTTTTCCCAGCACCATTTATTAAATAGGGAATCCTTTCCCCATTTCTTGTTTTTCGTCAGGTTTGTCAAAGATCAGATAGTTGTAGATATGAGGCATTATTTCTGAGGGCTCTGTTCTGTTCCATTGGTCTATATCTCTGTTTTGGTACCAGTACCATGCTATTTTGATTACTGTAGCCTTGTAGTGTAGTTTGAAGTCAGGTAGCGTAATGCCTCCAGCTTTGTTCTTTTGGCTTAGGATTGACTTGGCAATGTGGCTCTTTTTTGGTTCCATATGAACTTTAAAGTAGTTTCTTTCCAATTCTGTGAAGAAAGTCATTGGTAGCTTGATGGGGATGGCATTGAATCTGTAAATTACCTTGGGCAGTATGGCCATTTTCACGATATTGATTCTTCCTACCCATGAGCATGGAATGTTCTTCCATTTGTTTGTATCCTCTTTTATTTCATTGAGCAGAAAAGCATCCATTTTCTTGCACATTTAAGTGAGCTTTGACAAATCAATATATCCAAATAATCATCACAAAAATCAAAATACAGAACATTTAGCTCATCCCACAAAATCCCCTTGCACCTGTACCCAGCAAATATTTTCTCACATTCCAGGCAATTACCATAAATTAAATAGTTGTCTTTCTGGAGTTTCAAATAAATTAATTCATACTGTATTATGAATGTATTCTTATATGCCTCCATTCTTTTGATCAACTTAATGGCTTTGCAATTCAACTATGTTTTCTTATAAGTAGTTTATTCCTTTTATTGCAGTGTAGTATTCCATTGTATGCATGTTCCACTGTTTGTTTATTGATTTACCTGTTTATGGATGTTTAAGTTTGTAATTTTTGTCTATTACCAATAGGAAATATAAACATCAGTGTACAAATCTTTACGGAAACATGAGTTTTCATCTCTCTATGGTAGATACCTAGGAGTGGAATTGTTGGGTTGTATGGCAGGTATATATTTTTTTATTCTCTTTATTTCCAGCAAATTTATTTCTATGTGTTCTGTTTTAGATGTATCTTGCAAATACCATAAAGTTATATAATTTTTAGTATCAAACGTGAGCATTTGTTTTATAATAAGACAATTTAATCTAGTCATACAAATCAAGACTACTACATGTTTGGACTTATTCTTAGTTCTAATCATTTTTATGTTTTTTGTTTACCATTATTTTTTCTTCTCTTCCTCTTTTTGCATTTCCATTTCTTTATATTAGCTGTTTAAATTTATATACAGTGATATATATATATACATATATGATATGGTTTGGCTTTGTGTCCCCACCCAAATCTCATCTTGAATTGTACTCCCATAATTCCCACATGTCGTGGGAGGGACCCGGTGTAAGATAATTTGAATCATACGGACGATTTCTCACATACTGTTCTCATGGTAGTGAATAAGCCTCACGAAATCTGATGGGTTTATCAGGGGTTTCTGCAGTATATTTCAGATTTCTGCAGCAGGTTTGAATTTCTCCCCAGAAAATGGGTCTTTCTTTCCTACCCCGTGATCAGGCTGCAAATTTCCAAACTTTTATGCTCTGCTTTCCTTTTAAACATAAGTTTCGATTTCAAATCATCTCCTTGTGAATGCATATAATTCTATGCTTTCAGAAGAAACCAGGTCACCTGTTGAATGTTTTGCTGCTTAGAAATTTCCTTTGCCAGATACCCTAAATAATCTCTTTCAAGTTCAAAGTTTCACAGATCTCTAAGGCGGGGGGAGAATGCCACCAGTCTCTTTGCTAAAGCATAACAAGAGTGCCTTTGCTGCAGTTCCCAATATGTTCCTCCTCTTCATCTGAAACCACGTCAGACTGGACTTCATTGTCCATATCACTATCAGCATTTTGGTTAAAACCATTTAACAAGTCTCTAGGAAGTTCCAAACTTTCCCTCATCTTCCTGTCTCCTTGGGAGCCCTCCAAACTGTTCCAACCTCTGACAGTTACTCAGTTCCAAAGTCACTTCCATGTTATCAGGTTATCTATATAGCAGTACCCCACTTTCTCAGTACCAATTCTCTGCATTAGTTCATTTGCACATTGCTATAAAGATACTAACTGAGACCGGGTAATTTCTATACAAAAGAGGTTTAATTGACTCACCGTTCCTCAAGACTGGGGAGTCCTCAGGAAACTTATGATCCGTCGTGGCAGAAGGAGAAGCACAAAGCAGCAGGAGAGAGGGGGATTGCATGGGAAACTGCGACTTTTAAACCATCAGTCTCATGAGAACTTTCTCCCTACGAGAAAGTTCCCTATGAGAACTGTTTCCCTACAAGAACAGCATGGGAGAAACTGCCCTGATGATCCAGTCACCTCCCACCAGGTCCCTCCCTCAACACTTGAGGATTACAATTCAAGATAAGACTTGGGTAGTGAAAGGCTAATCAGTAACTCAAAAGAATGCAACCATTTGTCACTTACCTACCTATGACCTGGAAGCCCCCTCCCAATTTTAGTTGTCCTGCCTTTCTGGACTGAACCAATATACCAATGTACATCTTACATATATTGATTGATGTCTCATGTCTTCTCGAAATGTATAAAACCAAGCTGTGTCCTGACCACCTTATGCACATATCAGGAGCTCCTGGGGCTGTTTCACAGCTGTGTCCTTAACGTTGGCAAAATAAACTTTATAAATTGAAAAAATAAAAAAAGATTTCAGTTGGGACACAGAGCAAACCATATCAGGATTCATTCAGTCAGCAGGTGAGTTCAGAAAGTGAATTTAAAATAGTTTACTGAAAAGAATTTTTTAAAGCAATATAGTCTCATGATCACCAATTAGCTTCCCAGGAGATTCCAGGCCTTGCCAGCATTACGAGGCTTTATGATTCACTTGCTCAGGTTCAGGAGGCCAATGGCGAAGCTGGGACATGGGGACTTGTAGTGTAAACTGTGTAGCCTATTAAAGAGAAAACAAGCAAACAAATAAAAAAGCTGTGAACTGGTGAAGTATAGAAAAAAAAGAGGTAAAACTTTTTTTCCCCATTTTCATAAAACCTGAGTTTCAGGAGTTAAGAGCAAAGATAACCTTGTCTAGTGTTGAAACAGTCATTATAACAATTGTTAACTTGGTTATTACTATGCATAAGGTGTTATGAACTATTTGATTTATCATCATGGTCAACCAATGAAATAAGGGCTGATAGTACTCTCAGTTTACATGTGAGAAAACTGAGGACATGCAGCAACTTAGCAAGTTAGATCAAGAACACATAACCAGTATGAGTGGGTGCTGTTATTCCAGGCACTTTCAGCCTTGAGCTCACAATATTAATAACTAGGCAACATTGCTTTTCAAAAAAAGAAAATATATCATGCAAAATCAATATTAACAATAAAATGTATGTAAAATTAAAGATTATCCTTAAAAATATAAAACACCTAATAAAAAGGTAGAAAAACTACATAGAATGACTAGAAAAGAAAACTGAAGTGCTGTCAGTTTTATATCTAAAAATTCTCCAAACAGATGTAGTTTGAGCAGAAGTTAATTTAAAATATTCAGAGTTTGAAATATTCAAGGTGCAATTAATTTACACCTTGCATTAGGTGTAATGCACCTAATGTGTAATGGAAGCTCTTTCAGGACATAAAGACAAGTGAGAACTTCTCATTGGTTTTCATAAAGTCAGGAAAACATACCTGAAAATGTCAGTGTTAGGACATAAAAAGAGAAAAATAACAAATAACATTTCATATGGAGAGAGATAATGGCATAAGCTTTTAGACATAATATTAAAAACTAAGAACAAAATCTAGTTTATGACCTTCCTTTATTTCTTAAAGATTTATCTCTTACTTACTCCCTCTTTCCAACATTACTCCTCACATAATTGGGAGGATTTCAATATCTGGGCTAAATTGTCTATTGAAAAATGAGCACCACAGTCTCCCTTCTATTATCTTATTCCAAGGATTGGAAGTCTGATTATTGCGTTTCTGCCAGTGAAATGCAAGATTGAAAGGGCAAAAGAAGCAGGAGCCATAATTGCTGCACTGGCAACAATAACTAGATCCCTGGATTTAAGAAATTGGCTGAGATTTCTGTATGTTATCTTGTGAATCATTTTGTTAGGGCTGCAGCAACTGAGACTGTTGGTAAAAGTTATCTGTGAATTCTACACTTAAAAATGTCTTTAGTGGTAGTAGCCTTCCTAGAAATGTTGCATGTCTCCAAATATCTGAATTAAATATCTTCCAGTCTGAAATATCTTGAACAATTGATGTTTCCCTGTTAAACTCTCGTAATATTTTTAAGTGAAAAGTGATCCATGCAAAATACATGATAAATGCAATCTGAGAAGAATATCTGACATGTTTGGATTTGAAAGTCATAATGATCTCATCATTAGGAGTGATATGGATAATCCATTATATATTAAGGAAAAAGAGCTTATTAAATTATTGGCCATATTGTCCTGAGGTAAAGTGTCTACTGAAGGTAAGGAATTGGGGGAGCAATAGTTTCTAGGCTGTAATATGGTAGACATGACTACACAGAACTTGTTGGTTTGTTCACATTTCTCATTACACAAGATAATTTACAGAAATAAACTATGCTCCTGCTTTTCTATTCTTAGTTCGAGACATGATTGGAAAACTAGAGGGATTCCATAACTGCTAAGAGATGTTTTGTTGCCATTTTTCAGCCAAAAAATTGAGGTAATCCAGATCCATATTTTGATTTTCAGAATTTAAACTTGTAATAGATATTACATTTACTACCTCTTTATAATTTATATATAAAATGTAAGATGTTTATTGGCAAATATTGGGACTTTGAGAATGGGAATGGGAATAATTGTTTGGATTGCAATGAGTTTGTATACCTTGAACCTATCGAGCTGGCTTTTTGTTCTTCTTTTACTAATTAGCAAGTTCGACCAAAGAAATTTCCTTTGGCGTTTGCAGCAGTACGCAATTTGTATTTTATCTCAGGGCTTTGGTAACTCTAATCTGGACTGCTGCTCGCTTTCTGGCCTCCTGTTACTATGAATGGACTGTTTGCATTTCTACCAAAGGTAAAACCTTTTACTTGTGCTCCAGGTGAGATCTCTCCTACCTGCTCATAAATAGTCCTCCAGAAATTTACTGTCTCTGTTCTGTGTCATTTTTTTTTTTCTCTAGTAGGAATTTTTTTTTCTCTAGTAGGAATGTTTCATAAAGATCGTGCTCAACAGCATCAAACATGATGCAATTTCTCCCATCTTAAAAATGCTCCTCTCTTCACCCCATATCCATCTTACGGATACTGCCACATTACAACAAAACTCCTTGACAGTGTCATCAGTACTTTCTGCCTCTCAGTACTTTCCTCCATTCTCTCTTAAATCCTTTCTAATTAGACTCTCAGCTCCACTATGTTAAAAAAAAAAAAAAAAAAAGGCCTCACACAACTTCTATGTTTCTAAACCAGTGGTATTTCTCAGTCCTAATTTTACTTGTCCTATCAGCTGCATATGCTGCAACTGATGCATCTCTGCTCCTTGAAACACTGACTATACTTGCTTTCTTGAAAA
The DNA here is from genome assembly GCF_000001405.40 of Homo sapiens. Lineage (NCBI taxonomy): Eukaryota > Metazoa > Chordata > Mammalia > Primates > Hominidae > Homo > Homo sapiens. Next base: position 195,796,007 of record NC_000001.11, on the reverse strand, counting down.
TATTCAGCTCCCTTTACTAGTCTCTCCTACTAGGTCTCTTCTCCTGGTTTCACTTGATCTATTAAACTTTAAACATTTGTACCTCTTATTACCCACACACACACACCAATGATGATGTCTTCACATTTAAATACTGTTTATATGGCAATCACTTTCATATTTCTATCTCTTAGCTAGATCACTCCTTCAAGTTAAGTATCCATCAGCCTACAACACATCTCCACTTAAATTAGAATCTTCTCAAACTTAATCTTTCCAAAACCAAATGCCAGATTTTCACTCCCTGCTGACACAGGAATAATATCGGGTGGTTGCTGGAAAATAGGAAATTCTAGGCAGCAATTTCATAAGAATAAGCAAAAGGAAACGGCTGAAAGAGCTGCAGAAATGATGGATGAAAGAGCTGCAGAAGTGAGGGATGGATAAGACCCTGAAAAACAGGGTGTGAACCAAGCTGGCTAAGACTGACCGGAACCAACATGGCACTGAATTTGGCCTAGGTTTCTCCTGGGACCTCATTATGCACTCTTACTACATATGAGGTGCTACAAACTATTTGATTTGTCATCACAGTCAACCCATGAGATAAGTGCGGATAGTACTCTTAGTTTACATGTGATAGAACTGAGGACACACAGCAATTAAGTAAGTTGCTAAATCACGGTAAATCACACACACGACCAGCACTGCCATGACAGTTTTGAGAACACCCATATTTGGTGTAAAATTGTGTGGCACTAGGGTTTCGAAAACTCTTCTCCTTCTTTCCAGGAACTTTCATGAATGCTCCACGCTGAAGTTAAAGAAATCCATAAAGTTAGAAACTCCAAACCCGGTTGCATGACTCTATCTTGAGTAAACCCCCACTCCACTTTCTTGAGTGTGTACTTTCCGCTTTGCAATAAATCTCCGAACTTTCACTATTTCCTGACTCATTCTTGAATTCCTTCTTAAGATGATGTCAAGAGCCTGGACACTGACTACTACTTGCATTTCAGGACCTCCCAAGGGTATCACTACCAAACTTGCTCTTTCCTTGTTATTTTTTCTCATTATAGTAAGTGTAACTATTATCTATATGGATGCATGCAAAAACCATTGGGTTTTATTTGATTCCTTATTTTTTATGTATGTATGTATTTATTTATTTTTTTTACCACACCATATGATCTCCTGTGTTTTATTTACAAAATGTATTTCTATTTTGGTCACTTCTCAGCCTCCAGAACTCTACCATCTCAGCCAAGTCTCTGCTGTCTCATGCTTGGATTATTGTAATGGCTTCCTAATGGTTTTCCTGCTTCTGCCTTTGCCTCCCTACAATCTCTCCCATGGTAAAGTTGGAATTCAAATAAACTCCTTTGCCAGTCAGAACCTTATCAATGGTTTTGGGACATATAGTTTCCCAGTGGATTGTAGGGGATATACCCTCTCTCCCCCGTTTTAATGATTCTTTTGACTCAACGTCGACTCCTCTTTTCTAACTCATTGGTCCCTTTGCTCTTCTCAGAACAAACCAGGTAAGTGGTCTTTCCTTTGTGTTGTCTCTGTCTGTTACACTCCTCCCAACTTGTTGCATGGCTTACTTTAACACATCTTTTAGGCTGTCATGCAAATGTTTCCCTCTCAGCCACATCCTCTCTGTCAATTCTGTTTGAGACAATGTACTGCATACCATTGTTAACACCTGAAATTCTTTTCTTTTTTATTTTTCTCAACATTATTTATTACCAAATGATCTATTAATCATTTAACTTTATTATTATTCTCTTCCTCCTAAAACACAGCAACATGAAGGCAGAAATTTTTATACATTTTTTCACTATTATATTCTTATTACATAGAATATTGCCTTAATTCATGAATTCACAATAAATATTTCTTGAATAAATAAATAAATAAGTGAGGTTGTGAAACAAATATATCAAAAGGAAAAATAATTTGTTAATGTCAATTAATTATGGAGCTATTTTATGATATTCACAATATATTTTGACTTAAATAAAAACATTTCCAAGTAAACTAGAAAAAGATTATATCTTAAGGACTGATATTACCTATTTCAAACTGATAAACAATACAAAAAGGTAGAAACAGATAAAGGTGTTGTTAAAGCAAACTAAATATGGCCTGAGAAGGACTCCATACATTTATATTTGAGGCCTTGTGGATGAACTGTAACATAGCTTAATAGTCAGACAAAATTGAAAATCTGACTTAATAGTATTTACCTGTAATAATGGCTGAGTGTTGACCAATCCCAGCGGCCATACTACAATCACCCATAGACTGCTGCATGTTCAAACTGCATTCAAATAAGGCAGACTACGAGCTGTAATCAATCTTACTGTTTCTGTACCTCACTTCCGATTCCTGTACCTCACTTCCGATTCCTGTACATCACTTTCCCTTTTTTGTCTGTAAATTTGTTCTGACCATAAGGCACCCTTGGAGTCTCTGTGAATCTGCTGTGATTCTGTGGGTTGCTCAATTCATGAATTGTTCATTGCTCAATTAAACTCCTTTAAATTTAATTTGGCTGAAGTTTTTCTTTTATCAGTGTTTCTATATAAATCAGCAGTTTATCTCCTCTATTAACATTGCTCTAAAGATTCTCTCCATTTCAAAATAAGAAAAATAAATGAAAGTAAATACAAATAATCAAATAAAAAATGCCAGCATAATAAAGGAGATGATTTTATTAAATTTATAATAATTTACCTAGAAAAACTGAGACTGGGAATTGAATATTTAATAAATAACAGCAAACAAAATATAGAAATGGAATTTAAACACAAGATTTTTGCTTTTAAAGACCAAACTTGTAACAACCCCAAGATATTCCCTTGTCCTTAAAAATTTTTTCAGGAAACCTTAGTATTCAATAATAGAACCTTAATTTTAATATTTAACTTTATTAATAAATAATATAATAGTATTAAAACCATACAGTCAAATAATAGGGTATATAAGAGCATAAAAAGTGAAAATGGATTAAAAAACAATGTTCAATGTGATCAATTTGTTCTCATAAAATAAAATAGTTGCTTAAGATGAAGGAAATATATACAGTATTGGCAACACTCTCTTCTAGTTAGTGATGCTACTATTATTATATTTTTTCCCTTACCCATTTTGAATTTTAAAATTTCATAAAGTGAACAGTCAATATTTTAAATTTCAGAAGTAACATAAACCAGTACATTATATTAACCAACATTTAACTAAATTTGCTTTATTTTTTCCCTGAGCTACCAGTATACTTAGAGAAATATCAATGACCTTATTCTGTAATCTGTTCATCTCTAGTGACTGCTATAGTTTTGTTTCTGCTTAAGCAATAAATATAAGATTTTACAATATGCTTCCACATGTAAGTTATTTTAGGTTCTCCTAAACATGATTAAGGAAAGATGAAATACAGACCATAATAATAGAGTAATATAACACTCTGTAACCTCAATCATAGCAACAGATTTATGTATTGCCAATTGTGTGTTAACTACATACAGATTGGCGCTCTGTGTATTATCTACTAAAAGGGCTATTGCTAACCATCCTTCATACTTCCTGGACTTGTTCCCTCATCACCTAGACACTGTGTATATAGGGAATGCAAACTAATTTTAATGTGCACTGAAGCAAAATATTACCAGGAAGGTGATGCTTCTAAAACATATAGCGTATAAATTGTTTGCAGCCATTCAGGACTTTATGATGATCAGGCATTCTGGATGTTCCACACTACTGCTTCTCCATATTAGTATAGATAACTGAGAGATGAGCATGACATCAGTAGGAAAAAAAACCCAAAAACTTACTTTTACACCTATCTAATCAGAGCAACAGCTATACTGACTTACAGGTATTCAGAGGGAAAAGCAAGTCAACTTTTTGGAATGCATTATATCACTGTTCACAGGATTCTCAAGGTATTGCTTCACCAGCCAGAATCCTCTCTGACTGGTGCCGCCTTCTGCCTGAGTATTGCTCATGCCTTCTGGGCTCGTTCTGCCCACTCAGCCTAACAGACTTTGCTCGCTCACTCTACTGGCCCAGATCCCACACCTGCAAAGCGCAAGGCAGGCATGGAGCAGTGAGGGGTGTGTAGATGAGCGAGTATGGGGTCCAGCCACTGTGCACAGCCAAACATGCTGGCTGCTGCAGCGGGCTGGGCAGGCAGCTCCAGGCACAGGTAGTGGCTCCATGCGAATCTGCTACTGGACCAGATGTACTGTACATGGCTTCTGCTGTGGGCATCCACTTCTGGATGAGGAGAACACAGTGGTGTCCAGAATCTTGGAGTATTCAGGAACTTCAGAACCCCAATGAGGGTGTCACAGCCCTGGCTCAGGAAGGCCCTACCTCTTGGCTTCCCAAAAGGCCACAACTCTTCTCTTCTTCTTGCCACTCGCAACATGGCAAGTAGCAGGGTGTGTTTCAGCCCTGTTTGTGTTACAGCTCTTTTAGTCCTGTCATTTGGTGCATCCTGAGTTCTTGTCCCATGTCCAGGAAGAATGAGGTACAGGGACAACTGGAGGGTGAGCAAGGCAGAGAAGAGCTTCATTGAGCATCAGAACAGTTCTCAGGAGACCCGAAGTAGGTAGCTCCTTTCTGCAGGTAGGTTGTCCCGACCAGTGTACAACTGTCAGTGGAATGGGGACCCACAATAGGTAGCTCCTCTCCACAGGCAGGTCATCCTGTCCACTGCCTGAATCTGGCTGAGTCTGGGATTTATATGGGCTTCAGAGGAGACGAAGTGGGTGCTGATTGGCCCACAGGTGGCCACGGCAGCTCTATAAAAGCATCATAAGTTCTCACTTTGGTCTGCAGAACTGACAGCTCAGTCCCCAGGCTTCAAGCAGTCTCTGGCTTGAAGGTGGGACTTCACCGGGGACCCACCCCTTTCTACCCAGGAGCCTGTCTGCCTCCTGCCGCCACCAACCTCCTGTCCATGGTGCACATGGTGACCAAGCTGTTTGTGCCAAGGGTTCTTGCAGGCCCACACTGAGCTGCCTTCAGCTCCCCCTCAGCCTTGCTCCCATGCTCATTGGTGCCCAACCAGAGGGGCCCAAAGCAGCAGGGGGCTGGAGTGTCAGTGTTTCCCTGAGCGCATGCACACCCAGCTGGGTTGCAACAGCGCCCAGCCTGGGCCTCACCTTTGCTCCGAAATTGGAGTGGGCACTGGGAGCAGGGAGATTCCAGGCAGTGGTGGCAAAGCACTTCTGTGCCTGTGGGGCCAGGGAGGCTTCCCAGGTCCCTGAGAGTGCAGGAATTCCAGGGTCCACAGCCGTGGCTGGGTAGCTGTAGCTGTGCCCAGGAGGGCAGGGCTCCCACCCCTCCAACTCAGAAGAGGTCAGGGATCCCAACTGTTCCCAGCTCCTGCCGGCTCCATGGAGCACACAGCCCCAGCCTTGCTGCTTCCACTGCAGCCGGTGTCATGGCAGTGGCAGCTCCAGATGGGCCCCCACTGCCATCACCACCACACATCTTCTATTGTCTTTGACTATGACTATGCCCTAAATTATATGAGTGTTTCTAAAGTGTCCAAGAATTCCCCTCTAATTTCTTGGAGATTTAGCTGATTTGTATACTGAGGTACCCAGAATAGATGTCTCAGTCCCTGGCACAAAGGATATACCATAAATACTTGTTAAAAAAAACACAAAAGACACATATTCATCTGACTGCATTATTTTCTATTTTTGCCTACATAAAAATTAGTAAATGAGGTAACCACTGACTATCCTGGCAATCATATTCCCAAGGCAATACTCCACAATCAACTGGGAACAGGATGGACAAAGCATAACTTCTAACTTGATGTATTTAATTTAAATAACTAATTTGTTTTATGATAAATGTATCAGTTTAAAAAATAGAACATATTTCTCTCTAAATTGAATGTCATATTATTTTATATTAAACTGTCTTCCAGTTGTGCAATTTTATATATTTATATACTAAAATTATTCAGAATTTATTTTGATCTATGATATGAATTAAAGATCAAAATTGTTTTAGTTCCAAGTTTCTTATAAGTTGTCTCATTGACGTTGACTGAACCAAAATTAGTGAGACTTCTTGCATAAATTTTAATTCCCAAAGGTGTATCATATATTTCAAAGTCTGTATTTATAACTCCAATATTCTGTGATGATCTCCTTCTATTGTATTTTATTTTGTTTTCTCCTATCAGTAACATTTGTACTGTCTTTGCTTTTTTCCATTATGCCCAATTATCTTTTTATTACATGTCAGATATTGTCAGCTTCAAATTTGGACTTCAGTCACTGGGTTTCCTTCTCTTGCTAGAGTGAAGACTTTCAGATTTGAACCACAAGTAAAGTTTTTGCCAGCCTCTTCCACTTTCTCTAAACCCTCACCATTTAGCAGGCTCTGCATTCCAATTTCCTTTCCCTTGATCAGTGAGATGATTAAACAGCTGCAAAGCTCAAACTCTCCAACATTCAGTTGGCTGCTACAGAATTGGCTAAGTTGCAGAGGAAAAGCTGTTCTTGTTTCTGGGCTCTATTCCTTGAGACGCCTTTCTTCTTTGGATTGTGTCCTAGAAATATTTCAGACTCTATTGCCCTCAATTATAGTTTTTAAAAAAACCTTTTACCGGTTTTTCTTGTCTTCAGCAGAAAGGTAGTTCTGAATTACTTAATCCTTCATTAGTGGATACTGGAACAAATAACCATTTTTAATAAATGTTTTAACATCACTTGTCTAGAATTATTCACTCATTTTATTTTCTTCATTAACATTTTAAACATTTTATTATTTTTAATGTTAAATAAATTTAATATAACTTATTTATATTAAAATGAAGCTGTACCATCTGATTTTTGGCAAAGCTGACAAAGCAAGCAATGGGAAAGGACTCCCTGTTGAATAAACGGTGCTGGGATAATTGGTTAGCCATATGCAAACGATTGAAACTGGACCCCTTTTTTATACCATATACATAAATTAATTCAAGACAGATTAGACTTAACTGTAAAACCCAAAAGTATAAAAACCCTGAAAGACAACTTAGGCAATACCATGCTGGACATAGGAACCGGCAAAGGTTTCATGACAACGATGTAAAAAGCAATAGCAACAAAAGCAAACATGGACAAATGGGATCTGATTAAACTTAAAAGCTTCTGCACAGCAAAAAATAAATAAATAAAAATAAAAATAAAAACTATCAACAGAGTAAACAGACAACCTACAGAAGGGGAGAAAATTTTTGTAAACTATACATCTGATAAAGGTCTAACATCCAGCATCTACAAAGAACTTAAACAAATTTACAAGAAAAAAAAAAACATTAAAAAGTTGGCAAATGACATGAACAGAAACTTTTCAAAAGAAGACATACATGCAGCCAACAAACATATGATAAAAAGGTCAATATCACAAATCATTAGAGAAATGCAAACCAAAACCAAAATGAGATGCCATCTCACACAAGTCAGAATGACTATTATTAAAAAGTAAAAAAAATAAATGAATAACAAATGCTGATGAGGTTGTGGTGAAAAGGCAAGCTTACACAGTGTTGGTGGGAGTGTAAATCAATCATTGCGTAAAGCAGTGCGGTGATTCCTCAAAGACCTAAAGACAGGAATACCACTGGAACCAGAAAACACATTACTGGGTATATATCCAAAGTAATATAATTCATTCTACTATAAAGACACATGCACACATATGTTCATTGCAACACTATTTATAATAGCAAAGACATAGAATCAACCCAAATGCCCATTAATGGCAGATTGGGTAAAGAAAACACGGTGCATATATACCATGGAATACTATGCAGCCATAAAAAAGAATGAGATCATCTTCTTTGCAGGAACAGGGATGGAGCTTGAGGCCATTATCCTTAGCAAACTAACACAGGAACAGAAAACCAAATACCACATGTGTTCACTTACAAATGGGAGCTAAATGGTAAGAACACATAGACACCTAGAAGGGAACAACACACACTGGGGCTTATTGGAGGGTGCAGGGTGTTAGGAGGGAGAAGACTAGAAAAAATAACTATTGGGTATTAGGCTTTGTGTCTGGGTGATAAAATAATCTGTACAACAAACTCCCGTACAGGAGTTTATCTATATAATAAACCTGCACATGCACTCCTGAAACTAAAGTAAAAGTTAAAAATGAAGTTGTTTAATGTTTTACAATTTTCATTAAATATACAAATTATTCTGACAAAAAGTGAGATATCTATATTCTAATATATATGTTTTCATTACTTAAAGACTAATTTAATGGCTCTAAGAAAAGTTATTGTAGTATTTTTCATACAATAAACCAATTTATTTGTTCACAAGTTTCTTTAGGTCTTTCCTAGTTATTTTATGTATTTGCAGCAAATGTGAATGGAGATATATTTATTATGAGGCACTCTATAAGATACTTTAAGAAGAAATAACCCAATGTGCTTAATATTAACTATATTTCTACATTGTTAGGTTTAATATTGACCTATAAATATGCTATATGTAACCAGTGTGCTAAATAATTGTGATATTTAGAAAAATGACTATCTACTATAAAGACATATACACACGTATGTTTATTGCAGCACTATTTACAATAGCAAAGACTTGGAACCAACCCAAATGCCCATCAATGATAGACTGGATAAAGAAAATGTGGCACATATGCACCATGGAATACTATGCAGCCATAAAAAATAATGAGTTCATGTCCTTTGCAAGGACATGGATGAAGCTGGAGCCATCATTCTCAGCAAACCAACACAGGAACAGAAAACCAAACATCACATGTTCTCCCTCATAAGTAAGAGTTGAACAATGAGAACACATGGACACAGGGAGGGGAACATCACACACGGGAGCCTGTTGGGGAGTTGGGGGAAAAGGGAGAGAGAGCATTAGGACAAATACCTAATGCATGCGGGGCTTAAAACCTAGATGACGGTTGATGGGTGCAGCAAACCACCATGGCACATGTATATCTATGTAACAAAGCCGCACATTCTGCACATGTATCCCAGAACTTAAAGTAAATTAAAAAAACAATAAAAATAATAATTAAACAGAGAAAATTGATTTGAATATATCAAGACATGGTTTTTAAGTAATTTGGGGGATATATTTTTCTCTCTTTTTTTCCTCCAGATTTATTTTTAGGTAAAATTTCCCAGGAATAATTTCTCTGTTAGTTTATAAATAAGTTCACCATTTGCATAAAATCACTACAGGGACCTGTAAGCATTGTTCCAGCGGGGTTTCAGTATTTTTATTGACTACTTATTCCTATACACCTCTGGTTCTTCTCCTTCTCAAATGGAACTCTGTCTTCTTCACTGCTGAATGTTGGTTCGATAAGGATACAGATAACATTTTAAAATGTGTTTGTAGCTCTCTGAATCAAGAGGATCTATATCTAACCCTTGGTGTCAAATTAAAATTCCTAGGTGTTGAAGGTGATCCCATGATTAAATGAGACTTGGGGAGTTGAGCATGTTTGCTCATGAGAAGGATGTGAATAAATGCACATGTGAAGTTGGGCAATGTTGGATTACATTACAGGTTTACACATTTTACTTTACACTGGCCTCTCATCATGGACATGCAGATTTGCCCCATCCTGTCACCTGGAACTTGGCCATAGTATTTGATTTGGTCAGGGGATGTCAACAAATATGACACAGACAGAGGCTTAACATGGCATTGTATATTGGAACACTCTCTCTTACTCTGCTATTACCACAGAACATGCCAGCACCAGGTAAATGTCAGACAAGAGACAAAGGGAACTAAACTATGTTACCCCAGCTGAAACCATCCTAAGTGAACTGACAGTTACCTGAAACTTAACACTGAGAGTAAACCCAGCCCGAGATCAGCAAACTTTCCTAGCTTAGCTCCAGTTAACCCAGGATGCATGAGCAAAATATTTATTATTCTGTCAGTAATGTTTGTTGCCTGCTTATTGTGCAACATTATTTTGGCAATAGCTAACTGAAACACTAACTTGTGCAAATGTAATTGACCTGTCATTAAGTAAAATGAGAAATTATTCTGATGGAAATTTGAAACATTTATTCTGTTGAAATCAATATATGTTTATATTTTACTTAATGACAGGTCAATACATTTGTACAAGTTACTACAACTATGATGGATCCTCCTGATTCAAACATACAAATATGTTTATATTTTTTTCTAAATTTTAATTCCACTGTATGTAGTCATATTAGTCTGTTCTCATGCTGCTAATAAAGACATACTGAAGACTGGGTAATTTATAATTTATAAATGAGAGGTTTAATGGTCTCACAGTTTCACATGGCTGGGGAAGCCTCACAATCATGGTGGAAGGTGAATGAGGAGCAAAGTCATGTCTTATATGGCAGCAGGCAAAGAGAGCAAGTGCAGGGGAATTCCCCTTTATAAAAGCATCAGATTTCATGAGAAATTACCCACATCCAGGAGAACAGCATGAGAAAGACCCACCTCCATGATTCAATTACCTCCCAGTGGGGCCCTCCCCAAAACGTGGGGATTATGGGAGCTACAATTCAAAAAGAGATTTGGGTAGAGTCACTCCAAACTATGTCAATAATGTAAAAGCAAATCCAAGCTGGGAGTGGTGGCTAACTCTCATAATCCTGGCACTTTGGGAGGCCAAGGTGGGTGGATCACTTGAGGTCAGGGGTTCGAGACCAGTCTGCCCAACATGGTGAAACCCCATGCCTACTAAAAATACAAAAATTAGTTGGGCATGGTGGAAGGTGCCTGGTGCCTGTAATCCCAGCTACTCAGGAGACTGAGGCAGGAGAATCGCTTGAACCTGGGAGGTGAAGGCTGCAGTGAGCTGAGATCACACCACTGCACTCCAGCCTGGGTGACAGAGTGAGACTTCTTCTCAAGCAAACTCGTCATGCATCTAATATGCCCTAGAACAGTCATAGCAATTATTTACAGCTTGTGTTCATTCTGATTGTTTCATGCCTGTAATTTAGAATGGCTGATGTATATATTTGACTAAGCATTCAAAATGCCATCACCTCCCAACATTACATTTTTATTGGTATTATAGTTGAGCATTTAATTCACAATTGTGTGATGAAGAGAGTTTTATTTATATTCCCAGCCATACATCATTATGTTATATCATCTACCATAAGTGTATATATATATATATATATGTTTAAACATTCTAACTATTCCACTTAATAAAATAAGTTTAAGTAGGCTAATAAAGTCAAGTGGATCACTAATAAGATAGCATTCAGAAAGTGTGTCATTATTTAGTTCTTCTGTAGGCCTGGCAATTCATTTGTTTTCCAGTGAAACATGAGAATAGCTATTTTTAAAATGATTAATACGAGTTATGTAAAAAGATTGTTTTCAACAGAGTTTTATACAATTAAAATGGATATGTAATGCCTTTCATTGTAAAGGATTAGATAATGTACATTTATACAATTTTTAATAGAATACCACACTATACTAAATGACATTATGGAAAATGTCATTTATAGTCTATTGTTTAAAGATAATATGTCTAGTGCTTTAATGTTTGTTTGCTTTTTTGTTTTAACAGTGCTAAAGTATTTTGACTTTAACTTATGGGTATATAGTTATGACATGACAGAATAATTTCACATTAAAACTGTTTTAAAATGTATGTTATGAATTTCACATAAATAGTATTTTATATGAGGGTAGACATGCAAAGATTGTATTAAAGATTCCATGACCCATTAGTATTTATTTGAAAAATATATATATATAAGAGCATTATGTTGTTTACTGCATTTTTTCAGATAAAATTTTTGAGAATAGAAATTCAATTTTTTAAACTGGATTTCCCATGTAACTTATAAAATCTGCCAATTCTTCTGCCATTATATACATCTTTTCTTACAAATTCTGTAGCATATTTATAATAGTTATTTTATAGTCTTTTTTCTACAAAACCGATCATATACATCATATATGGATCTCCTTCTATTTACTGTTTTTTTCTCAATCATATTTTCCTTTTTCTTCACCTGATTCATAATTTATTATAATCCAGACATTCGATTTGAAAATACAATGGACAGGAAAATATAACTTATTTTGCTATTTTTTTTTTTTTTCAGAGAGTGTAGATCCTTTGTTAAGAACCTTGGACTGATCATTCAGATTCCTTTAAGAATCTAAGTGTCCTAAGATAAGGCTGCAGCATTAATTAAATTCAGCTCTCCTTTGTTTAGCTGCAAAAGTCTTTGATCTTGTCACTATTTTATCTAAGAAGAGGTTGAAATGCAGTTTCAGGGCCGGGCGCGGTGGCTCATGCCAGTAATCCCAGCACTTTGGGAGGCCAAGGCGGGTGGATCACGAGTTCAGGAGATCGAGACCATCCTGGCTAACACGGTGAAATCCCGTCTCTACTAAAAATACAAAAAAAATTAGCTGGGCATGGTGGCGGGCGCCTGTAGTCCCAGAAACTCGGGAGGCTGAGGCAGGAGAATGGCGTGAACCCGGGAGGCAGAGCTTGCAGTGAGCCGAGATCGCGCCACTGCACTCCAGCCTGGGCAACAGAGCAAGACTCCATCTCAAAAATAAATAAATAAATAAATAAAAGAAATGCAGTTTCGGATAGATTGGGCATATTTCAGATTCACTTGTTTTAGGTTTCTGAAATCCAAGCATTACAGCATGTGGCTGAATGAATTCTCTCTCTTCCTCCCTAGAAATTATCATTTATCTAAATTTAAACTTAAAATAATATTTAAATTTAAAAATATATTTTCCTATTACTGTGTGGGCAAAAGCCTACCATGTCCTAAATTTTGACTGGAGGTGACTATTCTTACTGTTTGATGTGAATATTTTTTTAATTCCAGCATCTCTCTTCCATGTATATTAAAGGTTTCTTAACATTTGTATTGTAAATTTTTGCCTTTCCAGGGCAATATTTATTTCACCTGTTTTATATAGTTCTTAATGTCATTCCACAGTCTAATGGGCACTGGTAAATATTAGTTCATTCTTGCATTTCTTAAAGAAGCATATCAAGTACCTTAAAATGAATAGGATTAAGTATTTTCTTGTATGAAACAAAATATGGTGTGAATGTGCATAAAATTTCTGAAATGATCAAATGTATAGGAGTAAAGAAGTATTTTAACTGCTACCCTAAGCAGGTTCATTAAATAAAAATATTAGTCAAAATTTAAGATGCATTTGAAAATGTGGGAGTTTTAGAGTTAATTTCACAATAATAACACCAACTTGTTATTAACTTGCATTTTCTTCTTTTGTTATAGGACATTTGCTTCTATGATACTCTCTACTTGTTGTGTGTGTATCCATCTATCTCTATGTATCTATCATCTAGCTACCTCTATAAGTCATAGTGTAGATTTCTTAATGTAGTGTGTTTCCTTTGAAACATTTAGCCATTTGAACTACATCTTAATAGTTGCTGCCCTTAGTAGAATATAGAACAGAATAAAATGTTTTCCACTGAAATTATTGTTCTCTGTGGACAGAATATTTTTCATGTACTTCTAATAAGACAACAGTATGAGATGCATATAATGGCTTTATAATGGAAATAATCTGTATCTCATAACAACTAAGCAAGCAAAACCATCAATATCATCCTCCAAATAGAGATAAACATTTTTTCCTTCAAATATACTACATGAATTAATATGTTTCAATTGCCTAGCATTGAATCTGATATACAAACTTCCTTGGATACAAGTAACTTTATACCTTGGCCTGAGAACGCTGAATCAGGCAAAATGAAAGTTTTTGATGCAGGAAAGATTTATACTTATGTAATTGCATTTTATTCCACCCGCTAATTTCTACTTTCTAATCCTAGAAGACTTCCCAGTTGAACATCCATTTTAGTTTCTCTCATATTCAATTTTAGGATGCATTTGTTTAGTCTTAGCTTATTTAACACTTTTTTTGAGTAAGAAGGTTTTAATTGCATATTTGAATTTTAAATGAGACCACTGTTCCAAGGGTAATTAAGAATATGGCTTGAGTAGGTAAGACTATTTTTTTCTTGCCAATTTCTGTAGCTTGGTGGCAGCAAAATGCATATTTTGATCAGAAGAAACATATAAAAGGGTCCTTAATTGATAAAGAATTTCCTTGTCCAAACCTGTAAGTGTTGGTTACTTCTGTTACAGAATACATTAGCTAAAGTAGAATAGATATCAAAATTGCTTTGTATCCTCTAAGGGTGCTAGCCGCTGGTCAAATGAGCCAGCTGTGCTCCAGTCCTTGTCCTTAGGGAATTTTACCTACAGCCACCTTCACAGAATTCATTTCCCATTGTCATCGGGTAAATTATTTTGGTCACATTAATCATTATATCAGTTCACAGGGAAAGTGGTACCTCTCAGCACTTTGATGCATGGCCTGAACACCTACACGCTTGTTCATTTTATGAACTCAGGAAGTTGGCTATAGAGAGAAAATATATGCTTTATGACTACAGCCTTCATCTGACCTGGCACGTGGAGGCTGCTGCTCCTGCTGTCTTTCTTACTTCTCCTCCTCCTCCTCTCCTTCTTCTGCTTCCTTTTCCCTCCCCCTTCCCTTTCCATTCCTCCTTTTCTTCTTCCTCCTTTTTTCTTTTGTTTTTTTTTTTTAGTAGAAAGAACTACATCATTCACTTTAATTCTTCCTCTAAATTCCCAAAATGTTTCTGTAACTAGATGCCACATTCAGTGATGTTTCTCACCATAAATAACTATTCCAAACAAGAATATTCTTTACCATAAAGATTTATCTATTCTAGGGTATTCTTTATTGTTCAGTCATATAGAGCCAATTTGCCTGATCATACAGTAAGGCTGTCGGCTAACAGATCAAGAATGTGAATATCCAAATACTTCCCAGAGTCTGTGAGCTTCAATTCTACTCTTAAATAGACAACTCTCATCTCTTGCCTTGCCTTCTCCCATCAAGCATTAACTACATGGAGTTCATGGTCTTGCTTGTTTTCAAATAGCACTGCAGCCAAATGTATCCTCTGGAATATTAGACAGTAGTAAAAAGTTATGACTTAAAGCAACATACAAAAATATGATTAGATTTCAGAATCCTAATGTTAAGTAAAAACAGATGTGAGCAATATTCCTTATAGTATGATAACATTTTCATAATGTTAAATATGGAAAGCAATTAATACATTTATGAGGGACTCATATATAGGTAATAAAACTACTTTTTAAGGGCATGGGGTTAATAATCAAAAAATTTCTTATCTAGTGGAAGAAAAGGTAGTAATTTTTTTAACGCACAATTGTAGATGTAATGTTACAAGTAATACTATAGTTCATAAGATGAGTAGTGGTTCATAGTTGTTCATTGTATTATTGTTCTGAATAATTTATATATACAGTATTTAATTTATATACATTAACTTTTGAGAAGGCTATTTTATGGCACCTATGAGGTGTTTTGTCTGGTTAGAACCCTTAGGTTTTATAATAATCTAGCATATAACTAGAAAAATATAAATATTTGGAAAAACTTTTGGTTCTCCCAGATATTTTAGACCTGGGTCTTATTTTACTCTGGAAGCTAGCCACTGTAACAAGGACCAAAAATAATAGCATGACTGAGATTACTCCCAGCATAACCAATTTAATAACATGAGACTGCATTCAAATAGGATTCCAATTATTATATTAAAATCTGTACTGGGAGTGTAAATAAGTGATAGTTATACTTTATCAAGAAAATAAAAATAAATATTTCTGTACCTGTGCAAATTATGTCTTTTGGTAAAGAGATAAGCTATTATTGGAGGGGGTAGATAATGTATAGAACTTGATGCCTAGTCTGAGGGAATTGTGCTGGGCCAGGATCATACATGCAAATAGGAAAATTTTAGAAATCTATATGATCAGTCTTTGGTGCTTTGGAAACATGAATTATTAAATTTATTAAACTTGGAAAGCTATTGATCATTAACTTAATTGATCATTACTTAATATTGGTGGTGAAATAATTGCAGAGTAAAATCTCTGAGTGTTGCATCTGAGGTAGCAGGTGAGACTCAACTCCAAAGGTGGATCTCGGACAGCAGACCAAACTGAGGAGTAGCAGAAGCTAGGGACAGGCAGAAGCAGCTTTCCAGAAGACGTGCCATGTCAGTTTACCATTGCCATTGCAACAGTTGGGAGTTACCACCCCGTCCTTTACAATGGAAAGTCACCACCGACAATTTACCATCCTTTTCCTATAAATTTCTGCATAAACCACCCCTTAATCTGTGTGACACTAAAGGTTATTATAAATATGACTGCAAACTTGCCCCTGAGTTGCTATTCTTAGAACTCTGCTTATGAGGCACCCCTGATCTACGGGAGCAATCACAGAGCTGTAACCTTGCCTGAGCTGTGGCACCACTGGTGCTGTAACATTACCACTTCAGTAAAATCCTCATGGGCTAAGCCCAGTTTGGTTCTTGCCAGCCCTTTTTCACATCCAATGTTAACAGTCTAATCCAGGCAGAAACATGGTAAGAGAGAATCTTTTTACTTCAAGCCTAGGCTTTTTGGTGCTTCCCATAACAACAAAGAAAATGGCTTCTATAATCATGTCCATCATCA
Organism: Homo sapiens; assembly: GCF_000001405.40. NCBI lineage: Eukaryota > Metazoa > Chordata > Mammalia > Primates > Hominidae > Homo > Homo sapiens. The sequence goes on along the minus strand of NC_000001.11, from coordinate 195,779,389 downwards.
TCAGATCATAACACGAAAGGCAAACAGAGTATACCAAAAGAAACAGATTTAACAGAACTTGTAACTTAGTGCATAGTGTAATGTTAAATTTATATTTTCCTCTCTTCCTCCCAACCTATGTATCTAAATACGTTATTCTTATAGTGGACGTTCAACACATTTTTGGAAATAAAATAAAATTGTTTCTGGATCTCATCTTATATAAAAATGCCAGAATTAAATTAGAATAGTTCTCAGTTCTTCGTGATGCAGCTTAATTTGATGGAAAAAATATAATGTAGTCATACACCTAGATTTAAATCCTCATTCTGAAGTATAGTAGTCCTGTTATTTACTTTCTCTGGATGGCTATAACTTTATTTGTAAACTAAATTCATTTACAGCAAAGGGTTGGCAAGAGGGAAAATGCCTGGCAAACAATAACTCAACAAATGGTAGCTAGTACAACCATTTGTAAATATCAGGAAATAAAGACTCTAACACATAGCAGAAGCTGTGCTTTGCTTTTTTTCTTCATTTAACCTGAATTATATATAGACCCTCCAGACTAAAAAAAACTTTAATATGATCCACTGTGTTAATGTATTATATTTGGGGCATCATATGTAATTTTGTTTCTGTTTTTTATTTTCCCGCCATTATACTGCCTATGATGTTAGAATATTTTTGTTTTGCTTTAGTGTTCATATTATAATAAAATAAAAAGCAAATGCATTAATGACTGCTACATTGGAAGTGCTCAGTTAATGTTAGCTAATATTATTATTATGTTTATGTATATATGATTCATTTATATGACGTGCTATTAAGATAGACAATCAATTATTGAAGTTGAAATTATATAATATGAAAAATATATTAACTGAGATATTCAATAGTCACTGTTACCTAATATAATCAAATGACTGTTAAAGCACTTTTCCAACGTTACATTTCAACAAATTATTGGTGTATTTTAAGACAAGATTTACCAGATAAATGAGACTTTGAAACATGATACAGCAATGTCATTAGAAAAATAGTTAATGGCTTACCATCAGAAGTTTCGCAATGTAATTTATTCTAATAACTAAATAACAAGTTCTGTTTTGAGTTTATCTAACAATATATTTAAAAGAAAATTATATTTGAATGTCTCAAAATAAATATAAATATATGGGATAATGTTATAAGTTATATTACATGTATGTTTTATACCATAAGGAGCATTAACGGCATAGCTATAAAATATAAAAAGAAAAAATCACACGAGGCTATACTTTAAATGGTATATAGGAAGAATTTAGAAATATAATGTAATAGTTTAAAATGCATGCAGCTATTGGAGCTGTATAACTACTATTTGAATCTTGATTCTACTCCTTAAAGCTCTGTGTATTTGTGCAAATTCTTCCCATTTGGATATGGTGAACTAATAGCTCTGGAGAATATGTTTTAACATAATGCTTATATATACATTCATGTATATATATCACCATTTATCTGTGGCTAATATAACTGACTTGATAGTTTGACAGAACAATTCTCTCTCTTTCTCTCTAAATATATATATGTATGTATATATATTTATATTTATGTATGTAACATATAAATTTATCAATTTATATATATCATGAATCATATATATATTATAATAGCAGATATAGATATAGCTTTTTGACAATATCTTGACACATTACACATTGAAATACAGTTCTCTGTGGATATAATGAATAACAGCTCAGGGAAACGTATCATGTTATACACATCAGATATATATATATATATATATATTCATGCTTTCATACTTAAAATTAATTAGAAAATAAGCATACACATTCATTTCTTTCTTTTGGGTACTCCAGTAAAATTGTTGTCAGTATTTCAGAAAAATCAGCTCCTTCCTCTTATTTATGAAAGAGTTTATCAGAGCATAAAAATATGTGTTGTTTATATTGCTATAGAATATATGATGATAACTTTCATACACCATTAAGAAATGGTTCCAACCACTTGCATTCTGAGTTTATTCATGAAACACATAAAGCTCCTGCACTATATTTTCTCCTTCTTTCTTCTCCATAGGGGCAAAAGGACTATAAATTTACCATCTGCTCTAAGACTTTCAAGCCATAAAGACTGCAGTTAAAACTATGTTAATAGCTCAGTTCAGACAAGAATGATTCTTTGATTTTCATTTCTTATAGGGTAAGTTAATTAAATCCAGTAAAACCATTTTATCCCTACATAAGGCTACTCAGGTTCTTGCTTGCTTCCATTTTAAAATTCTAGTCTAAATTCTGCATATTTGTTATCTTCATAATTTCATTCTTACACAAAGTCTATTTTTATGGTGTCTTGTCTCACATATTTAGCAGTTAAAATAAGTTTTAAATAGTATGTTTTCTACAGATCGTTACTAAGTTTAAAATTTTATTGAATACAAATACATCTATTGAGTAAAATAAATCATCTCGGCATTCATTTCTGTCCAGTATCAGGCTGAAAGCATGCACACAAAGGAGTATAATACACAGGACCCCAAAGATGAAAACTCAATTCTAAGGCTTCTCATTCTGTGTCAGGCTAAAATGAATAAAATTCATAAAATACAATGCAATAAGTACATTATGGGGCACAGTTTTAAATACCTACAATGTAAAAATTATCAGGCCTTTGTCTTCTGTTTCTAGCCTAGTGTTGAGTACCACGTACGATGTTCATGGATTCGGGTTTGTTTTTTCTTTTTTTAAAAAAAGCATTTTGAGAAAATAGAACAGAGACAAAATACATTTGGTAGCATTTGTGAAGACTTGTTGGAGGATTCTCTAGTGATTAAAAAATTTGTCAAGGTGAGAAATAGAGGAATGAAAATACATCAAAAGAAACAGCTCATTATTCATGTAGTGATTCTCTACATTCATGAGTGACTCAAAATTTAGTAAACAATTCTGTAGAATTCTCTAACATTTTAAACTAAAAGTTTATTCATTTATTCAGCTGACAAATATTTATTGATTGCCAACTATATGCCTGGGGATGCAATGATATTCAAGACATGCTGAGCTTATATTCTACTGAGAAAGAATAAATTCAGGTATAGTGTGTGATGTAGGCTAGAATAAGGGAAGGAGAAGGTGGTCTGGGACCATATAAAAGGTGAAACCATTTAATTCCTAACATTCAGGAAAACATCTCGGTAAAACAGATATTTAAATTAAAACATATTAAAATTGTTACAGAAGTATGTTGCTTAACAATAACTTAGATTTAAAATTTCTAACAAAGTTGTTTGCTACTACTGAAGAGTAGCTGTAAAATGACTTAACATATATTTTTTAAAATAATAAAAGATGTTAATTGGAGCCTGTAAAATATACCATGACATGGTTTTATTTCATACTTAGTTGGACAATAACAAATAATGGCTAGGGTGTGGAGTAACAGAAACACATAATTTCTTGTGAAATATAAAACTAGGAGACTATTTTGCAAAACAGTTTATAATTACATTTAAAACTGTAAATATATTATAAATTAGCAAGTCCTTCTCTAAGTGCATACCCTAGGGAAACTCTTGCATATATTTATCAGAAGATGTACAAGAAATCTAATAGTGTTAGTTTTTATAACAACAAAAAACATTCTTAATTGATTTTAGGATATCCACACAATAGAATATTTTGCAAGAGTGAAAATGGATTGAATTATCGTTTTAAGTGACAACATGGGATAGATCTCACAAACATAATGCAAGGGGGAAAATCCACATAGTGAGGACTATTATCTTTAGGAATCACTTCTAAGCTCAAAAATAATCAAAACTAAATTAATATTATTCAGTTGTGTATGCATGTGTGTACAACTATTTTAACAAAATATAGGACTGTTAATATTTTTCAGGTCTGTGGTATTTCTGAGGTGTTTCAGGAAGATAGGATGGGAAGAGCACATAGGTAGAATCAATTATATTATACAATGTTCAACTGCTACTTAATTTTCAGGTGGATTTATGAATATTAGTTTTATTATTATGCATTAAAAATTATCTAGGCTGGGTGCGGTGGCTCACGCCTGTAATCCCAGCACTTTGGGGGGCTGAAGCAGGTGGATCACCTGAGGTCAGGAGTTCAAGACCAGCCTGGCCAACATGGTGAAAACCCGTCTCTACTAAAAAAAAAATACAAAAATCAGCTGGGCATAGTGGTGAGCACCTGTAATCCCAGCTACTCGGGAGGCTGAGGCAGGAGAATCGCTTGAACCTGGGAGGTGGAGGTTGCAGTGAGCTGAGATCGTGAAACTCTGTCTCGAAAAAAAAAATTATCTAAATTGTTGTAATATATTTTACAAAATATTTAATATTATTAAATACTAAGGATGTTTCGTTTGCTTTGTATTTCTTTGTTCCAACACATTTATTCAAATACCTAGTTTGTATTTGCAGAAAATTAGTAATAATTACTTACCCACCTCCCTGTGGGCAACTTCATTACTTCTGACAGGTTATCATGAATACACACATACTAAATTTTTAGTGTAGATGCATTTTAAGAAATAATGGATATTTAGACGTAGGATATATGCGCCCATTATAATAGAAAATTTGGGTAATTTCTAATTTTTGGGTAGCACTCCCCATCTATATTTACATGCTAGTTTTCAAATGATCTAAAAAATTATTATTGTTTCCATTCTTTCTCCAGAATGACAAAAACAGTAATGCTTAGAATTTACAACAATTATAAAAGGAAGGAAACAGTAGGATAATTCCTTCTTCTGAAATTTGTGTACAAATTTAGAACCCAAACAGTCATATGAGTAAACTAGAATACTTAGAATTCATTTTAAAGATTTGTATTTAAGTCAACATTTATGAAAAAAAAGAGTCTGGGTACTCATGGAAAGCATAGACTATTGAAAGAAATGTAATCGCAACTTTATTTTAACAGTGCTCATACAAGAATTCAACACAATATAATAATTTTATATTCTAAAAAATTAGAGGCAAATTCTTTATTCAAGATTACTTACATAATTGGAAGCTATTTTTATTGTGGCACAAACACAACATGACATACCCCCTTAATAACTTTTTAAGTGTGCAATATAATATTGTTAATTACAGGGACAGTGTTCCACAGCAGATTGCTAGAATGTACTCATCTTGTATAACTTGGTATTAATTTAGCCACAATTTCCTAGTTCCTCCTTCCACCCACTCAGCCTCTAGTAACCACCATCCTATGCTCTGTTTCCATAAACTGAACTATTTCAGATACCTCATATAAGAGGAACCATACAGTATTAGTCCTCCTGTGACTGGCTGCTTGCGCTTAACATAATGTTCATCCGCATTGCTGCATATAGCAAGATCTCCAGTTCTCTTTTGTTGTTTTCTTAAGACTGAATAACATTCCATTATGTATATATATGACATTTTCTTTACCCGTGTAACTGTGGGACACTTAGGATGATTCTGTATCTTTGCTATTGTGAATAATTCTGTAATGTATATGGGAGTGCAGATATCTCTTCAACATACTGATTTCATTTCCTTTGGATATATATATCCAGGAGTGACATTGTTGGATCATACGGTAGTTCTACTTTTACTTTTTTGAGGAATCTCCATACTGTTTTTGATAATGGCTGAGCACATTTAAATTCCCACTAACAGTGTACAAAAGTCTCAATTTTTCCACATTCTCACCAGCACTTGTTATTTTTATGTTTTTGATACTAGCCATTTTAACAGGTTCCTGAGCTGATAACTCACATCTTCATAAATTCATATCTTGCACATTGCATATTTTTTCTGTTCCGATTTTAGTAAATTTTGTAAAGTAATTTTTATAAGTTGTATTAACAAATTTTACTTATGAATATGTTTACTAATTTTTTGCCCTATAACCCTTTAAATACTGTGATTTATAATACCACCAAAAATCCTTATAGTTTTCTAATTAAAGCCAGAAAACACAGTTCATGGTTTAGAGTTTTTAAAAATTTTACTGTCTTAGTCTTTTGAATTTAAACATTGTCTTCAGAATATCTTCACATGCTTTTAAAAGTAAACTAATTTTGATTTGTTAATTACAATGCAGCAGTCATTGTAAAGATATATATGTAAAGATATATATCTTTATCTTTCTTATATTACTTATAATCTTTATCTTATATATAAAATATTAAGATATCTACATATATCTTTATTTTTCTCTGGAAGATGTTAGTTACTGACTGGTCTTTTACAATTTGCTTTTGGTAAGATGGAAATCCAGATAAAGCTGAAGATTGTGATTTATTATTTTATTTCTCTGTAAGAAAGTCATTTCATGGGTTAGGTGGTATTTTTTTGTTGTTGTTAATATCTCATTATCATGGACAATGTATACTTTCATGCTGCTGTGAGTTATTCTAAAACAAAATTGTTACTTAAACACCATTAATTTGCATCTGAAATAGTAGTGAGGTATTAATAAGCAATTTGTCTCTAGATCTCTCTGCTAAAATTATAAGAGGTCAACAAATGTACCATGCACTCTATAGATTAATTCAACAATTTAAAAAGTTTAAAAATACAAATTTTTTGAATAGATTGAACAAAATTAAGACAATCACCAATAGAAAATTTTAAAATGCTTTTGCAATAGAAAAATCTATGAGTTCGACCTTAAAATTTGATATTGAACTGAAAATTTCAAATGTTTTTAGTTTAGTAGTTTCAGTTTTCAATAGCAATACAATTTCTTTATTGTTAAACACTTGGAGTGTTTTTTGTAGTCATCAGCATGCTTTGTGTCTGCTTCACAGTATTTTGTGAATATAACTGTACCTTCTCTTGCAGATCATAAAAACTGTAGGCAAGGGATTTATCTATGTCTTTTACTTTTCTCAAATCAACAGCACATAGCACATAAAGTTTATTTGAAGAGCTTTGCATTTAGGTAGGTTAACTCATTTTAGGGACCAACTTGGAATCTATCACTCTGAATACATATTGGTTATTTCAATTATGTGCATTCATTAAAATTTGGGCATAAAATAAAAATGTAAGCTAATAAATATCTATTTCATGTGCTCATATGTTGTTAAAAAATTGAATGTTTTGTTACATATTCTTTGTGTCAGAATCATAAAATATGATAAGAAAATAATAAGAAATATTTATGCTTTCAATATTAAATTAAAACAATAGATATTTTAGAATTTTCTTTTTAAATGTTTTGGTTTTTTAATGTAAGTGACATTTTGCCAAACAGAGAAGTTATCACTGTATTACAATCTATTGCTTTGGTAGAGGGAGAAGAACATTTAACATTAAACAACTATCAAGTAACTGCATCAGATGCTATACTATATTAGCTGATAATTGAGATTATAGCATGTGAAATGAAGTGATATCTAAAAACCTGGAAAAGTGGACAAAACTTGCCTCAGATAGTTGGTAATTTTATCAATGGTTACTAAAATAATCATCCCTTTGCATTTTATGTTTTTTCCCAAAAGTAAGCATTTTCTTTGTTTTCTGTCTGCAAATTGAAGTATAAAAAATAGAACAATGCTATGTATATCCATACAATTTTATGTACACAGTGCATGTTGTACTACAATTTTAACTTTTTTTTTCCTTGAAGTATGTTAGCCAAGAATGTGTCTATTTTACTGAAGATGAATTGGCTTTACCTCATTTTTTTCTTGAGCTTTTTATAAAATTGGAAGGATTTAAAACTGAATTTATCTAGTCACCAAAGTTAAATTTGGTGATTTTTAAAAATTCAATACTTATGCTAATAAAGAGCTAAATAAATTACCTTAAAGTTTGAACAAATGAACTGAATTATTGATCAATATTAGGAAAGTGGGAAAAAATCAGTGTCTTAGGATATTTGCTTTATTTATAAATAACTTAAATTGGTTTTAAAAAACATGACCCCTTATAGGTCTTATTTATAGCAAATGAAAGAAAATCAGGATCCCAAACTACTAAGGCCAGAGACTTGTTTGCCTATTTAAAATCAAAATGAAGCTAATATTTATTACTAGCAAAAATATTGGTATCCTTATAAGTGTCCTATTTTTAAGAGTTGCTATGTGCTCAGCAATTTTGTAAAACAAGCACGTTTATTCCTAAGTCAAGGGTGAGAAAAGCGTACCTTAGAATATTTATAACTTTAAAAATTTGCAATCTTATAAGGTAGCAGATCTCAGATCCATTCCAATGCTTCTTGACTACCAAGCTGGCCTTCTTATCCTCAACATGTGTACAACCTCCCTGATGGATGCCAACCACTCTCATCACCAGTCTGCTGCAACTGCTCCCAATAGATCAATAGAGTAGATTTTGTAAACCTGTAAATCTACAAACTCTTGCAGTCTCCTTGCCTGCCGGGTTTTTAAAAATTTTCTCAGCTCTAAGCTATCTGGATACGCCTTTGGGAAAATAAGAAGTTGTGATTCAGCGGGGAAATACTGGAAACTAAAGGCTATTTAATGCTCTACCTTTCTATACCTCTCTTGGCATGCACATACACACACATACAGAAAAACACAAACACATACACATGTGTGTATATATGATTTTGTACAGTACTAATTTTCACAGCTAACATATTGTGAAAATCAATATGCTACAATTTAACTCTGAAATACATATAATGTTAACCATACACCATATATAACATGAGTCCTACTGACCACTATTATTTTAGTACATATATTGTGCTAAGCACTGTGCTAAATATTACCCATACCTTATTCTCACTCAATTCTCATACAAATACTTCAAGAGACATATTATTCATTATAAAGATAATACCACAGTATTAATTTCCTAGGGCTTCCATAGCAGAATACCACAGTTTGGGTGGCTCAAATAACAGAAATGTACTTTCTCACATTTCTTGAAGCTATCAGTGAGAAATCAAGATATTGACAGCTTTTGTTTCTTCTGAGACCTCTCTCCTTCATTTGCAGATGGCCACCTTTTTGCTGTGTGTTGACATGGTTCCCTCTCTCTGTGTGTGCATGAATCTGGTATCTCTCTGTCTCGACCTCTACTTATACCAGACACCGGTTATATAGATTAGCTCCCACCCTAACAGCCCTGTGTTAACTTGATTATCACTTTAATGGTCCTATCTCCAAATACAATCATTCTGAGGTACTGAGGTTTACAGCTTTAATGTATGACTTTTGAGGGGACACAATTTATTCCACAATAAGCAATAATAGAAAAAATTGGGTAACTTGGTTGGAGTTTCACAATTCTTAAGTGTGAGAGCCAGGATTTGGGCTTAGGTGTGTCTTAATTCCAAAGTTCATGATCTTAATCATTTTAACCCTATTTAATAGAAAGCAAAAACAAGGTATAAAATTTACATTATGTGCCTAAAATTTTAAACAACCAGTAAATAATAGTTACCAAATTTCTATTGCCAAATTATATTCAACTTAATGTTCTTAAATTGTGTTATACTCCCTCTATAGATTAAAGGCAGGGTAACTTCATCTGTGGTATATTCTGTAAATATGATTGACTAACAAATATAGCTTACACTTTGGCCTATTAGGAGATTACAGAAAACCACATGAATTATTAAAGTTTAAAACAAATTTTTAAATAATGCCAACTAAGGTGACTGCAGAGGAGAGCAGGATATCCAGCCCCTCATCCCTCTCCAGAAAGCAAATGAATTAATTAGTGCTTAAAAGAGTCTGATGCTTAGGAAGCAATGACTAGATGTTTGTTGAGTGATAAAGGATGCATAGTATGAAAAAGAATGCAAGACAGAGAAACTGTATTAGTATTGGAATTTAGAGGAGGGAAGAATGTCTTTTAAATATAGTACACATTATTCTAGAATAAAAAAGGACTTGGGGGATTCAAAAAACACCCTTCCTGAGAAAGTAGTGGGTATATTGAGGTAAAAAGAAGTGGTCATACTCATAGAAAACTATTAGGACTCTCTATAAATTAAGAGTGCAAAAAATAGAACTAAGGGTGGAGTTAGAGGCAGATGGATTACATCTTGCTAGTGCAGACCCAGAGCTCACATAACTAGCAATGCAGAAAAGGTACAAGAGCAACTGCCATTGCAAAATTCAGGCAGCCCCTAGGAACCTGGGTCACCCCTAACACTGAGTATCTCACTGCTAATGAGGCATTCAGCAATTAACAAATGTCATAGTATATACTTTGAGTACTGATAAGAAGAAAAAATGTAGAGATATATGAAGATAATTCTCAAGATGTCAGTTTAACCACACTGACTACACTGTTTAGGTATCAGTATCCCACAGCACACATTTTCTCCTGAGATTCCACAGTCTGATAAATTCCTGAATGAATAACTTGCATCAGCTAATTCTAGAAATTACTATAATTTTGAGATAAACATTACAGCAGTGGTCAAAAAAACAGGACTTTTTTCCCCATAAGATGTTTTGCTTTTATATATAAGAGTGATTGAAAACATCCTGAGAAGTGTCCATGGAAAGAGAATAACTAAACAAGATTCTAAACAACTTGAAAAAGAAGAAAACACTTTGAATAGAGCTATCATTGGAAACATGATTTTGTATGGTATCTGCATTATGACATCAAGAAAAGATAAATTCTGTAAAATACAAGATTAAATGAGATTATGAAGTAAAAATTTGAGATGAAATACCTACTATAGAGGATATAATCACGAAAATGTAAAATAGCAGATGTTATCAAGGACGTGGAGAAATAGGAACACTTGGACATTGCTAGTGGAATTATAAATCAGTTCTGCTGATGTCAAAAACAGTTCAGCAGCTCCTCAGAAAGTTAACATCAAATCATTATATGACTCAGCAATTCACTCCTATGCAACTCAAATAATTGAGAACAGGTACTAAAACAAATAATTGTATAGGGCCATTTGGGCAACATTATTCAAAATAGCCAAAAGTTGAAGCAATCCAAATATCCTTCCATAGCTCAAAGGATGAATGGCTAACCAATATGTGAAATACACATACAATAGAATATTATACAACCATAAAAGGAGTGAAATACTGATACATGCTGCAGCATGGATAAATCTGGGAAAAATTATTCTAACTGAAAAAATGAAAGATCACATATTGTACGATTCCATTTAAATGAAACACTCAGAAAAGTTAAATCCATAGAGACAGAAAGTAAATTGGTGGCTGTCCAGGACTCAGGAAATAATAAGTAAATTGGGGAGAAACTGCTTAATGGATGTATTAGTCCATTTTCACACTGTTATAAGAAATACTACCTCAGACTGGGTAATTTATAAAGAAAAAAGTTTAATTGACTCACAGTTCCACATGGCTGGGGAGGCCTCAGGAAACTTACAATCATGGCGGAAGGTGATGGGGACCAAGCACCGTCTTCACAAGGCAGTAGGAGAGAGAAAAAGGACACAGGAGGAATTTCCCAACATTTATACAACCATTAGATCTTGCGAGAACTCACTCACTATCATGAGAACAGCATGGGGGAAACCGCCCTCGGATCCAATCACTTCCTTCCCTCAACACGTGGGGACCACAGTATCCTCTCTTAACATGTTGGATATGTGGGTATTACAATTCGAGTTGAGATGTGGGTAAGGACACAGAGCCAAACCGTATCAAGGAATATAGGGTTTTATTTTGGGGTGATGAAAAAGCTTGGACATAGACACGGTAGTTGTACAACATTGTGAATGAACTAAAGCTACTAATTGCTCACCTTAGAATGGTTAATTGGATGTTATATAAATTTCAGCTCTATAAAAATAAAAAAAGTTGAGGTGAATATGAATTAAGATGAGTCAAGGCAAGAATAATTAATATTTTGGAAAATAAGAAAGAAAAGCAGGTAGATTGCCAAGGTAAATGAGTAACTGAGAATATTGCAGAGGAAAAAAAAAAGAGCAAACTCATGCATGTTAATGATGTCCAAAGAAACCAGAAAAAATAAGACAGAAAAAGATACTCAGTGCTATAATAGAAGTCTACTTTCCTGATCTTATGAAAAATCGAAATGTGCATATAAAAATACCTCACCAAGTATCAAGCAAACAATAAAGTGAAAGTTCTTCAAAAATTTTAAACATAAAAATAAATCCTGCTCACATGTAAGTTGATATATAGATGTTTTACAAATATACAATTGTAGAAAAAACATCTACATATCAATTTTTCTTCATACATTGCATCAAATATAATGTAAAAACATCAGATAAAATGTTGAGAGCATTAAAATGTATTTGTTACCAAAACAAACAAACAAATGGTATACAATGCACAATTTGATTTATATATGATTGTCATAGACACTGTCTTAGCTTTCTAAAAGTGAAACAAAATTCTACAAAACTGAACAAGGGGATTGAACACTTTATTTCCACCAACTGAAATATTTAAAAGTTCATAAACATATAAAAATGCAAATACAGCATAACTAGGGAAAACTAAACACTTACAGTATAGATTATCTAATAGTTTTGTTCTAAATTTTAAAGTGTCCTCAACCTATGACTCAGCACTGAACTCTGAGTCATGATTGCTGTGAATAAAATTCACCACAAGCTTTCTGGTTGCCAATTAAGCAGTAGAGATATAAAATTAATATGTACATACATTAAGGCAAACTTTTAATATTCAAGGTTTTATTTGGTAGAATCCTTCCTACAAATGATAGAAATATGTGCACAGGACCAGGCACAGTGGCTCACGCCTGTAATCCCAGCACTTTGGGAGGCTGAGGCGGGCGGATCACTAGGTCAGGAGATCGAGACCATCTTGGCCAACATGGTGAAACCCTGTCTCTACTAAAAATACAAAAATTAGCTGGGCGTGGTGGCACATACCTACGATCCCAGCTACTTGGGAGGCTGAGGCAGGAGTGTCGCTTGAACCCGAGAGTCAGAGGTTGCAGTGAGCAGAGATCATGCCACTGCAATCCAGCCTGGCAACAGAGCAAGACTCCATCTCAAAAAAAAAAAAAAAAAAAAGAAAAAGAAAAAGAAATATATGCACAGATATTCTTATTGAAGCATTATTTATAACGGATAAATGATAACCCTGACAAAAGGAGAGTAAGTTTCAACATCTAAGATATCTGGGCAGACTTTAACACATTCAGTAACAGAATACTATTCAACAATTAAAACTTTTTAAACAATTTATGTGTAGTGACTACATAAATTTCAATATAATACATGTGTAACAGAAATCATATTTTATAGCAATTTGTTCATTATGACTTATTTTGTAATAATATACATTAGGAATATATTACCTGTATTATTTTCAAAAAATAGCACAATAAAATGTATATTATTCTGCAATTTACACTTTGCTAGTTAAACATAGCAAAGCATCTGAAAGACTACCCCCATATTTTATCAGAGGTCAATTTTAGAAAGCAGTATTGAGGATAGAGATATTTATGTTCTATTATTATATTATATATGCCTACAGCTTCATGTTTAAAGTGTTAATATTTTAATTAAAAGTAGGTAATAAGTTATAAGTGTTTAAATATAAATCAGTAGTGCATAATTTCATAAGTAATTCTAGTGTCCAAAAGAGTTCTTGAGAAAGAATATACAAGTTGTAAAGCCACTTAATAATGGAAAATACGCAGAAATACTATATTGTATTTAATGAATATTGTATTTTATGAATACAATATTATTGAGTTCAAAAGGGAAAATATGAAGATGCAAGAATGGTGATTTCCAAGCTTTCCTAGGTGTAATCAACTTTTTCATGTTGAAAATTAAATAAATGTTTTGAATGAAAACAGTATAAAATGTCAAAATATAATTATTATTGAAAGTTACTGTATCTAGAAAATTTTAGGGTTCATTTTTCATTATTATTCTGGAAAAAACTTATTTCCAATTTAGATTAATCCTTCCAAAGTTTTGTTTCTATTTAAAAATATTAAATTTAATTTATCAGAACCTGATAAAAAGATCTGAGAGAGACAGACAGAGAGAGACAGAGAGAGATAAAGTAAGCATTTTCAGGCCTACAAAAGTGTAATAAAAATTCTAGATAATATTCTAGATAATTGTATCATACTATTTATTAAAATAGTAAGATGATATTGCTGACTATGGTTTATTATGGAAAATAAACATAACTCAATATGAGATTACACTATGCATGTATTACATTTCAAAGGTTCTCAAGTAAACATTTTTTCTTAATATATTAGTATCATTAAATTCAACACGCAAGCAATAACATCACAAAATTACTGCTGGCTTAACAGTAACAGTGATGTCAATCTTGGTGTTATGACTGTAGATCAGAAATCTTCTTTCCACCTAAGAAACATCTGAGAAAGAAATATATTTTCTCATTGTTCAAAACCCATCTTTAACATTTTCTGTTAAAATTCCGTATTTATTGATTTGGAAGAAAACACTAGAAACAAGAGTGAAGTGATCTTTTAAGAAAGCCTGCAATATCATCTCTCTTGTTGCCATAGAAAATATAATTATTTGGAAAAAGAAGACAATGACAGATGATTTAAAAGTGTTTTAGAAAGGTAAGCCAACTGTGAAGACATTTTAGAAACATTTAACCAATTAATTAACCTGTATTGTCTTCCTAACATATGCATAAGGGTCATGTAAGTTAGAACAATCTATGACTATGTGTCTAAAAGTGTCCTTCAAATTTTCAAGTAAATTTTCTAAGTGTTAAGAAAGAATTATTACATACCCAAAAAAGTCTATGCATGACCGTCCAGTAAATATAAACTGAAAATTCTAAGCATAACCATTTAATGGTACTGGTACATAAGAGAGTGTGTTACAAATATAATGTTTTTAATACAAGGACACATGTTGATTAATTGTATCAAAATTCAAAGAAAAAATAGTGATTCTATGGCTAGATGCCTCAAATCTAATGCAATAAATTTGTATACTATCCATGAACATATATTTATAGATAACTAATTAATGTTATTTTCATGGTGAACTTACCATAAATATGGAAAAATATACTAAAATGGAGAAGTTAAATAGAGGAAAGGAGCTCAGAAATCAGTGCAGTAAGACAAAGAAATGAGAGCACATTTTAAAGTTTGGAAATGGGTTCCTTCAACAGGGGAAAGAAAACTCTCACGTGTTACATCCCTCTTGATTCTAAGAATAGACAGAAATAATACTGCTCTGAATTATACTCCAGATGACTAAGCCAAGTGCTGATTCTACCCAGAAATATCTCTGTGCTTTGAAACAACATCCTCAACACTGAATACAAAGAAGAGATAGGAGTTATGACAACCACGAAAGACAGAAAATGTGATAGGAAAGACTGGAGATCCTAGTGCTGACACCCTAATGGGCTGTCAGGGACTGGAGCTGGTCTAGGGGCCCTCAGGCAACACCAAGGTGTGGCCTCAGCCAGATGCCTTCATTTCCTCCAGGACCTTATTCCACGCCGAGGCAATGGCTAGACCTCTGAGAAGGGAAACTGGATTGGAAAAAAGCCAACATTTCCCAACACCTGAAGGCGACAGGGGGATTGACAGTGTCCTTGCCTGCAAACCTGTCCTCCATGTCTTAAGTCTGACAGCCCTTAACTGGCTGACAGAGGCCCGGTGTTTTTCTTTCATTTTAGCTATTGTGGAGTTTAGGGACTCAAAAAAAAAAAAAGGACAGAAAAGCAGCAAGTCCGCTTTTACTCACACATCTACAGATCCCGGATGAGCCACTTAAAATGATGCAGGACTTTTTGGGGTGTTGCTTCACCAGCCCCAGTAGCCGGTGGTACCTCTGCTTGAGTTTTGCTCATGCCTGCTGGGCTGGTTCCACCCACTCGACCTGGCAAGCTGCACTCGGCTCACGCTACCACCCTGGATCCCACGGCTGCCAAAGGCAAGCCAGGCACAGAGCCAGGTACAGAGTGGCAAGGGGTTTGTGAGCAAGTGATCGTGGGGTCTGGCCACTGCACACAGCCAGGCACGCCAGCTGCTGCGGCAGGGCATGCAGCTCCAGGAACCGGCACCGGCACCAGCTCCTTGCGAGGCTGCAGCTGGACCAGGTGTACCACAGGCGGCTTCCGCTGCAAGTACCAGGGTCTGGATGAGGGGAACACAGTGGCACCCAAAAACCTGAGTGAGACGCCAGCAACCACAGAGGCCAAAGAGGTAGGGGGCGTGCTCCAGCTCTCTCGTTCCTACTTTCCGCGGCCACCAAAATCTCATTGCTCACACTGCTAGGAGGAGCTCTGCAAACCTGATTCTGAGAGCTGCTCGATTCATGAATCATTTTTTCCTCAAATAAACTGTTAAATTTATTGTGTCTAAAGTTTTTCTTTTAACAAATTTAAAATATGTTAAGACGATAGTGCCCATGATAAGTATTCTTTTAACGCATGCACACAAAAAGAATACAAGGAAATTTTTAGAGGTGATAGATATGTCTAGCACCTTTATTGTGGTGATAGTATTATAAGTGTATACATAAGTTCAAATGTATCGAAATATGTACACAAAATATGTACAATTTTTGTATCACAATTATACCTTCATAATGATTTTTAACATGTAACAAATAGATTAAAAATGCATTTTACCTCAATTAACATAGTCACAAAAATCTATGAAGTTAATATGTCCTCATCTGTATTTATCCCTATTTTAACTATTAGGAACTGAGACCCAAACAGGTTAAGTGAATTGTTAATGATCATACTGATAGCTAGTGACAGAGCTAATATTTTTTTGTGAGGTATAGCTCTCTCTTTTCTTCTACGTAAACATTACTTTTGAGTCTGAAAGATTTTACATAGATTATTTTAGCATTTTACGTTATTTGTTGTTTTTATGTATAGAATTTTTTTGGGTTGATTTATCTTTAATCATTAATCTTACCTTCTTCTACACTAACACATAGTGTGCATTGTTGCCTGCTGTTAAATGTTTTCATGAAAGTTTAAGGAAACCCAAAGAAATTGTGTATGATTATAGCATTGCTTAATTTCCTAAGATCCAAGATTTGGATATTTGTGTTATTTCCTTTTTTCTTCTTCTATTAGCAGCAATGTGATTATATATCCATGAGGAAAATTCATTGCACATACACATAATTAATTGTGGAGTATGCACAGAGATGAAATTGTTGGTTGAATGAATGCAGATTTTAAAGGGATTTCATATGTAGTGGCCTCAAAATAAAATGCAATGATTTACATATCCAGTAACTATGCATGAAGGAATTGCTTTGTTGCATGCTTGTAAAAAATAAAATAAGGAAAGAAAAAGGTAATATTTAATGATGAAAAAAGTAGAGAAAACACTGAACATAAATGATCTAAGTACTCAACTTCATAAGATAAAAGAAATCAAAATTTAAAAATTGATGTACACTGAAAAGAAATAAAATTTTAAAAGATATGACCTGAAATCAAAATATTTAAAATGTGTTTCAGTTTCTTATTTAATTTATACAAGTTGTTTTTTTTTTCAGCAAGTTTCTCTGCTCCAAAGTTTAAGTTTGCAACACAACACAAATGGTGTCATAAATGGCAACATAAACAAATCTCTCCATTCTTAATTATAATATTATATAAAAGAGCAACCAAAGACAACATAGATAGTGATAGTTTGAGGTTCTATTACTTTTATTTTGTATATCATGAATCTGAGATCAATTTTAGCAAAATATTATCTTACAAAATAAAATTTGTGATGTTACTATATACTCTTAAACAAAATAAATGCCTAATAAATAATTTAGTTTACATAGTATATATACCATTTCAAACACAAACAAAATGACAAAATAGTACATTAGCACATATATGACACTAGAAAATGTCAAAATTCTGGCATTAATATTTGTCTCAAAAATAACAATACTAGTTAAGTTTTGATTTAGTCTTTCTATTAAACTAATCCATTTTTGTTTGTGTGTATGCACAGGGGTGTGATAATTTAATGAAGAAATTTTCTAATGTTACAGCTTAAACAATGTCTCTAAATTTAGACTTCTTAAAGCTAATTTCCAACTCTTCCTGCCTGCAATGAAGAGCAAGAAGTGATTAAACTGTTCAATTGCACAATCAACTGACAAACAACAATCTACATGACACCTTCAAGAAAGGGATTAATCTCCACATGGCACAAAGGTACTAAAATTAGCCTACTTGTGAGTAATTGTTTAACATCTTGTAAATACAAATGCAGTACTAATTTTGCTTGACCTTTCTGAGTATGAGCTATGAATAAGGACATTCCAACCTTTTATTAGATAAAAACAGTCTTCATGTTGGATCATGAGTGACACTTGAAAATTATAATGTTACAAATAGTGTAAAAATTATACATGCTTATTTTTAAGACAGAAACAAACATATATAAGAGAGAAAAATGCAAGGATGTTAGTGAGCATCTGGTAAATATGCTTTCAGATACATTGGCATAAAAGTTACAGAAAAGTTTGAATAGATTTAAACATAGAACACATTTACGTTTTGTTTCAGAATTGGAGAAAATCACTTTTTGGAAGTCCTATGAGCAGATGAATACTCATTACAATTTCTAATAATATAAAAATGGTATTACTATTTATTACATTCATTATTTTGAATTTATATATATTCATAAATAAACTTGTTCTTGATTTATAAAGTCTAACAACTTTAGTGATACAAAGAGTTATGGATTTGAATGTACTAATAATATCAAACATTTACTTTCACTTATAGGAAGGCATTTTATGTGTAATTTGGAGTAAAGGTTTTTTATACTCTTTCTATATTAAAATTATATTATTCAATAAACACATAAAAGTATATTATTTACTCAATTGCTGAGATAATAATGATTATAAAAATTGTTTAATTCCTACCAAAACAACATAATAAAGTTTCAGAGTCGATTAAAATGTATTTAGAAAGTATTTTAGCTGGAGAATTTTTTGAAAAATACTATAGTCTTTGTACCAAATATTTATAAAAAGTTGATTGATAAAATAATAATAGCATTTGGATATTGTAATTCTAATCTTGTATAATTATTTGATATTTCAATATTTATAATGTTATTAAAGCTTTAATAATTTTAAATTAAAGTAATGTTTTAAAATTTAATGATTTTCATACCATCAATTTTGAAAGAAATCCTACTTATAAATACCCACATTCTGCGAGGGTAAAATAAAATAGAAGTTACTTTTGTTATCTCAAATTTTAACTGGTTGAAAAAACAAGGAAATCACAAATGAGACCATATCAGATTATTCAAAATTGGTCCAGATATAATGAAGCAAATAGGGTACCATAAAAAAAGTGAGATATTAAAAAAAATTCCTCATTCACTAAACTTCATTTAAAAAGGTATTCAGTAATGTACATAAGAGTAATGAAGTAATCTGGCAGCCATCAGTGCAGAGAAATCATAGTTCCAGCCCTGCAATTTGTAACTTTAAAGTTAATTGCAAATTTTTTAATAATAAAATTACAATTTTAGATAAAATTTTAGATATTTATTTGTATTCCAATAATTTTCTTACATGATGCTGATATTCACCAGAACTTCAGAAGTGGTAAAATCTTAATTTTAAAATGAATATCATTTAAACAAAATTGTATTTTGTCTGACTTCTGACTTCTAAGCTATGTGTGTATATATGTATATATATCTATATATATATGACAGATAAATATATAGAGATAGAAGGTAAATAAAAGGATATAAGTGTTATAAGAATCCTACTGTATATACCATTTTAAATAAACATTTTAAGAAAAATTTTAGGTTGTTAGAAAAGTTGAGCATAACATACCCAAAAGACAGTTTTTCCTATTAACATCTTGCATTTGTAGTCTACATTTGTTACAATTAATAAAGGGATATTATATGCTATATTAACTACAGTTTTTTTTGTTTACTTAGACTTCCCTAATTTTTACTGAATGTCCTTTATCTATTCCAGATACCATCAAGGATACAACATACATGAAGTTGTCACATCTCTTTAAGCTCATCTTAGCAGCCACTATTCCTCAGAACTTTCTTTGGCTTTGATGACCTTTTCAGTTTTTGAGAAGTATTGGTCAGGTATATTTTAGACTGCTATTCTATCAGAATTTGTCTTGTTTTCCTCATGACTAGACTGAGGTGATGGATTTGGCAGGTGGAGATGAAATTGCTGAAATTATTCCAGTTTTGGTCTTTGGGAGCTCGTGCAGATGGTTCCTATGCCACTTTGACATAGTTCCATCAATGTATTTTTTTCTTTCCTTTAGCACTTCTTTACTTTCGGGTACTGTAAGACACCCTAAACTCATCTTGTATATTTTCTGCCTCAGTCCTAGAATCTGCCATTTTGCCAAGGAACGCTTGTTCATCTTATTGGATAATGATGTTAGAAATCAAGATTTGGGTACTAAACGTGCTTTTGCTACTGGGATGTTGCTTCTTTTAGTTTCTCTTAGCCAATGAAGCAAAGGAATATACAATATAAGTGTTTGCTAACCTGAGTGTGTATACACACCTATAAATACTTCTGTATTTAACCATCTGCCTCTATTTTAGTTAAACATGAATTCTTAATAATATCTCCAACTCTAACCCATTATAGCATGGATCAATATAGCTCCTCCTGTTGCTGATCTGTAAATTTCCACTCCAGCAGTCAGAAATCAGGTTCGCATTTGCCATTCATTTCTTAATTGTTCAATGCCAGTACACATGTACAGTATCATCAAAATTGTTAAACTGTCCTCGTAAAAGAAACTTTATTAGAGTGCTTATGTGCAGCGTCTTTTTCTTTAGTTATGTAGACTCTATTTTCAGTTACTTCCGTCAGCCCCTTTCCCTCACCACCTTTGTTAGAATATTTCATTTGTAATACAGTGAAATCCTCATGTTTGTCATAATCTGCATTCTTTCCTAGGATACCCTGACTTCCTGCATAACTTTTTAAAATTGGCAAATATTATGGTTTATTCTTTTTGTAGTAAAGTTCTACAGGATTTGATAAATGCATAACGTCATGCATCCACCATTAAAGAATCATAAAGAATAGTTTCACTATCCTAGAATTCCCTTGTATTTCATTTATTTGGTCCTCCTCTCTTCTCCAACCACCAAACTTTTTACTATCTCTATATAGTTTTGCCTTTTTCAGAATTTCATATAATTGTAATTATACAATATGTAGTCCTTTGACTGGCTTTTTTCACTTAGTAATATGCATTTAAAGCTCCTCCATTACTTTGTGTGGCTGAATAGCTAATTTATTTTTTACATATCAGCAGATATAGCAAATACGCAAATATGTTAAAGGTGACTAATAATAATATAGCCCATGATACTCTATTAAACAATTTATTTCTCTTCTTTATAAACTCAGAGTTTGCGGATTATTTCTCTATTATTTCTCCCCAAGTCAGAATTACTTTTTAGAGCTCTATATTGTCCTGGAATTAAGGGAAGGTCACCTGCTTTTATTTCTGTCTTAGTCAAGATTACCCGGGATGCTTGGAGTAACAACCTCAAAATCTCAATGGTTTCATTTCTTGCTTCTGCTACTTGTCCTTCAAGGGCCAATGCATAGTTCTACCTTTTATTGTTATTATCTTTTCTGTGGTGCTCATGATAACAGCAAAATTATCTGAAAAAGAAAAGACATGTGATATGTTACTGGTAGCTGTAAACGAAGGGAAAAAGTGCTTTGGAGAGCCTACTATTGGAAATCAAATGCTCATTCTAGACATGGAATATCCCATTTCCCATTTCTGCTGACAATCATCAACCAGAAGTAGCCCCAAGGTCCCATCTGGGCACAAGTAGTAAGACATTTTGATCTTACTTTAGGCCTACAGGGAGAACTGAAATACTTGGAGCAATACTGATCTTGACAGGTACCTCTCTCTTTCTCCCTGACCTCAGCTATGTTGTAACTCATCTGGTTTAGGTTCTTGACACCCACTGTTTTTATTGACCATCTGAGAATGCCTACAAATACTCTTATCTAGACATAGCTGTCATACATCATGACTCTACTTGTCCTAAAGACAAGCTGCTTGAGCCTTTGGCAAAGGTACCATGTTTAACATACTTTTTGAAGATTTAGTTGTTACTGGGTTATATTATGGAAAGGACAGTGATGCCATTTATGCCCCCAAGACACTTCAAATCTATTTATGAATTTTTTAGCCTCCCTGTCTTTTTTTTAGTTCAACCCAAAGTGTAGGGAAGAGATGGTCACTTCTTAGAGTCTATGAGATCTAGTCACAGACTCTCTGATTCTCTGCCAACCATCTAGTCTTTACTGTTAATCCATTTGGGAAGGGAAATTTTTCTCATTTGACCACCACACGCCAATATCTATTCTCAAGTTCATCTTAAAATCCTTCAAGACAAGGTAGAAATCCAAAAGATTTTGTTTTCGCAACATATATTCAACATTTTAGAATTCTTAATGAACAAAAAACCTTCTCTCAAGAGTCAAAATTTAAAAGGTAAAATATGTTTGCTTTAAAATGATGCTCCTATAATAATGAGCATACGAAGCACTCAGATTTTGGCACTTAAATGCCATTCTCAGCTGGGAGCAGTAGCTCATACCTGCAATTCCAACACTTTGGGAAGCTGAGGCAAGAGGATCCCATGAAGTCAGGAGTTCGAGACCTGTTTGTGTAACATATAAAGACCCTATCGCTACCAAAAGTAAAAATAAATAATTAGCTGGGCATGGTGGTGTGCATCTGTACTCTGAGCTATTCAGGAGTCTGAGACAGGTGGATCATTTGAACCCAGGAGTTTGAGGCTGCAGTGAGCTATGCTTGTGCTGCTGCACTCCAGAGCCTGAGCAACAAACCTCAATCCTGTCTTTTTTTTTTTTTTTAATTATTCTCCAACCAATAAAAACAAGCACTCTTAGAATGAATATCTCATGTTAAGGCTAAGGCAGGGAAAATGCCAAGTGAGCCTTGAGCTCAAATAGAACCACAAGGTAACAAAGTCCTCAAAAATTAAAGTAGAAGGGGCATGCCAAAGGGACACTGGATTCAATCTGAGAGAGCTCCAAAAGGTCAAGCTGGAGAAAATTGAACAATGAGATAGATAATGTAGTATTGCACAATAACTCAATCTATAAAATATATATGTGAGCTCAAACCTATATAAATTATTGCATAGACAAACAAATAAGGAAAAAAGAAAAAAAAAACCTCCCTTGCAGAAGCCCAAATAATATACATAGATACTGCCCCCTCCAGAAGTGCTTAATTACCAGCCAGTCACTATCCTCTGAGGATGGCCTAGACTTAGTGACCTGTTTCCAAAGAAGAGAGTATGCAAAGAGAAAAACAGTAACTTTAGCTTTCAGAGACCTGGCAAACACTACCTTACACAGGTGGTAAATTATTAATGGTCTCATGTGCATATCATATTTAATCTGATATATGGGAAGAGCACATCACCTCTGTTGTATTCGTTTCAAAAACCTATAACCCCAATCTAATCATGAAAAAACTGTCAGAAAAACCCATTTTGAAGGACATTTTACAGGTGACCTGTAAAATGGGTTATTATGTTATTAATCCTCAAGATTATCAAGGTATGAAAAAATAAGAAAAGAAAATATTGAGAAGCTGTCACACATCAGAGGAGACTGAGTACATGTAACAAATTTCTGAAACAGAGAGAGAATGTTAACCAGAAAAAAAAGAAATTTAAATAATGTTTAGAGTTTAGTTAATAATAAAGAGTCAATGGCAGTTTCCTCATTTTGATAAATGCACCATGTTAATGTAAGATATTAACAATAGAGAACTAATAATTATATGGGAATATTTTCTATTTACAATTTACTGAAATTTTAAATTATTAAAGTTAAAATTATTTAATGTTATTCAAAATAACTTTACATTCATTAAAATTTGTTTGATCACATACTATTGCATTTGCCGTCACTTAAAATTCACCAATTGATTAAATTATTTGTTTTATGTTAAATCCACACTTCTCTTGAGACAATGAGTACAACTTACTTGATAGGGAAATGGCAGTGGAGAAATAAGAAAAAGAAGTGAGGTAACATGGCTTTAAACTTCATTATTAAAGTATGACATTTATTTTAAGCATGACTGTGTGATTAATATTAAACTTTCTTATTACTGGCTAACAACCTAAGAGATTTGATATCAGGAAGGAGACATTCAGTATAGCTTACTTGACTGTTGAAAATATATGAAAATTATCATTCCGCTTGCAAAGAACTGTATTCTAATCTAGACTAGCCACAAGGTTTGGTTAGAATGAATCATTCCTTAAGTGTCTACTGATTTGTGAATGCTGTGGTGAAATTGAGTCTAAAGGCAAAGATGAAAATTACATGCTGAAATTGTGCAATCCCACATAGGAGCTACAACCAGGTGCCAATTATTATCTGTCACTTTCATCTCAGTAAGTGCATGTTCTAATATTTATGATTCATTGATTTACTTAAAAACCATTGTTCCATTGAAACAGTGTAAAATTCAGGTTGCTTTTTTTAGATAATACATGTTAACCACGTATTTCTCACTCTCTCTCTCTCTCTGTGTGTGTGTGTGTGTGTGTGTGTGTGTGTGTGTGTGTGTGTGTGTGTTTGGATTGAAATAGGCATCTGATTATAAAATGGTTGATATGGGAAATGAGATATCTTAAATGATTTGACTGAATATATATTATATCACATAATAGTGAAGATATAACTTTAATTTTTATGGCATAGCACAAGAAATGATTTCATAAGAAACAGATACCTTCTCTGCCTTACTTTTATTTGTTTCTCTCTGGGTTTGTTTGACATGTTTATGGAGAGTCACTCCATGCTGACGTGTATTTTTCTGTTTTCAGTGAAATTTTGAGATACCGGGGCATGATATTCATCTCAGTAAGTGCTTTGTCTAGAAATTATTCATAGGCTAACCGTAATTTAGACATGTTGAAAATTTACATCCTGACCTTAATGGCTTAAAGGCATAATTCCGCTTTTATATCTGTTTGAAAAAGCACTGCAGGCCAAAGTGAATGTAAAAATATTCAGAGACTTATTTTTTCAAGCCATAAAGCATTCACTTATCTCAAAAAGTAATAGAATTTGGAAATGTCATACCAAATAAGTTTTTATTCATATAGTCTTTCTAAACTGGACCCTCCTTCAGAGTTTGCCATTATTGTTCAAAATATTTAATTTGTAATGTCAAAGAAAATATATTGTAAGTAATATGATTATTTAATGTCAGCATTGAGTTGATATCAACATTTCTTTTTTCTGTAATTTAATTATAAGCATAATTAATTTAAATACACACACATATGTAGTGTACTATATGCCAATCACTGTACTAAGTGATGTAAAGATAAACAGAAATTAAAATTGTGCTTTACCCTCAAGAAATTCAGAAGTAGGACATGTGAAGATGTTAATAAATAAATACAAGATTTTACAATATTTGTGAATGACAATATGAAAGATAAATTTATTTTGCTGGAAAGATATAATCCTTGCTACATATTTTGTCATCTAACAAGAGTTTCTGTCATCCAGAAGTTATCTTTATGTGTCAAAGTTTTAAAATGGGCAATAAAGTGGGTAATTTTTTCTACTACCGATGGGTTCATTAAGAATAACCCTGGGACCACTGATACCCATCACCTGCCTAATAATGTCTCCAACAGCCAAGCAACTTGCTAATATCTGTTGAAAAATGCTTTTCACCTAAGTGGACTTTTTTATTCTTTCATCAAATAGGGTAATCTATGCCTTTTGAACCACTCTTTACAAAATCTTCATCCTGCCTTTGCTACTAACAACTTCACCAAACCACTGGAAGAGGAACTATATGAGTGAAAAAATCACATCATTCTTCCTCAGCATTTGTATTAGTTTGTTCTTATGCTGCTGATAAAGACATACCTGAGACTGGGTAGTTTATAAAGAAAAAGAGGTTTAATGGACTCAACATTTCCCCATGGCTGGGGAGACCTCACAATCATGGGAGAAGGCAAAGGAGGAGCAAAGGCATGTCTTACATGGCAGCAGGTAAGAGAGCGGGTGCAAGGGAACTCCCATTTATAACACCATCAGATCTCATGAGATTTATTCACTAACATGAGAACAGGATGGGGGAACCACCCCCATGATTCAATTAACTGCACCGTATCAGCATTAAACTGGACATGAGAATAGTATTGAAGGGTAATAGATTTGTAAAATAGTTCAAAATACTTTAAGCAATAAATATTCACCATAAAAAACTTATTTGTGTTTTTTATCCTAATTTGACTTTTCTACACCCATTCTTATTTTTTAAAATGGCTCTCTATTTTTAATACAAAAAATATTTTTCTATTAAAATGCATGTAGAAGCATTAGCAGATTTTATAACTACTTACAAGAAAAATGCCAGGTAATGCAAAATAATAGTATGTGATTAAACAAATAGAAATTAGATCTGAGGACCATTACCTGAAACTAGCATCACATTTTAAAGATAAAGCTACATGCAAAATTGTTTCTTTTATAAAAATAAATGCTATTGTACCTTTCTTGTTTATCTAATCTCAGTGGATTCTTTGCCCCAGTACTCCATCTTTTAACTATTAGGGGTCCTTACATGGGACAAAAACTCCCAGAAATTTGTTTTACATTTCTCCCTACTTATAAGGCATAATATTAATATGATATGAACATATTATACTTGGCTGATTACCTTCAAACTAAGACATTTGGTTAAATGTGCAGAAGTAGAAACTGCTATGGATCAATATAAAAATTCTCACATTATATTTGGCCTGTTTTTTCCATGTTTATAAAATATATTTCTAAAATAAATGTTTATTAGTTTATAGAGGGACATATTCTGTATTTAAAAAACCTTTTATTTTCTCTGCTAAATACATCCAATTGATTACTGCTATACTAATGGGATTTATTTTTCAACCTTGACATGAAAATTCACATGTTCCTTATGCCCAGGGCCTGAAGTCATACAGGGAGAAAACACTCATGAATTTTAATAAGTTATCTTTCTATTTTTTAAAATTGTGATGCACATTTATATTAATATAATCTCATATGGGATAACAGCAATATAAGAGGAGGGTAATTTTTACATGGTGATGCCTTTGATCAATTCAGTAACAAACTGAGTATAAGTTATAGGCCAAAACTTCATTTGAATGTATTTTATACACTGTTATATATTTTATGTATATATATTCTGTAGTAACATTCATATATTTTTCTTATTTTTTCATATTTTCATTTTTTACCTTTAGAAATATTGAAATTGTTGGCAAAATCTGTTGGAACATATTTCCTGGCAAAAGAGAAAGCATGAACATAAGATGAAGTGAATGTGATCTTGGGGACAAAAAAGCAAGTTCAATCTCCAACTCTAAGAATTTATTGAGTTAGCGGCAGCTACTTATTGCGTTTTCTGTTTACTACTTTGCTTCTAAATTTTACATATATGTTTACGTCTGTATTCAAACCAACTTATAGGAATAATACACATTTTACAACTGGATTATTCATCATATTTAAGAATTATTTTTTGTCTACTGAAACCAATTATTATTTATATTTACAGGCAGTTACATTCTTTTTTAAAATCTATTTTCCTTTATATTGTCAAAATCATGAATTTTTCTCATGTGTTTCACATATAACTCATAAGTGAACAAACAAAAGAGAGGAGTGTTTAACTTATTTTATGACCAACTTTTCTTTTCTTTTCTTATACCAGATAGTCATCTGCTATGATAGAGGACTGCAGAAATTTAAGAATGGATTTTGTAAAACATTGTCAAACTTAGGTGCTAAGCCAAATGTTATAATAAACCACACCAATATCAAGAGTGAAAAATGTCAACAAATAACTGGCAAGGGTGTTAATATCTTCAGTTTTAATATTTATCTGCAATATTGTTCATATCTTCATTTTCTACTCAGGATGTGATGTAGTTCAATTTGAAATTGTGAGAATGTGAACTAGGTAGAGCACGTTAATAAAAGTTTAGCTAGTTCTACTTTGGGAGGCCGAGGCAGGCGGATCACGAGGTCAGGAGATTGAGACTATCCTGGCTAACATGGTGAAACCCTGCCTCTACTAAAAAATACAAAAAAATTAGCTGGGCTTGGTGGCAGGCACCTGTAGTCCCAGCTACTCAGGAGGCTGAGGCAGGAGAATGGCATGAACCCAGGAGGCAGAGCTTGCAGTGGGCCGAGATCGCACCACTGCACTCCAGCCTGGGAGACAGGGAGAGACTGCTATTTTTCCCATAGCAGTAAGGGTCAATTTACAGTCACTATATTGGCCAAACTAAGTCTCGTAATAAATACTGACAAATCATTATCTATAGAATAGTTAAGCACTTTGTCACTCCATTAATATTTCCTGAGACATACCAAAATTATTTCCTTCATTAGTGTTTTCTTTGTTGAACTTAAAAGAATATTTTGAACTTTATCTTCATTTTCTATCAGTTCACTTGAACCTTGGCTTAGTTCTCAAATATGTAGGAACAGGGTTAAATCCTCAAAATTTGGCTAATAAGAATTATTTTTACTATTTATTCAATTTTATTCAGTTAATATTTCAATATAAACAGTGAAAACAACCAACTTAATTTTTTATAATACAGGTCTCAGAGATATCGCCTGTGATTCATTTAGTTTAAGCCTTCCCATTTGAAACTGCTGCAGAACTCATATTTTCTGTTTCTTAAAGTTGAGATTGATATAAATCATAGAAAATTTAAAAACATGTCTCTTAATATTAACAGTTAACTGGTATAGTGACCATAACTAATCACATTCATCTTTGGTGAATCACATTGAAATTAATGAGAAAATAACTTTAGGAACCAAAATTAGTGACTGAAAAGCATTTTATTAGCCAATTGTTTGAAGGCATGTAGAGATAATAAAGAAAATCTGAGAAGATGAAGATTGCAGCATAGTTTTCTAAATCCTAACATTAAAAAAACAGGAGAGCAATTATATATGTAAAACTCAAAACCCATGAACACTGTTTACAATAAAGTCTAGAGACAAGGTATCCCTATGAACCTCAAAAAGTGCAAAAGGCAAATGACCACAAGACGTTCATGTAAATATTATATGTGCAAAGAAAAAGTAGTGAGACTCAATACAGTATTTGATAGTCATGATAATAGGAGAATCCTTAAATAGCCAACAGCTATTTAATGGAAAACATGGGGTCCAGTTTGAAAATAACAGTTGAAAAAGGGAAGTAGTTTTGCCGAATCCAATAGCAGATGAGTACAAGGAGTTCATAGTGGTTCCCCATGGCTGGAGCTGTAATGTCACAGTAAACACTTAAAACTGATCAGCTAAACTGTTTTCTAGGACAGGACAGCAAACTGAAGAGAAATCGTTTGAAATGGAATCAAAGTAAGCCAATTAGAGGCAACAACAGAACAAAAGAAAGAGAAGCTACAGATAAAAGTGGAAAAAAAAAGATAGATTATAGATACAAGTGGAGAAAGGAAACTGTATCAGAAAATTTCAGAGTGCAAAACCACCATATTTTCTAGCAGTATACCAAAAGTGACCACACACAGAGCTCTGTGTCATTAGAAAATTTATCCTGTAGCATGCCTACTTCAGTTTCGAAAAATTAAATTTACATAACAAATTGAGTTTTAATTTAACAAAAAAAGCTATTGTAAGGAATAAACAAGGATAACAAGAAGAAAAACATACTTTTAGAAAATAAAAGCATGCTAAAATGTCAGGCTTTCAGGACATCTTAAAACCGTAGATTATTTCTATTTGAAAATGGTCTATTAATAAATAACATTAAGAAATAATAATGAGACTAGTATTTTCCTGATATTAAAAGAAGATCAAAGACATCAGGTAAAAAGAAAGCTACAGACAGATGTCTTTTATGAATGAATATACGCACAAAAATGCCCTTGTCAAATACTAGTAGCACTGAATCAAGCAACATATACAGATGTGTGGACACCATATACAAATGGATCTATTTCAGAAATGTAATATTGGTTTAATATGTAAAAAATTAATATAGTACACCATATCAGTAGAACAAAGGTCAAAAACCACTTGATCATCTCAATAGATGCAAAGAGTAAAAGTATTTGACAAACTCTGATTCATTTTCATGATTAGAACCACACGCACACACACACATAAATACTAGGAGGGAACTTCCTCAATCTGAAAAAGAGGATTTACAAAAAATCAACAGCTCACCTTGTACTTAGTGATTAATGAATGACTCAATGATCTTCCAAAAAGAAGAAGGCATGAATATCTATTCTTGCAGACTTCTATTCAACATTGTACTGGAGGTGCCAGCCAGGACATTTATGTAAAAATATGAGAAAAAAAGTAATCTAGATTGAAAAAGAATAAAGAAAATCATCTCAATTCATAAATGTCATGATGTTGCATATGGAATAACTTAAGAAATCAACTAAAAATCAAAGAGAACTAATAAATTAGTTCAGCAGAATTTCAGGATACAGGATAAAATAATCAACTATATTTTTACACACCAGGAATGAACAATTCAAAATGATATTAAGAAAATAATTCCCAGCCAGGCAGGTAATCCCCACACTTTAGGAGCCAAAGGCAGGAAAACGGTATGAAACCAGGAGTTTGGGACCAGCCTGGGCAATAGCAGGAGTGTCTCTATAACAAACAGAGAAATAAACAGACAAACAAACTAAAAACTTAGTTGGTCGTGTTAGTCCTAGCTGCTCAGGAGGCTAAAGTGGAGAACCACTTGAGCCCAGGAGTTCAAGTTTACAGTGAGTTATGATCATGCCACTGTACTTCAGTCTGGGCCACAGAGCAAGACTGCAGGAAAAAATCCAATTTAATAGCATCTGAAAGAATAAAATACTTAGCAATAAATTTAACAAAAGTGCAAAAGTGGAATCTTATACACTTAGAACTGCCAAACATTGTTAAAATAAGTTAAAGAAAATGTAAATAAATGGAAAGACACTCTATGTACATGGCAAAGAGACTAAATATTGTTAAAATGACAATATTTCCTATTATTGTCATTTTAACAATTAATGCATTAGTGCAATCTCTAACAAAATCCCAGCTGGCTTCTGGAAATTGACAAGCTGGTACTAAAATTTATATGGAAGTTCTGGGGAACCAGAATAGCCAAAACAATCTTGGGAATGAAAAGGAACAAAACTGGGTAACTTCTACTTATTGATGTCAAAGTTTACTACAAAACTTAACACAATGTGGTACGCGCATAAAGAGACACATACAACTCAGTGGAGTAGAACTGAGCATGAAAATAAAAGCACAAAACAGAAAGAAAGATCATCTTTGCAAATCATATCTTTGATGAGGAATTTGTATCCAGAATATATAAAGAGCTTTTACAACTCATTATTAAAAATAACTCAATTTTTAAAAAATTAACAAAGAATCTGAATAG
Source organism: Homo sapiens (assembly GCF_000001405.40). Classification (NCBI taxonomy): domain Eukaryota; kingdom Metazoa; phylum Chordata; class Mammalia; order Primates; family Hominidae; genus Homo; species Homo sapiens. Next base: position 195,747,928 of record NC_000001.11, on the reverse strand, counting down.
ATTTTTTTTCCATAGAAGATATAGAAATGATTAACAAGCACAGAATAAGACCTTCAATATCATTAGAGATTATAACATTGCAAATCAAAACCACAATATGCTACTTTACACCTACTAGAATGACTATAATGAAAAAGACAGATAATAGCATATTTTGCCAAAGATGTGGAAAAATTAGAACTCACATATTGCCAGTGAGAATGTAAAATGTTACAGCCACTTTGGGAAACAGCCTGGCAGTTCCTTAAAATGTTAAACATAAATTTAACATGTGATCCACCAAACATATGTCCACACAAAAACTTGTACATGAATGTTTTTAGAAACGTTTAATAACCAAAAAGTGTAAACCACCTTATTGCTCATCAACTGATCAATAAATAATATGTGGTATAAACAGAAAGTGAAATATTATTCAGCAGAAAAAGAAGGAATTACTGACTAGTACATTCCACAAAATTTGAATGGTTCTTGAAAATATTAAATGAATGAAAAAAGCCAGTAACAAAAGATCACATATTATATAATTCCATTTTCAGAAAGTGTATAGAATAGATAAATTTATAGAGAAAGAAAGTGGATCAGTAGGTATTTTTTTTTAATGTAACCTGGTGTGTAATATGGGAAATTAGAGACTCAATGCTAGAAGACATAAGGTTTCTTTTGGGGTGATAAAACTGTTCTCCAGTGGATTGTGGTGACGGTTACACTACTCTGAGACTATACTAAAAACCATTGAATTGTACAATTCAAATGGGCAAATTGTGACATGTGAATTCAATCTCAATAAATCTATTACCAAATAAATTATGCAATGTTTCAGACTAAATGTATTAAATCATGTGCACAAGTTTTCTTTACATTGCAAAATATAAAATACTGCTAAAAGAAACAAAACATAAACTAAATAAATGGAGAAATATATTTTGAAAACTGTAAAATTCATTACTGACTGGGCAGGGTGGTTCATGCCTATAATACCAGCACTTTGGGAAGCCGAGGCAAGATTGCTTGAGCCCAGAAGATTGAAATGGCTGGACCTGTAGTCGCAGCCACTTGAGAGACTGAGGCAGGAGGATCGCTGGAGCCCAGGAGTCTGATGATGCAGTGAGCTTTGATTGCACCACTGCATTACAGCCTGGGTGACAGAGAAAGACCCTGTCTCTAAATTTTTTTATTAATTTAAAAATTTATTATTGTCAGTTTTACTGAAATTGACCAATAGGTTCAACAAAATTTCATGCAGAATATCAGCAAGAATTTTATATATTACGCAAAGCTAATATTAAACTTTATATGGAAATACAAATGGTGAATAATAGTCAAAAGGATTTTGAAAAACAGATACAAAGTTGGATGATTTTAACTACCTGACATTAAGACAATATAAATCTACAGCAATCGAGACAGTGTGTTATTGGCATAATGATAGATTGTGAACATAGTGGATCAATAGAAAGGAAATAGATCTACATATCTGTGATTAATTGATATTTCACCATGTTGTTAAGATAAAGTATTCAGCTAAATATGCTCTTTTCGGGCAAATAGTAATAAAACAGCTGAATATCCATTTGGGAATAAATAAACTTTGCTCATTCACACTATATATAAAAATTTCACTTAGACCTACATTTAAAAGTTAAAATTATACAAATTCTAAAAGGAATGTTAGGAAAAAATCATTGTGACTTTGGTGTAGAATAAGGTATTCCACTTGTGACACAGACTCATAAAACAAAAATAAATTGGTATTTTTTTCTTTAAAAATGTTAACATCTGCTTTTCCAGAATACCAAGAAGAAAATAAAAATATAAGCCTCAGCTTTCAAAAATGCATTTACAATATTATCTATCTATCTATCTCATCTATCTAAATTGAAGCAATGTTATAAAACTCAGCGATGACTATTAATAAAACTTATTATTGAGCAAAAGTTCAATTAAAAATGCTCAAAAGTTTTAATAGAGCTTTCACAAAAGAAAGTATATGGATTGCTAAGAAGCACATAAAAATATGTTCCACATTTAGTGTGTGACAAACTACAGGTATTATGTAGCCAGCTGTCTGCTTTTGTAAATAAACTTTTATTGGATCACAGCCACAACCACTCTCTTATATATTGCCTCTGGCTGTTCTTGAACAACAATGGCAGGGTTGAGTAGGTTGGAGATACAATGCATGGCCAGCAAGCTTATTTTTTTTCTTCTTTAACCCTTTAAGAAAAAAGCTCTCCGACTTCACTATTCAATAATATACATCATAAAAGTGCAATTTAAAGCAAAACCAAAATGAAATAGCACTATGTAGCCACTAGATTGACTAAAAAGGAAGCAAATATAAATATCCATATACAATACTGATGAGCATAACAATTTGAACTCTCATGCATTGCCTGCAGGAATGAAAAATGGCACAGCTACTTTGGAAAATAATTTGGCAGTTTCTTGTAAAGTTGAATAGGTACATATCAAATGGGATGGTAATTGCACTCCTAAGTACTTAGCCAAGAGAAATTTTGTTTAAAAAAAAGTATTTGCATACAAGACATGAATCATCATAGCAGCTTTATGTAAGACACACTAAAATGTCTGTTGACTCATGAATGGATAAATGAGTCTTGGTATAGCCAAAATGAAATAATACTCAGCAATAGAAAAGAAAAAATTAGTAACAGCATGGGAGAAATTCAAAAGCATTATGCAAAGTGCAAGAAGTCAAGCCTGTAAGGTTATTTTCCATATAATTTCGTTTATATGAAATTCTATGTGAAATTTTATGTGAAAAGTCAATGTCAATGCCAGAAAAAATATCATTGGTTGACAATGGTTGATGTGTGAGAAAGGCATTGACTGCAAAAGGGCACAAGGGAACACTTGGGTGATGTAAATGTTTGATAGCTTAATTATAGTGGTGGTTACACAGGTATATATACTTGTCAAAACTTACAGAACTGAAATTAACATGGGTACATTTCACTATATATATCCTAACTAAAAAACTTAATATAAAAATAGATAGATAGGTGTAATAAATTATTTGGCATCTAGAAGTCAAGTTTTAGGGTATTTCAGTTTACTTTTCTATTAGTGGTAAAAGTTTAGATTAGGTTCAAGCTTTTTCTCCAAGATTTATATTATTTAAAAATGAAAGATAACCATGAATACTGCAAAATGTTTTCTTCATATTCTGCAAATTGTAAATTTTTGCAGTTACTTCCCATTGAATGTACTATTACCTACAGGTCTAACTAACAAAAGGAAAAGACTAGAGGATGAGCTATAAAATACCTTAGCTGAGTTTAAATCAAAACGATGCAGGATTTTTCTTAGTCTCTTTGTTGGACTAGCAACAGAAGGCCCCCATCTACTCAGCCAGCTGGGCCTCATCTGGCTTGCACTCTGGCCTGCTTCTCCCGTGGTCATTGTGACCCTGCACTCAGTTCCTGGCGAGAGGGAGCATGTGAACAGGCAAGAGTGGCATCTGGCCGGCCACTCTGAGTGCCAACACAGAAGCAGGCTCCATGTGGTGCCTGTGGCCAGACCAGGAGTCTCGCCCCGAGGGGAATGTGGCTGCACCCAGAGGGGTGCTCTTGACCCCAAAGCCCTGGAGGGTGTGTTACAGTATGGTAATTAGCTCTTTCAGTACCACAGTCTGCAGGCTGAGAGATGGCAGTGTGTTAGCAGCTCAGTCAGTCCCTGCCCCATTCTGGTCCACAGCTCTGGGACCAGCTCAGCCCCACCACTGCTTCCCTCACGTGCGGCATCTGCTGTCTGCCAATGAGGGTTAATGGCAGAGGGCCAATGTGACAGCCTTTCTGGGTACCTGTGTTCAGTGGGTCCCTAGCTCTTGTCCTGCCTCCAAGAAGAAAGAGGTCATATTGATAATTGAAGAGTGATGAGGGCAGAGAATTTTATTGAGTGACAAAACAGCTCTCAGTGGAGAGGGGTTGGGAAGGTTGGGTCGTCTCTCCTGAAGTCAGGTCATCTCCCCAGTGTGGCTGAGTCTGGGGCTTTTATAGGCACAGGATAGGGGAGTGTGTGCTGATTCGTTCGTGAGTATGCAAGAAAGGTTAAAACAAAGCCACCAGTCAAAGGTGAGCAGTGTAAAAACAATTAGGGAATAGTAGGTGTACGTAAAATAGGTGAAGGGTCCCCATGATCAATCAAAGGAAAGTGTACCTAAGAGGAAGACAGTTTCTTAATCTGTTCCATGGATTTGACTTGTAGTTTGGCCTTCAGGCTTTAAACTGTGGCTTGAAGGTGGGGTTTCACTGGGTACCTGTCCCTTTTTGCCCAGGCATTTGTCTGCTCTTGCTGCTATCAAAAACATTATTTTTTGATACCTAAACCTACAGTCTGCAATGAAATGAATTTTAGTGTGCAATTATTTAAAAGAGCCAACATAATCATTGAATGTATGACGTGTGTGTGTATGGCTCATATGTAGTGTGTGTGTGTGTGTGTGAAAGAGAGAGAGAGAGTAAGAGAGAGAGATAGGGTCTCCTTGTGTTGCTCAGGCTGGAGTGCAGTGGCATAAACATGGCCTCAACCTCCTGTGCTCAATAAAGCTTCCAGCCTCAGCTTCCTGAGTAGGTGAGACTACAGGTGTACACCAACAAACCCAGCTGATTTTTGTATTTTATGCGTAGATGGGGTTTTGCCATGTTGCCCAGGCTTGTCTTGAACACTTGGGCTCTTGTGATCCTCTCACCTTGGCCTCTTGAAGTCTTGGGATTACAGGAGTGAGCTACCATACCCAGCCTGAGCTATATTTGTAATAAAAAAGCACAGTTTTATAAATTGGAACTCCAAATGTCAGGTACATAGTTACCATAAATGTTTATTGAAATACACAGTATTTTCTTGTTGTGTAAAATTTTAAATAACAGTGAACTCTAATTGAAAAGTTTATCCTCATGACTATTTAGTAATATGGTACACAGTTGTTTTAAAGACAGCATGGAGTCCACTGGATTATTCAACAACTACAGTGTAAGTATTCTGGTTGTGGTCAGCAGAATCAGTGTACCATATTTTATTTTTCTTCCTACAGCATTTCTTAAAGGGACCATGGTTCATTTAACTCAATGGTATTTATCTATAAACTTAATGTTCAGGTGTTTAGGGCTTTTATTTTTTTCTCTAATATTCAGACTTGGTTGTTCTGCTTTAGAGGTATTATGTGTAGGTTTTAGGTTTAAAGGAAATAATGACAGCTATTTTGGTGGAGGAAGTTTATTCAAATTTTTATGTAGAACTAGTTACTGAAAACAAGATTTTTTGTGATCCTTAGTGTTTAAAATTAGTTTATCATCATTTGTTTTATCAGAGACGTAAGCATCCATTTTTCAACACTATAAATTGACTGTTAATTAGCACTCAACTTCCAGCATTTTTTTCTCATTCAAAAGGAAGCACCTGTATTGGACAAATTCTAGCGCTGCTGACAGCGGAGAGAATTAACCTTCCTTAATATCAGTATACTAAACATAGTTACCATTGGGTGAAGTATCACAGTTGTGATGAGATTAGCATCATAAAAGAAATAGGAACTTTACACAAAGAAAACCAACTCTGTTTTCTTGAGAAGATTCTTCCTCAATGCACACCCATCTGTTTTTTGTAACCATTATTCTATCAAAACACTATTTCTATGGCCTGAGGAACACGTTGCTAAACCCAGCAGACATTTTTTCTGTTCTTTTTTAATATGACCTGTAGCAGCATCTAACTCAGGCTTTTCTTGCTGAAATACTCCTTTCCCTTGTCTACAAAAATGATGTATTTCCAGTTTCTCTCACATATCTCTGGCTGGCTGCTTGGTTTCAGTATCTTTGTAGAATCTCCCCTGCCCCCGCCCCCCTCCCCCCACCCCCGCCCCCCCTCCCCCCACCCCCGCCCCGCCAAATGCCTCCATTTTCACTAGTCTTTTTAACCCATTCCTGTCATGGTCTATCCTGCTCTGTATGCTGGCAATCTCACCCATCCATCAAATTCTATTTTCAGTCCACCTACAATCTCTACATTTTAAAATGCAATAGTCGTGTCTCATGCTTCATAGGCCGTGATTTGTAGCAGCACTGGGCACAAATGATCATTCTTCCTTTCTTAAAACAGCTTCCTTACTAACCTGCAAGGGCAACACGTGCTCTTGTTAGTTTCTCCTTCTTAGTTAGTTGTTCCATCTCTGCCTCTTGCTGATTCACTGCTATTCTCCAAAGTCCAACAGTAGAATGTTAAGGGCTGGTGCCTTGTCACTTGATTCTAATTATTTTTTACTTTAATTTACCCTTCATTCTTTTGGTGATTTCATGCAGTCTCATGTTATTTCTTCATATACCATCAATACCCTAGTCGAATATCAGATATCTATGTATCTCTATCTCCTTCTCTCTCTATCTCATCTTAGACCTCCTTCCAAAGATCCAGATTCATATATACAATTATACTACTATTGAATCAAATTTCCAATAAAATTTCTGACAGATACATGAAACTTAAGTTCATTTACTTTTATCATGTTTTTCTTAGGGTATATACTCTTCAAGGATACAATTTGTTTCTACATTTTCATTACTCTATGTTTTACTCTTAAATCTTACATTTTTTCATAACCTTTAGTATTACATATGTAGGTTCTTATAGGGCTCTTTTATTTGATTGTATTTGTAGGTTTTATATTTCAAATTTTATAGGACAGAGTTATTTTAAAGATGGACTGATGGAATTCTATGCTTATCTCCAGGAATGATGGAAAGTCTAGTACTGACTCTTTGCCCAAATAGGGTGAGTGGGCTGACTAATAATTGAAAATATGTTGTTTAACATCTGAAATTCCCCTGGAGGCATGCAGATCTTGCTTGATTATTCATAAATTTTGTCTGATGTCACTGGTAAAAATGTGTCGTTTGGCTATATGATCAGTAAGGCATAAAAAACCCCATTGGAATCTTTGCTTGACCTCCCTGAAACTGAAACTTCTTGCACACATCTAGGTGGTGGTTTTATAAACTAAAGATAAAACATGTCCTGTGTAATTATGACCCTAGGAAGAAGTACCTCAAAGTCAATAGGGCTCCAATTGTTTCATGTTCTTTATTTTTCCAGTTATACCATAATTGTTGCCTATGTAAAACACCTTCAAGGAGTATGCTCTGTGAAGTCTTGTGAGTTCTTCCAATCATCTGATTCCATGATTTTATTGCTCATCCTATCCAAAATTGCCTTGTTGCCTATTCTTCACAATTTCTTTTTTCCATAAAATCTCCTATTTAAATTAATAAAGTCAACATTCTTTGATTTCCTTCAGGGCCTGCTGTCATGAGATGCTATATCAGAGTCAGGCTGGTGTTGGTGTCTTATTGGTACCAAAAGCCTATTTTGCCAGTCTTATGATCTCTATTTCAATGTTAATGCTAGTCAGTTGTGTCTAAACTCCGAAGAAAAGAGAGTACAAAGAAGCATATCCAACACTTCCCTTTCTGTCATGACCTGAACTAGTTTTTCAGGTTTCTTTGAAATCTTCATGACCAAGGGGGGTTCTGTTCAGTCACTGGGGGGCTTAGAATTTTAGTTCTGGTTCACACCTAAATCTCTGCTTTATCTTTTTCTACGTGTATATGTACATTTTAAGTTTCATGTTATTTGAAGTTTACTTATATTAATGCGTCTTTGTAAGTGTTTTCCCCTTCGCCTGGAATGCGCTCATTATCCACCCCCGCCCCCCCTTTTTTTTTGGATGGAGTTTCACTCTTGATGCCCAGGCTGGAGTGCAATGTTGCAATCTAGGCTCACTGCAACCTCTGCCTCCCAGGTTCAAGTGATTCTCCTGTGTCAGCCTCCCGAGTAGCTGGGATAACAGGCGTGCACCACCACAACTGGCTAATTTTGTATTTTTAGTAGAGATGGGGTTTCACCATTTTGGTCAGGCTTGTCTTGAACTCCTGGCCTCAAGTGATTCACCCGCCTTGGCCTCCCAAAGTTCTGGGATTACAGGCGTGAGCCACCGTGCCCGGCCTCTCACTATCCCTCTTACTACTCACTTTTTATTCTGTGAAGGGTAGTAGCAAATAATACTTAGTACTAAATGAACTTGGGCAAGGGATGTAACTGTACTGAACTTGTTTTCTTTTTATTAAGAGATAATATTTTAAGACTCAGAATCAATTCTTTGGATAACTATCTCTAATCCATCCAAGTTGGTTGTACCTCCCCTTAATGTGACTCCATAACACTTTGGATGTACCTATAGGGCTGTAGAGAAAATATTTCAATATTTCTGCACCATTAGGATTTTGTGGGCAAATTTTAGTGGAATTTGGGGCTTGGGTTTAAAGCACAAGACTTAAGAAATTAATTTATAACTGAAGAAAGAGTGAGAAATCTAGAGAGATTTGCCTGTCCTGAGCTGTGTGTTTACATATCAAAGATTCACAAGATCCTGGGGCCATAGAGGCATCCCTAGGGTGTTTTAGCTGGAAACAGTGATCTTATCTTTCCGCTAGCAGGATTTATTTGCATTCCAAACAGTTAGAGGAAGTAACTAGAATTATTTCCATTACTTTCCAAGAAGATACTCTAAGAAGTGGAAAGGGGACAGTTGCCTCTTTTTCTTAAATCAATAAGGAATTATATATTTTTGAAATTTCTTACCTATCATAGGCCTCTTTAAGCTTAGAATGATGTCTAGTTCTCATTGTCTTGTCCAGGAGTAGAAATTGGAACAATTTGCTATAAATGTTAGTAGTGGAATTTATCTGAGTCACACAGCACCAAAGTATGTTGCTGGCGACAAATATGTAGGCGTCTGCAGCAACCTCAATTCTTGCCTCCTTAGAAAAAAAGGGCTGTTTAGAACAAAGAACTGAGGGGCATAAGGCAGAAGCAGAGATCAAGGTATGTTTTAGAGCATGAGATAAATTTATTAAAGAGTTTTAGGGCAGGATTGAAAGGAAGTAAAGTACATTTGGAAGAGGTACCAAGTAGGTGACTTGAAAGATCAAGTGCATGGTTTGACCTTTGACTTAAGGCTTTAAATATTGGCATACTTTTGGGGTCTTTTCTCCTTTCACCCCTGATAATTCCCTTGGGGTGTGCTTTCTACTTGTGCAGTGGCCTGCAGGTGTTTGGCAGGGAAGCATGAGCAGTGTGTTTACTGTAGTTGTACACATGCTCACTTGAGGTGTTCTTCCATTACCAGTCAAATGTCCTAAGGAAGTCATATGCCGGTTAAACTCTTCCGTTTTGCTTCTTCATGCACACCCTTAAGCCCAATCACCCAACTCCTGAGATCTTATCGGGAAGCTGCTGGTCCCCAGTTTCAGGTGTTTCCTTTTATTGAGAGACTGCCTTTCTCTGGCATGGGCTGTGAACAATTATTTTACAGAGGCAGTTTAACAATGCCTGACCATCATGTGATGGTTGCCTGACATTCCTGGTTGGGGAAGGGGGCCCTCTTCTGCCCTGCTTATGTCTGACTAGCTACCTACCATAGTATTCCACCCATCAAGGCGCAAAGACCCCAATTCTTTAGGACAAATGGACGAAGATCTGTCTTCGGTAATTGCTTACTGCAGACAGGTGTGGTGGTGGTTGTTCTGTGAGTCTTGGCCTCTTGTTAGCTATCAGGGCATGAAAGTAACTCCATGGGTTAGTGAAAGTGTTATCCAGTTAGGTCCAAAGGACACAGCAGCAGTGTTTTGCCCCTGTCATTTCTCACTTATGGACAGTGTAGGGTCTTCTGTAGAAGAATGACTCTTGAATATTGACAGGAGGGTATCCCTCACTGAGGATCATCTGGATATTGATGGCCTGAAGGTGAAAGGAGACAAATTGGGTTATTAGATTTAGAAGAATGTAAAAACAAAATAAGTGGGTGAGGGCAGCTCCAAAAAATTCAGAGGCTTCCAACAAGCCCAGGTATCTGGTGGCTATAGTTATGTCTGCTAAGACTTGGGTGCATGGGGTTGCTAGACAATTCCATTATGTTCCCAGAAGCACAATATTGATCCAGATTTTTTATATTACCCATTCCTATTGCTTCTTCTGACCTGAAGCCAGAGATCACTAGTTGGTTCATAAGGCTAAGCAGGGTTAGTCTAAATTGAAGACAAAAACTCAAAAATAACTGATGAGACTAGAATCTAATAAAATGTATACCATAGTTTTTGAAACAATTTTTTTCTTCAGTGTTCAATTTTCTTAAAAACAAATGATGATAGGACTGATTTGTTTGCAAACTAAGCTTTAGTTTTATTACACTTGGCTCGATTATTTGCATAAAGCACAACAAATGCAATTATTTGCCATATAGGCTCCTTTTTAAATTGACTTTGATGTAACTTCATTTCATAGGAAATTTCAGATAAGAGTTTTATTAAAGCCTTAAGCCCAGCCATAGGTTGGTGTCACCAAGTACCTGTGCGAGTTGGATAAATTTTTCTCCTCTTGAGGTCACAGGATAAATTGGGGCTCCTGGTCCTGTCAGAAAGTGACATTCTTTATTTACCACAAGAGCTGTACAGTGACTGTGTAGAGAAGGTAAGAGAGGCCAGTTTTCTCAAGGGGCTTTTATTGGCTCCATAGATAAATTAGATTCCTTAAAGAAAAGCAGGCCATTCCAGTCAAAGTCTTGGTAAAATAGTTTCTCCAATTGTGTCCTGTTGCTAAAGAAAAAAGACTCTTAGATTACTTATGCAAATAGCCATATGGCTATAAGTTAATAATACTCAAAAATGGTTTCAAAATTCTGGAGAAATTACGTAGAGAGAAAGAAATATGCTCCAAATTTTGTTTATAGGATTACACTATAGTCAATTGTTAAAAACTGAAAACAGCTCAAAAGAAAAATTTTTTAGATTTGAAAAGCCAAAGATTAGCAGTTTTAAGCAAAAAATCATAACAGGATGATTTTAGTCTTCTATTAGTTTAGTCTTGTTATGCTTATATTCGTGAATATTTCCACTCTCCATGATGGTCCTGAAAGTTTTTTTCCTTTATTCTAATGTCACAGTCTTGAAAGTTATTATAAACCTGCCTTTAAGATCACCTGTTAGAGACCTATAGTTGATTATAAAACCACCTTTGGAAGAGGATTAAAGTAAGACAACAATTGTCTGTAGATCACAAATTGTCTTAGGACAACCATACTGAAAGTTACGATTGACAAGGAAATTTGTTACCTTGGTGGCACACAATAATTTCACATAACATTTACTATTTAAGTTTTATCAGAATGATAGGAGTTTTAACACATATCATTGTGTTATGTACTTTGGAACACATATCAATAACACATTTACACAAATACAGTCCAAATAAAGCCAGATATTACCTTTGTATTAGCCTACTATTGGTGTTAAACCAAATCCTTAATAAAACTTTATAGACAAATGTATCCAATCTTAATCTATTTGACCATAAGGTAAGATTTTCATAAACATTTTATAACTATTTACAATTTTCTCTTAAAAAGCAGGATAATTCTCTAAGAAAACAATGTTATGCTTTTATTCCAATGTTCAATTTCTGGAAAACTGAATAACATCCCTTTAATTTTAGCTAATATGTTCACACACAGAATTTTTTAAAACATTAATTTTTTACAGATCTTGTAAAACTTGCTCAAACTTTAGCTTTATCCTGTTTAACTTAAAACAATCCTTCAACCATCTAAACTAGGAGAAAACATCCTCATCCCTATGTTGTCTTAAAATTAAGTACATCTTACTGTCCTTACATGCCTTTTATCTAACACTGTTTTTCAGGTAATCTCAAATACGTGTTACACTGTTAACTCTTAGCAACTTTTACTTTTAGTGAAAAATATGGTAAATGTTTCTAATTATACCAGGATTAGAGCCTAGTACACCAGTCAGAAGTGCAGATAAGTTCTGACTCTTTCCAGCATAGCCGGGGGGACATAGCTAACTCTGTATGTCCCCAGGCCTTACCTAATATTAAAGCAGGCAAGTTGTATATTTGAAAGTCATACATAGTTGCAAGTTAGGAAGCATTCAGTAAGCCTAATAACTTTTAAATTGTACAATATTTCTTTTATAAATTCCCTTTCATGAATATTTTCATGACGTATACAGACCATCTATTATATGCTTGAACTTTCTGACTTTTCCTAAACATCCCTTTTTAAACAACCAGTTATTTTACTTTAGGACAAGAATTTACTATACAAGATAATTTCTGATATAAAAATCTCTTTTCTTTGTAACCTTCCTTACAAAAATACCTCTTTACATTTATAACCTTCTTGTAGGAATTTATGGTTTGTACTTCATATTGCTGTGTGAGTCCTGTTAAGGAGGAGCAAATAAAAAGGTTATCTAAATACTGTAGAAATTACCCCCACCCCTCCCACAAGAGATTTCTCAGTTCAATTTTTGCTAGGGCTGGTCCAAATAAGTGGTGGCTATTTTGAAATCCCTGATGTAGGACTGTCCAGGTTAAAGTCATTGGTTAAAGATTTACTTTGCTTTCCCAGGAGGAATGGGGCTATAAAAGGGGAGGATGAATTCAGAGATTGGGTAAATATTAAGTGAGCACCCATCTTGGAAACTTTATGATTCCTCCAACAGGTGTGGAGTGTTTAGACATTCCCCAGGACTGGTGGGAGAATGATAATTGGTCCTTTAAGTAATATAAAGGGGTGTGAATTTCTTCTTTTGGAAAGAGGAGTGCTATTTTTCCTTATTACCCAACAGGACTTGAAGGAGACTTCCTCAGAGAAGGAGATTAGCACAGAGTAGGCAGCTCTGGAACCCAAAAGGGAAATTTGTGATGTTACTTGTGGCCTTTGGAGTTGCCCTTGCCCTTGTCCTTTTAATGACAATGTCTGATTTGGAAGCCAGCCAGAGCAGAGAGCCCCTTAACCTCAAGTCTATCAGGAGTTGAAATTCTGTCTTAGGGGAACTTTCGCCCTCAGAGCAGTCTTGTTTTCAGCCTCCAAGCTTGTGGCAGAGGGAGCAAGCCATGAGGGGTTTTTTCCCATTTATGCTATTGGGGCAGTTTGCCTTCCAGTGGCTTTGCTTCTTGCACCACTGGAAGTTACCTGGGAGGGTATTCTGAGGGCAACCAGGAGGGCGCTGGAGAGCTTGTAAAGCAGCCAATAGTTGAGCTTGCCTCTGGTCCCTATGTTTCTTCTTTTTCTTACCCTTGTCTTCCTGTTTTTGTTCTCAGTTATGAAAGATTGAAGAGGCTAATCTGAGTATCTCCTGCATAAAGGCACTGGGTTTCAAGGCTGTCTTCTGTAATTTCCTCACAGTTCATTTTTAAGCCAAACAGTATTACAAAGGAAAATGAGTTATTTGTTTTAAGGTTTGGGAGAATCAAACTTTTCCCTTTTTTTGAGGTTGCACCAAAGGACATGCCTGTGCTATGGAGACGTGATTACCCATCTGAAAGAAGAGAGGAGAAAAAAGGAAAAAGAAGGTGTTCCATCTTACTTTCCTATGAATGTGGTCCCCCATCATCCTTTGGGTTCTGGAATGAACTGGTCTTATCATGTACTCTTAACTTTGGTCTCATCTCATCCCCACAATTACCCACTTTAGAACAGAGGAGATACTGGAGCGAACAGTGTGCCCCCTGTTCATCCTTGGGGTTCTGGAATGAACTGGTCTTACTGTATACCCCTAATCTTGCCTTCACCTCTGTTCTAATGTCAATCTGTTAGCTGGGGACCAAACTTTATCTCTGTTCTATGGATCTCTTGGGCATGTGGCATTGGGCTGGCCTATATCTTTGTCTCCATGACCTTATAGTGACTCTCTCATAGAGCATTTTAGCAACAAAATGATTATCACTTTTCTTAGATTCCCATTTCCCATGTTCTTTAAGTAGATGAGAAGCCTGCTTTTCAGTTAACTGCCACAAGGGGGCTGGACTTCTGTTCCCTCTTGCTTTGAATGTGACCTTGAAGGTCTTGATGCAAGTTGAGATGGGTGTGGAAGTAATTAGAGAAAAGCAGGCTACAGGAGGAAGTGGGAGAAAGTGAGAGGAATACTCCTGGAAAGCCTTCTTATGCTTGCAGAAACAGCAGCCCTTGGATTCGAGAGGGCAATGTTTATTTGCCCTCTTGATGTGAAGTAGTAACTTTTGGATAATTTGGGACCTGGGATAGAAACTTCAAAACAGTTCAGGAAGAATTTTACCTTTTCCCAAAGGGGTGCTAACTCAAAAAAGCAAGTAAGTGGGATCCTTAAAGGTCCAGAGTGTCGCCCCGTGCTGGTAAACAAGCTGCTTCAAAAGACACTAAGAAACTTGGCCCTGAGATGTAACAGGAACTAAAAGCGTATAGTGAGTCATAAGATGCTGGCAGAGACAGTATTCCAATCAGTGTCTGTACCAGGGGTGGTGGTCATCCTAGCTGTTAAGGTAAGAACAAGTATAAATCTCAAGGGGTATCTGCAAGGGAGCCCATGTCTTTGCTGCTGGGCAAATGCAGTAAGAGCTGTGGAAGCACAAATAACAGGGAGCGTGTGTTTGAGAAGCCAGGTGGCCTGTGAAGTGAAAGCAAAGAGGAAGATTTGCCCTAAGGTTGATGGTCCAGTGTGTGCTCAAGGCCATTTTGGAACACAAACAGAGAAAATGGGAGAATAAGTAGTGTAGGTTTTTGGGAAAGAGACAATTTTAGTTGAAAAAGCAGATGAAACCCCAGACATTGCACGGTTTTAGGCTTTAGCTCTACCATTCTTATGAGCGTCCTGTCCAGGAGGGCCATTAGGGCCTCAGTTCTACTTGATGCAGACCCCAAGGTTCTTCCCACCCCCACAAGCCACCTATCAGGGTGAGTGAAGAGATCAGTTGGTGGGAGCAGAGCCATATGTGTCTGAGAGGAATCATTTTGGGGTTGGTTAATAAAGAGAAGAGTGAAAGGGGAGAAGAAAACTATTTATGGGGGTTGAATATCTCTAGCCAAAGGTGAGGTGTAGAGGTTTCTTACCACTAGGGAATGTATCCGAGTCACGTGGCACCAAAGTATGTTAGCAGTGGAATGTATCTGGGTCACAGCACCAAATTATGTTAGTGGTGGTGAGTCCACATGGGTCTGCAGCAACTTCAATTCTTGCATCCTCAGAAGAAAGAATTCGACTGAGGGGCACAAGGAAGAAGAAGTGATCAAGGCAAGTCATAGAGCAGGAGTGAAAGTTTATTAAAAAGTTTTAGGGCAGGAATAAAAAGTAATGAAGTACACTTGAGAGAGGGCCAAGTAGGCGGCTTGAGAGATCACGTGCCCTGTTTGGGCTTTAATTGCACTTTTATACATTGGCACATTTCTAGGGTCTTGCATCTCTTCTCCCCTGATTCTTCCCTTGGGGTGGCCTGTCTGCATGTGCAGTGGCTGGCTAGCGCCTGGGAGGGGACTATGCATAGTGTGTTTCCTGGAATTGTGTGCATGCTCACTTTGAGGCATTTTCCCCTTACCAGTAAAATATCCCAAGGAGGTCATATACCAGTTAAACTCTGCCATTTTACCTGTTAGTGCACATGCTTGATCCCACTCACCCAACTCCTGAGATCTTATCAGGAAGCTGCTGGTCCCCAGTTTCAGATGTTTCTGTTTATTGGGAGACTGCCTTTCCCTGGCATGGGCTGTGACCAGTTATGATTTTTGAGGGACGGGTTAACAACTGCCTGATCATCACAAGATGGTTGCCTGACATTCCTGGTTGGGGCAGGGGTCCTCTCCTGTCCTTCTTATGTCTGACTGGCTACCTACTACAACATAAATAAATAATAATCTTTTCTGCTCCAGAAACATAGTGTCTTCATTTGGAATAATATTGATAGATCAATAGATAGATATTAAAAACTTAACTATACTTCACACAATTTTATTGTTGTTATTATTTGAGACAAGGTCTCACTCTGTTGCCCAGGCTAGAGTGCAGTGGTGCGATCTTAGCTCACTGCAAACTCCAGCTCCTGGACTCAAGCATTTTCCCACCTCAGCCTTCTGAGTAGCTAGGCATACAGGCACACACCACCATACCCAGCTAATTTTTGTATTTATTTGTAGAGACAGGGTTTCACCATGTTTCCCAGGCTGGTCTCAAACTCCTGAGCTGAAGCAATTCGGCCAGCTCAGCCTCCCCAAATGCTGAGATTACAGTTGTGAGCCACCATGCCCAGCTACTTCACACAATTATATCATACAGAATATATGAAACATTCTTTATATATGCCTTTCTTCTAATCTTGATTAAGAGTTTCTAAAAGGAATGTACTCTATAACATTCACCTTTTTCTTGCTTAATGTCTAGCATTTGGTAAATCTAAACAGAATAAATATTGAAAGATTGGATTTAAACAAAAATAAGATGACATGGCAAAATTTACAACATAAATGAAATCTAGGCAAGAATTTAAGACAAATGAAGAATAAAAGAAAACACGAAATGTTGTCTAACATCTTTGGTGTATCAGAAGAGCTTTGAATTTTCAAAACAGTACTTTTGACAGTAAAATAGTAATTGTTCTTGTGTATCTATACATATGTAACATACGTTATTAAGAGTTTGGAAAAAGTATGTGAAGCATATTAAAACATGTTTTTTAATAAAGTTAGTTCCTACTCCTATAATAGTTAACTATCAAAAGCTCTGCAACAGGTTTCAAAGTTGAAGGAGAGGAGACAACCTATGGAATAAAATCTGTTCTTTGTGGTTATAAAGAAATGCTAGAGGAAAAAAAATCTGTCTTTTATCATTCATAGTCAGGGAACAGAGGTTGTAAACTATGTCTAGGCAGGGACCAAGTCTGTTGTTTTCATTGTTGTGTCCTAGGCACCAACTATAATGTCTCAGTAATTATTTTTAGATTAATAATCAGAAATTCAACTTTTTATGTCTAGAAAATATTTCTTTTTATATAATGCCGTTTTATATAATGGCAAGTGTGATATAAAATAAAAATCACAGAAGAAATAACAAACTGTCATTTAATGTGCCACTTTGGTTCGAATATACATATTTTGCATGTATTATAGTAATACAAAGAAAATAATAATCAAAGACAATATTTTATTTAAATTAGGTATTTTAGAAATAGAAATACAATTCACTACTATTATAGGTGTATATAAGGCAGCATCAGCTATGTTTAAGCAATATTCTAAATTGTAAAATGTCATGTAAACTTGAATTTGTAAACTAATTTTTGCTCCTGCAGAAACGGATGAAACATATGTTGAGACCTAGTATGAGAAACAAATGCTTTCTGTTTCCTAGTAATTGATTCTATTATAAAATATTCCCCACTTCTAGAACTTTCAAGAGCAGCAAGTTCAAAGAACTTAGAGTATGCATTTTATAATAAAATATATAAGTATGTTTATAGTCTTAAAAAGAGATCTTTTATAGATCTTAACAAAACTTCGATGAAATTCCTCAAATACCATTGTACTTAAGTAATTGGTTAGAACAGTATAGGAAGTAGTATTAGTAAAGCTAACACAAAGAAAATATAAGAACCTACTCAGCATCAGGATAGAAACCATAGTATAAAAATACCAACACCTTTTATTTAATTAAAACAAATTTTTTTGAGACAGGGTACTTGGTCTGTCACCCAGGCTGGAGTGCAATAGTGCAATCTTGGCTCTCTGTTACCTTCATCTCCTAGGCTCAAAGGATCCTCCTGTCTCAGCCTTCCAAGTAGCTGGGACTACAGGCATGTGCCACCACACCTGGCTAATTTATGTATTTGTTGCAGAGACGGGGTTTTGTCATGCTGCCTAGGCTGGGTCTCGAACTCCCGGACTCAAGCGATCCACCTACCTCTGCCTCCCAAAGTACTGGGATTACAGATGTTAGCCACCGGGCCCAGTCTATATTTCTTTTAAAAAGATTCCACATTTCAACTACCTCTCTTTAAAAGCTATAAATGGTCTTGAAGAGTTTTTGTAGACATTTCTGAGTTTTTTTCTCTCATCATTAGGTGCATAAAATAACTTCTAAAACTTCCAAAAATGACTTCCAAAAACTTCTTCCAAAAATAACTTCCAAAAACTTCTTCCAAAAATGACTTCCAAAAACTTCCATCATCTTTTATGGCTCATTTTACTTTTGTTTATAAACTACCCTCATTCATCAATTTCCGGTGGAGGGTAGCACCACATATACATCATAGACATAACAAAATTATTTTACACTCAGGTACTTTTCTCATGCAAATTGTAAGAGAAGGTAATTAAACATCACATAAACTTTGTTATTTTGGATATACCAATGGTTTGAGCTAATTAAGTGAAGTAATTAAAGACAAGTGAAATCCAGACTGATGAATGCAAGCATAAAACCATACAAAAATTTGCTCTCCAGAATGCTTATATTATGCAATATTCCCTGTGTCAAAATACTATTCTTCCCTATACATATACACAACTGTTATCTATCAATTAAAAATACATTTCTTAATGTTATAAAAATACTATTTTACAGTTCTTTTTAGATATCCTGATATCCTTTTAAGAGGGCAGTAGTGAGTAATATAAAAAAACTGGACTTGCAGTTAGGAAAATTATGTTGTATTGCTAACTAGATAGTAACATGCTGTGAGCCAAGGCAACTGTCTTAAATTCTTCAAAGCTTCTTTAATAATCTACAATATTATGGTATTGAATTAATGTTAATAAGTGCTTTTCAGACATGATTCTCTCTTCTTTCTTTTGATTCCTTAATTACACAATCTGGCTGTGCTTTTAGAATTTTGGGCAACCAGTGTGTGATAAAATGGCATTAATAGAAGAGGCTGCTATCAAATTTTAGTAATTCACCAGAATGGAAACAAACTGGGAGAAATTTGAGAGGAGATAATTATATGATGAAAACTTAAGATTCCACATTTAATAAAAATAAAAGAAAAAGAAAATGAATATATACAACTTTACAATAAAATTATGTTAAATAATATTTAAAAATTCAAATATGTATATTAGAGCCAAATTTCCTTTACTTACTCCTTAACTAATTTCTGCTTATTGGATTTTGGGGGTTTTACTTGAGATTCACATATAAATGACTTTTGTTCACATTTTGTTTCTTGGGCCTCTAAGTTATGGATACCTAATGAGCTATCCTAGTAGGTGTGTTTTCACCTGAACCCCATACTTTTGTCCTAGCAGAATTTAGTGAGAAAAAAACTAACTCTTGTGTAATATTTATGATTTCCAAATTTATTATAAACTTATACTTAATCTTATTTTTGTAAGAACAGTTTTACACAAATTGAGAAAGAATTAGGAATGGTTATTGATCAGCTATCTTAAAATTAAAGACACTATGGACATTAAAAAGTATAATTTAATCTGCATTTCTCTGATTAACCATTTTTTATAAATGAAATTGTGTCTTTTTACTCTTTTCACATAAGATAAGGATTTACTACATTTTGGTTTTACACACAGATTTTCCTGTCTTTAGTTTGAGAACCAAGTTTTTTATGATATGACTAGTTAGATTTATATAAATAGATCAATGCAAGCAAAAATAATATATTATTTCTCTCAAATGATCCCCCTCAAGTCTACCACAATGAGAGTTCTAGGAAAGAGGCATAAGCATAGATAACGTTAGGAACAGTGGCTATTTTGGTTGAGGAACAAGACAAGTAAATCCACTTTATGATTAAGTAATTTGAGCTCTATGCCCCACTTAGGAAAGGAGAGGTTGGAGCAAAGAGGAATTAAACAATTCAAAAAATAATATTATATGAGTTGTCACTGGATAAAAAGGTCGGTTTGGAGGTGGATTTGGTTATTGAAAGGAAGGTGAAACTTGGAGAAAGGTTTGAGGTTAAATAAGGGTTCATGTGAGAAGAAATTCTAGATGAAAAACATGCTGGATGGGATTAATGACAGATGAGACTTTACAGAAGAAAAGCTTAGGAAACTTGAAACAGTAGCAATAGAAACTACTTGAAGAGAAATAAAGATTAAAAAAAAAGACAGCAACATCAAGATCCGTAGGCTACCCACCAACATCTTTTTATATAAGTATCTGGAATTGCTAAAGGAGACAAAAGTAGAGAGAAAATAATTTGGAGACCTAATCTTCAAAGATTTTCCAAAACGATAACCATAAACCCATAGGGCCTAAAACCTCAATGAACCCAAATAGTAAGAAAAACAAAGTTAACTATAAAAGGCATATCATAAGCAAATTACATAAAATCCATAAAAGGGAAAAAATACTTAAAGGAATCAGAGAAAAATACAACTATGGATAGAGGATCAAATATAAAGAAAATGAAGATTTCATGTCAAAACAGTACAAGCTATATGACAGTAAAGCAATGCCTTCAAAGTACTGAAATGAAAATAACTGCCAAATGAGAATTATTTAACTAGTGAAAATATCTTCAAAATACAAAGACAAAATAAAACATTTAGAATACATAAAAAAGTATCCGAAAAAAATCATCAGAAAATTAAAGAAATGCTTCCGGTAGCAGTAAAATGATAACCATATAGTAAATTAGACCCTCACAGAAAAAGGGCACTAAAAATTATAAATATATGTGTAAATATAAATAATATTTTTTGTTATTATTTAAATTTGTGTTAAAGATTGTGACTGTTTAAGCAAAAATAATAACAATGTATTGCGAGGCTTGTAACATGTCAAATATAAAAGTCAAATACATAAAAACAATATCATGTAAGCCAGGAAAGGAGAAATGAAATTACATTGTTGCAAGGATTACATACTATATATGAAGTGGTATATCACATTAACATAGGCTGTGATAATTTGATAAGTTAAAAATGTACACTACACACTATAACATGCCACTAAAATAATAAAATAAAGATTTATAGCTAATAAGCCAACAAACAGCACAAAGTAGGATCAATGAAAACATTTAATTAGTGCATAAGAAGGAAGAAAATTGGAGAAAAAAAGCAAATGACAGATGGAACTTCCAAGTACAAAACAATTAACAAGGTAATTATCACATTAATGATTACATTAATTGTAAGTAGTCTAAATACCCCAATTAAAAGTCGGACTGTGGCCAGGCAGGGTGGCTCACCCCTGTAATCCCAGCACTTTAGGAGGCCAAGACAGGAGGATCCCCTGAGGTCAGGAGTTGGAGAACAGTTTGGCCAACATGGTGAAACCCTGTCTCTACTAAAGATACAAAAGTTAGCTCGTCATGATGGCAGGCACCCGAAATTCCAGCTACTCCAGAGGCTGAGGCAGAAAAATCACTTGAACCCGGGAGGCAGAGGTTGCAGTCAGCTGAGATTGTGCCACTGTACCACTCCAACCTGGATGACAGAGTGAGACTCTGTCTCAAGAAAAAAAGTCAAACTGTCAGACTGCATAAAAAACTATGACCTATTTGTACGCTGCTTATGAGACACCTATTTAAAGCTAAAGATAAAATAGGTTAAAAATAAAAAGACAGAAAAAGATATATCAGGCTAAATCTAAAGATCAGAGAATTCTACCAATTGTGAAAGGCAAAAACGATAGCATTTCTCCTGTCTTCCAGAAAAATTGCTGAAAGCCACAGGCAAAAAATACATAAAGAAATAAAAAATAACAAATCACATACTTGGTAAAGAACATGTGTATAAAATATGTTTAAAAATGTAATAGCTTAATAAAAATAAAATAATAATGCAGACTATTTCATTGATCTATGTACAAATTTTTTCAGCATGGGTAAAGGACTTTCCTTCTAGTCCTAGTTTAGTAATCATTTTTATCATGAATGAATGTTGAATTTTAACGAATGTATTTTCTCTCTCTAGCAAGAGAATTACATCATTTTTCTAGTTTAATCTGTTAATACAGTGAATATACTAACTTTCAAGTGTTAAACCAGTCTTACGTATGCCAGATAAAACTTACTTGGTCATGATATGTTTTTATTTTAATATATTGCTGGATTTCATTTGCTAATATTTTGCTGGAGATTTTCTTTATTTTTATTTTTATTGGTAATAACAGCCTCTAGTTTTCTTATTTTTGTCTTGTTTTTGTGTCAGAGTACTGCAGACCTCATAAAATGAATGAAAACTTTTCCCTAGTCTTTAATTTTTTGGAAAATTTGCATACAATTGGTATTACTTCTTCTACACATGACAGGAAGAAATCTCTATTGAAGACTCCTTGATTTGGAATTTTTGTGGTTGTTGGAATTTTTAAAATTATGAATTCAACTTATTAAAAAATATAGGATTACATAAGCCTAATATAGTGCTATCATTTTAATGTTTATAGCATGTGTTATAATATCCCCTCTTTCACTTATTGGTAATTTGTGTTTTTCATCTTTATTTTGCTCTAAGTGGCTTGATTTAGCAATTATAGTGTATTGTTCTTTCCAACCAACCCCCTATTGGTGTTATTGATTTCCATTATTTAAAAAAAATTAACTGTATTCATTTCTACATGCACTTATTATTTATTTTTGTGTTGTTTAATTTTCTCCTGTTTTTATCTCTATCATTTAAATGGAAGCTTTTTCATTGTTATGCAATATTTTTATTTTCTAATAAATTTTTCTTTACCGGTCAGTTTGCATCACACAGCGTTTATATGTTGTCCTTTCATTAACAGTTTGTTTAAAATATTTTCTAATATCCACTGTTTCTTTTTGACTTGCAGGTTAATTAGAATGGTGATATTTCCTTTCCAAGTATTTGGGTAGTTTAGAGATATCTTTTTGTTCTCTCATCGATTTCCAGTTTAACTATGCTGTGATCAGAAAACATACGTTATATTATTTCTATTATTTCTTTTTTCTTTTCTTTCTTTTTTTTTTTTTTTTGAGACAGAGTCTTGCTCTATTGCCCAGGCTGGAGTGCAGTGGCGCAATCTCGGCTCACTGCAACATCTGCCTCCTGGGTTCAACCAATTCTCCTGCCTCAGCCTCCCCAGAAGCTAGGATTACAGGCATGTGCCACCACGCCTGGCTAGGTTTTGTATTTTTAGTAGAGATGGAGTTTCGCCATGTTGGTCTGGCTGGTCTCAAACTCCTGACCTCAGGTGATCCGCCCTCCTCGGCCTCCCAAAGTGCTGGTATTACAGGTGTGAGCCACCGCATCCAGCCAGCCACCATGCGTGGCCTGTATTATTTCAATTACTTAACCATGATCCAGGATTCAACTTATCTTAATTAATGTTCCATGCCCACTTGAAAATAGTACATATTCTTTCATTGTTGGGTATAGTGTTGCATAAATATAAACTATATCAAATTGGTTGATAGTTTTGGTTGAATATTTTAAATCCCTGCTGATTTTATTGATTCTCCTGGTTACCGAGAAAGGAATGTTAAAGTCTACAACTATAATTTTCTGAGTTGCTACATTTAAAGTAGATGTCTTAGAGACAATATACAGTTGGTTGTGCTTTTCAAAGTTTTAATGTCAATCTCTGTATTTAACTGTAATATTTAGATTATATATTCTTCTTGTAATTATCCATATACTTGGAATAATATATACCAACTTTTTAGTTCTATGGCGTTTTCATTTTATTGGTTCAGTCTCATTCTTAGGCATACCTTTTGTCTAGATTTGGTTTTCTCAGTGATCTTTGTCTTTCTTCCCAAGATAGACAATTCTCTAGAATCTATAACCAGCCTTGTGTCACAAGAATTTTCCAGCTCTTTCACAAGATCCTATCTCAGTGGTCAAGGATGTTTGTCACTCTGGGCTTAAGATGGTTTCTTGTGGTTACTATTCGCCTTGAAGTATATTGATTTTGCTGCTCTTTCTACTGTAACAAAGGCTTCCATTCCACAGGGGAAAGGACGGAATAGAGGTATGTGCCTCTTCTGTAGCAGCAGCTACTTCCCTCCAACACGCCTGCAACACTCTAGGAAACTTCTCTGGTATCCTACCCTGATCTCAATATCTCTCATGAACCCCTGTTGAGGCCAATGAAGAAGAAATTCTTTGTGAGGTCAAATTCCCCTCACGAGTTTCAGGGTTTCTAATTTCTCACTCTAGTCTAGTAATTTGTCACCTGACCTTTAGAAAGTTCTTAAAAGTGTGGCTAAAATCACCAGACCCTCTTTTAAGCCGGACTTCTTTTCATCTTACAGTCTGCTCCAGGGAAGCTCTTGTCTGTCTCTCCTTTAAGTCTTTGTCTGTCTCTCCTTTAAGTCTTTGTCTTTCCTTAGATTTCAAACTAATTGGTTGCCTTGTGACCTTAGGTCTCTAATAAGCTCAAGTAAATACATGATCTTTGTAGTGTAAAAAGAAAGCCTTTAGACAAATTTGACAGTTTGCTTGAACCAAGAATGATTCATGAATTGAAAAGCATTCAGAACCAGAGGAGCTTAGGAGAGCTCCACCCAGCAGCATGAGCAGTAAGCTGTTATAGGCCAAGAAAAGAAACATGTGGGAAAGAGTTTCTGGGATGCCAGATAAGTTGGTCTCCCCTGTGTGAGACACCCATGGGGAGCCATGGGCGGCCTCTGAGGAGAAAAGTCTCCTTGAGAGGTGACAGCGTGCTGGCAGTCCTCACAGCCCTCGCTCACTCTGGTCGCCTCCTCTGCCTGGGCTCCCACTTTGGCGGCACTTGAGGAGCCCTTCAGCCCGCCGCTGCACTGTGGGAGCCCCTTTCTGAGCTAGCCAAGGCCGGAGCCGGCTCCCTCAGCTTGCGAGGAGGTGTGGAGGGAGAGGCGCGGGCGGGAACCGGGGCTGCGCGCGGTGCTTGTCTGCCAGTGCGAGTTCCGGGTGGGCGTGGGCTCGGTGGACCCCGCACTCGGAGCGGCCCCCGCACTCGGAGCGGCCGGCCAGCCCCACCGGCCCTGGGCAGTGAGGCACTTAGCACCTGGGCCAGCAGCTGCTGTGCTCAATTTCTCGCCGGGCCTTAGCTGCCTGCCCACGGGGCAGGGCTCGGGACCTGCAGCCTGCCATGCCTGAACCTCCCCCTGCTCCACGGGCTCCTGTGCGGCCCGAGCCTCCCCAACGAGCACCACCCCCTGCTCCACGGCACCCAGTCCCATCGACCACCCAAGGGCTAAGAAGTGTGGGCACACGACACGGGACTGGCAGGCAGCTCCACCTGCAGCCCCCGTGCTGGATCCACTGGGTGAAGCCAGCTGGGCTCCTGAGTCTGCTGGGTAGGTGGAGAACCTTTATGTCTAGCTAAGGTTCTGTACTAGCTCAAGGTTTGTAAACACACCAATCAGCACCCTGTGTCTAGCTCAGGGTTTGTGAATACACCAATCCACACTCTGTATCTAGCTACTCTGGTGGGGCCTTGGAGAACCTTTATGGCTAGGTCAAGGATTGTAAATGCACCAATCGGCACTCTGTATCTAGCCCAAGGTTTGTAAACACACCAATCAGCACCCTGTGTGTAGCTCAGGGTTTGTGAATGCACCAATTGACATTCTGTATCTAGCTAATCTGGTGGGGAGGTGGAGAACCTTTGTGTCTAGCTCAGGGATTGTAAAGGAACCAATCAGCACCCTGTCAAAACAGACCACTGGGCTCTACCAATCAGCAGGATGTGGGTAGGACCAGATAAGAGAATAAAAGCAGGCTGCCTGAGCTTGCGGTGGCAACCTGCTTGGGAACCCTGTTACACTGTGGAAGCTTTGTTCTTTTGCTCTTTGCAGTAAATCTTGCTGCTGCTCACTCTTTGGGTCCACACTGCTTTTATGAGCTGTGACACTCACCGTGAAGGTCTGTAGCTTCACTCTTGAAGCCAGCGAGACCACGAACCCACTGGGAGGAGAGAACAACTCCAGACGTGCCACCTTAAGAGCTGTAACACTCACTGCGAAGGTCTGCAGCTTCACTCCTGAGCCAGCAAGACCACGAACCCACCAGAAGAGCGAACACATCCGAACATCAGAAGGAACAAACTCCGGACACGCCACCTTTAAGAACTGTAACACTCACCACGAGGGTCTGCGGCTTCATTCTTGAAGTCAGTGAGACCAAGAACCCACCAATTCCAGACACATCCTTATTGCCTTCATGTCTTGATGCCCCGAGAGCATAACAGCTCGGGGCATGCCACGGGTGCGTGGGGAGATAACACTCCCTTGAAGTACTGGAGTATAATCAAACAACTTGGCTCCTGCTGAAACCCGCTCCCACCTGTTTCGGTCCTGGTAAGAGCTTAAGTAGTTTAGACACACGCCTTTGCTCGAGGAAATTGACAGAAACCGCCACTGCTATACATTTTATTGAATGACTCACAAGTTCTCCTTTACTGATTAATTCTTTTCCTCATCCCTTCTTACCTCTCCCATTTGCCCTGAGAACAAAGAGCTTGTAAACCAATAAATTGGGTGGAGGCTGAGAGCTCTGGGCCGTGAGCAAGCCTCTGCTCCGGTCCCCTGGACCTGCCTTTTAAACTCTTATTCTGTCTCTTTCTAATTCCTTTGTCTCTGCTGGACTTGGGGTACCCGCCCGGCGGTGTGGGGCTGGTTTCCCCAACAAAACAAAAAAGGGAAATTGTCTGATTGGCTACAATTAGGTATCTGCCTTATCTGGGTATGGTGTGATGAGGCATTTGCTTTATTTGGGCATAGTCTGATCCTTGGCTACCTGTGATTGCCTGAAGTTCAGCTGTTTGTGTCTGGCTGAAAACCAGCTGTTTGTTACAAGACTATACTAATAAGCATGGTTTTGCCTGCCTGCCTTCCTTCTTCCTTTCCTTTCCTTTCTTCTTCCTTTCCTTGCCTTTCTTCTTTTTTTCCTTGCCTTGCCTTTCTTCTTCTTTTCCTTGCCTTGCCTTTCTTCTTCTTTTCCTTGACTTGCCTTTCTTCTTTTCCTTGCCTTGCCTTTCTTCTTTTCCTTGCCTTGCCTTTCTTCTTCTTTTCCTTGCCTTGCCTTTCTTCTTTTTTTCCTTGCCTTGCCTTTCTTCTTCTTTTCCTTGCCTTGCCTTTCTTCTTCTTTTCCTTGCCTTGCCTTTCTTCTTCCTTCCCTCCTCCTCTCCTTTTTCCTTTCCTTTCCTTGTTTTTTTTTTTTTGACAAGGTCTCAATCTGTTGCCCAGGCTGGAGTGCCCTGGCACAATTACAGCTCCCTGCACCCCTGAACTCCCAGGCTCCCACCTCAGCCTCCCCAGTAGCTGGGACTACAGGCATGCACCACTATACCCGGTTAATTTTTGTATATTTGTAGAGATGTGGTTTCATTGTTTTGCCCAGGCTGATGTCAAACTCCTGGGCTCACGGAATCCACCTGCCTCCACCTTCAAAAATGTTGGGATTATACACAGGAGCCACTGCTCCAGGCCTTGGTTTGTTTTCATAATAAGTTGTGTTACAGTTTGTTACGTAGGAACTAAAAGTATGGAGATAGTCTGTCAATGACTGTCTGCTTTTTAAATTTTACAGTAGATTGTATATTTGTTTCAACCCCCCACCCCCACCCTTGGTAATAGAGTAGAAGTAATGGTCTTCTCAGCTTTTTATATACTAAGCAGAAACTAAAAATGTAGGTGTATGTTCTCAAATTCAGGATGTGGTTACTATTTCTGTCAGATATATTGAATCTTTACAGATTGTACTGGAGTTGATTTTGAGCACATCTTTCATAATTTTTTTAAACTGAAAGGGAGATAGAATTTTCTATTAAATACTTCTTGAGACTTTGAAATAGAAGTTATCTTGAATTTAAAGTGTCTCACACGTCCCTGTGAAGAGACCACCAAACAGGCTTTGTGTGAGCAACAAGGCTGTTTATTTCACCTGGGTGCAGGCAGGCTGAGTCCAAAATGCGAGTCAGTAAAAAGTGATGGGATTATCATTAGTTCTTATAGGTTTTGGGATAGGCGGTGGAGTTAGGAGCAATGTTTTGCGGGCAGGGGGTATATCTCACAAAGTACATCCTCAAGGGTGGGGAGAATTACAAAGAATCTTCTTAAGGGTGGGGGAGATTATATAGTACGTTGATCAGTTAGGGTGGGGCAGGAACAAATCACAATGGTGGAATGTCATCAGTTAAGGCTATTTTCACTTCTTTTGTGGATCTTCAGTTGCTTCAGGCCATGTGGATGTATGCGTGCAGGTCACAGGGGATATGATGGCCTAGCTTGGGCTCAGAGGCCTGACATAAAAGTAAAAACAAATTTCAGAAGCTCTATTCTCTGAAGGAATAGGAATAATTACAAACTTTTTTTAAATAAGAAATATAAATTGGTCATATAAAACAATAATTTTTTAAAAAATTTATTAAGGTAATTACCACAAAGGTTTTGATAGTGTAAAACAAATATACATGAAAAATATGAAAACATCCTAAACAACAAACTTTTGGAGTTCTGAATCACGAGAAGTTGATACATTGACCTCTTAAAGCTGTTTCTACTTTCTTTTTACATGAAAATTACCTGTACTTGGTAATGTCAATTAGTAATTTATGCTAACTTGTTAATTGTTAAAGATTGAGACTTTCTCTTAACTTGGGAATTCATTTTGTTTTCAAACTTTCCCCCAAATAATGAATATTTTAACAAACAACATTTTTGCTATGTTTTTAATTTTTAAAATATACACTTTAAAACAAGCTTTGTTTATCTTTTCTCTAAATAAATCAATGGCTAATTGTAAAATCAATAATCAGACCAACACTTCTATCAGGCCTGCTTATATAGCATTCTAGCTATAGAACATTATCCGAAGCATTCTAGTTTCAGAACAGTCTTAATCACTATGCTATAGTGCCTCTTTGAAAGTTCTTTACATCATATAGATTAGTGGCATTCAATTATTTTTTAAATTTGTTTTTGTTTTGATTTGCTGTTGTTTTTAGCCATGATGCCTTTCCTTAAATGAAAACCTAAGCAATCTAAATAAAATTATACAGATAAAAACTAGTGTAGTTCCTTTGTTGAAAGCAGAGGAGAGGCCCTCGCACTTGGGAACACATTTCTTGGCTCTTTCTTCTCTGAGGTTGCACAGCTCATAAAGGGGCATGCCTCTGTGGGTCACATTTTTAAAATACCAATCCAGGTGAAAACTATTTTTTGAAAAACTATTGAAGGTATCTGGATAGATAAGCAAGCATTTTTTTATTTAGATATATATATATTTAAAAACCATTGCAGTATATAGCATCTTTTTCAGTATCTTTTTCCAGACTTTGACAGGTTCATGAGGCATTATCTATTTCCAGTAGTTAATTCTCATTACTAGTGATTAACAATGATGATGGAAAAACCAAAGATGCCATTTTAATGACAGACATCTGAACGTAATGCTTGCCAGCCTGCCCAGGAGAGTGAGGCTTTCAATCACATTTAAGATGCTCCTCTCGTTAAATTATGCGGTTTATATTCCAGGACCAGTAAGAAAATAAACATATTTGATATTTAAGGAAAACAGGAACACAAACTAAAACTCAAGAAAACAATGAAATATACAGAAAGTGCTGCCATGTCTTCTAACACTGCTGGAACTGTGCCCATTCTATTCCTACCTTGAGGAATCCACACTGAAAGATAAACAAAATTCTGCTGCTGGCAAATGTTCCAAAATGATCACAAACCACATACCCCCTCCTCCACCAGCACCAACTCCACCTTTACCATAGATTTAAGAATTAACAGAATATATGGGACCATAATATTTCTGAGCTACATTGAAAAATGATAGCGATACAGTTTCCTTAAGCACTTCTCAGGTTTGTAGGAAATGTGTTGTTTAGTTGTGTGTTGGATCACATTAATATTGTTTTCCAGATCAGTATTACATGAGCCTGCACCATGAGGTCAGCCTCGGCCTTGTGACTTTGGTCAGTAAGATGTGAGCAGAATTAAGTTGTGTCACTTCTGGGTAGAAGTTTCTAGGGTCTATATAAGTTCTTTTTTTCCTCTTTGCAGTTTCCAGCAATGTCCAGAGATTGGTTGAGTCTGGAGTAAGAAAAAAAAAACATGCAGGATAATTGTGAAAAACATGACAGAGTGGGAAACAAGCACCTTATATTTTATGTCAATGAGATTTGAGAATTGTTTTTACTAAAGGATAAGCTAGCTCATTCACACTGGTATAGGGATAAGATACTAATATGCTGTTTTAGGAACAAAGAAATTTCGGTTTTAAACAGTGGGCAAATAAGATTCTATCATTGACCACTAGAGGATACTGCTTCTCTTTAATCCAGAAACTTTTCAGTCTTTGTTAGCGAAGCTCCAGAGTTCTGTAGAGATGAAATGGAATGGAGGTGGAATGAGAAAGCTTCTGAAGTGGAAAAGTGGACCTCCAATCCATTTTGACCATTTCAGTTCTGCTTTAATCAGTCATCCTGTCCCCCCGTCCATTGAGATTTTATGTAAGAAGTTAATTAACCTAATTTGCCTTCTCTCAATTTCTTATGATGTGTCCTGTTCATAAAAAGACTGTGTGATCAGTAAGGGGAGTATCTTTAGAAAAGTAAAAGTTTGAGAGCAAAGATGTTGTATGGTGTCTTCAGCCCTGGTCCTTAGGGCAGCCTTGCCCAGCAGATGCAGACTCCTCTGGTCACAAGTGCTAATTATTATCATCACCCAACTGTAGTTTCTTTGTGCTTTTCAAGAGGATTTTTCTCCAGAGAATATTTGTGTCAAACAAGGAAAATAAGTGTTACACTTTCTTTTAGAATTACATTTTTATTTATACATTAATGATTTCTCATTTGGTCACGTCAGTCTCCTATGAATTTGGCTAATGTGAGCCATTTCCACTGAGGTCACATTCCCTTAAGCACATGCAAATGTTACAAAAGGGATTCTGGAAGTTTGTAACCTTGTCTCAACCTGTGACCCTGTGAAGCCTTGCCTGGACTGGAGGCTAAATTCCTTATATAACAGGCATCATTTCTGTTTGCTGATCTGTACCTTTAATATAAGGCAGTGTTGTTTATTCTTTAGTTGTTCGTTAACATTTTCTCTACTTTTAGCACAGTAGAAAGCATTGAGAAATGCTGAGCTGAGAAATGAGCTCAGCTCCCACCAGTATATAAATTTCATTTGGAGTTTATCAGATTTTAAGAGTATATATATTATACTCTTAAATCTTTCCTAAAATACTGAAAAATTAATGTGTTATATATATATATATATACACACACACACACACACACACATACACACACACACACATATATATATGTGTCTGAGAAAGATTTATGGTATCTTTGTGCCCTGAACAACTACTGGCACCTCTAAATGTTTCTAACCTTTCAAGAAGCATATTAGCATGAGGAACACTATATGCCAACTTCAGAAATTTCAACCTTCCTAAGATTTTTTATTTAAAAGTATTATTTGAAATACTAAAAGTGTTGTTATTATTTCCTGAAGCACTATACTAAAACAAATCATAATTTTAACACAATGATTCAGAACTAGCAAAAAAAACTCATAATGTCTCCGGGCTGAAAATCACAGCTAAGCCTCATATTGTGTTTCTCAAAAATTAAAAAAACACATTTGAAAAACTTTGTGTAGAGCAACCTGAACAAATGACAATTGAAGTTCATAAAACAGAATAAAAAAAAAGTCCCCATTTTTTTCAATGATACTTTATTTTCATTCATTTAAATTGATTTTGAGACTAAGACATTTTTTACTGCAGTGTCTAAGAAGAGTAGAAAATTTGATAAATTTGTATTGAAACTGGTTTGGGGTTTTGGGGTCTTCATTCTCAAATTAGATGTTCTCTTTTTCTCAATAGCTCTAAAGTTGGAGAGACCTTTGAGATGGTATTGTTTTAAATTTTCCTCTAGCTGGGCATATTTTGTTAAAGATATTAATGTTCTTAACTGATCGATGAGTAGTGTTGGATTTTATCTAAAAATCCAAAAAAAAATAGAATAGTAATATCACTTTTCCAAGCATTTCCTGGACATCTGACTTTTTATCCTCTTCTTTTTTATTTTTTTCTAATTTTCTGTTACCTGATGAAAATATTTTTTTATTGGTTCATATAGTCAATTAGGATACTTTGGTCCAATTCTCCAAATTTTTTAAAAATTTCAGTTGTTATTAACAATTTGATTGTAATCTTTTTATCATTATATTCACTTCATTTTTATAATGTGTTATGATTGTAATAGTGGAAGGAAGCTTAGCATGACTGACTCCATTTTTCCTCTGACTCCCTGCCTCCTGTGGTCATATCCTTTACGTTAAAAGTGTCTGCTTAGCTTTGCTTGTAGATCAGCTAATTATAGGAGAAGTTTAGGTTGTAGTTCAACTTTAAGAAAAAAAAAATAACGGTTCCTTTATCAAAACTAACTCACAAGGAGATAAGGAAGTACACATACAAGTAATGGTATTTTGGTGAAGATTTAGGGCAACATTATGACTTGAGCTACTTCATCTGAACAGAGGTCAGCTGACCAAGCACAAAGAAGTTTCACAACCTACTGGGACCCTTGCTGATGCCCAGATGTCTGAGGTTGTCAGTCACCTCTTGACCTCAATCCCCTTTCTTCCCCCTTCCCTTAAAATAAAAATGAGCCTAAAGTTCATGCTAACTGAAGATGGTTCTTTGGAACAGAAGTTCATCTTTTTGGTTTGCTGGACCTCTGAAGTCACTTTCCTTGCCTCACTGCCTTGTTTCTATATTTATTGGCAGTCATGCAGCAAGTGGTACAAGCTTGAACTTATTTACAGGATCAAACAAGATGAAATATATGCCCCCAAATTAGAATACACACACACACACACACACACACACCCCACCTTTGACATTTCCTGTCTAAGAGGCAATCCTCTAAGGAAAATAAAAGTCTAATTTTTAATTAATTTAATTTAGCTAATATGCCTAAATCTTTCTTTACAACCAGGATATATTCTATTTCTCCATTGTCTTGAATTCATGCATATTTCTGTTTTAAGTCATTCGGCTATTCATACTTTGATTTGTGGATTCAGATATTCTCCTTTTTCTGCTATTGAGTCTTCAATTGTCTTTAATTCTATTACTTATACCTCAGCAAGAAAAATAGATTATTCTTTTCTGGTTGAGGGATAGGATTAACCTTTCATACAAAATATGATACTTTTCAGTGGGATTCTCCAAGAAATGAATTAGAAACAGAACTAGCTCTTCACACAACTGCCTAATGAGAATTGCAGTCTGTAATGTGATATACTGTATTCCTTTACCTTCAAAAGAGAACATGAATGATTGCATTTGCAAGTCAATGAAGAGAATGACATGTGAAATTCTTTGTTATTAATGTTCTGTTAGATAGTCATTTACCTTAAAGGAGCAAATTTTAGGAAAATTGAAACAGTAAAAATGCAACTCAGAAGAATGGTGATTTCATCCAGAAATTGCTCCGGAATATATTAGAAGACTACAGGGATATGTTAAAAATGGTCTGCTTCACCTGATACAGAGAAAATCCAAATAGTCCAAGCCATGTATAACAAAGTATTTCTCCTTGGATATAAAATAACCTTTTGGTTTTACCACACTGTCTTTTGTAGCTTTAATGCTTAGTCATAGTTATCCACATCTAACAAGCATAAATAAGCATGAACTTGTCATAGAACTTCCTCTAGTTCTTTCATAACCAGGGATGCCGTAGTTGATTCTAAAGTATCTTATTCAGAAGAATTACAGAGGTGGATAATGTCCTGTATTTGGGTAGCAGATAGAGAAAGAAGATATGTTTCTACCTCAAACATTCCAAAAGCATTATATAAGATGTCTGCAAAAATATATATTTGTACTCCTAGATGTTGGTTCTTAATATAAATTTTAGCAGATTAAAATTCTGTATGATTTTATAATCTTTCAAGCCTTTAGATTTTTTTTTTTTATAGCTTCTCAGTGGAACTTGGAGTCTGGTAAAAAGATTTATGTTGAATGCAAATATTGTCAATATATTTTACTAATAATGTAAACTATCCTTTTTAAAGATTTTTTCCTGTTCATATACAGTTATCACTCCTAAAATTCTTATTCTTTCAAGGATGAAATGGATTAAAAAATGGCATCAGCAACTGTCATTTCTACAATGGTAAAATGTGTAAGTCATTTCTGCTGGCAAGGCTGTTTACTTGGACTGACATTTGGCATAGGGCAATCTGGGCATGTATACCATGTAGAATATCTTGATGAATTCGGATTGAGGAAGGACTTTTTTTGAGATATGGTCTTGCTCTGTTGCCCAGGCTGGAGTGTGGTGATTATAGCTCACTGTAACCTTGAACACCTCTTTTCAAACAGCCCTCCTGTCTGGGCCACCTGAGTTGCTAGGATTACAAGCATGAGCCAAAGCACCCAGTAGTAAGGATTTCTCAAAGTTTCAAAAGCAAAACATAATGTGCAAAATATTAAATATATTATAATAAAATCAAGGAATTTTTATTTAATGAAGTAAATCACAAAGTGAATAGAAAGAGAACACGTGTAAGAGAATATTCACAATGTCTAAAAATGAAACAATATCTAGAATATATAAAGACTTCTGCAAATCAATAAAAAGAGGGGAGAGTTAAGAGTGAAACAGGTAAATGGTATAACTGGGCAATTTATAAAAGGAAACAAATAAAAAGAATATATTTGAAATAATTGATGCTTAGACATGGAAATTTTTAAAAGAAAAATGTAGCCATATCCACTACACTGGCAAAAGTTTAAAAATTTTTAAAACTTTAAAAGTCAAAGTTTTAAAGTTTTAAAACTTTAAAAGTCAAAAAATTTGCTGGTAGATGTTGGTGATATGACACTTCCATGCATTGCTGGCTGGAGGAAGCCCAGAAAACAGTCATTCTGTAAATCAATCTAGAAATATTCAAGCAAATTAAATGTAGACATAATGTATAATATAGAGGTAGTGGCATATTTCAAATAAATCCCTACAGTATTCCAAGTGGGATATTTATAAGCATGTTCATTGAACATTATTTATGGTGCCCGGATTTGGAGGTAATACAGCTTTCTGTCATTAGAGAGTGGTTTGACAAATATGATGGGTGCATACCATGAACTATCATGAAATAATTAAGTGATAGATTAGATGCACATATAGTAATAGGGATGGGTTTCAAAACCAGATTCCTCCATGAAAAATAAAATGGGTGATATAGAAAAACGAACATGGGATTAAATGCATACCAATAAAATGACACATTTTGAAAGAACACAGATATATAAAATATATACAAAATTAACACATAATGGTCTATTGGAATGCAAGGCAAATTTAGTGTCATAGATGGGAATAAAATAGAATAGATAAGACTGAATAGCAAAGGAGCCATAAACGTTCCAACAGTGATATGTTAACATAACTTAAGTGAACAAGCAACTAAT
Source organism: Homo sapiens (assembly GCF_000001405.40). Lineage (NCBI taxonomy): Eukaryota > Metazoa > Chordata > Mammalia > Primates > Hominidae > Homo > Homo sapiens. Next base: position 195,712,671 of record NC_000001.11, on the reverse strand, counting down.
AACATAAATAACTGAACAAGTATCAAAATCTGTGAAATAAAAATTTAAGAATGTATGTCCATGCCCATACTTGCCACCTTTTGATCTACCTAACAATGTAATTTTATACATAAATCTCCAATGTTGTTTTGTTTTAGATATTTTATATTTTTAGTGCTATTGTTAATAGGATTTATCTTCATTATATGTTCTAACCTGTCAAATACACCTTATAGAAAAATAATTTATTCTTTATTTTAGGATTTTTAAATCAAAACCAACATTTATTAATTACAGTTGATGTAATTAATATTACATTTATTACAACAATTAAAAATTACAGTTGATGTAATTTTTCTGGGTCTCGTGGGCAAAAAAGTGTTTCTTCTGTAGAAAATTATTCTCATTTTCAATATTTACAGACTTATTTTCTTTTCTAACTGAATTGTTTTGAAATAACCGAGCTATTATGCATGAGCCAACAGCATCTTGTTGGCTGTTCTGATTTTTAGTATTTATACAGTTTTGTTTTTATTCATAGCTGAATTGTTGGATTATAACAGCTATTTTAAACAAACGTGAATTCTTTCATCAATGTCTTGTCATTCCATCGTCACTTTTATAAATGATTTTGACTTTAGATATGTGACATATTCATTGTCACACTGGAAAGTTTCCTTTTAATAATAACTTACAATGACCTTTCTTTGCTATTTGCATGATTTTCATAATCTGATGTGATTAAAATAAAAACTTCTAACATACATATAAATTACACATTTTTAATAGAAAAAGTTCCAACAATTATTGCGATTGTAAAAGTGGACTACTATACACTATGCTCCTAATCATGTGTAGGATTTGTAGGTTTCTTTAAGTTGAGCAGAAGGGATAGGGTGTTTATTAGTTTTCTCTTGCTTTGTAACAAATTACATAAAACATATTAAAATAGCACACATTTATTATCCCACATTTTCTATAGGTTAGAAGTTCAAGCATGGCATGGCTGGATTCTCTGCTCAGAGACTCATGATGGGACTGAAATCAAGGTGTGTTGGTGGGGAAAATGAAACTTGGAATCTTCTTCCAAGGTCTTGTTGAAATAATTAATTTATATACAGTTGGAGAATTGAGGTTCCCATTTTCTTTGAACTGTTGTTCAGAGACCATTTTCAGCAACTAGAGGCTGCCACAGCTCTTGGCTATGTGGCTTTATGGGCATGAGACCTCCGTAGTCAATCTGACTCCATACTCTGAAGGACTCTATGCTTGGTTTTAATGCTCTGTTCTTATCTTGAAATTATTTGATCTGTAAACTTGTGTTTTTTATTTGAAGCCTAATGGAATAATGGGGCATGTGCTGAGAGCTTGGAACCTCAACTCATGTACATGTCCTCTCCCTGTCATCACTCTCTTCCCAGCAGGGGCCTAGGTACTCATGAAATGGATAAAGTGGAGGTTGTACACACATGCACTGAAGTGTTTCAGTAGTGGATGGCAATAGCCATCCTCATCTGAGTAGACAGCACCAGACAGCACCCAGCTTTGTCAGGTAGGCATCCAGCTCGACTGTGTCCTTGCGAAAGAGAACCTACAACTTCTGTCCCACCCTCAATCTAGTATCTACCATGTCTTGCAGCAAAGGTTAAAAGACCCTTGGGGGATGCCTCTACTATGGATTGTAACCATGCGCCTGTAGCAAAGGGAGATGACAGACTTGGCTTTCCTAGACACCATCTCCAGCTAGGTTGTAGCAAATCCACCCGGAGGCTGGCAGGAGGTGGCATCCTTTAGCTGTCAGGCCTGGTGCTTGCCATTCATCAAGGGTGGCACTCTCAGGAGCCTTTGTGAGTTTATACTTGTCCCATGAGCATCCCTGCTGCCATAGAGTGCATACCCTTGGGTTGGCTCCTGGTCTGGAAGGGCCCTTTCTTTCTTGTTCAAACCTTCCTGAATCTGGCTTACATCTTTTTTCTTCAGGCCTGCTAGAGGCACTGTCAGGGACAAGCTAAAAATATGAATTGTGCAATTTTTGTGATTCTGCAAATTTAGTTGCTCTAATATTTATATTTAAAAGTGATATCACATGATATAAACTTAAATGGTAGCATGCATGCAAATAATATACAATTTACATTTTTTCTTATAAAGATAAATAAAAAGCATCATGGCAATTTGAAAGGGAAACCACAGAAAGAAAATAATATATATTTTAATACCTTTAACAGGGCTCTTTTTCCTGTTTTTAAAATAAGAAGCCCTCATTTTGAACATGGGCATCCATAATTTATGGAGATACACAAATTATGAAGTGGGCCCTGTACCCACATCCTCATGATACCTACTTTGTAGACAATCTGCTTTTTGTTTTATGATTTTTAGAGTTAAGTGCTTTGTTAGGAGTATGTTTTTAGTCTAAAACAGATAGGTATATGATTTAGTATTCAGTTGGCTGTATGTAGCAGGCCGTTGATACGGTTTGGATGTTTTTTCCTTTCCAAATCTCATGTTGAAATGTGACCTCCAGTGTTGCAGGTGGGCCTCGTGGGGTGGGAGGTGTTTGCCTCATGGGGGCAGATCCCTCATGAATAGCTTGGTGCTGTCATCGCATTAATGAGTGAGTTCTCACTCTATGAGACAGCATAAGATCTGGTTGTTTAAAAGGCCTGATACCTCCTTCCTCTTTCTCTTGCCATATGCTGGCTGCCCTTTTGCCTTCTGTCATAACTGTTAGTTTCCTGAGGCCCTCACCCAAAGCAGATGCTGACACTATGCTTCTTGTACAGCCTGCAAAACCACTTTTCTTTATAAATTGCCCAGCTTCAAGTATTCCTTGGTAGCAATGCAAAATGGACTAACAAAAATAAATTTAGAAGTGTTTAAAAATGGAGGTTTCATTTTCTTATATTTAACACAATTTTTCAGACTGACAGGTCTAGGAGGTATTCAAGAATTCCATCATATTAAGGCTCAGAGTCAATGTCTCCATGTTTCTTTTTATCACTTAATCACTGTCACCAGCATCCAGTCATTCTCAAACAATGCACAAACCTGAAGCAAAAGGAGAATTATCTTCACACACTTTATCAACACACTTCTGCAGGGCCATAGGCTGGGATTGTATCTGTGCTCAAATATAATTAAGGCTGAGAAAGTACCTTGCATTTTCAGCTCCTATTATTACTAGAGGTAAGCTCTGATAGCCCAAAAAAAAAAAAAAAAGTGTTGGGGAGATATGGGAAAGAGGTGTAGAGTAGACAAAAGGCACCGTGAAGTGATGCATGTAACTGGCTCAATGGCAGCTCAGCAGATCTGAAGAGCAAGGGGTTTGGAACTGGACCCAAGACCTACTATATGAAGTGTCTTTTGGTTTCACTCTCTTGTCTTCCATCTTTTATCTCTTAACATGCCTTCTTAATTTGTGTTTTTCTCTCAGAAAAACCTTTGCATGACAGTTAAGAAAGCCACAAACAACCTTTTTTTGCTCTCTAAATACAGTGAAAATTGTTTTTCTATGGACTTCCAAATAAAAATTCCATAGAAGTCCTTTAACTGTCTCTGATGGGGTGATGTTTGCATGACTTGTGGCATTCATTATTGCCAGGTAGTTGGATATTATGACCGACTAGGCCATAATATCATTTACCCAGTGATAAGAGTGTACTCTTATCACTGGGTAAATGGAGGATAGTGGTTTGGGGTGGAGAAATAAAGGACTGGAATTGAAAACTTTATCATAGGTATTGACATGAGTGAGAATATTTTCTCAAAAAGATTTTTTTTTCTAATACACTATCAATTCTATTTTGTGAGTTCGAACAGTTAATTAGATATTTTAGCATGAGATTTCTAGATTCATCACATTCTCTTGCTCTCAATCAGAATTTGTTTTGTTTTTCTTCAGTTTTATTGTCTGTTGCAGTTATTGTACGTATCAGCTTATTTCTCAGAGTTCTTTAAAAACATATTGGGGGGAACACAATACAGATGTATAACAGTACTATATTCAGCTATCTTTTAAAATATTTTACAATCCATATTCTTTTCACGTTATCTTGAGTGTTTTATGTTTCAGACTGCTTTCACTAGCCCTGTAATGGTGTTTTTGATTTTTGTATTTACTTTTATGAAAATGAAGGAAGTCCCAATCCTCACAGATTTGTTGTACTATGTTCATCTCTGCATGATAGCTTTTAAAATCTACTCGAGGTTAAAGCCATTATGAGAAGCCAAGGAAAGTAGTACCCACATGGGGAGAGTGGAAGAGGACCCATGGTGGGAAGACCTTAGCTGATGTTAGAACTTGAGCAAGATGAAGCAAGCCTATTAGTAGGCGGGCTAATGAATGCATAGTCAGGTGGGAGACCACGTTTGGAGATAGCTTGGCAGGAGGGTTGAATTTACAGTTAATCCATTTAAGTCAACATCCCTCTGATATGTAAACATCAAGTATAAACAATTTAAAGCAATTTAATATAGCTCTCGTCAAGTTACAGCCTTGTAAGCATCAGTAAGCATCAAGAAAATATATTTTCTAGTTTTAAACTACAGTAAAATATGTACATGGACATGAGAGGGCATATGTAAAATGAGATATCTCAAGGTTTCTCTTTTTCAAATTAATGCTTAAATTCCTTAGATTATGCTTACAGAAACAGAAAATTCTGTTTCTACTCATTTTCCTTACACTGAATAATCTTATGTTAAAAGATTTGCACCATCTTATTTCTGAAAGATTTACTGTTAAGACAATATGTGCCAAATACTAGGCTGGGTACTGGGGATAAGAGATGAATAAGTATGTAGTGAAGAAATAGCTTTACTCAATGAGAAATGGAGCCTTTGCTCCAGCACCTGTAAGGTAACCTGTAAACCTGAGTGTTAGGAATTTCCTGAACGACGGGTGTGCCTCTGTGTTGTTGATGGGCCCCTTTGACCACACTTGATAGTTTATGCTAAGAGGCGACCCATGGTCTATGCCAAAACAGTGTATGGTAATAACATGGCTCAGGATGGAAGCTGGACATGCCAGCAGTTGCTTTTGAGGACTTAGTCATAAATTCTTTCCCAAGGCCGATGTCCAGAATGATGTTTCTTAGATTTTCTTCTAGAATTCTTGTAGTTTGAGGTCTTACTTTTAAGTCTTTAATCCATCTTCAATTAATTTTTGTATTTGGTGAAAGGTAAAGGTGTGGTTTTATTCTCTGCATATGGCTAGCCAGCTTTCCAGGCACCATTTATCGAATAGGGAGTCCTTTCCCCGTTGGATGTTTCTGTCAACTTTGTCAAAGATCAGATGATTGTAGGTATGTGGCTTTATTTCTGGGTTCTCTATTCTGTTCCATTGGTCTGTCTGTTTTTGTATCCGTACCATCCTGCTTTGGTTATAGCCTTAAAGTACAGTTTAAGGTCAGGTAATGTGATGCCTCTGGCTTTGTTCTTTTTGCTTAGGATTGTTTTGGCTCTTGGGGCTCTTTTTTGGTCCTATGTGAATTTTAGAATAGTTTCCTTTTTTATAGTTCTGTGGAAAACAACATTGGTAGTTTGATAGGAATAGCATTGGATCTGTAGACTGCTTTGGGCATTACGGCCATTTTAGTGATACTGATTCTTCCAGTTCACGAGCATGGAATATTTTTCCATTTGTTTGTCTCATCTATGATTTCTTTCAGCCAAGGTTTGTAGTACTCCTTGTAGAGATCTTTTACATCCTTGGTTAAATGCATTCCTAGGGTGTGTGTCTGTGTGTGTGTGTCTATTGCAAATGGGATTCCATTCTCGATTTGACTCTCAGCTTGAACGTCATTGGCATATAGAGATGCTACTGATTTTTGTAGACAAATTAGTTATAATGACTAAACAGAATAAAATCCTTTCTATTATAAAACATGCCCTTTCTCACTGTAACAATGTCAAAAATATATAAAGCCAAATCTTCTTGTAATCTCAGATGGTCATGAATATGTAGTAATCTTAAGTAAACATTTTATTAATATTAAATTAGTTCAGAAAAGTGTACCTCTAATAAAAGTAAAACTCAGTGACTGTTCACAAACTGAACATACCTGTTTAACCAGCTCCCAAATACAAAAAGAATGCTAACCTCCCTGAAGCCCTCTAGTAGCCTTATCCAGTCACTGTTTTCTCCCCACCCAGCAAAGGTATCCACCATCCTGACTCCTAATGAAAAGTTATTTTGTAGCATAATTCTTAAATGCATCTCTATTCAGTAAAAAATCTATTATTAGTTCTCCCCAGTAATAGCGCACCATTTGGGTTTTGAATGATAATAATGTTTATAGACTGGTGACCCAAGGTTCAACATTTACCATAAAAATATGATTTAATTTTTAGCTATCACATCTGCATACTCACACCTTAACTTTACTCTGTGGTTTGCTCTTGGGCCCATCCACCCTCTAGTCTATACGTATCAATTTTTCTATATTCAGCATGATGTGAACATTTTCAGTAAATAACTAGGAAGCAAATAGAAATAAGTCGTGAGTTTTTCCGTGGATTTAAGGATATGCAATACTATACACTAAGGTGAACAGAAACAAAACAGATAGTTGTGGGGGAAAAATATCAGATACAATGTACATGAAGAAAGTTTCCATCTCCGAAGATCAGTGGTACACTCTGAAGAACACAATTAAACTTGATGCTGTCAATATTCATTCACAATACATTATTGAAAGTGAAAGTGAATATTTGTGTTATTTAGCCAAACTAATACCTGATAAATAAATCTTGTTAATAATGTCAACAAATAATTATTGCTCAACTGTGTGTACAATCACAGTGACTGAAATCCATTACATTTTAAGGCATTTAATTTTAGGACAATATTAATGACTGCTGTTTTTCTTGCTGTACACAAATTTTCTCGTTTTTTTTCACCTATATCTGATATTTTGGTTTTGGTTTGGGGGCTCCAAGCAAAATATATAAAATTTCTTTCCCATATGGCCACACTAAAGTAATGAAATTGATGGAAGATGTCATTAACTTCAAATTTCATTTTATTCAAAACAACTGTCCATAGTTCCATTGATTGTCCTTCACTTGATCTTGTTTAATTTCCTTTCCCATGTTTACCCCAGTCAATCAATATAGTATTATCTTTCTTCTCATTCTTTTTATATTTTTATTTTTAATTGATGAATTATAATTGTATACATGTATATGATACTTTGATATATGTATACATTGTGTAATGATTAAATTTAGCTTATATCTATCACCTCACAAACCTATTATTTTTTGTGGTAAGAACATTTGAAATTTACTCTTGTAGCAATTTTAAAAATATGAGGCTTTATTATTAACTATAGTTATCATCCTGTGCAATAGATCTCAAAAACTTATTCCTCTTGTGTAACTAAAACCTTGTATGACATCTTAATCTAAATTACAATAGCCAATGAAATCATTCATGACTACACTTAATCATTAATGCCTTTCGAGTTTCACAAAATGTAAATGTTTTCAATGGCTTTATTATGCCACTAAGAAATTGCAAATCATATGACCTCATCACGTAAGCCACCTTATTAAGTTTATTAGTGTAGGTAAGACATAAATCTGATTTTTAAAATATCTGCATAACCAGTCTTTTCTGTCTGAAACTGTTTTGGAATAAATATGTGCTGAAACAGTTAAAGAATGAAATTCTTGTCTTTTCTAATGTGAGAAAAAATGAGATTTATTCATAAAAATACTTGTTATTTTAATTATAAAGGGTAGAGCCCAGATTTTACATTTGATTGCATACATTTAAATGCATTATGTAATTTATAGTCATAAATATTGTTAGTTTCATTAAAGAGTTTTATTTTATTAAATATTTAGTGGATTTCTGCTATGTATTGGACTTTATTCTAGGTGCTTAGGATATAGCAGTAAATAAAACAAACATTTCTGCCCTTCTATAGCTTATAAACCAATGCTTATAGCAATTACAGACTTTTCTCAGGCTCACATAAATGCAAGGGGCAGAATTAGGAAAATTCTAATATAATGAGGCTCTAGCCAGACAATGATAAATAATAGTGGAAAAATATTTCATTTGTTTCTTCGACAAGCACAAAGAATCACAGACTTTAAGGACATTTTCCCTTGATTATAATAATCAGGAATCCTCTATTTTTCTTGCTCTGTCAAGAACGTAAAATGCTAAATTGCATTTACATTCTTGTAAATGCAATTTACAAGATTTGTAAAATGCAAACTCTTAACCATTCTATATAAATTTTTTCCTTCATAAAATGATGAAACAGTGTAAACACTGAGATGAATATATGTGGCTTTGACTAAAGGCGGGAATCACTATGAATGTCTTTCAAAGAACAATTATCAGTCAAAGTAGTGCCATTGTAGATCCTATTTATTTGATAACTCTGTAAAGATTCAATTATGCTATATTAATCTGAATATGGAAATGTCCTTCAAATAGTATTAATTAAACACATAATTTTGCTGAAGTTGCAAGACTGGAACATTGTTTTCTATTTGCTAATTTCATTTTCCAGAAGTTTGATGCTTTCCTAGCTAAAAGGAAAAATAATTAAAGGGCAAAAATAGAATGTATTTTGTACCAAAGATTTAGTGACGTAAATTTAAAATTAAAGGAGGCTTAATAAAATCTTTACTAAACTATATGATTTCTAATAATTACTTTGAAATTTTCTTTTTAAAAATTATTTGCTCTGTACACATAAAAGTTTATTTCTCCTTAAGGTTTTTTGCAGAGATTGCTCTCTTGCAGGGATGCTACTCCCCATTCTTTAAATGAGGACTCATTTTAAATGTCATTTCCTCAGTGTGACCCCCCAGACCCCCAAGGTCATACAATCTAACATAGCTGCCACTACCACTATTTTCTTTCACCACATCTTGCAATTTCTTTCATATCATTTATCATATTATATCCTTATTTGTATATTTGTTTAATGTTTGGTTTGTCACTCTAAACTTGTTAGGAGAATATATTTAACACCTTACTCAGGCATGGCATATAATACATTCTCAATATTCTTGTCAAACAACAATTGTCAAAGTTGAGAAATAAATTGAAGATATTATTAAATTATCTGAAAATTAGTCTTGTTACAATGCTAAATTGATCAATTTTATTACATATGGCTTTAACATAGTCTAGCATTATTAATCTATAAATAGTCAAATATGTAGGTGATTGTGTACAACTGTAGTTCATGCTTTTTGAAGAGTAAGATGCTCCTGATTGTTTAAGCAGGGATTGTTTGAGTAGCACAATCTCCTTTTTGTTAATTAATTCATCATTTCACTAAGTGTCTTAAGGAAGATGGCTCCATCCTTTGTTCAAATGCAAAGTCTAGTTGGTGCTAAGCCAAAGAGATTTCCATTCCTTTTGCCAGTGATTGGCTTAGGGGTTAGTGTTGTGGGAAGTCAGGGACCCGAACTGAGGGACCAGCTGAAGCCATGGTGGAAGAACATAAATTGTGAAGATTTCATGGACATTTATTAGTTCCCCAAATTAATACTTTTATAATTTCTTATGCCTGTCTTTACTGTAATCTCTGAACATAAATTGTGAAGATTTCATGGACACTTATCACTTCCCCAATCAATACCCTTGTGATTTCCTATGCCTATCTTCACTTTAATCTCTTAATCCCATCATCTTCACAAGCTGAGGAAGGATGTATGTTGCCTCAGGACCATGTGATGATTGTGGTAACTGCACAAATTATTTGTAGAGCATGTGTGTTTGAACAATATGAAATCTGGGCACCTTGAAAAAAGAACAGGATAACAGCAACGTTCAGGGAACAAGAGAGATAACCTTAAAATCTGACTGCTGGTAAGCCGGGTGAAACAGAGACATATTTCTCTTCTTTCAAAAGCAAATGGGAGAAATATCACTGAATTCTTTTCCTCAGCAAGGAACATCCCTGAGAAAGAGAATGCACCCCTGAGGGGAAGCCTCTAAAATGGCCGCTTTGTGGGTGGCTGTCTTTTATGGTTGTAGAGGTGGGATGAAATAAGCCCCGGTCTCCCGTAGCGCTCCCAGGGTTATTAGGACGAGGAAATTCCTGCCTAATAAATTTTGGTCAGACCGGTTGTCTGCTCTGAAATCCTGTCTCCTGATAAGATGTTATCAATGACAATGCATGCCCAAAACTTCACTAGCAATTCTAATTTTGCCCTGGTCCTGTGGTCCTGTGATCTTGCCCTGCCTCCATTTGCTTTGTGATATTTTATTACCTTGTGAAGCCTGTGATCTCTGTGACCCACACCCTATTCATACACTCCCCTTTTGAAAATCACTAATAAAAACTTGCTGGTTTTGCGGCTTGCGGGGCATCACGAAACCTGCCGACATGTGATGTCTCTCCCAGACACCCAGCTTTAAAATTTCTCTCTTTTGTACTCTGTCCCTTTATTTCTCAGACCGGCTGACACTTAGAGAAAATAGAAAAGAACCTACGTGAAATATTGGGGGTGAATTTTACCAGATATGTTAGCATGTGATGCACCTCTGGTGAATGAGAGTTACAGGGAAGTCTGGTGGTATTTCTGTGTACATTTTCTTTTTCTTAAGGTGAGACATAGGAAAGTTTGTTCACTTATGCTTCAGGTAATTATTGTGTATGGCATGCTCATGATGACAAAATAAAAGGAGGGAAAGAATCTGGGTCCTTGATGTCATCATTGTGTGAATGAATTAATCAACAGTAAAAACACCTAAGTTCTGAATTTCTATTTAGTGAAAGCAGGTTTGAGAGGATTTTTCTTATATCTTCAGTCAAAAGCTTTGAAGTACATTTTCAAAACAATAATGCATAATTTTTTAAATGTTGAACAATATTTTGAAACATTGTTACTTTAAAATAATATGTGAAATTTAGGACTGATACTAGTGAATTCTATTTCAATAAATTATTTAATGTGCATAATTATTTCACCTTGATGGTCAATAAGAAGATTGTCTGTGCATTAGTACAGAATAAAAGAGATAAGTTTAGTTAAACTGGATAAGAAACATGCAATTATCTACTGTTTTCCCATTAAAATCTTCATCATAAATTACTTTATGCCAAACAACATAATAGCTATACCTCAGCTGGAGTTTAAATTCATCATCTGACACTGTGGGAGTCAAAATGTTACGGTATCAAGTTTATGAACTTCTTTACTTTCAACGTGACTTAGCTAAAATATACAGCTTTAATGATTAATGTAGATAACAATTAACATGCACATTTGTCTGCCATGGGATGCTTGCTTAATTTTCATGGCACATGGCATTAAAATAAATGATCGTTTTCATGTGATCTTCTCAAGCTTTATGGCTGAATTTGTGATACTCAGCAATTTTAATGACTATATTATTAAATAAACCATTAATAATAATCATAAGTTACTTCCATAACGTTGTTTACATATAAGAAAATATTCTAAGATACTATATTAACTGAATATTTCTAAAAATATTATGAAATAAAAAATTTTACTGTCTTCTTAGAGATGTGCAAATCGATGCATAGAGGGACTATGAGTTGCCCTGGGTCCTTCAGATCCTAGGTTGTGAAGACAGCCTGAATGTACTTTTAACCACTGTGTTGGCTCCTTTTTATTAGATAGAAAACATACAGAGAATAAACATTCAAGTAATTTTTATTCTATTAAATATGTGGTTTATTATTTGAAATATTTTACTTGTATTAAATAAAATACCATTTTATACCACTAGTACACAGATACATTTAATTCACTGTTTCTGAGAGGTGTCATAAAGTTTTAACTTAAGGTTAACTTCTGAATATAGTAATTAATTTATTATAAAACATAGGGAAAATTTCTAGTAAGAAACAGTTATATTTACTGAACTAATTGTTGTTTTTAAAGCTAGGGCTATCATCTGGCCCATCTGCAAAAATGAGTTTTGAATTAAACTGTCAATGTAATTCATTGGGTTCCTTTGCAGTTGCAACAGCCCTGTATTTAAAATCTATTTTATCAATAAGCTGCTGAAGAAATTACTTATGCAAATGATAGACCATAATAAATAACATTCCCAGAGGTGCAAATTAAAAATTCCTTATTTTCCAAAGGTAAGTTTCATTCAAGCTTCAAAGATTGAATATTGCAAAGAAGCTTGGGGGAGAACTGTAAAGTCATTAACCATGTACGCACAGGAAAAATAATTAAGAAGTCAAATAAAATTGATTGCTAAATATTAGCATTAAATAATTATCTCCTGTCAGTACATTGTAATATTTTGGTGGTTGAAGATATCTATGAATTTTTCCCATTGATATATCTTCCCATCTATCTTAGATCTGTGCACATCATGCATTTAGTCATCTGAGCAAAATTCCTTACAAGTCTAATATCTTCCTTTTTTTGTTAATTTTACACTAAGGTGTGCACTCCAGATAATACTTTCTTATAAAAAGCCACTGAAGTATAAAGAAATATAAATATTTTATAAATTTTGATAGCCCAAAGGAATTAGGCTTACTTTAAATAGTACCACTTATACATTGATAAATATTTTATACATTTACCCTTTATTGAGGAACCCTTTATTTAAGACTTACTATACACTTAGATGAAACACATATATGAAAAAAAGAAGATGAACTCTCTACCCCCAAGGAATTAACATTTTGGTGGAAGAGCTTATATAAGATGGTCACGTAATATGGTCATAGGTATGATATAATTGAAATCTCACAACATAAATATATGACATTTATTTTTAATTTACAAATAAACTAAATTTTAAGAAGTACCTTGTTGAAAATTATATACTATCTTTGCAGTCATAAGGACCTTCCCCAGATCTTTCTACACTTACACTTTCTCCTAACCTTGCTATCTCCATTTTTTTCATTTTCTGCACTGCAGTAAAAGTGATAGTCCTACAACTAAAAAATAAAAAATAATTTTAAAAAAGACCATGCTGGTCTCCTGTTTAAAACACTTAAATTCTGACAATTGCTTTCAGGGTAATATCCAACTTCCTCAACATGAATATGGTTTGCTTAAATTTGATCCAAAAACTGGTTTGAGAGGTAGGGGTGCTCCTGGGGCTTTTTCTTTCATATCACAGATTTTGGAGGACGTCATTATTGGTTAAGAGTTGGAAGCACTGAAGCACTGTTCCGAGTATAACAATAGGTGTCTAGGAGCCCATTCCCTTTCTTGAAGGAACTTAAGAATGTCTTTGGTGACAGAAAGCCTTTTTTTTTTTTTTTCTTAACATGGAATAAAAGTGAAAACAAAGTGAAAGTAGACTTTGCTGTCTTTGGCATGGCTGAGTAGCCTAAACATTTTGCAGCTATTAATGACCTGCTTTGAACCTGAAACTAATGGATAAGACAATCTAGGTAGCTTCTCAGATTTAGGCGCTTTAGGTGCTCTGATGAACAAAATGTGTGAGCTGCCTTGACTCCCAATTATTGGTGATGAAATATAGAGGATAGGACAGTGGCATCTCACAAAAGTCTCTCCATTTCTTTCCACAAAGGCCCTCTGCATCCTATCCCCTCTCTTGGGCCTAAAGCCTTTTTCTTTCATTGCCTCCACTCAGTCTTTTCCTTGCTTTCCAGCCTGGGCATGGGTGGTAAGTGAAAGGTTTCTTATTGCTTATATTGCTTGTTTCTTGGTTTTTCAAATCTCAATCATCTAGTCAAATAACTATATTCTTAAGTTATGAGGGTCAATGATCTATTCCCTTCCTCTCCCTCCCCTCTCTTTCTTCCTCTCTGTGTTTTACTTAGACATATATTCCACTAAAATAAATAAATATAACGTGCTGAATGCCTAACTGGAAAAAAAAGTAGAAATTAGTAACAGAGATATACTGTCAAAACTGGGATTGAAATGGCATAAGTTTGACATGTTGATCCTTGGCATACTTAAACTTCCATTAGAAAATAACTGAAAACATAAGAACAGGAAAAATATACAACTAATATGGGAAAATAAGTCTACCATTAATTTTCTGGAATTTGGAACTTGAGTCTGTTATTGAGGTGTTACAATTTTAGGACCATAAATTGACATTATTGGCTAATACACATTTCATTTCAGCCTTATGAATTTATGACTGTGACCATGCATAAGTTCACAGAAGGTTTAGGCTAATCATGTCCTATAGCTTTGAAGTATAAGAACCTTATCAAAGAACATTAAAGGTAATTGTCCCTCTCTCCAAATTAGCTTTTTAAAAGAGAAAGCATTTAAACTTTCAAAAATCCAGGCCGGGCACAGTGGCTCACACCTGTAATCCCAGCGCTTTGGGAGGCCGAGGAGGGCAGACCACCTGAGGTTTGGAGTTCGAGACCAGCCTGGCCAACATAGTGAAACTCCATCTCTATTAAAAATACGAAAATTAGCCGGATGTGGTGGGGTGGGGGAGGGCGCCTGTAATCCCAGCTGCTGGGGAGGCTGAGGCAGGAGAATTGCTTGAACCCAGGAGGCAGAGGTTGGAGTGAGCTGAGATCGCATTACTGCACTCCAGCCTGGGCCACAGAGTGAGACTCCATCTCAAAAAATAAAAATAAAGTTTTAAAAATCCAGTTTCTTTCTAAGATAAATTTTAAAAGAGACAGAAACACAAATATTAGGAAATTAAAAGAGAGGAATAAAACTAACCTTAACCCCAAATTAAGATCAAAACCAATAAGTGAAAACAAATCTTAAAAAGATCATATTGAATACCTAGGAGTATATTTACCTTTCTATAATTATCATTGCAAAGTGAAAATAAATCAAATAATGTTTTATTAAAAATAACTAAATTTGGCAGGGTGCGGTGGCTCACGCCTGTAATCCCACCACTTTGGGAGGCTGAGGTGGGCGGATCACGACATCAAGAGATAAAGACCATCCTGGCCAACATAGTGAAACCCTGTCTCTACTAAAAATACAAAAATTTAGCTGGGTGTGGTGGTGCGTGCCTGTAGTCCCAGCTACTCGGGAGGCTGAAGCAGGAGAATCGCTTGAACCTGGGAGGCGGAGGTTGCAGTGAGCCGAGATCACGCCATTGCACTCTAGCCTGGCGACAGAGTGAGACTCCATCTAAAAAAAAAAAAAAAAAAAAAACCTATATTAAAAAATAACCATGATGTAATTTCAAGAAATATTCAAATATCTACCACTTTCCATATGCTGTTTGAGGTATCAAAAGTTATTTTTAAATATTAAAAAAGAATGTACACTACCAATATTAGCTTGTCACTTAACATTTTCTCTTTATATCCCAAATTCATTGCATGATGCTAGAACAATGGATTAGGTAATGTACCTTGATGGTGCTCTTTACAGCTGTTAGTTTCATTTGCTATCATTGTGGTAAGCCTCCTCTCCACAAAGCAACCTCACTGTTTTCATTCTTTAGTATAGCTAAACACATTCTGTCGCATCACACCTAAGTCTTTCACACTGAATACTAAATTATCTAATAACAATAATAGTCCAGTAAGAGGCTGAATTAATTAGAATTTCAAAGCACGGACTCTAGGACAAATGGTCTGGGTTTATATCCCAGCCATTCTATTTACTATGGGCACATGAACTTTCTATCTATAAAATATGAATGCTAATAATACAACTTACCTCAGATGATTGCTGTGAAGAACACGTGAATTAAGAGTACTTGAAAAATAAAACACTTAAAAGAGGTGATGAAACACAGGAAAACATTTTTTAAATGCTAGCTATGCTACAATATTACTATAATTTGAATGATGTGAGGACAGAGCCTTATTTTTCCTTTTATACATTAATATATTTTCAGTCCTTAGAATAGATAATAACACATGGTAGGTGCTCTAAACATTCTGTTGAATAAGTGAACATTTACCAAACACTTTTAACTGTCAGGCACTGGGATAAATATTTCATATGCATTACTTCTTTCATTTTGCTAATAAACCTTTGCATTTAATAGACTTGTATGTTCCTTTTCCTGACACGGGGATTAAAACATATGTTAAATTAATTGCTGAGTATTACCTGTTTAGGAAGCTTATTAATTTCCTATTTCTGCTATAAAAATTACCAAACTTAACAGCTTAAGCAACCCATAATTTTCATCTTACAGTTCTGGATTTCAGAAGTCCAAAATATGTTATATCAGGCTAAATTCATGGTATTAAATGTTTAAGTTTATCTCTGGAGGCTTTTGGGGGGAAACTGTTTTGTTGTTGTTGTTGTTGTTATTGTTGTTTGTTTTCCTTTTGCCTTTTCCAGCTTCTAGAGGCCTTCTGATTTCTTCAGCTTATGGCTTACTTCCTCCTATACAAAACAAACACACACACAATGAAAACACCCAAAAAGTGTAAACCCTGAGAAGAACAAAATGTTTTAGTTAAAAGGACTGTAGAAGACTCAAATAAATAAAATTGAAAACACAAAAGGGGACATTACAACTGATACCATTAAAATGAAAAAGGATTATTAGAGAGACTATTACAAACAACTACATGACAACAAAATCGAAAACCTAGTGGAAATGGATAAATTCATAGATACATACAACCTACTTAGATTGAACCAAGAAGATTGAACCTGAACAATTGCAAGTAACAAGATTGAATCTGTAATAAAAAAGACTCCAATCAAAGAAAAGTCTAAGGTCTGATGGCTCGTCTGCGGAATTCTATCAAAGAAGTAATATCAATTTTCCTCAAAACTCTTTCAGAAAATTGAAGAAAATTCTTCTAAATTCACTTCATAAGACCAACAGTATCCTGATACTAAAACTAGACCAGAACATAAAAACAAAAGAAAACTATAGGCCAAGATACTTGATAAACATAGAAGCAAAACTCCTAAACAAAATACTAGCAAACAGAATCCAGCAGTACGTTAACATGATTATTCACCATAATCAAGTGGGATTTATCCCAGGGATACAAGGATGATTCAACATACTCATATCAACAGACTTGATCCATCACATCAACAGAATGAAGAAAAAACAACAATATTTGTTAAGTATTCAACAAATATTGTGGGGGAGGGAATGAGCCTAAAATTATAGGTTTACCTTTGAGACTTTGCCTCCAAACTTCCAACAAAATATGATCTATAATCTATTTTCACCAATGACAGATATTTATTGAGCACTTTTTCTGTGGGAGGCTCATATGATTTTTCCATCTATGCATAAAAAGCATTTGATAAAACTCAACATCTCATCACGATAAAAACTCTCAAAAAACTAAGTAAAGAAAGAACATATTTCAACACAATAAAGGCCATATGACAAAACCACAGCTAGCATCATACTAAATGGAGCAAAGCTGAAAGCTTTTTATCTAAGAACTTGAATAAGTCAAGGATGTCCACTCTCATCACTCTTATTCAACTAGTCCTAGTCAGTTCAATTAGGCAAGGGAAAAAATAGAGGGCATCCAAATTGAAAAGAAGGAAGTCAAATTGTCAAGTGGTCAAATTGTTCCTGTTTGCAGACAAAATGATCTTACATATAGAAAATCCTAAAAGCTCTACCAAAAAACCTCTTAGAACTGATAAATGAATTCAGTAAAGTGGTAGGATACAAAATCAACATGCAAAAATTGGTAGTGTATTTATACACTATGACAAAATAGCAGAATAAAAAATCAACAAAGCAATCCCATTTACAGTAGCTATATATATAAAAAAAAAAACCTAGGAATACATTTAACAAAGGACATGAAAAGCCTCTACAAGGAAAACTATAAAACACTGATGAAAGAAATTAAGAGGACACACAAGAAAATGGAAAGACATCCCATGTTGATGGATGGGAAGAATTAATATGTGAAAATGACCATAATACCAAAAGAGATCTAAAGATTTAATGCAATACCTATGAAAATGCCAATTCATAGAAATGCTTAAAAGCTATAAAATTCATATGGAGACCAAAGACTTTAGGAAAGCAATATTCAGCAAAAAGAATAAAGCTGGAGGCATCATACTTCCTGGCTTCAAATCATACTAGAAAGCTATCATAATTAAAAATGCATGGAACTGGCATAAAACCAAACACAGACCAATGAAACAATGGAAAACCCAGAAATAAATTCACAAATTTATAGCCACTAATTTTTGATAAAGGCACTAAGAACATACATTAGAGAAAGGGCATTCTCTTTGATAAATGGTACCGAAAAAACTGTTATTAAACATTGTATGAAGGTTTCACAAAAAAACTATAAATAGAACTACAATATTAGGCGATTCCACTATTCAGTATATATTCACAATAAAGAAAATCAGTATGTTGAAGAAATAATTGCCCTCTCATGTTTATTGCAGCTCTATTCACAATAGCCAAGACATGAAATCAACCTAAGTGCCCATCAACAGTTGAAAGGATAAGGAAAATGTTTATATAAACACAATGGAATACTATTTAGCTACATAAAATAATGAAAATCTGATATTTACACAGAATGGATGAGTTTGGAGGATAAGTAAAATAAGGCAGAAACAGAAAGTGTTCTCATATGTGGAAGCAAAGAAAAATGATACCATAGCATGATTTATAATCCTTTGGGTATATACCCAGTAATGGGATCAATGGGTCAAATGGGTCTAGACCCTTGAGGAATCGCCACACTGTCTTCCACAATGGTTGAACTAGTTTACACTCCCACCAACAATGTAAGAGTGTTCCTATTTCAATATGACTATTTGTCATATTTTTTTAAGTTAATATAAAACAGACTCAGACATGTCCTTCAGGATGCATTCCAGAAGAAAGCCTTGTTTTCCTAGGAGATGACAGCTCCATGCATGTTATTGTCCCTGAAGACCTTCCAGTGGGACAGGGTGTGGAGGAGGAAGAAAGAGATATTGATTATCCTAACCCTGTGTAGGACTGGGCTAATGTGTGTGTGTTTGTGTTTTCATTTTTAACAAAACATTTACAAACTAAAAAAGAAAAAGAAATTTTACATAGAAAAAAGCTTATAGAATAAAGATATAAGAAAATGTTTTGTACAGCTTTAGAATGTTTGTGTTTTAAGCTAAATATTACAAAAGAGTCAAGTTTGCAAAAAAATAAAAAGTTTATAAAATAAAAAAATGATACAGAAGTAGAGGGTAGAATACTGGTTGCTAGAAACTGGAAAGGATGCAGAGGATAGCCATAGGTTGGTTAATGAATATAAAATTACAGCTAGATAGAAGGAAGACATTCTGGTGTTCTGTAGCACTGTAGGTTGACTACAATTAACAACCATTTATTGTATATTTTCAAAATCACTAGAAGAGTAAATTTTGGATGTTCCCTACCCAAAATAATGGGAAATGTCTTAGATGATAGATACGCTAATTACCCTGATTTGATCAGCGCATTGTATACATGCATTGAAACATTTCACTGTATCCCATGAATATGTACAATCATTATGTGTCAATTAAAAATAAATGCAAAAACCACAGCTATCCTAAAAACATATCATGATTGAACAGATAGGTAATACTAGGAAAATAAAAAAAATATAAAAATGCATATAGAATCAAAACCTAAAACAATTTCTTATGAAAAAAATTATATTCTGTATCGTATATCTGTTTTTTGAATCCTATAATAGAAAAAGACAAGGAATAGCAAGTGAGAGAGTATCTCCTTATGGTTTTGAATTCCATTTCCCAATGACTTATGTTTTTCATCTTTTTATGTGCTTTTTGGCATATCTTAATTGGAGAAATTTCCAGTAAAGCATTTTGCCCACTTTGAAACTAGGTCCTTTGTTTTTAAGTTGTGTTATAGAAGCTCTTTATATATTCTGAATATAAGACCTGTATTAGGTATATGCTTTGCATATATGTTCTCCCATTTTATAGTTTGTCTTACTTTTTTATAATGTCCCTTCATGCACAGAAGTTTTTACTTTTGATGAAATCCAATTTGTCCATTTTTTTGTTCATGTTTTTGCTGCCATACCTAAGAACCCACTGCCAAATCCAAGATCATAAAGATTTACTTCTATTTTTTCCTTAGAGTTTAATTGTTTAACTCATATTTGGGGTTGTTTTTCTACTTTGAGTTAATTTTGTATATGATGTGAGGTAGGAGTCTAATTTCCTTCTTTGCATGTGGATGACCAATTATTCCAGGACGGTATCTTGAAGAAATTATTCTTACCCCACTCAATGATCTTGGCACTCTTATTGCAAATGAATTGACCATGAATATATGTGTTTATTTCTGGATTCTTAATTCTGTTTGATTGATCTATTTATCTATGCTTATGCCAGTTCCACAGAGTCTTGGTAACTAACTGTAGCTTTGTGGTAAGTTTAGAAATCTAGAACACGGTCCTTTTTAAGATTGTTTTGGTTATTTTGAATCCCTTGCAACTCCATATGAATTTGGGGATTGGCTTTTCCATTTCTCCCAAAAGAAAAGGCCATCAAAATGAGGATTCAATTAATTTTATAAGTATTGTATTGAATCTGTAGATCACTTTGGGTAGTATTGTCAATTTAACAATATTACTGCCATGAACATGGAATGTTTTCCATTTATTTAGGTGTTCTTTTATTTCTTTCAGCTATATTTTTTGGTTTTCAGTAAACAAGTCTTTACCTTTCTTTGCTAAATGTATTCCTAGATATTTCTGGGTTCCTTTTAGTGTTATTGGGAAAGGAATTGTTCACTTAGTTTCCTTTTCTAATTGTTTATTGCTAGTATATAGAAACAGGACTAATTTGTTTGGGTTCATTTTCTATCCTACAACTTTGATGAATTTGCTTATAGCACTAGCAGTTTTGGTATGTGTATTTGTGTGTGTTTGTGTGTGTGCGTGTGTGTGTGTGTATACCTTGGAATAATCTATATATGGAATCATGTCATCTGCAAATAGACACTTTTACTATTTTCTTTTCACTTTGGATAGGTTTTTTTTTTTCAACTGGGTAATAGCTCTGACTAGAATTTCTACTACAATGGTAAATATTAATAGCATAGCAAAAGCAAGCATCCTTGTCTTGTTCCTAATGTCAGAGGCAAAGCTTTCAGACTTTTACCACTGAACATGATGTTAGCTAAGAGTTTTGCATACCTGCCCTTTTTAGGTTCAGGGAGTTTCCTTCTATTCCTAGTTATCTGAATGTTCTTATTGTGACAAAATATTAAATTTATTATGTTTCCTGCATCAATTGAAATGATAATTGTTTGTTTTTTTCCTTTTGGTTCTATTAATGTGGTTTATTATATTAATTAGTTTTCTTATTGTGAACCACATTTGCTTTCCTGATACAAATTCCATTTGGTCATTAAATAAAACATTTTTAATATGCTGTTTACAAAAGTACTATGTCTGTGATTTCTTACAGACAGTCAAAAAATAGTAAAAAACAATACAGTTTGCTAGTACTTTGTTGATAATTATTTCACTCATATTCATAAGGGATATTGATATGTAGTTTTCTTTAATTATAATGCCTTTATCTATTTTTGGTACCATATAATGCTAGCCTTGTAGAATAAGTTAATTTTCTACTAATATTTTGGGGGCAAATAAATTGGGAAAGATTAGTGTTAATTATTTTTAAAATGCTTGATCGAATTCATTAGTGAAACTATGTGGTTCTGGAATTTTGTTTTTTGGGATTTTTTTGATGTTTTTGATTACTGATTCATTTTCTTTACCTTTATTGAGTCTTCTCAGATTTTCTATTTATTGAGTTAATTTTGGTAGTTTGTTTATTTCTAAAAATATGTTCATCTAGTTTATTTAATTTATTGCAATAGATTATGGGTCAAATTTTACACCCCCTCCCAAAATACATATGTTGAATTCCTAATCTGCATTACCTCAGAATGTGACCTCATTTGAAAATATGGTCTTTGTAGATGTAAGCAGTTTAAAATAAAGCTGTCAGGGTAGACCTTCATCCAGTCTAACTGGTGTTTTCTTACAGAAGGGGACATTTGGATACAGACACAGGCATGAACAGAGGAGAGACCATGTGAAGAGTCACAGGGAGAATGCCATGTGAAGACAGAGGAATGGAATTATCCATCCACATGCAATAAAATGCCAAAGATTGCCAGGAAGTCACCAGAAGCTTGGAACAGTCTGGTAAGAATTTTTCTGCATGTTTCAGAGAGAGCATAAATAGCCTCAAGAGACACAATAAGGTTGGTTCTGACTGTTTTCTCATGTTTTTTGGTGTTTCTGGGGCAGATGGGCCCAGAATTTCTGATCACTCTACTTCTGGTGTCTCCCCTTGCCTGATTTTGTAAGCAAAGTTTTGCTGAAACACAGACACAGTCATTTGTCTATGGCTGCTTTTGAACCACAGTTTTAGAGTTGAATGGTTGCTAGCTAGATTGTATATGCTGCAAGCTTAAAATATTTAATAACTTTTCCTTTATAACAAGTCTGCAGACTCCTGTTTTAGAATTTTTGATGAACATGATATGTTGCAAAATAAAGTGTCTTATGTCTTTTGTTCTGACATATAATCCATTTCTTTCTTTTTATTGTTTTATTCCACTGGCTTGAAGATGATCAGTAAAATGTCGCATAAAAATATTGAAAGTGAATATTCTTGCCTTACTTCTAGTCTTAGGAAAAATGCATTTCATTCTCACCCTAATGTATGATGCTAGCTGTATACAAGAATATATTTCCCTTTTTAGCCCCCCTCCTTAAACTCCTTGACAAACATTTATACTTTTCAACAAATTTTAAATGTATTCAGCCATTATTTTTTCAAATATTTTACTATTGTTTTTCTCTTATTCTGGAGCCCACATGTATATATATATTCTAAACCAGTTAATATTTTCCTGATGCTCATTGAAGCTTTATTTAATTTTTAACATTTCTTTCCCCAGGTTTAATTTTAGTTTCATTGTTATGGCTTCAATTTGCTTCATATTTTTTTCTGTAGTGCCTAATTTGTTATTAACCAAAAATAATGAATATTTCATTTCAGATTTTGTATCTTTATATCTAGTAGTTTTGTTTTGGTTTTATAGTTTTTGCTTCTCTTCAAATATTCATGATTTCATTATAAATATTAAGCATATTTATAGTAATCATTTTTAAATCATTTTCATTAGCTTCATTTTTCTCTTAAATGTGGTTTACCTTTTCCTACTTCCTTGCATGTTTAGTACTTTTGGTGAATTGTTTGACATTGTGAATAGAATGTTTTTGTGTGTATGTGGTTTTCTAACCTTAAATAAGAAAAATAATAGTGAAGTGGCAAATATATCAAACTGTGCAAATATGCAATATACAGTAGTGCTACAATTACCAATAAAGAATGACCAACTTAGCAATCATTCAAGAAAATCCAATTTGAAACAATCAACTTATTCCTCAACCAGGAAGTAAGACTTATGTACCTTACTAAGAAATTAGTAAGAGTTTAAGTGTTTTCAGTAGAATAATCTTAAAAAATTATGATCCAGGCAGTTAATGAAAAAGTTAAACAAAATGCCGAATGTGTAAACATGCCAGTATCCACAAATGGTCAAGGCGAGTTGTTAAGTGAAAAATGGCAGTTTCAGAAAAGTACATAATATATAATAAATTGATACAAACACTACACATACCACACAATTACCTATTTCTACAAGTAAAAATCATATCAATATATTCAAAATAGCCTGAAAGAACTCATATCAAACTAATAATGGTGATTATTTATGGGATTCAGGAAAGGACAGGGCAAGTGTAGATTAAGTGTTATTGAAAGCTGGAACATTAGATTTAATTTATGGGCGTATTTTGCCTTTTTTCTATAGAATTTCAGCTATTTTTAAAATATGAAAATTCCCTTTAGATAATTAAAATAAAGTAGTTGAAATGGATAAACACTAATTAAAGGGTTACTCTCTGTGGGAGAGTGATGGTGGGTGAGATATTGAGAATGGATAGGAATCATTGATGCTTTGGCCTATATACTTCAATGTCATTTGCCTACAAGATAAACTACTTTTACATTTTTCAAATAATGCAAATATAATTGTGTTATGCAGAGACCAGCACAGTTTTAAAATGATAAACATCAGAAAGTAAATATTTTAGGCTTTGAGGGCAATATTATCTCTATCATAACTACTTCTCTTTGTCATTGTGAGAAAACATATATTGTTGCCTTTTTTTTTGAGACAGGGTCTTACTCTGTCACCCAGGCTGGAGTGCAGTGGTGCGATCTTGGCTCACCGCAGTCTCCCCGTCCCAGGTTCAAGCGATTCTCCTGCCTCATCTCCCAAGTAGCTGGGATTACAGGAGCGTGCCACCATGCCTGGCTAATTTTTGTATCTTTAGTAGAGATAGGGTTTTGCCATGTTGGCCAGGCTGGTCTCAAACTCCTGACCTCCAGTGATCCTCCCGCCTCGATCTGCCAAAGTGCTAGGATTACAGGTATGAGCCACTGCACCCCCCAGAAAGCAGATATTGACAATATATAAATGAATCAGTTTGGCTGCTTTCCATAAAATTTTATTTGTCGGCTGGGCGCGGTGGCTCATGCCTGTAATCCCAGCACTTTGGGAGGCCAAGGCAGGGGCGGATCACGAGGTAAGGAGATGGAGACCATCCTGGCTAACACAGTGAAACCCCGTCTCTATTAAAAATACAAAAAAAAAATTAGCTGGGCATGGTGGTGGGCGCCTGTAGTCCCAGCTACTCGGGAGGCTGAGGCAGGAGAATGGCGTGAACCCGGGAGGCGGAGCTTGCAGTGAGCCGAGATCGCGCCACTGTACTCCAGCCTGGACGACAGAGCGAGACTCCGTCTCAAACAAACAAACAAACAAACAAAAAACACTTTGTCAAAATAGACGGTGGGCTAGATTTGACTTTTGGACTGTAATTGGTCTGCTAGTGCTATGAGTACTTCTATTACTGTGTTTTTGTAGAGAAAAAAAGCAATTTATATGTGATTATCTGCGCTATTGTAATGACATCAGATACATTTTGTGTAAAATGTATAGTGACACATCATATTAATTTAAGAATATGATTAAAAGTCTATTTGAATGATACAATTAAAACTATAGTCACCTTTTCCAATTCAAAAGATATTAGTAATATTTGCATAAAATTCACTTGCTACTGATTTAATCAAAATGCCACTCACATTATACAAAATATCTATGAAAATATAAAATATGAAACTTAATAATTAAGAGGAAAATGCACGCATATTTGAAAAAGTTTCTTGTAGAAAATAAAGTATAATTTTAAGACACATTTAGAAATGAGTTTCTAGAGAATTACACACCGTCTTATTTTTTGCAAGCAGTTCTAAGGTGAGCATAAAATTATCATTTGATATACTTGAGTTAGCATGTCACACAAAATATGCAAATCACTAACATATTGTAATATTTTGCTGAACTAAAGTCATGTGTTTGAACTAGAACATGAACCAACATCTTAATAGCTAAAAGGTCTCTTGAATTACTTAATTTTGAAACACTGATTTATGATGCCATAAAAAAACTAATGGAGCATATCTTTATTCTATCTGGAAATATGTTTTCTAATTCTGTCTTTTAATTTACAAAAACAACTCAGGCTTATTATGTCTAGCAGCTTTACAAAAGAAGGAAACAATGAGACATATTGACATTTTTTTCAGAATGAGAAAATGATCAAAATGATTACTGCAATTTAATGAACACCAATTATATGCTGTTAATTTTACATGTCGTATCTAATCTAATCTGCAGATAAACCTCTATGGCAACTAAAGTTACCACCACTTTACAGACATATGGAAAGGAAACTTAAGTTGTTACCATGATTGTGATGATAAATAGTGGAGATAAAATTATTTTAGCATCGTGCTATCTTCTAAGAAGTTATTTTTTCCACTACACTTTGTGAGTTCTCCTCGAAGAAGCCTGTATTATCCAGCTAATTTCCAGCTGAATTCAAAATCAATATGATCTGTTCTTAAAATCTTCATATCTATGGTAAACTAAGGAACTGTCATCTTTTGGTAATTATTTTTGTAAAGCAGCATTGTACATTAAAAAAACAAAAGCCTTTAGCTATATGGCCTAAGGCAAATTTACTTAACCTCTATGAACCTCATTTGTCTGATATGTAAGAAGGTAAAAATAATAACACAAGAACGACAGCAACTATAGTGACAACAACCACAACTCTCAGAGGAGTTTTGGAAATTAAATATGAAGGAAGTGGAAAAATATTTTAAGTTTAAACTCAGTATGTAAAGGGAAAATCACACATGACCAAATTTAGATTGAAATTTCTTAAATCATCCATCACATTGATTTTGTTCTTTCCTGCCACACAGTGATAAAGATAATATGATGAGTTCAATGATAGTTAACCTGTAGACAATGACTTTTTTATTAAAAAACTCTATTTTCCCCCAAATATTCTGATATTTGCATATTGTTGGGAGATAATTCTCCATAATTTTCAAATTTCTGCACATTTTGAATCCAATTCTGTTTTGGACCATCTGTTCAAGGATGTTAAATAAAAACAGCCTAGAAATACAGAAACAGTGTATCCCTCCAAGCCAGGGTTCAGAATTATTTCTTGAACAGAATAATTAAGGTAATATTTCCTCTGGGGGCAGAGTTGGGCAACTTTCTAGCATCACCCAGCTGTGACTGAAGATTCCTAACCTTAGGCATCCTCAGATGTAAGACAAACCTATTGAGTGTGCACATGGATCTGGGCCCGTCTTGCCATCATCCCTGTGGTACTGGGATAGGGGAGGCAAAAGGAACTGATGCGAATGCTACCATCTGATCCATGAGTGAGAGACTCCTTTGTTTCTGACTCAGGAATCTTGTGTTTTCCATAATGCTGTAGCAGGATAACTTGTTAGCTTTGAAGTAGGGAATGACTTTTTATATCCTTCACAAATTTTAACATGTATGAGACACAAATTTTCTGCAGAGCGGGTGAGTTTAAGGTTTTGTTTTATTGTGTATCATATAATTTTTAAAAATTTAAAATTCATCTGATCTCAAAAAATGGTCTCTTTTATAAAAAAAAGTATGCCTTTTTGGTTGTTTATGAAGTTTGTGGTTTGTAAATTGAACTTGGGCAAGTAGCTTTTTGCCTGAAGAAAAAAATATATATATTTCGTAATTAATTTCTAAAGAGTATAATAAATAAGGAAAGAGAATTTTGATGTTCTTTCCAAAAGCAGTTTTTTAAAATAGCAATCATTTAGAAATAATATTTGGATGAAACCTTTCAGGCAAAATTATAAGTCCCTTCAAATTTAATTTCTTTTTTTTCCTCAACATGTATATGATCATAGTTAGATATCACATTGTAATCTGACATATAATTTCTCAGCAAATTTGATCATGTATTTCTCTTCAATTTTGAAACAGTTTTTTTTTAAATTTTCTGTTTCATATAAGCACCAGATAAGATAGTTATTAAAACCATCTTGGAAAATATATGTGTGCACATGCACATATGCACACACACACACACACACACAAACTTTAAAAATAAAATTCACACTCCAGGAGGCTATATTCTCTCAAGTGCTCAAGAGAAGTGCTCAAGAACTGGGCTGCTGGCAGACATGGCAGTCTTTCCCCAAGACCCATACCCAGTAGGTTGATCAACAAGTAGAATTACCACATTTCAATTTTAAATTCTTGCTTTCTTGTCTTTTTTTCCCCTGATGACTTTCTTCTTTCTTTGTCTTCTATTTTCTATCTCTCTCATCTTTAAGCAACTTTTCTGTAATTATATTATATATGCAAATAATGAAAATGCATTGCTTTTAGTTTTAAAAATTTATTATTTGTTTTATTATATTGTCCTTGAACTGGAAAGACAGGCAGTCATAATTCTGGGTATCACAAAGTCAGTATTTGTCACTGTCAAAAATTATACTTATTTCCAAAAGACTAGTAATGACATAGTTGCTGAATATATTGATTTTAAACCACCAAATGGCCAATCAGTTGCCTGTGTGACTCCCCAGATATGATGCTACCTGCAAATATTTGGGAGTTGCTACACCTAAAGTATTCCTAAGTGCAGCTTTCCTGCACTTGAATTTATAATAATGCAATAAATTCACAAAACAAATTCTCAGACATTTAGTGTCTATCAGAAATTATTGG